>NC_000023.11:8387488-9012488 GCF_000001405.40 Homo sapiens
CCTACCTTGAGAAATATCACGGAAGATGGTGCTATTTCTTGAGGTCAGAAATCTCAGAAAACAAACAGACAAGTTAGCAGTAGAAGACAAGTTTCAATGTGGGGAATGGTAAACTTATTTTCCTGTGCTTTTAGGACAGCTCCATGGAATTATCAAACAGGATTGAAGAATCCGGTATGGAGGAGAAAGGCCTAGGCTGATGATATAAACATGAAAATGCTTAGTTATGGATTGTAGTGTTGATACTAATGAAAGGGATAGAGAGTGTGTAAACAGTGGAACTCAATCAGGGGTGTTTTTCCTCCCAGGGGACACTTGGTGATATAGTTGGGATGTTTGTTCTTGCCAAATCTCATGTTGAAGTATGATCCCCAATGTCAGAGGTGGGGCCTGGTGGGAGGTGATTGGGTACCAGGGGGTGGATCCCTCATGAATGGCTTGGTGTTGGTGATAGTGAGTCAATTATCTTGAGATCTGGCTGTTTAAAAGAGTACGACACCTCCCTTCACTCTCTCTTGCTTCCGGTCTCACCATGTGACATGCTGGCTCCCTGTCACCTTCCACCATGATTGGAAGCTTCCTGAAGCCCCACCAGAAGCAGATGCCAGCACTATGCTTCCTGTATAGCCTGCAGAACCCCAAGCCAATTAAACCTCTTTTCTTTAAAAGTACCCAGTCTCAGGTTATATTTCTTTATAGCAATGCAAAAAATCCTGACACACTTGGCAATGCCAGGGGACATTGTTAGTCTTACAGTCAGAGGGAAGGATGTTGCTAGCATGTAGTGAGTGCAGGTCGGGGATGCTGCTAAACATCCTACAATGCACCCAGCACAACTCCACAACAAAGAATTAAAGAATTACACAGTTTGAAAAGGTCAATAATATTAAGGTTGAGAAACCATGATACAGAGCAATCAGAGGAGAGGACTGAGTTTCAAGAACAACATCTTGTTATGTGCCAGCATTGAAAGGAAAAGTATTAGGAAAGGAGCCCACAAAACTGTCTGTGGAGAAACAACCAGAGACATAGAAAATCAAGACATTGAGGTGTCAGAGAAGCTAAAGAAAGAGACATAGACAACAGGGGAAAATGTCACAGAGATATCAAGTACAAAAAGACCAAGAAAGCATTCGCTGGGTCACACAAGTGCAAGGTCAAGGGGACTTTAGCAGGAACAACTGTATCAATGTCATGGTGACAGTGTCGTGCTGCAGTTGGTTTACTACTGAACAGGATGTGAGAAAGGAGAGATGGAAAATGAGGACACGTCTTTTAAGAAATGTGACCCTGAGCTGGGCATGGTAGCTCACGCCTGTAATCCCAGCACTTTGGGAGGCAGAGGGGGGAGGATTGCCTGAGCCCAGGAGTTGGAAACCAGCCTGGGCAACATGGTGTGACCTCATAACAAAAAAAAAAAAAAAAAAAAAGAGAGAGAGAGAAAATAAACAGAAATGTGACCCTGAAAGGAAGGTGAGGCATTAATTGGTTGATCCAAGGAGAGACAGAGTTGAGGGAAGACTTTGCAGAAAATACTTGACATGTGGATGCTCATGGAAAGAGAACAGAAGAGGGGAGAGGTTGAAGATACAGGAAAAGCAACCTGGTCCCTAAAGTCCTAAAGTGGGTTAAACAGGTTAGAGTCATGAGCCCTGGTGGGAGAGCTGTCTTCTAAAAGACGTGATGTGTCTTCTCTGTTGGAGAAGGAGGGAAGTTACAAAGAGAATGCACTGACAGCTTTAAGTTAAGGAAACACCCAGGGTTTCAAGTTCCAGCTCCACCCATTTCAAGATGCCTACCCTGGAGCAGGGGGCTTAACCTCTGTCAGCCTCGCTTCCTTTAGCTATGAAATGAAAAAATAAGAGGGGCCTGGCGCAGTGGCTTAATCCTATGATCCCAGCATGGGAAGCAGGGTGGGAGGATTGTTTGTGCCCAGGAGTTTGAGATCTGCCTGGGCAATGTAGTGAAATGCTACCGCGACAAATAATAATCACTATCATCATTAAAAAATTAGCCAAGCACGGTGGTGTGTGCCTGTAGTCCCAGCTACTCGGGAGGCTGAAGTGGGAGGATCACCTGAGCCTGGGAGGTTAAGGCTGCAACGAGCCATGATCACACCATTGCCCTCCAGCTTGGGTGACAGAGTGAGACTCAGGCTTAGGTTGACGTTATAAACATGAAAATGCTTAGTTATGGATTGTAGTGTAGACACTAATTAAAGGGATGAAGAGTGTGTAAACAGTGGAACTCAGTCAGGGGTGTTTTTACTCCCAGGTATAGTTTGAATGTTTCTTCCTATCAAATGTTCCTATCTCAAAAAACAAACAAACAAACAACAACAACAAACCACCAGAGTAATCAATTCATACAATTACTGTGATAATTGAATAAGTAAATTTATTAAAAGTGCTTAGACTGGCTCTTAACATTTCGTAAGAACTCAATAAACGTTTGCTCATTCTCTCTCTCAACTCAGACTGAGAAAGTTTAAACATAATAATAGAAAGTTTAAAGAGCGTAGAACAGTTTTAAAACAGCCTCTAGTGAATAGAGGAGATATGTAAACAGGGAAAGTAAATAACCAGGTGGCTATGGGTTTAGTTTTGGCTTCACTCAACCGGAAACTGGCAGACAGACACTAAACCCATAGCATCAGCTCCATTACTTGAATGTTCTTTCTTGTTCTCTCTCTAATTTCCTTCCAACACGCATTCATCTCAGCCATTCACTAGTCTGAAGGATGCTGGCCCTGCCATTCCCTAAACTCCAAGACTTGGCCAATCACAGGAATATCCAACCTACCCTAGACATATTTTAATTTAGGTAAAGCCTGATTAAGGAGGGCATGGATTTAGGATTTGGGGCTTTCTCCTGGAAGAACAGTGGTATAGGATGTGAATTTGTAGGGGCATTTAAGAAACAGGACACTACTGTGATTGAGAGAATCAGGTTGCCACTCTCTGATTTTACACTACCTGAACAGACATGGCCATTTATATTTACCACTCTCTGACATTAAATATGTAAAAGATAGACATTTGGCACCTGATAGAAAAAGACTAGTGATATGAAGTTAAAAGAAATAAAGGAAAGTCATGAATTTGACTATTGTTTTGCCTCCAACATAAGCATATAGGTAACTATTGAATTTTTGTATGCAGCGACCTCGTGGGCAGTCAATGAATACTGCTTTCCTGACAGCTTACTAAATTCTTACAATCATAATAACAATTGCAAATCTGCACCATGAAGTCGACTTTCATCATGAACATATTTTCTCTTTTGCAACACATATCGGTATTTTGTTGGCAAATTAGGATGATATATTGATGCTGATGTCATGGTCTGGAAGTTGAATCCAGACTCCATGTATAAAGTAATAGTATATACTCAGGGGTGAAAGGAGCAGATTTTTAAAAATTATTTATTATTATTATGTTTATGACTGTTAGAGTGGTCCAAGTCTCTAGATTTTGCTGGCAACAATCACCAAAAAAATCAGGCTTCATACTGAGATGGTCAGGGCTATTTATTTAGTTTACTTATTAGCTCTCAATTATATTCAAGCTCTTTTCCTTCTGCTGGTTGATCTCAACAGATGTTGGGTTCACTCCTCTGGAGGAAGCATTCTTTCAGCGTTCAGTGCTTTCAGAGGGAGGGAACAATTAAATCACCCCAGGGTCCAATTTAATAAAACCTCATTCACAACAATTCATCAAAGGTGGGATGGACACACATAGACCTCCATTTAAACAGGATGCAGAGAGTTGCAACATTTGCCATTGTGTTCTGCAGACCCTGACCTCAAGCGTCAACTGTTTCCCCATCTCTTCAGGAAAAGCAACGTTTCAGCTCAAGGCTGCCATTTTTCATTGCTGCTGGTTTCAACACAGATTGACATTTTAAAAAACATATGCTCTTACCTCAACTTTTTTTTTTTTTTTGGTTTGAGGCTGAATGCTAGACATTGAGAAACACCATCAAGAACTTAACAGGGACACTAATGTTAATCTCTTTGTTTACCTCTAAAACAGAGCTTTGCCCTAAAGTAGTAACATTCAATTAAATGTCACTTCTGTTATTCCTGGTGCAGTGTGGATTAAGGGCCATCAAGAGGACTTCATAGAAAGCCCAGAATTGTCCTTACTTTGCAGAAAGTAATCCTCAGGGGAAAAAATGATAATAAAACTATCATAAAGTTATGAAAAACACAAGGAAAAAATTAAAGGATAATATTTTCAAGCTTTAACGTAGAATATTCTTCCTTATGAAATATATGCCATTATTTCTTGTATTACTCAGAAAAAAAATTTTAGCTACCAAATGGGTAAACCACAAACGTGTAGATAATTTAGGCTGGAGAGACAGTATGTTGTTTTTCACTTGATTAGACTCACATGTAACCTCTAGCATTATTAGTGTGAAATGTTACATCAGAATAATTAGTTCTTATGTAAAGGTGTCATTCAAAATTTATAAAACACTGTATAATCTCCACAGCACTTATCTACAAAAGGCAGAACATATTTTTATTTGCACTGCTCTAATTGCATTGGTCTGTCTAATCTTTGACTTTCTTTAATTGAAAACGCTTGTTTATTTGTTTGTTTGTTCATTTGTTTTGGAAGTTTGACTCCCTCTTTAAGAAAAGGCAACTTTCACAAAACATTCTGAACTTCTGTTACCTAAAGTAACAAAGAAGTGTCTGTTCGTGCCCTTTGACCACTTTTCAATGGGGTTGTTTTTTGCTTTCTTGTAAATTTGTTTAAGTTCCTTGTAGATTCTGGATATTTGACCTTTGTCAGGTGGATAGATTGCAAAAATTTATGCAGCCAACAAACATGAAAAAAAGCTCAACATCACTAATCATTAGAGAAATGCAAATCAAAACCACAATGAGATACCATGTCATGCCAGTCAGAATGGTGATTATTAAAAAGTCAAGAAACAACAGATGCTAATGAGGTTGTAGAGAAATGGGAACACTTTTACACTATTGGCAGGAGTGTAAATTAGTTCAACCATTGTGGAAGATGGTGTGGCGATTCCTCAGAGACCTAGAACCAGAAATAGCACTTGACCCAGCAATCCCATTACCAAGTATATACCCAAAGGAATATAAATTATTCCGTTATAAAATACGTGCATGCATATGTTCACTGCAGCACTATTCACAATAGCAAAGACATGCAATCAACCCAAATATCCATCAATGATAGACTGGATAAAGAAAATGTGGTACATATACACCAGGGAATACTATGCAGCCATAAAAAGGAATGAGATCATGTCCTTTGCAGAGACATGGATGGAGTTGGAAGCTGTTATCCTCAGCAAACTAACCCACGAACAGAAAGCCAAACACTGCATGTTCTCACTCACAAGTGGGAAATGAACAATGAGAACACATGGACACAGAGAGGGGAACAACACACACCAGGGCCAATCGGGGGAAGGTGGAGGGAGAGCATCAGGAAAAATAGCTAATGCATGTGGGGCTTAATACCTAGGTGATGGGATGATAGGTGCAGCAAACCACCATGGCACATGTTTACCAATGAAACAAACCTGCAGGTCCTGTACATGTATCCCAGAACTAAAAATAAAATAAAATTTTTTTAAAAAGTAACAGGCTATTACACTTTCTCTTTTACATTTGTATGGCATTCTGGCACGTGTGATGCTGTTTAACAAGAAGAGATGTAGGTACAAAATTTGGACACACGTATAGGTTTAGGTCTAGGTGTAGGCATATAGACATACACATAGACATTGTTATATATAAAAAATTCATATTTGACTGTTTCGCCTTTAAGAAAGGAAGAAACTGTCCACTGTCCACATAGTTTATTGTATTTAACACTCAAACTTCCTTCCCTATGTTAGCTCTCCAGCAACTCTGCTCTAGATTTAAAGGAGAGGCAACAGTGCAGCAGGTCAGAGCACAGATTGTGGGATAAGACTCACATCTCATTTGCTGTGTGACCTCAGGCAAGTTTCTTAACCTTTCCATGCATCTGTTTCTCATTTGTAAGATGGGGGTGACAACATTACCCTACATGTGAGATTGATGTGAAAATTACACACCAATAAAATAAAAGTTGATGGAACAATTCATGACGCTTAATAAGTGCAATGGAAGTGTGAGCTATTACTATTATTATATTCATCAATATGGAAAACAGTATTCTAAGGCATTAATTTATGTTACAGAGGCCACAAAAGATTGGTGGTTTAAATGGAGGTCTAGCTTCAAGGCTCTCTCTCCTAAGGACATCGTTGCTGGTGGGACTTTGAGTCCGATGCCCTGAGTTATTTCCCCAGCTTTCTGGAGCTCCAATCCCATGAACTAGGACGTGTTCCTCTCAGGTCTCAGTTTCCTTTTTTGTGCACTCTGACAATAGGGACCTCTTTCTAATATAATTCCTATGCTTCTCCTACTTAGGGTAAGAAGCAGATAATTTAAAAGTGGGTTAAAATTATGGAGAACCGAAAAGGGTTCAGTGGTATTGTAGACTTTCAATTTTAAGTAAAAATTCCTCATTCTAAAGATGAAAATAGATAATGGAAACATTGCCCAACATTGAGGTCCTAAAAAATACTGATTCATTTTTTATTCCTTACATTTATTTTTATAGGAATTTATGTTTCTAGATTGATTTGCGTATTCTTTTTATGTTTTTATTTTGATTGTGTTTTACTTATGTTATAACTAATGAACAGACATCTAGGTATTTAGGAAGAGTCTTCAAAGGAAGCAGAATTAATTTTTTAAAATGTTGAACCAACATCATATTTTCCAAGCAGGTAGAAAATGTAAACCATACTCCAAACTGCAGACATGTAACTTAATATACTCCTGGTAAACATGGCTTCCTGTCCCTAAGAAATGAGGCAGGAACAACTTTTGGACATTAAGTAGCTTATAAAAGAAAATATTTAATGAGTTGAATAAAACAATGAGCAATGCCATTTGACTTAAATTTGTAAACGTTCTCTAGATTTTAAAGTAAAAGGTATTTTGACCTTGGCACAATGTACCTCAGAGTTGGCTGAATCAAACATATTTCAAAGACAGTTTGAACTTTCAGTTGAGCTTAAAACACTTCTTGTTTCCACAAGCCTTAAAACCATGCCTTGTTTTATCCAGAAATGTTGTATCTTTATGTTAGAAGAAAAAAATAAAAATTTGGATATGTGTGAGAATAAATAGGTTTTACATGTAGGTGATCTGTTAAGATATGTTTATAAACTGGGGTAGCTTGTCTTCAAGACATCCCCAGTGAACCTGGCCTCCTGTTAGTCACACTGTTGTGTAGTTCCCTCTCTCAGGGCACCACAGAATGGTCTGTGTCACCAAAACTAATGACAGTATGTGTCCGCTTCCATGTTTCTCTATTAGAGAGTGGCTTGTTTCCAGACAAGAGGGACAAGTGTTTCCAGATCAACCACCTCAAAGTATCAAGTTCTTTTACATTTTTTAAACTGGTGTGTACATATAGACAAAGCAATACAAAGAGAAACCATAGTTTTTTTAAATAAATAAATAATATATCAGTTTGGCAGTCTTATTCTTGTGTGGACTTTGTGAAGTTTCAATATTTTAAAAATTCACACATTGGGAGGCCGAGGTGGGAGGATAGCTTGAGCCCAGGAGGTTGAGACCAGCCTAGGCAATATGGTGAGACCCCATCTCTACAAAAAGTTAAAAAATTAGCCAGGTGTGGTGGCACATGTCTGTCCTCTCAGCTACTCAGGAGGCTGAGGCAGGAGGATAGCTTGAGCACAGGTCAAGGCTGCAGTGAGCGATGGTCTTACCACTGCATTCCAACCCAGGCAACAGAGTGAGACCCTGTCTCAAAAAACAAAACAAAACAGAAAACAAACAAAAAAATCTCAATCCATCGATATCTTTTGCTTCTGTTTTACAAATATTAGAAAATACTGTCTCTCAAAAGGGATACTCCCTTTTGTATTTTACGTTTATGAAACTGGGGAAGATGTAAAAGATGTATCTGGCCGGACACAGTGGCTCAAGCCTGTAATCTCAGAATTTTGGGAGGCCGAGATGGGCGGATCACCTGAAGCCAGGAGTTCGAGACCAGCCTGACCAACATAGTGAAACCCCATCTCTACGAAAAATACAAAAATTAGCTGGGCGTGGTGGCGGGCACCTGTAATCCCAGCTACTCGGGAGGCTGAGGCATGAGAATTGCTTGAACCTGAAAGGCAGAGGTTGCAGTGAGCCGAGATCATGCCACTGCACTCCACCCTGGGCGACAGACTGAGACTCTGTCTCAAAAAAATAAAATAAAATAAAAAATAAAAGGTTACGCTTCTGCCTATAAATATTCCCTGTATATCTCCTATATCTCCTAAATCTCCTAAATCCCCCGTTTCAAACAACCTTTCAAGGAAATCTTTCATTGGCCATAACTTTGCATAAACATAATATACAATCCTAATCCACAGCATTGGAATTGGGATCACATTCTTGCTAGGCGGTTGAACATTTTGAAATCACTGGATGGCAGCAAGAAGAAAAAGTAACAGCTTAACTTAAATGACTACTTTGTAGAAATGAATATATTCATTGTCTTCTTGACTTCAAACACATCACATAGTTGTTCTGCACCTTTGAAGTCAGATTAATCTTTGGCACCATTTATAAGGTAGCCACTGGGAAAGTTTATGTGGTCATGTAGACACAACTGTAATACTCAAAATTATGGTTTTTGCCAGACAGGGTTTCCTCAGAACTATGCATACCCCCACCACTTCAAGGAAGGACCGTGAACACTTGCCCCTCTTTAATTTTATATCCAAAGTTTTCTCTGTTTGCCTTTGTTTCTGTTAGCTCTTTGGCAAGCATCTGTTGTTTTTTGTTTCCTCATTTGGAAGGGCATTTTGTTGATGCTATTCATTAATGAAATTTGTGTTTTTCACTTTTACCATGGAAAATTACATTCACCCAACTTGCTCATCATAAAACTTACATTAAAGAAAATCTCATTTAAGATAGTAAAAGGTTACATACATTTTCAGAGACTGGAAGGCAGAATTGAACACAGAACTAAGTCTCAGTACTGCAAACACACTAACTTCTAAGTGGCTGCTTTATTTGCTTATTAGAGGAATAATTGAAACTCTCTCCTATTCAATTTTATTACCCTATGGGATACGAGAAGACTTTCTAGCTCCGTGTGATGCTGCATTTTTAACACTAAGAATATATTTCCCAGCAGGCGAAATCTACTCAACTTTACATATTCAGGTGCTTTATTTTCATCATCAAGCAAATAGCTTATATCCCATCAGTATAAAATATGCATACAAGGTAATTTAACTAATATGTATTGGCATCATTTTTACACAAAGTTCCCATTGTGGATTTTAAAACCTATCCTGCTGAAAATGATACCCACCAACCAAATAATAAGGAAATAATTTATGTTGCTCTTTAGACAACATTATCCTGAATTGCCGATTTTCGGCCATCAAGTCGAACTTTATAATGTCACTATTCTTAACATCTGTTGAACTCTAGGCAGAAAAATTTCTCCTGAAAACACAGTAAAGCTCTGGAAAAGTGGATATTGAATGTCCTTTCACTGGCTATTTCCCATCTGACATGTTGGAAATATATTTTTAAGGTTTGGGTTTTCATTTTTCAGTTTTATTCATGCAAATACACATTTTAAGTATATATTTACTTTCATAAATCAGTCTTTTCTTTTTATTCAGTGTCTCACTTTGTCACCCAGGCTGGAGTGCAGTGGTAAGATCATAGCTCACTACAGCCTTGAACTCCTGGGCTCAAGTTCTTCCCACCTTCGCTTCCCAAAGCACTGGGATTACAAGTCTGAGTTACTGTGTCCAGCCAGTCTTTTTTTTTTTTTTTTTTTTTTTTTTTTTTTAACATCATTTGAAACACTTCTCTCTGCTGCCTCCTTGACATCTAGCTTATTCACAAATACAAGGAAGGGTGAGTTCGTTTGTCTGCTGACTGTACCCAGCTTCCACAGCTCCAGAGTCGAGAGGAACACAATATCATAGGACCTATTTTGACCACTGCATATCAGACCTATCTAGTTGAGGGTGTTTTTACACTTTTGTTTTGAGGATATCACTGTTCCCTCAAGGACAACTTCAATTTATGTCATTTTAATCAGAACTATACTAATATTTATGGCTTTTTACCAACAAAGCATTTTTTAGAAAAGCTGTACAGAGAAACTGTACTACAATTCTTAGACTCTTTTCTGGTGCATATCCAACATGCAATGGAATCCCTTGATCAATTTTCTATGCAATATGATTAAACTGGTTCCATTGTTTACTTTTCATTTTTATTTCTTTTTTTAAATTTTATTTTATTATTATTGTACTTTAAGTTTTAGGGTACATGTGCACAACGTGCAGGTTAGTTACATATGTATACATGTGCCATGCTGGTGTGCTGCACCCATTAACTCGTCACTCAGCATTAGGTATATCTCCTGATGCTATCCCTCCCCCCTCCTACTTTTCATTTTTATTTCAATGATTATTTAAGACATATCAAATTTTCCTAATTATTATTTTTACTTTTTAAGCAAATATTATTGTGTATACTAAGGTATACAGAACAATGTTATGAGATAGTAAAAAGGTTACTATAGTGAAACAAATTAACACATTCATCATCTCACGCAAATACCCATTCCCCAACTACCCCATGGCAAGAGCAGCTAAAATCTGTTCATTTAGCATGAATCCTAAATACAGCACAATTTTTTACCCATAGTTATAGAATCTAATGTTGTACATTAAATTGTAGACATATTCATGCCATATTTTGCTACTTTGTATCCTCTGATCAATTATTAATTCTAATTTTTTGGATGTTCATTTGTGTCAACTGTTTCTACTGGGTTCAATTTCCTTTGTCAATATTTTTCGGATCTAAATTTTGTCAAGAAGATTGAATATGTCTGTGAATTTTTAGTCTGTTACAACTTTGACATTAGGCAGTTTTAGCCAATATCAATAAACAGGTATGTAGATAGGTAGATACACAGAGAGAGGAGGATAGATAGAAAGACGGACGGATGGATAGTTGGATAGATGGATATCCTATATATCTCCTAAATCCCCAGTTTGAAACAACCTTCCAAGGAAATATAATAAAAAGTTGAATAAATCATTTCACATTGTAAGAATTGTTTGATTTCATGGCATTTGGAATATCTTTCCTGCAAAGAGCAGAAGTTACTGAGAGAAAGGTAGAATTCTTAACGAATCTTAAGATTCAGGATCATTGCATTCTTGATATTTGTTGTAAGGCAGAGATTGAGCCAACTGACCTCTCCCAATCCCTCCTGATGCTTCCTAGAATATTTGTAATTTTGTGAAATGTTTTTCTTCACTGTGTGCTTTTTCAATTAACCACCAGCATGTTAAACGCAAGCATGAATAAAGAAAATTGCACTTTGCCCGTCCTCTTTTTGCTTCTTATAATATACTGGGGTTGAAATGTACATTTCTTAACACACTTCCATTCAGCATTAGCAACTGATGAACAAAAAATCCAAACAGAATCATATACTACCATTGCATTTCACAAAACTACAATCAGTAAAACTTTATCCCTATTCACTTAGTTTGTTATCAAATTGGCTACTTTCAAATTCCCAGTGAGCTTTATAACTAGTAACCATGACCATAAATGCATGTACTTAGGAGGACAGGAAGTGGGATTTATTCCAATTTACACACTTGCCTTCTCTTTACTCATGGTGTAAGAAGAGTCACTGGGTCGTAACTTCATACTCAGCTTAAGCATAGACATTTGCGCTGTGTTCACTCCCTTGGCACAGTGCCTTCTTTAAAACTGAAGGGGTCTGGTAAGAAAAAAAAAATTGTAAGGTCCTCATTTACAAAATAAAAAGTGCCAACTTCCTTAGAAAGTTCCAGATTTCATCCAAAAAGTCCTCAGACATAGGTCACTAAGCCAAGGTCGGAGAGAATAGAATGGACTAAAGATTGGGGAACTGAAAGTTCAAGTTTGGAAGATTCACTTGAACATCTGGAAGAGATGACTGGAGTAATAGAACTCAATAAATGACAGTCTTAGGTGGAGACCAAAATGTGCATTCTCCCAAAATCTGTGGATGGAAATTCCTGACGGTATGATTGACTTTGGAAGGAAAAATGAAAATGTTATGGCAGGGTGTGGACTTTGAGAAACTTCTTCTTCTTGTAATAATTTGACCCTTGATTCAAAACCACTTTGTTAGGCAAATAAAGTTTTTGGGAAAAAATACATTTTTTATAACTAGATGGAATTCTACAGTATGCAAAGCTCATATTTTAGTATTATTCTCCTCCTTTTGAGCCAAGCATTGTGGTCTTTATAGAGAAAGTTCTGAATGGATTATTTTCAACTGATAGAAGTTTCTCATCACTCACATTCCTTCAGAGAAGAAGGCAAAAGGACGCCCTAAATGAATGGGTTTTCCAAAATGGCATATGTTCCCTGCTACTGTTCTAAGATAAATATAAAATTAATGTCCAAAATAAAATATTATCTGGTTCCTGGTCATTATTTTTGTCGTTTAGCTGTCAAATCTGAACCTAAATCTCATAACAACATAAGACAGAAATGACTGTTATGAATTCATAGAATGACCTAGAAGCCTAGCCAATAGGTTTTAAAGGAAGTTAAGCATTTTGTAAAGCTTGATAGGGGAAGATAAGGCATATTGCATGAGAGGTATTTTAAAATTATATCCTAGCCTCAGCAAATTCCATCAACTTTAATTCTAGAATATCTTCTCAAATCCACCTCCTTCTATTCAACTTCCTCTCTACCATTCACCCCAAGTGCAAACTACAGTAGATCCCTAAAAGTTTCTGATTGTACTTCACTCAGTCACTGTTTAGCAGCCCTATGATCTTTTAAAACATAAATCAGATTATGTGACCACCACCTTCCATTTTAAATAAATTATTGACTTCCCCTGAAAACTTCTTAGTATGTCCTTAGTATGTCCTCAAAATCATATAACGTTTTCTCTGAACAGTCTTGTCCTATCAGACCAGACCCTGCGATTACAGACCACCACAATGTATCCCACGTTGAAAAGATGTGGGATTTTTTTTAAGTGACTTGGAATTTGCCCATGTATGAGATTCTAACCCAAGCACTAAGAGCATGTTTTTATAAGTAGAATTTATTATGTACTGTTTTATGCATCCAAATAACGTATGTTTGCATAAATTATGAAACATAATAAAATTAACCCCATGGACCCTCCAAATACCTATGAAACTAAATATATCTCTATACTCCTTTGTAACGGGGTTTAGGGCATGCTACCCCAATATAGGCACCTGGGCATTTGAGGAAACAGCAGAAGCAGGAAGCAGGAAGGTCACCTTCCCTTCACCCTTCTCCCCTGATGCAGCTCATAAAAGAAGTCTCTGACCTTTCTCTGACATAGATCATGAGACCTTCATTTCAGAGATATCCTCCCTATATCTGGGGAAAAGGAACATCTGTATCCTTCAAGACACAGAGAGGCCAAGAGTCTGAATAAATAGGACTTGCTGAGTTGCCCCCAGTTTATCACCATTAGCCCAAGCCTTTGTATCCTCCAATTATACTCTTCTATGACTTCCCATAAAAATACAGTGTTCCTGTTTCTTTGAGCCTTCATTTATGAAGGCCCTCATGTCACATAAAGCTTATATTGAACTGTAAACTAGTTCAACCATTGTGGAAGTCAGTGTGGTGATTCCTCAGGGATCTAGAACTAGAAATACCAATTGACCCAGTAATCCCATTACTGGGTATATACCCAAAGGATTATAAATCATGCTGCTATAAAGACACATGCACACAAATGTTTATTGTGGCACTATTCCCAATAGCAAAGACTTGGAACCAACCCAAATGTCCAACAATGATAGACTGGATTAAGAAAATGTGGCACATATACACCATGGAATACTATGCAGCCATAAAAAATGATGAGTTCATGTCCTTTGTAGGGACATGGATGGAGCTGGAAACCATCATTCTCAGCAAACTATCGCAAGGACAAAAAACCAAAACACCACATGTTCTCACTCATAGGTGGGAATTGAACAATGAGAACACATGGACACAGGAAGGAGAGCATCACACACTGGGGCCTGTTGTGGGGTGGGGGGAGGGGGGAGGGATAGCATTAGGAGATATACCTAATGTTAAATGACGAGTTAATGGGTGCAGCACGCCAACATGGCACAGGTATGCATGTGTAACAAGCCTGCACGTTGTGCACATGTACCCTAAAACTTAAAGTATAATAAAAAATAAATAAATAAATAAGCTTATATTAAATAAATTAGTGTGCTTTTCTCTTGTTAGTCTCTCTTTTATGATAGGTGTTTCCATCATAAACCCTGTGATGGATAAGAAATCTTTTCTCTCCTACCTTCTTTTATCTTATCACTTTTTCTCTTTCCAGAAACAACCACTACTCTGAAATTTGTGCTCTTCATTCTCTTGATTTTAAGTAAATAAATATCTTTTTATTATATATATCATTTTATTACATGCATATTTGTCCCTAAATATGTTTTGTTTGGTGGGGTTTTCAAATCAACTTAGCATATTTATACTTGTTTTGTTGAGGTTATTTTATGAACAGTTATGGGCATCTATTTTTCTTGATTTTATACTCATATAACAATCACCATCATAAGATGGAGAATATTTTCATCACCCTAAAATGTTATTTAATCCCCCTTTAGACTTAATGGCTGCCATTCCTCTATATCTCAAGGCAACTATTGACAGAGAATTCTCATTATTATTAATCATCAGAAAAATGCAAATTAAAACCACAGCAAAACATCAATACACACTGAGCAAAATGATGAAAATGGAAAAGACTGATCATACCAAGTGTTGGTGAAGATATGGAGCAACTGGGATGCTCACATAGCTGTGGAGGGATGAAAATGGCACAACCACTTTGCAAAACAATTTAGCATTTTCTTTTTAAAAGTCAAATGTACCACCTGGAGTACTACACAGCAATTTCGCTTATAGGATTTACCCCAAAGAAATGATAACTTATGTCCATAAAGCAATGTTTGCACAAAAGTTCCTAGCAACTTTATTAATGAAAGTCCCAAACTAGAAGCAACAACAATGTCGAACAACAGGAGAATAGATTAACAAATTGTGGTGTATTGATAGACTAATACTCAGCAATAAAAATGAAACTATTATTACATGCAACAGTGTGGATACATCTCAAAATTATGACTTTAAGGAAAAGAAACCAGATGAAAAAGAGAAAAAACTACATGATTTCATTTCTTTTTAATTACAACAGGCAAGACTAATGTATGGTAACACCAAAGCACGTCAATTTTATTTGCTTCCATGCTTTATGAAAAGTGATATTGTAGTAGCTTTATTTTTTCAGTTAGTGTCAAGTTTCTAACATATTGTTAGGTGTTGATATAGTTCACTGTAGTTCATTTACTGTGCTTGTTGTGTAACGTTTCACTGGATAAACTGCTAAGACTTGGTCAGCAGGACAGATATGGCCCACCATCTGTAGTTTGCTAACCCCTGCTTTAAGCTATTACCCCAAAGCTACTGACCACTGGCTCTGCACATCTGGACTACATCAGCTTCTAGAGGGGTCAAAAAACTGACAGCAAAAAAAATTAGTCTGTGGGTCAATCTGGCCTAGTACCTGTTTTTATAAATAAAGTTTTATTGGAACACAGCCACATTAGTTTTTATGTTGTCTATGTCTGTTTCCACACTACAAAGAAAGAGTTGAGTACTCACGTAAGAGACCCTGAGGCCTGCAAAGCCTAAACTATTTACTATCTACAACTTTACAAAAAAAATTTTTTTTTTCTTCCAAGCCCTGCACCAGAGTATGAACAAAGCTCTTAACCTAAAAGTCTGAGCTGAACAAATACAAGCAAAGCTACCTTTCAAGATGGTAGCTGAGAAAAATAAAGGAAAAATAAATTACTTAAAAATATCCCAAACTGAGACTACTGTTCGCACTGAAAAACATTCCATTGCTTTCAAAATAGTTAGAATTTTTTTAGCCTGCATGCACAGTGTAAGTCTCAGGGGCTTTGTGACAGTCATACCCTTTATTGCCTAGATAGCCTTCTTGGCCTCCACTACAGCTTGTAATGATTTAGCCTGTCTTCTCAGGAATGTTCAAGGATTGAATGAAGTCAGAAGACCCCAAATAGACCCTCATCTGTCCTGAGGTTGGCATTCAAGAAGAGATTGTGTCCCAGGGGAAGGGAAAGAAGATGTGTCCTCCATTCATAATGTGTTTCTGTTCTAAACATTGAATTTATTTGCAGAAAGCTAACCTATCCAGGACTTGGTTTTCTTTCTCTTTTTTTTTTCCTTTAATTTTACACAGACAAGCTTTTATTCATACCAGTGAATATTTCCATTTTCTAAGCCATCTTCTGGGAATAGGAAACTGTCTACGTTTGTCAAGGTGTAAAGAGGATTTGCTTTCAGCACCGCAAACACTTCTTCCCTTAAACCTTTGAAATAAACTATTAGCTAACGTTATCCTTAAAACACCTCCCTTTTAATCCCCTGGCTTAATAGCAAAACCACCTACTACCCTCTCTCTTTCTATGGCCCCAAAAGAGGCATTCTCTAAGAAAGGAGGTGGCTGGCATTTGGCCAGAAAAGTCCCAAGATGAGAGGAAACATACTCCGAGGCATTTCTCTCAAGATCACAGACTCATGGTCGAGTCCCTCCTGGGAAATTTTCAAGATGAGGGTTTTCCTATTCAGAAACACCTTTCTTAAACATAACCTAAAAGGTAGCCTCTGAAACAAATATTATTTAGGAAAGAAAAGACCCAGGTTCTTGTTTGAAAACTCTCATTTTCAGTCTGCCAGCCTACAGTGTACAACAATGTGTATCTTGATTTAACTTGATCTCCACCCAGTGATTTGTGCAGCCCCACGTAATCTGCAGAGTCTTAGAACCAGGCAAAGTCTCTATTGAAGCTGCTGGCTGTGTTTGCTGAACTGAAAGGGAATCCAGATTAAGAGGTGAAACTATTCCAAGCTCTGTGCCAAGAAGACACCGAAGAATGTGCCCAAGTTTCCTGAGTCTCCTGATAACACAGGCTTGGAGCTGGCAGTGCTGTGCACGTAAACTGAGACTGCAAGCTCTGACACAGAAGGAAAACTTGCTCATTGTTGCTGCCTGCCATTTGGATCACAATAACAAAAATTGCTGGCGGTTGTTGACATTCTTAAATTACAGGCCACAGCTTTATACGTTTTTATTAATCACCTTTTGCAAGTTCCAAGGGTCACGCCAAAGAAAATAAGAATTTTCCTGTTCTGTTTGGATAGAGCTTTCTAGGTTGACATTTTGGCTCCCAAAAATCTCACTCAAAACTCACAGTTCACCTGTGAGGTAGGTAGAAAATATATCCCTGCTTCCAGAGGAGGAAAGCCAGACTCAGAGAAAAGGAGGTTTGTGCCTGCGATTGAGAGCTTCAGAATAAAGATCATCTACCTTCCAGCTCAAAATGTAATTAGCCAAGCAAATCCAAGCCTTTTATTTGGCAGGAAGTTTTCTGCTTCTTGAGTGTGCTAAGAAAAGGTTGTGAAATGCTAGTTTGGCTGCTGGAAGAAAGGGCAGTGCAGAATGATCTTTCCCCTTGGTTAAAGCTGAGGTACGGAATATCTGAACTGTTATTTCTCTAAACAGCCTGAGCAAGGGAGCTGGAATCTTGATCAAACAAGGAGGATTGATTCACAGGGTAGATGGGGGAGCCCAGGGGACATAGTTGGAATAAGTCCAATACATGGTGTATTAAAGCCTAAAGGTTATTATTGATTCTGTTCTGTCAACACTTTATTTTTCTTCACTAGAGGAGTTTCTCCTAGAAATATGGACTCCTTGGTCGCTATAGTTCCATTTAAACCATTAAAGCATAAGCCTGGCTTGTATAGTTTCTATACTTGCTTTAATAATTATGACTGTGAAACTTTTCTGTAAAGAGAGTATCTGCTCTTCCTTTATTCTGTTTATTGGACAGCAAGCCAACCTACCTCCCACCTTTCTCATCTACAACACAGAAGACACGATCGCTTTGTTTACCTGGACATGAGCATACCATGTTGATTTAGGAATCTACGTAGGGTGGAGGTAGGCAGGAACAGCCTGCCAGAATCTTTTGGCTCGACCTTGAGCTCCCTCAGAATGCAATTCACACTATTTCACCAGGAAGTGGTTAACATGGCTTGTCTTAAACATGAAACCACCAGAGAAGTGTTGCTAATACTCAACATTATGTATAACTTCCTCTGGGCACGAGACCCCGGTAGGATGTGGTTCTGTTTCCAGGCTCCAAAGTATGTGGCTGTGATTTTGCTTCTCACCTCTCATTAGGAAGGAAAATTACTATAGAGCCACCCTTTGTCTGCAGGAGAACATTAGTCTCTCAACTAGAGAGGAAGCCATCACCTACGCCCCACAAATGTCTGTCCACCTTTTTCATGCAATTTATTACAACCGAAGACTGCCTTAACGTGGGGGATGTTTCTTAGGTCATTCTTTTTTATTCCTATGTCATTTTCAGGAAATTTCCTGCTGAGCAGGCAAATAGAATCTTACATATGTGTGTGCATGTGTGTATGTGTGTATAGTCATGTGTGGATATTTATGTGTGTGTATGTGTGTGTGTACTTATGTGTGTTCGTATGTGTGTGTGTGTGCGTGCATGCATTCCTTTTGGGTAATAGAATTTATTCTGCACTCTGAATGCAATCTGATGCAATCTGATACTGTCTCTTTAAATATTTTTTGTTGCTTGAATGGTCCCCATTCTGATTTGGAGTTTTGAAACAAAATGAAATCAAATAGTGTGAAATACTCTTCACCACCTTCTCATTCACATTTGCCCCCAGTTAAAAAATTTATTGGCCTTTATATTTTGTTATTTCAAGGTCCAAAATTGGACTGTGACATAATTAAATAATTAAAAAATAGAAAAGTATAGATCATAATGGGAGATGCTTGAGACATTTAGGTGTGAGGAGTCATAGTGAGTCCTATGACTCCAAATTCCGGTAACTGTGCACCTTTGCAGAGAATCCCTCTCAACGAGATATTGACTGCTGGTTAATTGAAGGGAATTTCAGCATCTTAAAAGACACACCTGTCCTAAAAATGGTCTGAGCTGAGTGCCAACAGTAATTAGGCTCCCGGGGAGCTTAGGCAAATTTTGACACATTGAATTTTTAGGGACCTAAAAGGTGAGTGTTAAAAAACTTACCTCTAATTCAAAGTAGTGAATTTTTAGAAAGTTGTGTCAATATAAACTTGAATCAAAATTTTACAGAGAAGAGGTTATGAGTATGATAAAATTGCACTGAAGTACACACAAACATATACACTAACACACAAATGAGGGCATGAAAAACCAGGGAAATGTGAATGAGGTTGGTGAGGTTGGCGGATGTCAGCTTCCTGGTTGTGACATTGTACTGTAGTTCTTTCTTCAAGAGGTTACTCTTGGGGAAAACTGGATGAAGGATACTTGAGATCTCTCTGTATTATTTCTTACACCTACATGTAAAACTAAAATTATCTCAAAAAATTTTTTTAATTACTTAAAGAAACCATATGAAGAAAGGCAGAAAAATGGCAGGAAGAAAGCATTTGTAATATTCCAAGGAGGGAAGGCAGGCAGAGAGGACAGGTATAATCTTTAGGAAAAAGTCTATGCATTCCTGCAGAGAGAAATTGAATACAAAGTACGTGATCCTACCAAGGAAAAGTCATATCTCCAGGGTTTTCCTTTCTTTTTTTTTTTTTTTTTTTTTTTTTGAGACGGAGTCTCGCTCTGTCGCCCAGGCTGGAGTGCAGTGGCGGGATCTCGGCTCACTGCAAGCTCCGCCTCCCGGGTTCACGCCATTCTCCTGCCTCAGCCTCCCAAGTAGCTGGGACTACAGGCGCCCGCCACTACGCCCGGCTAATTTTTGTATTTTTAGTAGAGACGGGGTTTCACCGTTTTTAGCCGGGATGGTCTCGATCTCCTGACCTCGTGATCCGCCCGCCTCGGCCTCCCAAAGTGCTGGGATTACAGGCGTGAGCCACCGCGCCCGGCCGGGTTTTCCTTTCTTGATGCAAACACCCAGACATAGAATGTTGTGCCTGGATTGAGTAGAAGCCACCAACAGTTGTCTCAGCTACCAGATAAACCATCAAAATGGAATCATAACTCTCCTTTGTTGCTTTCCTTTATAACTGTGAAAGCTGAAATCTGGCTTCTAGACTTATCAAAACTAAATTGAAAAATTGTGGTTTGCTCCTCCTTCGGAAAAACCAACCCTTAGGTTAAAATGCTAACTAGGCTTCATTTTAAATCATGAAGAGCAGGGGGAAAAGAGACACAGTCACCACAGACAAGCTGACCAATTTATGTTCCATCATATTTCACAGCCTGGCGTCACTATTTTGCCCTTCCATAGGGAATCTGACATCTTTCGTCTCTTTTTCCTAAAGATCTTTCTTCTGCAGGCAAGGCTGGAGTGCTGGAGCACTTCCATCTGCCCTCTAGACGTACTTTCCACCCAGGGCTCTTTACCCTCATGGGCTACAAGAACGGGCTCTTTTTCTCAACATGACGTTTTGGAGATTCAGTCATATTTGTGCTTCTGTCTGTCATATGTGCTTTTTGTTTGTTGGTACCAACATGTGTACACTCCATTCTATGAGCATGCCATACTGTGTTCATCCATTTTCCTTTGAATGGATATTTACATTGAAATTCAACTCCTAGATATAGACCTAAGAGAAATGAGTGCATATATACACAAAAGAGTTGTACAAATATGTTCACAGCAGCTTTATACATATATATAATGTATGTGTGTGTGTGTATATATATATATATATATAGTCTTGCTCTAACAACATGTCAACAACAGACCGCATATACAACAGTGCTCCCATGAGATTATAATACTGTATTTTTACTGTACTGTGCCTTTTCCATATTTAGATACCCAACTTCTTATCATTGGGTTACAATTACCTACAGTATGTAGTACAGGATCAGGCTGTTCAGGTTTGTAGCCTAGGAGCAATAGGTTATACCATATAGTCCAGGTATATAGCAGGCTATACCATCTAAGTTTGTGTAAGTCCACTCTGTGATGTTCACATGATGACAAAATCATCTAAGGACACATTTCTCAGAACCTCTCACTATTGCTAAGCAACACATGACTGTGTATGATAGAAAAACATGAGGATACATGCAGGTAGCAAGGAAAGAAGAGAGCATCTTTGGGAAGTGAGGGGTAGGAATTCCAGGAGGATGAGCCAAAAATTTTGAAGCATAGGTCCAAAAGGCAATTTTAGTGTTAGGAGGCATTTTGCATTCTGCAGCCTTAGTTCAAATTCTACATAACTTCATTTCTGCCTCCCTTAGTTCACAGCTCTCTGATTCTATAAAAACATCAATATTCCTGATATCAAGGGCACTTAACTTCAGCAATGCAAGTGTCTGAGTTAAAGACGATTAAAATGCGCTGACTCCAAGTTTCTCTATTTGAATTATAGCCCATTCTACAGTATTGGGCCTTAAAGATCAGATTCCTCACCTCACCTTCCAAAACACTGATACCATGGACACCAAATAGCAAACAAATTACTAGAAGCAATGCAGTTTAGTAGACATGCCATTGGAATGGATATCATAACGCCTAGATTTTTACTGTAGTACTGCTACAGGAGTGCTGAATCCACTTAAACCCTTCTCGTAGCACTTTTGACTATAAAATAATAGCATTTGATTGCGTGACTGTAAGATTGTCTCACCTTCACTAACCTACAAGGTATTTGAAGTTCTCTTATTTCCTAAATTAGTAGTTTCACATCTCCCTTTAGTTCTCTATTTTCCCTCATGTCTCTTGAAGAGCATCTCCAAGGCTCATTCATTTTCCTTTTCAGGATTACGCACTTCACACAGAATCAAGAGGCTGGTTTCCCTGCACATGGAGCAGCTTTTCTCTGTATTTGTTTGTAAAAGACCCCAAGAAAGCAATCACATTTTCTTTCCGTAAATCAAAGCCAAAAGGTAGCTGCCAACACCTGACTTCATGGGTACCAACCAGCTGCAGTTACATACCAAGAGGAAATTTAATGAGTCATCTCCTTAAGATGACGTGCTGGTTGTTTAGAGTGAGTTCTCAATGATTCTGTAGTGAAATCATCACTTTTCTGCTGTCATATTTTTTTGTTTGTTTGTTTTAGAGACAGAGTCTCACTGTCGCCCAGGCTGGAGTGCAGTGGCGTGATCTCGGCTCACTGCAACTTCTGCCTCCTGGGTTCAAGTGAATCTTCTGCCTCAGCCTCCCCAGTAGCTGGGATTACAGGCACGTGCCCCCACTCCTGGCTAATTTTTGTATTTTCTGTAGAGACGTGGTTTCACCATACTGGCCAATCTGGTCTCAAACTCCCGGCCTCAAGTGATCCACTCGCCTCAGCCTCCCAAAGTGCTGGGGTTACAGGCGTGAGCCACCACACCTGGCCCCTGGAGTCATTTTATGAACATTAACAGTGTCAGTGTTGCCCAGATTTCCCACACAATATCATATCTGTGTAAAACATGACTCAGGCAGGGAAGCAGAACTACAAAGATAGCTAAAGCTATAGATATAAATGCAGATATGGATACAGATAGATATACACATATATATCCTCTTTATACATGTATGATTGATAAAAATATATGAAATCTATTTATCTTTCTAGAGGAAGCAAGAGAGAAAAAGCTAGAGAGCTATCATCTATCTGTATATGTGTTTATTCCATCCATCCATCCATCCATCCATCCATCCATCCATCCACGTATTCATCTATCCATGTGCATTAGTCCATTTTCACACTGCTAAAAAGAACTGCCTGAGACTGGGATATATATATATATATATATATATATATATATATATATATATATATATATGAGGTTTAATTGACTCACAGTTCCACATGGCTGGGGAGGCTTCAGGAAACTTATAATCATGGCGGAAGGTGAAAGGGAAGCAAGGCACCTTCTTTACAAGGCGGCAGGAAGGAGAAATACCCAGGGAAGGGGGAAGAGGCCCTTATAAAACCATTAGATCTCATGAGAATTCACTATCATGAGAACAGCATGGGGGAAACCAACCCAGTGATGCAATTACCTCCACCTAGTCTCTCCCTTGACATGTGGGAATTATGGTGATTACAATTCAAGATGAGATTTGGGTGGGGACACAAAGCCTAACCATATCACTATCTATCTATCTAGATCTATTCCGTCCATTTATCTATCCATCTCTCCACTCATTCATCCATTCATCTATATCTCTTCCAGCTATCTTTCTGTCCATCCATCTACCTATTCATCTATTCATCTATCTACCTAGACCTATTCTATCTGTCTATTCATCTATCTATATCTATTCCAGCTATCTATCTTTCTGTCCATCCATACATATATTCATCTATCCATCTATCTAGATCTATTCCACCTATCGTCTATCTATCCATCTATTCATCTGTCTATTCATCTATCCATCCATTTATATCTATTCCAGCTATCTATCTTTCTGTTCACCTATACATTCCATACATCTATTCATCTATCCATCTATCTATCTAGATCTATTCTACCTATCATCTATCTATCCATCTATTCATCCATACATCTATTCATCTATCCATCTATCTAGAACTATTTCAGGTAGCTCTCTATTTATTTGAGAGAGAGAGAGAGAGAGAGAGAGAAACAGGTCCAAATCCCACAGGGCAAGCTAGCAGGAAGTACAGCCTGAAACTCACCACATAGACTGAGGCTGCTCCCCAGAGGCAGAGTTTCTTCTTCTCTACATGTTTTTAAGCATCGACCCTGCTTTGAAAGCCTTTCCCCAGAATAAACAAGGACCACAAGGTTAACGGGATAATCTGCCTTACTTAAAGTCAACTGATTATGGGCTTTAATTACATATCTTTATGACAATGCCTACGTTCGTTTAAATAACGGGACACCATAGCTTAGCAAAGCTGGCATGTCCAAAAGATCATCACAGAATTCGAAAAAGGTGGAAAAGGTCAAGGGAGTCAGAAATAACAAGTAACGACAAGAATCTTGTGTGCATAAAGGTGTGCTGGGCGCTATTGCACAAATCATGTTCTCCCTGGTCCTGTGTACTCATCTGTAAAAAGCAGACAGTATGTTGCCCTTGGAGTATTGTCAGAAACGTAATAAGATAATGTGTATAATGCACCTTACACTCTTGGCAATCATCTGTTACTTAATAAAATTGCTCCCCCCCTTACTTATAAAACGTTGTTCAGAAGAATTTTGTTTCACAGAGATATTGTTTTATGTGCAGATTTGGGGCTCCTCTCTTTAGTGATTCTGCTGTATTAGGTCTTTTTTAGGAAGGGGCAAACATGTGCATGTTTAACCATCATTTAAATAATACTGGGCTGATGGAAAGGGACTACAATCTTTGAAATTAAGCCATAGAGAAAGTCAAAAGAACTTAAGTGCTTATTATATTTTTAAAGGTCTTCAAAGAAAGACAGTAGTCAGGTTAGTGAGGAACTATAATTAGTGAAAGAAGACTTTCTATTGATTAATCTATATTATAATTACCAATGAATATGGTATCTCTTGGATTGCAATAAAAATTTCCATTCTAAAGATAAAGGGCCGGGCACGGTGGCTCACACCTGTAATCCCAGCACTTTAGGAGGCCGAGGTGGGCGGATCACGACGTCAGGAGATCGCGACCATCCTGGCTAACATGGTGAAAGCCCGTCTCTACTAAAAATACAAAAAAAAATTATCCGGGCGTGGTGGCGGGTGACTGTAGTCCCAGCTACTCGGGAGGTGAGGCAGGAGAATGGCGTGAACCCGGGAGGCGAGCTTGCAGTGAGTGGAGATGGCGCCACTGCACTCCAGCCTGGGCAACAGAGCGAGACTCCATCTCCAAAAAAAAAAAAAAAGATAATGGATTGCTGGTCATGGTGGCTCATGCCTGTAACCCCAACACTTTGGGAGGCCAAGGCAGGCAGACTGCTTGGGCAATAAGCCAAAACCCTGTCTCTACAAAAACTACAAAAATTGCCAGGCATGGTGGTATATGTCTGTAGTCTCAGCTACTCAGGAGGCTGTGGTGGGAGGATCACCTGAGCCCAGGGAGGTAGAGGCTGCAGTAAGCCATGATCACACCACTGCACTCCAGCCTGGGCGACAGAGCAAAACCCTGTCTCAAAAAATATAAAATAATGACTTTCTTCTATCAAGTTTTAAAATGAAGAAGATGTGCTTTCAAATTAGTAACTTTTAAGTATTTTAAAATGCATTCATAAAGTTTAATAAATGAAACATGAATTTGCCAAGCCCTAAAAGGCAAAAGAGTAAATAGTCAACTGATAAGCATCATGCCTCCTGAAGCTATGTAAGACTGCTCCAGAAAATAAAATGTATTAAATATTAGAAATGGACTCTTCTTTCAAAAGTTTAAAACTTGAAACATCCTGCTACCTGCACATTGATGATGTGAAGGAGATGTTTATTACTGGGCGTGTACAACTGCCAATGTGGAAAATCGCAAAGGTGGTGGGGGCACCAACACTAAAAATCAACCCGAAGAATCTTTGTTCCTCAAGAAATAAGTAACTGTGCAAGTGGTGGGTTCTCTCAACACCTGGAAAGGCCCAGCCATTCCAGGATTCATGACAAGTGCCCTTCTAAGTGGGGTACATGTTTGTAAAGCTTGATTTTAAATTCCTAAATTTGAACTCATAAAATTGCTGGCATATTTCTTCTCAGCCCCGAGTATTCTTGCTAGGCAAAGTTCAGTAGCACAAGCACACCCACATTTCATCTGGGCCACATCCCTAGCCTACCCTCAGCTAAATCTTGGCATTCCATTGTATCGCTCTCTACAGGCCAGGCCTGAGGTAAAAAAAAAACATCTGCTAAGGCAATGAGGAATGATGAGACTTGCCACATGTCCCTCCTCCAGCTTCCCAAAACCTCACCTTAGACTCTGACTTAAATTGAAATCCACAATGTATACTTTAAAAATATGCACTTTGGCCTGAGCCAAGTGACTCATGCCTTTAATCCCAGCACTTTTGGAGGCTGAGGCAGGCGGATCACCTGAGGTCAGGAGTTCGAGATCAGCCTGGCCAACATGGTAAAACCCCGTCTCTACTAAAAACACACAAAAAAATTAGCCAGGCATGGTGGTGGGTGCCTGTTTTCCCAGCTAGTAGGGAGGCTGAGGCAGAAGAATCGCTTGAACCCAGACGGTGGAGGTTGCAGTGAGCCGAAATCGCACCACTGCACTCCAGCCTGGGTGGCAGAGTAAGACTCCATCTCCAAAAAAAAAAAAACAACAAAAAAAAAGCACATTGAAAAAGAAAAGATGTTTCCTGCTTCCTCAGTCTTCTCTGAATGTGTGTGTATTATCCAAAACACTTTTTTTTTGTTATGTTTTGTCTTGTCTTGTTTTCACGTTTAGTGAAGTGACTTCATTGGAAGGCACAAGAGTGAGAAGAATTTTAAGCAACAGAATGTAGGTAGATGTCATAAAATTGTTCTGAGAGGCCAATGCAGTCCCAGGGCCAGGATGGAGTGCCCGGTAAGAGCCTTGGTCTTGGTGCAGAAGAAAGACAGCATGTCATACATGCTTGAGTGTCCAGGTCCCCAGAGGAGGATTGGGAGAATAAGCTCCCTGTGCCATGAATATTGCCAGGGGTCCACACAGACCTGCATGGAGCAAGAACGAGGAGACATTGACCAACACTATTGAATGCCTATTGCATACCAAACACTGTAGATAGACTTGCAATAGAGAAAAATGAGAAAGTGGGGAAGGAACATGTCAATGATCAGACCCAGACCTTGTTTCTTAATTGCTGATTGTTTAAGAGACCAACAGGGGGAAATGCACTCAGAACAAGTGACTACACTGTTATACACTATTGGTGGGAATATAAATTAGTTCAACCTCGATAGAAATCAGTATGGAGATTTCCCAAAGAACTAAAAATAGAACTACCATCCAACCCAACAATCCCACTACTGGGTATCTACTCAAAGGAAAACAAATCATTATATAAAAAAATACATTTGCACTAGGATGTTCATTGCAGCACAATTCACAGTAGCAAAGTCAGGGAACAAATCTAACTGCTCATCAAGGGTTGATTGGATAAAGAAAATGTGATACATATAATCTATGGAATACTACACAGCCATAAAAAAGAATGAAACCGTGTCCTTTGAAGCAACATAAATGGAGCTGGAGGCCATAATCCTAAGCAAATTCAAGCAGAAACAGAAAATCAAATATTTCGTGTTCTCACTGATAAGTGGGAGTTAAACAATGGGTACACATGGACATAAAGATGGAAATAATAGAACACCATGAGACATGCTCAGTGTCATGACTGAAATACATGCAAAGTGCTGGGAGACTGTGGAGAACTCATGACTGATAACGGAGGAATGGTGGAGGAATGGCGAACATGTGCAGTCAGGATCTGGTGTAGCCCAAACAAGGAGAGATGCAGACTTTAAAGTTTAGAATTGAAAGTCTCTGACCTGGTGCTTCCCCACAGCTCTGAGGCTAAGGCTTGGTTAGAGATCTTTGTCCTCCAAGGACTGTTTTTCTTTCATAACATATAAAAAATATAACTAGCTCTATATTCTTTTTCAAAAGACATTTTCTTTATTAGCGTGAACCTCCCAAGCTTGGGAACATTACCTGAAGTTTTAAAAATACAGCCTTTCCTTTCATATGACTTCCTGCTGACTTTAAAATAGCCACAAAGGAAAAGATTCATATTAATTACAAGCTCCCATTGTGCTGAATATCCGAAATAAATACCCAGGCGCATCTTTCTTTCTTTAATTGCATGAAGCGGCAAGAGATAGGCCCTTTTTTTGTGACTGAAGAGGCAGAAAGTAGATATTTTGTTTATGCCAGTGAATAGTGTAGGACTCAGAATCCTTCTGATTCCTCTCCAAGTATTAAGCTTTTTGCTTCAAAATATGTAATACACATGGCAATATTTCCTTCTCTTGCTAGCTAAAGTGGCCATTAAAATCTTAAAATTGTTACTTATAAATAGACATATGAACATGCATTCAGCAGGGTTTTAAAATTCTTTTTCTTAAATTATAACTGAAAACTTTTAGATGCCTAATTCTTTGTGGGTGAGGTTTTTCGTCAACTGATCCCCAAACCTTAAAAGTTGGTTCTGAAATGAGTTTAATTTTTCATAGTTTAATCATTCTAATCCTAGAATTCCCTTTTAGGATGAGGTATTCCTTTCCTACTGTTCCTTTGCCATTAATCACAAATTTAGTTTCTTAAAACAATGCAAACATTATTTTTTATTTCTGCACGTTGGGAGTCCAAAATCAGTCTCGGAAGGCTAAAACTGATATTTTGACAACGTTGTGTCTCCTCTGAAGGCTCCTGGGGAGAATTCATTTTCTTGCCTTTTCCAACTTCTAGAGGCCACCTGCCTTCCTTAGCTTGTGGCTTCCTCCTCCATCACTCCAACCTCTGCTTCCCTTGTCCCATCTCCTTCTCTGATTCTGATTCTCCTGCCTCTCTCTTAAAGGACATTAATGATTATTTTGAACACAGGCAGATAATCCAAGATCATCTCCCCTTCTCAAAGTCCTTAACTTAATCACAACTGCAAAGTCCCTTTTGCCATATAAGGTGACACAGGTATGGGCTCTGGTGATTAAGGACATGGACATATTTGGAAAGCCATTCATTATTCACTCAGCATAGCTGAAAACACTTATGCATATTGATTTGATTTGGTTGTGTCCCCACTCAAATCTCATCTTGAATTGTACCTCCCACAATTCCCACTTTTGGGAAGGACAGGGTGGGAGGTAATTGGATCATGGGGGCAGGTCTTTCCTGTGCTGTTCTTGTGGTAGTGAATAAGTCTCATGAGATCTGATGGTTTTACAAAGGGTAGTTTCCCTGCACACGTTCTCTTCTCTTGTCTGTCACCATGTGAGATGTGCCTTTCACCTTATATCATGATTGTGAGGCCTTCCCAGCCATGTGGAACTGTGAGTCCATTAAACCTCTTTCTTTTGTAAATTGCCCAGGCTCGGGTGTGTCTCTATCAGCAGCATGAAAATAAACTAATACATATATACGCCTGTGAATGTATAATTTTCACATGTGAGAAAACTTAGTTGATAATTCTTGTAATAGTACTATTGTGTTTATACGAATCTGTTCAGGCTATCTTAACAAAACACTACAAACTACATGGCTTAAGCAACAGAATTCCGTTTCTCACAGTACTGGAGGATGGGAAGTTTAGGATCAAGGTCTAGCAACGTGGAGATTCTGGTAAAGGCTCTCTTGCTGGCTTCAGGCAGCCACATTCTAACATGGTAGAGAGAGAGTGCTGGTGTCTCTTCCCCTTCTTATAAGAGCACCAGATCTATTGAGTGAGGGCCCACTCTTATGACTTCATTTTAGTATTTCCTCAAAGGCCCTGTCTTCAGACACAGTCATATTGGGGGTTAGGGTTCCAAATTATTAATTTTGAGGGACACAATTCGGTCCATAGCAGTGTTTATATCCATTTAGGTTGTTGGGTGCAAGAGTGCACATCCAAAGATTGAAAACCACAGATTTGAAAACTGTGAAGCTTAGTAAAGAAATGAATCTAAGATTTGAATATGTAGTTTCAGAAAAGTTGTCAAACTAGAAGTCCAAGGACCAAACCACCCCACTCATGGCTATAAGAACTTTGCCTAACTGTATAATCTGTCTGATTATATTTTGTTTTCAAATACGGAGATAATAACATCTGTTTTTCCTTCTTTAAGGGGTCATTTCAAGGATAAAGTAGGACAACCATTGTCAAAGTGCTTCAAGGGCTCTGAAGTGCTTTATGAAAATCTGTTGTTTATCCATATCATTTGAAAGAGCAATGAACAGAGTGAGTGCTAAGAAATGCTTGTCCACTGTGGAAAGAATCCATGGAGGGCATGAGAACCATATGTTACAGATTTGCAAAGGTATTGGTGTTTTCATTGTTCCATAATTTTTTTAAGGAAAGGCGGGCCAGACATGGTGGTTCATGCCTGTAACCCCAGCATTTGGGGAGGCCAAGGTGGGAGGATCTCTTGAGCCCAAGAGTGTGAGACCAGCCTGGACAACATAGTGAGACGTTGTCTCTACAAAAAAATCTAAAATGTAGCGAGGCATGGTGGTGCATGCCCATAGGCCCAGCTACTTGGAGGCTGAGGTGGGAGGATTGCTTGAGGCCAGGAGTTTCAGGCTGCAGTAAGCTATGGTCGCGCCACTGCACTTTAGCCTGAGGGACAGAGTGAGATCGTGTCTCAAATAAGTGAATAAATAAAGTATAGGCAAAAAAGAGCAAAAAAAATAGTTACTAAATACAAATAAATTGCTCTCCTTTATAGGGAAAGCCCTAGAAAACATGGGTGGGTACCACCTATGATATAAGTTAATGGTTAATCAGAAGAAGAAAAGAAAACCAGAATAAAGTTAAGAATGAGTTATAAAAATTTGAATTTGGGCTAATTTTCCCTGTATGTAGGTACATAAATGTGTTTTTTCCTCACTTTGCATATGCCCAGCAAATACAGGGTTTAGGTAAATTTTATCCTGTCATCTTAATAAAAAATAATTTTTGTAGGAAGCACATGATTAGCTAACCCTGGTGCGAAATTTCCAGGAACAACCTGAGGAGGTCAAAGAAACCCATGGCCAGTGCTGTTGCTCCTCCAATGACAGCTACGGAAATTATTAAAGACAAGTTCTAGGGAAAGAACCAGTTCCTTAAAGGGTGATCTTTAAAACCCTAAGCCTATGAAATATGAGTTAATGTCACAGCCTATATTTTATTAAAAGTTGGATCTGTGAACTGTCTTCTTAAACACTTTACTACGGGTGATATCTCTTAAAATGTGTCTGTACATTGTCTCACAAAATCCAGATTTAGATGAGAAAGGAATCTTAATGTCATCGTAATCTTGTTAGGAGGAACCATGGTATTGTGTGACATGGAACAAGTTTAAGCTTTATTTCATTATTGTCCCCTATTCCAACAGCTTAGCCTTTTCCAATATGTGTCAAAACACACAGCTTTTAATCAGCTTAATCAGAGTAACATTATATTAGTTCAACAGTCTGCCATGTCAGCATACAGTGTGCACTCGGAGAAACATTTTGCAAACACAATGAAACCCGAAATTTTCATGAGTCTCTAAAACATAATCAGGGTGGCTAATACACTGTGTCAGCAACAGCAGAGCAAATCTGGGAACTGTAATTAAAAAGATGATATTTTTTCTCTCAAATGAATTCTGTAGAAAATTCTTGCAAGAGAATTGCATTATGCTGCACTGTGTGTGTGTGTGTGTGTGTGTGTGTGTGTGTGTGTGCGTGTGTGTGTGTGTGTGTGGTGGCTATGTTGAACCTTGATTTAGTATCTCTTCTTCAAGATTTTGTATTCCTGCTGCTCAAAACAATTGAGCCTAATCTCCACTAGGTTGAATAGTATGGTCAAAGCAAACCTAAAGAATTGTGGTTCTGTATGAATTGGCTACCAAACCACTGTATGAAAAGAATAATGACTCAATAACAAAACCATCCAGTAACTTTCGTGGAAAACACTATTTATCTGAGTAAACTACAGCTCTCTATAAAGTATCTGGTATGGTGTCAATCTGTCTTGCACTTTGGGAAAAAACTCTTAAATTGACATTTATCAGGTTTCCAATAATGCCATCCTATCATTCAAATCTCTTGTAAACAGCACACAGCAGTAACAATTTATGGCTTGCTGATTTAGGTTTTATTTTGCAAATTACAGATAAATCATACATTGGGTTGCGAAAATGGCAGGCTTTCTACATTTGCCTACCATGATGAAGTGATTAGCCGTCACATTCAGAATACATATTGGAAAATGGCGTGGTATGAAGGTTGTTGGCAGATCCAAAAGTTTTAACTTGTCTGGTCAAAACAAGGAAATCTACAGAGATGACAGGAAGAAAATATGATGGTGGCTTCAGGTAAAGGCTTGATTTCCTCTACATGCTCTTCAATATCAGAAAGATCATACAGTCCTTCTCCTCCAGACACTTACAGGCTCCAATGAGCACCCATTAGGTTGGTGCCTCCACCGTGGTCTGAAGTCACAAGGAAGCCATAGCCACCTGCTGCCTGAGGAGCGATGGCAGTATCATCCCATGATCTGACGTAGACGTTCTCTCAACTCCTGAGAGATTCAGCTCTACTTTGAAAATGTATCTTCAATATATCCTCAACTTCTTCCAGGTCTAGGCTCAAATGTCATTTGATCAGAAGGGCTTTCCTGGCTGCACCCTGTTAAGGAGACTGTCCTCTTCTCTACAAAAGTTGCTGTTCTCTTACCTGTTGCAATTTTTCTCCTTGGTTTTCTTCACTATCTCTGTGGGGTGTGTGTGTGTTCCCTCCCTATTGCATCTTTCTTTGTGATACTTTTACAAAATACTTGAACTATCATCTCCGAGTGTTGGACTATATCATTGTAATAAAGTACAAGTTGAATCTCTTCAGAACAGCACAGCACAAACTCATTTAATTTATTGGTAATATGAGGACACTATTATTTACCTCCCCACATTTTCTTACTGATTTCGTAATATCATATCTGTGAAATGCTCAGGAAGTATTTGCCATGTAACTGGTGGTTAAGATTTTATTATTCAGCATTAGCAAAAGCATTCAGTGTGCTTCTCTCAACATCTAAGAATAGGTCAGGCACCGTGGCTCATGCCTGTAATCCCAGCACTTTGGGAGGCTGAGGTGAGAGGATTGCTTGATTCCAGGAATTCAAGACCAGCCTGGGCAACATAGTGAGACCCCATCTGTACAAAACAAATTGAGAATTAGCCAGGCATGGTTGTTTGTGCCTGTAGTTCCAGCTACTCGGAAATAGAAGCGGAAAGATTGCTTCAGCCCGGGAGGTCAAGGCTATAGTGAGCTATGACTGCACCACTTTAATCCAGCCTAGGTGATGGAATAAGACTCCATCTCAAAAGTAAAAATCTAATGATAAACTGTTAAGATGATCTACAGACAGATAAAGAGGCAGCTTACATCTCCAGTGTCTCCCCAGCCATTCATCCTGGTCGCATGAGCTTATAACAACTCAACTACAGGATGTGCCCAAGTTTAGAGAAAACCGGAATTGTTATGACAGTCAAATCTGCCCCACAACCCCTCATTGCAAACGTGGTTGGGTAATAAATATGACTTACTTTTATAGAGCCCTCACTGCTGTGATTTGAATGTTAGTGTCCCTCCAAAATTTATGGTTGATACTTAATCTCCAATGCAATAGTATTAGGAGGATTTGAGGGATGATTAGGTCATGAGAGCTCCAGCCTCCTGAATGGGATGAGTACCCTTATGAAAGAAATTGAGAGGATCTCTTTGGCCCTTTCACCCTTTATCCAGGTGAGGACACAATGAGAGGCACCATCTACAAAGCAGAGAGCAGACTTCACCATATACCAAATCTGTCTGTGCCTTGATCTTGGATTTCTCAGCCTCCAGAATTGTGAGAAATAAATTTATATTATGTATAAATTATACCATCTAAGATGTTTGGTTATAGCCGCAGATAGGGATTGAGACTCTCACCATTGGCAGGGCACTGCACCCTGGACTTGTCACATATCATGATGTCTGATTTTTGTGATAACTGAGTGAGGTTGGCATTGATGTTGGCCAACCAACCGTTGACCAACTAATTTGAGTCTGCTCAAGGTCCCCAGAGTGAGTGAGTGGCAGAACTGTGAAGGAAACCCGTTTTCCTTCAATTCCATAGTCTGGGATCTTGGTGGCCATGCCATTTTGCCCTCTGATATTATTTGGAAATAGGGGAAGATCATAGGTTTTAGACCCAGAAAGAGATGTGTTTGAATCTTGGCTCTGCTTCTAATGCAAATTCTGACCCAAACTCACTACGTCTGAAGTGCTTGCACATGGGAAGCACCCCATTACCATGTGCTTCTTTGAATATCAAATTATATTTGTTTAGACATTAGGAGGTGGTGTTTATGTATGGCAAGATATTTGTGTAATATATTTATTCAAAATACAAAATATTTACAGGACCCAGAAGGCTCATTCATTTTGTACTAAAAACTACTGACCAATGGAGATATTCCAAATACACAATTGCATCTCACATCATGACTTATATGCTTTAAATGAGTTAAACTTGAATCACTTTAGTATATGAACATTTTGATCAGCCAGTGAAGCTTTCCATAAATGCTATCAGATGCTAGACTGGTGAAAAGATATAGACATTAGAGTGAGTATTGGCCTATATACTGGAAATGTATTATGTTATTATGAATTTATTCTCATCAAAATTACCCCTCTTGGCAAATTCAGCACATGATGTCACATATATTACCAGAGGGCCATTTTCTTTCCAGAGATAACTATAAGATAGATCAGAAATAAAATGAGAGTTGTGAGCGGTCAGGTACAGTATAATTCTATTGGGTAACATTTCTTTTGAAACACGAGTATATAATATGATCAGGGCAATCATTTTTATTAACGAAGATAGTTTCATTTTTATGCTTCCAATCATTGCTATGCTTCTTAATAGGCTTGGGGTTATTTTTTTCTTTCTAAAGTGAAGAAAATGTATTTCTTCTCCATTGTTTTACTGAAATGCATAATATGTGGAAATATGTAGGTCAGTAAGATTCTGGGAAAAAAATAAACATAATAGATTTTTGCCTCCTTTCTTAAAAATGCCTTTACAATTGTTTTGTTGTTGCTAAAATGGAACATTTTACAACATTCTACATAAGGGATAAAGTAAGTTTTCAAAATTATCATCATGTTTTAGACATAGCATGCATATACTGTACAAATCTTTTAAGTAAAATTCGTTTTATTGCTGCTTCAATAAAGCTGTTTTCTTCTACCCTACCACTGGCTTACCTTTGAATCCTTGGCAAAGCCAAAAATCCTGAAAGGCTAAGCCCCACTTTGGGACTCGCCTGTCCTGCATCAAATTCACTCTCCCAGTAGCCATATGTGAGAATTTCAGTCACTCCACAGACATGTGCAAATACATGGGATTGTCAATCGTTTCACAATTTCATTCATTCTGGTAGCTGGGCAGTAGCATGTCGTTATGGCTTTAACTTATATTTTCCTGATAAGGAATGCTGTTGAGTAACTTTCCATATGCTTATGGGCCAGTCAGAAATCTTTATTTGGAAATGGTCTGTCTAAATCTTCTGAAAATGTTTAATCGAGTTGTCTTTTTTGTACTAATTTATAGGATTTCTTAATATATTCTAAATATCAGTCCTCTGGAGACTATAATGTCTCATTCGTTATCATATCCTTTAACTCTCTTAGTGATGTCTAGTGATGAGCAAAGTTTTTTAATTTTAATGATAACCAATTTATCAGTTTTTTATGCCTAGTAATTTTTGTGTTCTCTTTAAAAATTGTTGTATATCCCAAGCTCATAAACATATTCTTCTTGTTTTTTTCTATAAGTTTTATAATTCGTATTTTACAGATCATCTGTGACCTATTTCATATTAATTTATTTGAAGTAGAGGTAAAACTTTATTTTTAAAATATTGAAATCCAATGGAACCAACAACACCTATTTAAGCAACCATTCTTTCCCGCCAATGAATTGCTGTAACACTTTTTCATAAATATGTCGACTGCATATATGGGATGTACTCTAGATTCTAGACTCTGTTTTCTATGTATCTTTTAGTGTATTCTTGTGCTACTATCTTGATTACCATAGCTTCGTTGTAATTCTTGATATCTGGTAAATTAAGTATTTGGCCTTTGTTTTTCTTCAAGGCTACCTTAGCTGCTTTTTAGGTACTTCGGCTTTGGATATAAATTTTACAAGTCAGTTTCACAATTTCCACAAAATCTTTGGTAAAATATTGATAGGGATTGCACAAGCTTGGAAAAATGGGTATCTTAAAAATATTGGGTCCTCCAGACTATAAACATGATATATTTCCGTATGTAGGCCTTTAATTTCTCTGAGCATTTTTGTTGTTGTTTCCTGTGTAGAAGTGTCACATAATTAACTAGATCGATTTATGTGTACATGTGAATTCATTTATTTATTTGTTCCCTTACATTTAAATTTCTAACTCATTGTTCCTTGTATCATTGTCAGGTTTTACTAAATTATGAAAGAACTATTTGACCCCAATCCTTGGTCAAGCCAATAATAGCAGAAGTAATTTTTAAACTCTTTCCTCACTCCACAAACACCAACGTATATAGATAACATTCTACATCCATCTTCTTTTCCGTTCTCACATGTTTTCCCATGCATTTCAGATGCAACTGTTTCTCAGCAATTTTTTACCATACTCCCATGATGGAACTTCAGTCATATCCCTCACCAATTCAACCATACACCATTTCAGGATTAACCATTATTAAATATCACCTTCAGCATAGCATTTTCTTACCAGATCTTCATCTCTTCCTCATATTTTCCATCAATTATGTGTCAAAGCTGCACTCTTTCCAGCCCTGCGTCTTCCTCTTCCTCTTCCTCTATGTGTACTTTGGACACCAAGTCAAACCAGCCACCTTAACAGACCTTAAACATTACCTTTGCTTAGGCTGCTTAGTGCCTCTGGACTCCCGCTTCTCCCTTGATTCCTGTCTCTTCTAGTATCCATCCCTCAAGAAACATGGAAGTCAAAATTGGGTTTTAAATAAGATAATTTACTAGCCCTCAACCAAACACAATCAATTGATTCTTTGAAACCATATTGTTCTTTTGAGGGTACATTTTTTTAGTATACCCTGGTAGGCTACTATTTGAGGAGATATTTCCCTTCAACCTTCTTCTGACATTGTTTGGTTTATCTTTGTATCCTTAAAAGCATTCAGCACAGTCTTTGGTTCATGGTTGATACTTAATAAATATATGTTGACTTAAATCTAATTTTAATAGATCCAAGTAGAAAAGCATAATACAGTCGTGCTATCTTTTCTGCTTGAGTTATGTCAGCCATGGGATCCTGAGAAGACCTTTTGAAGTGCTAAAATGAAAAATAGGCAAAACTCCATTCTGCTCTAGCTAGAGGATCATTAAAAAATTCAGACCCTTCACTTTTTTAAAGCATATAATTTATGTGCATTATAAAGCAACCCTTTGTTTTCACAAGTCAACATTCTTAATGCAGTCTGTCAAAGTGCATTCTCAGTAAATTGCTTTGATGAATATGCCAGCTCAGTCCATTTCTTTTAACCTGAAGAGAGAAAGAAAGATTTTAAAAAAGACTTTTGCAGCAGCAAAAAAGAAAGTAAATAAAACAGATCTAGACTTTGCTGCATATTTTTATGTCCAAGCTTGCAAATAATTTCCCTTAACACTCTCATGAGTCAGAACTCTGCCTCCAAATTTGTAATTCAAAAGCCTTGTTTTTGTTTTAGAACAGATAGAGAGTGCCAGTTTCTGCTTCTGCCCCACACACTCACCCATGAACAGGTCCTGAACATGCACAGACTTGATATGGTTTTTAAAACACAGATGGGAAAGCCATCCTCAGTTTGACACACCTAAGCTCCAGCACTTCAAGGTAGTAAGTAAACAATTCTTTCTTTTCTAGAGACCCTCACTGCAAAATCTCACCCGGAAGACTTCAAGGACTGGATATTGGTTAGTTTGGAACTGACTTTTTTCTATGTGGCAGTTGGTGTAGCTAATAGAATGTAATAACACTTCCTGCACATATTTTCCTTGAATATCTAAAATAGATTTCTTAGTTTTCCTCCCCCACCAGGGGTGGTGGAGTTTTATGTAATGATGTAGGAAAACAGAGTAGTAGAGAGACACTTTTTGTCTTAATGGGAGCTTCTGATGAAGTGAGACTTAATCCAAAACATGTTGATTCAAACACAATGTAACCACACTGTCTTGTTATAGATCTTTATAAATATATGTCTGTGTGCAAATATTCACTCTCAAATACGCATACACTCTTTTAGGGAAAACAACTTGTCCCTCACTTTGATACATATTCAACTACAGAAAGGCTGCCACTTCCTTCAATTAACACCAAACTCTCCACGGAATTTGATCAGGTTTAGGGGGAGATGCTCTCTTTTGGATTTCCTCACACTTCCCTTGAGTCATAACTATTGCTTCCTTGGGCAGAAAGATGAAAGTAGGGTTTACTACAGAAAGCTACAAAATTCTTCTAAAACATAATGTCAAATAAATAATAAAAGAAAATAACCTGTGAATACTGTATTTCTTATTGTGTGTACACAATTTCTCACTGTGATTTTTTTCTGCTTTACGACTGGATACCAATACCAACCAGACATTCATTTTCCTCAGGTATTACCTGGGTAAAAAACACCCCTCTGGTAAATCAGCTGGCAGAATGTCCTCGGTCTGAAAGATATTACTGAGGATTCCTTTCAAAAGCTTAGGAAATGGCCTCAGATTGACACTCCTGACTTGTTGAGTGCCAATAGGAAATGTGGCAGGGAAAGAGTAAGAGCTTGGGACCCAGGCAGTGGAGGGGTAAGAGGATGCAGCTTATATGGAAGAGCGTGGGACCCAAGCATTTGGAGAGATAAGAGGATGTGGCTTGTAAGTGTCCTTCCTGGAAACCCCACAGGTGACAAACCGCACAGGTGCATTCCGCCTATGCTGATGCTCTGACCACTTCTGAGTTGTCATTTATGTCTCCCCGGTATCCCCAGAAGAAACTCGCCAACCTCAAGTTGGAAGTCAAGGCTTCCAAAACTGATGTGGGAGAGGGGAGTAGATAGAGTCTAACTCTCAACACTTACACAGGTGGGCTAAACCAGTTATCCACTCTCTCCTCCCACTACCCTTCACCAGGAACTCACTTTTCTGGTGTTGATTCCCTGGAGCAGCCTTTCTGAACTCCAAGGTCATGGTCACCCTATTCCACTTCCCAAGCATGTCCTTCTCCAGCCCTATGACACACAGAAGCCTATGGACTTCTCATCATACATCATAAGGGCTTCTTCTTTGAGTCCTGGGTCACCCCATCTCATATTAGTAAACTAAGACAACCAAGTATCTTTAATCACCATGGGTTTTTTTTGGTGGCGGAAGGGAAGGGGCAAAAAAATGTGGAGTGTCTAAGTCTTACCTTTCTGAAGATTCAGTTAGTTCCAATAGAGGAAGGGACTTGCATGGCTCCTAATGATTTTTCAAAGTAGCAACTTGAAGGCAGCACATTGGAGCATTTCACAGCTGCATCCCCGCTTGACAATCCTGCCTCTTCTACAAAGCTAAGAATACTACTCAGCTAACCCTCAGTCCTTGAGGAGGAGAAGCCTGAGAAGATAGAATTTGATCCTGCAGAATACATGGCAGGAATTGGTTGAGTCACAGCTATGTCTCCCTGAAATGTGTGTGTTTTTTTTTTTCATGAGGATGTTGCTTTTCTCAACATGAATATAAAATACAGTGCAGGAACAGGGGCTCACACCTGTAATCCCAGCACTTTTAGAGGACTGCTTGATGCCAGGAGTTCCAGACTAGCCTGGACAACATAGCAAGACTCTGTCTCTACAACAACAACAAAAAATGTAAAAATAAGCCAGGTGTCATGGTGTGCACCTGTAGTCCCAGCTACTTGGGAGGCTGAGGCAGGAGAATTTCTTGAGACCATGGGTTCAAGGCTGCAGTGAACTATGATTACACCACTGCACTCCAACATTGGTGACAGAGCAAGATCCTGTCTCCAAATATATATATATAATATATTATATATATATAAAATATATATATATAATATATTATATATATAAAATATGTATATAATATATATATAATATGTATAATATAGATATAAATATATAATATATAAGATATAATATATATATATTATATATATAATATATAATATATTATATATATTATATATAATATATAATATATAATATATTATATATATAAAATATATATAATATATAAAATGTATATATAATATATAAAATACACATAATATATAAAATTTAAAATATATATAAAATATAAAATATATATAAAAATATATATAATATATATATAAAATATATATATACACTCATATGTATGTATATGTATATATGGCAATTAAAAAATACTTGGTTGTCTTACTTCAGTCGTGTTTATCCTTGTGTGTGTGAGCAGGTATTTTGAAAGATGAAGACCTAAGATGGATGTACAGGGCCCTAAAGTTTTGGCCCAGAATATATGCACCTATTTAAGCCTGGATGAGCCCAACTTTACACCTTGGAATGAGTAGTGATGTGCAAAATACCTGAGGTCAGGAACCAGACCTGTCTAGTTCAGCACTGTACTTGCAAAACCCAGTGTTGGAATTGAGCTTTTCCACTCAAATATTTAGTAAATGCTCAAATAAATGAATGGATGTGAATCAATAGATGAGGAAACTGTGATGTTGTGATGAGATTATTCTGTAGGAACCAGAAGCAAAGGTGACCCACTGGTGTGTAGCAAGAGGCATTTCTCCTAAGGAGAGGGGCAACTCCCATTTCCAACTGCCCATGAGAGGTGTAGATTCAGGAGCAGAGATTGGGAGGCAGAGGAGGAGCCTTTGGCTCAGGTGAGCAGAGGATTTCCCTCTACTTTTAGCTTTAGAGAATTGAGATTGAAGGGCACTCCTCTTGGTGACTTTAACATGTTCTTGACAATGAACTGTCATTGAGTTGCTACCTTAAAAAATCATTACCAGCTATGCAAGTTTCTTCCCGGATTAGGACTAACTTAATCTTCAGAAAGGGACGATTTAGACGCTCTACATTTCTTGCTCCATGCCGCAAGCCTCAAGAGATTGAACTCAAGGCTGTCTGTTGTATCAATTCCCAGCTTGTTATTTAAAGCCTATGTGGTCAATGTGAGGTCCATTCTGGTTGGGTGTGATGGCTCACACCTGTAATCCCAGCCACGAGGCAGGTGGACCATTTGAGGTCGGGAGTTCGAGACCAGCATGGCCAACATGGCAAAACCCTGTCTCTACTAAAAATACAAAAATTAGCTGGAAGTGGTAGTGCACACCTGTAGTTCCAGCTACTCAGGAGGCTGAGGCAGGAGAATCGCTTGAACCTGGGAGGTGGAGGTTGCAGTGAGCCAAGATCTCATCACTGCACTCCAGCCTGGGCGACAGAGCGATTCTGTCTCAAAAAAAAAAAAAAAAAAAAATGAGGTCCATTCTTTCTATTTAGAGGCAAACTCCTAAAGGCAAGAGTCATGGTTAATTCTTTATCATCCATAATGCCTAACAAAGATAGGCCTTGTTCCCATACATATTCAGATGTACAGTTGACTTTTGAACAACACAGGAGTTAGGGGTGTCAGACCTCATGCACTTAAAAAAATCTATGTACAACTTTTGATTCCCTAAAAACTTAACTACTAATAGCCTACTGTTGACTGGAAGCCTTACTGGTAACATAAATAGCCAACTGACACATATTTTGTATGCTATATATATATTATATGCTGTATTCTTACAGTAAAGTAAGCTAGAGAAAAGAAAATGTTATTAAGAAAACTATGAGGAAGAGAAAATATATTTAGTATTCATTAAGTAGAAGTGGATCATCATAAAGGTCTTCATCCTTGTCTTCATGTTGAGGAGGTTGAGGAGCAGGAGGAAGAGGAGGGGTTGGTCTTGCTGTCTCAAGGGTGACAGAGGTGGAAGAAAATCCTCATATAAGTGGAGCTTCACAGTTCAAGCTCATGTTGTTCAAGGATCAGTTGTATTCGTTTTACTGTATTTGTTTAGGTTTCATAGTTTGCTTGTGATGGGCCCCCTACTCCAGGAAATTAAGAGAGTTGGACTCTGCATCTGTATTAATTTTCACAAACAACATCTGAACACATGAGTATGTGGCTCCTTGTTATCAATTTCTGAAGACAGACTCAGGCAGAATTTTACTGAAAGTCGATCTGTAATCTTAATAGTTATTTGACAACTCAATTCTAAGTAAGTTGAACTTAATCTTAATAGTTATTTGACAACTCAATTCTAAGTAAGTTGAACTTAATCTTAATAGTTATTTGACTTCTCAATTCTAAGTAACTTTTTACAGTTACCTAGCACTTTGTACAGTACTGAAATAGAGCTTTGCCATAATTATTTTCGCAAGCTAATGAGGAAAGCCAGCAACATTGTGAATCCAGTTGATAAAGGCATGTAGGCGCCACCGCCCAGTTCCAGAGATGTGGCATAAGTATGGGCAGCCTCTACATCTTACTTGACATCACGATCAAGTGGGGCTAATATTTATCTTCCTCAAGTTTGCTCTCTTACATGCTTCACATACTTACATGTAATTAGTGTTTGCAACATGCTTTAAGTTCCTGAGATGCCTGTGAAAATCAGAAGTATGTCAAAGAATAGTTTGAATACAGTGAGTGTGGAGGGCTTTGTAAATTTGCAACCCATGGACGCTTCAAAGGCATAGCTTCAAAGGCATATTAGCAATAGCATGTATCTAAGATGATTTAAAAGCTTTTGCATATAGGTTTTACATCCTTTTATTGGAACACGAATAAACTCAAGGAGTCTCAGGTCCTTAAAATTAAAGGGATGGAATGATATTTCCTTTATTGTTTTTCCCAGTTTATGGATACACGACTTATTTGTGAACAGTAAAAAAGCCTAAATGTTATCTGCTTTGGAATACAAAACGTCTGTTCTTATCAGATAATACAACTTTCCTTACAAACCCCATGGTTTCAGGAAATAAGCTGAATTTTTCTCCTTTCATAGAATATTTGAAAACTATATATGACCTTAGCAGATCCTAAATAGCTAACATTTGAGTCTACTGTAGCACTGAGACCTAAAGATGTAGTATTTTAATGTTTCAATTTAAATGATTATTTTCCCAGGCATTTAGATATAAGTGGTACTATAAGGTAAGTAAATACAGGTTCACAAACATTATGTTATCTTGGATTTTCTGCCACTTCACAAGATGACTCACATAAAGTTAACTACGGGCTTGAGTAAATATTCTTATTAAACAGAATATATTATTGCATAGATTTGTATTGAGTGCCTAAAATTGTATTAGTTATGAATACAACGAACACTAAACACTTACATACTTATACCATGAAAAAAATCTCTCTCTTAGAGTAGGGCAAGTGAATTGCTGGGGAGCTTCACCGCATTCCCAGGGACATACACACTGGGGCAAGTGAGTTGCTGGGGAGTTTTACTGCATTCCTGGGGACTGCACACATCATGGTTTCATTCAAATGGGTTTTGTTTCTTCAAAATATTGCAAGCAAAACCCAAGTAAACAAGAAAAAAGATTTGCACCGTGTTCACATTTCTTGCATGAATAATGCAGACCATCAAAAGATAGATGTGTGCTATAAGCAGGCAGATAAAGATAGATAGATACATACAGAGATGGATAGATAGAAATAGATGACAGGTAGATAGATAGATACATACATACATGATGCATACATACATACATAGATGATGGATGGATAGAGATCAATGATAGAAGATAGATAGATGGATACCTACATAAAAACATATGATAGATGGATAGCTAGGTAGATATATAGATGATAGATACATACATACATAGATACATAGATAGAGATTAATGATGGATAGATAGATACATAGATGGATGGATATAGATGATAGATGGATAGATAGATATAGAGATTAGATAGATATAAATAGATGATAGATGATAGACACAGAGATTAGATAGATATGATAGATATGTAGGTAGTGAGAGAGATAAGTAGAAATGGATGATAGATGATAGATAGATACATCCATACATGGATGAATAGATAGATAGATAGATAGATAGATAGATAGATAGATAGATAGATAGATAGATACACATAGAGATTAGATAGATAGATAGATAGATAGATAGATAGATAGATAGATAGATAGATACATTTTATTTCTGGTAACAAGCAAGATAGATAGACAAAAGAAAAGATCAATGATTATTAAAAGCCAAGTATATTTTCATCTCCCATAACTTGATGAAAGATAAGTTGTTTCCTGGCATCAGAACATGTGCAAAGCTTAACTTTTCTGTAATCCTGGATTCCTTGCTGCAGGTTGAACCCTCAAATTTTAGGTCACATCCCTTCCATTGAACAGCATGATGCATTTCTTTACAGCAAGTAGTTTAGCTTATCTCCACTCTTTGTGGACAGAGGCTGTAGCACCAGAGAAACACAACCATTTCTATGTGAAATGTGGTCTAAGTTAATGAGACTTTAGCCAACTCTTCATGTGAAAATAGAATCTCTCTAAAATATATGCTTATCCAGAGAAGGGAAGCCAAGGAGAAGCTCAGTGCTTTATATAATGTTGGAATCCTGGTTGTAGGTAACAGAACTACAAGATAGGAAACACGTTCTTGTTTCCTGATATTTACCATAAACATGAGAAAAAGGTTCCTGAAGTTTACGCAGAGCACTTTTCATTGTGGGTTTACAGGAGATGAGCAGATGAAAGAATTCAGTGATCCTCTCTCATGGAGTCACATTGTTTAGGTCGGCATTTCTCCCAGAACATTAGATTTGTGAAAGGGGATGGTGTGCTCCAGGCAGCTTCTGGGGCCACTGGGTCTATGGGAACCCTTTCTCATGCAGCCCTTATAGCAAAGAAAAGCTGAGCTGGCAGACATATGTGAACTCTTGGCTACATCACCCTGATTCTCTGCCAGGACCAGGGACTAAATATGTTGAAAACTTCATTTAGTTGGTGTTGACACAGATTAAGGTCTAATTTTGCTTCATTTTACATTATCAAACCTCAAGCATTTAAACACAGTCCTCTTGTAACTCCACACAGGGGTGAGTTATAAGATAAAAATGTGTGGAAAGCCCTCCCAAAGACCTCCTACATGGATAATTACGTTAGTGGCAGAGTTTGGTGTAGGTCTCCTTAAATCACGCATCTGAACTGATTATGGGGGCTCACTCCTCCCTAATGAGGCTCCATATATAGCAGAGATTATTACTTCCAGGAGACTATGTTACCAAATGATTCCTGATGGGAAAAGGGCATTTAAGATCCTGACTGGACAATTTACAATTTGTGGTGAAATCGTCATTTCAAAACCAGCTGTTATATATTAGACATGTTCACACTGCAAAGAGCTCAGGAGTTACATGAAACTAAGAATTATGAGTGATGTTTTCTAGGAGAGGCAACATCATTGAGTTTATCATAAGAGTGCCTGGGAAGTGAGACAGCTTGGAGTAAAGAAAAATGCACTCAACTAGGATCCTAGAATCCGAAAAGCATCATTTCTAGAGGCTTGTAATTACCTGCTTGTAATATAATCTCTTGCAATTCACTTTACCTGCCCAAAGGACAAGGTGAATGACAAAATATCAAGCAGAGGAAATCTACTATTATCTATTTTATTTGAATTTATCTATTTTATTTGCATTTCAAGTTTAAAAAAAAACTCTATAATTTTAAAAAGTGTAAGAACAGCTTAGTCTATAGATTACCCAGTGCTAGGCATGATGCTGTTTCCACTGGAACAAGGATGAGAAATGTCTGTGTCCTACACTGAGAAGCTCACAGTCTATTTCAGGTGACACACTCACATCCTCATCATTTGTTGACTTCCATATTTGCAAGTTTGCTTACATACTAAAATTGATTTGTAATCTAGCACTTCCGTAGTCATCCAGAGACATGCACAGAGTGGTGACAATTTTCAATAACTGAGACCCACATTGCTCACATTTTTGTGCTTTTTGTTGGTGATGTCACTCTCAAATGGCACCCAAGCCTGGTGCTGAAGTGCTGTCTAATGTTGCTAAGCACAAAAAAGCTCTGATGTGTCCAACGGAGAAGATGGGTGTGTTCAATTAGCTTTTCTCAGGCATGAGTCATAGTGCTGTTGGCTGTGCATTCAGCATTAATGAATCAACTATGTATATTAAATACAGTGTCTTTAAACAGAGATACACAAACCAAGGTCATGTATTGACCAATTGATGAAAATGTTGTGACCAGAGACTTCATAGACTCCCTAAGCCTGTGTTTCTCCTAAGAGCAATGGTATTATGATAATTCAGCATTCACAGTGGCTTTATAGAGCATTACTATCATAAATAACAAGAACCAACTGTGTGTGTATGTATGTATATGTGTATATATATATATGGAGTGTGTGTATGTATATGTATGTACGTACATTATTGTGCTGCAGGAAGTATGCACAGGTGTCACAAGAGCCCATAAAACAGCCACACCTAGAAAAGCAAGAGCACTGTGAAAACCCCAATATAGTTCTACATAAACAATGAAAAAGAGGTTAAAGGGGTTCTCTTGGATACTCTGGTGCCAAAGATCTTAATGGACAGTTTTGTTTTGGCAAAAAGGCTGAAAATTCCAACTTTCAAAAGATTTTTAAAATGCCAAATCTGACAAAATTCAGAACAGTTTACTACTTTCTTGATCTGAAAGATGACATAAGACAAATACCATCTTCATGCTAAGCACTGAAGCAGTGAAAATCTTTTTAAGCACAATCAGAATAAATAAATATGTTCTGCTATCATAAAAATGATTAAATAATCTCATGAAGGGTTTTTTTTAAAAAAAACCTTATAGAAGAGTTTGAAAAGAATTTGACAAAACACATGAATTCAGAAGAATTCAGAAAGATACTTACATAAACAGGTTTCTACATCCAAATGACACTCAGAAAATATTATGTGAGAAAAATCACATTCTTAGTAGCAAACAAAATAATTACATTCTCGGGAGCCAATTTAGTAAGTAGCAGGAATGAAAAATGTGAAGAAAAGCATAAAGCTTAAGAAAAAGTGCTTCAGAAAATTGAAACATAAATTGTCAGTAAGTGAGATGACACATTGTAGAAATGTTGAAGCTGCCTAAATTAATTAATAAAAACTCAAAATGACTCCAAACAAACTCCTCTGTTGACTTTTAAAATTCACCTGTAGTGAAAAACATAGCCAGAAAAATAATGAAATGGGAAATCATGGGGGGAGGGGCACTGGAACATGTAGGGTTTTAAAAATTGTAACAAAAGGCAGAATACACAGAATTTGGAATAAACCGAGAACTCAAAAGTCAGGAAACTGTATCAGATAGATAGACTGCAGTAGCTCATAAAGCTAGTATGCTAAACCAGTTGTGAAAAGATGAATTATTCCAGTGAAAATCGGACTCCTACCTCACCCAGCACAGCAAACTATAATTTAGGTACACATAAGAAATTCATGTGTAGTAAACAAGACTATAACTGTACAAAAAAAGAGTGACTTTTTTGTAATATTCCGGTTCTGAAAGGCATTTTTAGGTATGATAATAATAAAACTGTGAAGAAAAATCCTGACCTGTCACTCATTTTCTATGGAAAATGCACTATATACAAGCCAAAATGACACTATTTTCTGGAAACAAATGGTCATACTATGTCCGTAAGCAAGAAGTTAACATCATCTGTTCCTTACCCTCAAAATAGCCTTTATGGTTAAAACAATAGTGGGTAAAGTTATAAACAGGCAATTTCCAGAAGAGAGAAAAATAGTTAGTAAACATAAAAATGTTTCAACCTCACTACTATCCCTTCCACACACATGCACAAAAAAGATCCAGGGAGGTTCTTGTTTTTTCCCTATGATTTTGGCATATATTTGACAAAGTGATAATTCATGTTTATTTAAAGGGGCTGAAATGGAAACCTATATATAATCTTAGTGGTGTTATAAATGTGTAAATTTATACAAATTTTCACAATATACTTATTCACTCTATAAATATAATTTTAAAGAGTATATATCTCTTGTCAATGTAATTTTCAAATAAACTAGTCTATGAAAAATGTTGGAGGTAATGTACAAAGATATGGCTATTTAGAAAATATGAATAGAGGCCAAGCAAGGTGGTTCAAGTCTGTAATCCCAGAACTTTGGGAGGCCGAGGCAGGTGGACCACTTGAGCACAAGAGTTCAAGACCAGCCTGGGAAACATGGCAAAATCCCATGGCAAAACATTGGCAAAATTACCAGAAAAATACAAAAATTAGCCAGTGTGGTGGTGCACACCTGTAGTCCCAGCTACTCGGGAGGCTGAGGTGGGAGGATCACCTGAGCCCAGGAGGTCTAGGCTACAGTGAGACATGATCATGCCACTGCACTCCAGCCTGGGTGACAAAGTGAGACCCTGTCTCAAAAAACAAACAAACAAACAAAAAAGAATGAGTAGATATAAACATATAGATACACAAATCCAAGTGTTCATTTTCATATAGTGTAAAATGAAAACATAATTGCTCATCGAATATAAAATGATTAAATAACTTAGCTTACATTATTTTACAAAAGAATAGCACTTTGAAGTATTGCTATAAAAATGAAAATGTTAGGAAAGAGGGTAATAATATATTGCTAGGCGATTGTATAATAAGATCCAGTGTTTCCAGATAGATATCTCCAACACGTCCTGTGGCTCAGTTATTATAAAGTGTGCAGTTAAACCAAAGCAACTTAATAACAAAAAAAATCATCTATTATAGAAGTATGGTTTTGGAGGTAGGATATATCTGAGCAAAATGGACAATTAATACTGAGACTAAGCATTTTGCGTTCAAATTTCAAGCATTTTACATGATCTCTCTAGGTCAAATGTGAGATGCCTCCTTCACAGAGGGAGAGTCAAGCTCAATGGCTTAGGTGCTTACAACTCCATCTCTCCAAATGTGTTAAGATGCCCATGCTTGTGCATCTGGAGAAAAGCTATCAGTACGACCCACTAGGCCACACCCTTTCCCCAATTCAAATCAAGAGAAGGGGTATTCACACCCATCAAGGCTTAATTAATTTCATTATGGGATAAGGAGTTGACATCTTTTTTCTGAATAAATGCTGTTTTATATTCATATTCTTGCCATAAAAACAATGGCATGTCTGGGGAATGTCTTTAAGAACTGTCATAATTTTTCGATGGTGTGAAACCAAGTCTCTAAGATCTCGCTTCTGACTTAAAAGTTGGCCCGTGGTATGGCTGAGTAACGTTTGCTTGAGGACATTGTGCTTGTAAATCAACTTTGTGAAAGCTGCCAATCTGGAAGAAATATCACCGATCTCAGAGTTGAGGTTTGAAAGATAACAGCAGATGAGTGACTACATATTTTATTATGTTAGCAGCGGCAAATCCATACAGGTCTGCAGCAACCTCAATTCTTGCTTCTTCGGAAGAAAGAATTCAACCGAGGGGGCATAAAGCACATGAGAGACTGAGGCAAGCTTGAAACCAGTAGTGAAAGTTTATTAAAAAGTTTTACAGCAGGAATGAAAAGAAGTAAATTACACTTGGAAGAGGGTCAAGCGGGCAACTTGAGAGATTCAAGTGTACAGTTGACCTTTGACTTGGGGTTTTACAATGGCATGGTTCAGGGGTCTTGCGTCTCTTCTCTGATTCTTCCCTTGGGGTGGGCTGTCTGCATGTGCAGTGGCATTGCTAGCACTTGGGAGGGGCTGCATGCGCAGTGTGTTTACTGAAGTTGTGCACATGCTCACTTGAGGTGCTTTTCCCCTTACCAGTCGAGCATTCCTAGAGGAAGGTCATAGACCAGTTAAACTCCACCATTTTGCCTTGCACTGCACATCCTTGAGCCCAATCACCCAACTCCTGAGATCTTATCAGGAAACTGCTAATCACCAGATTCTACCTATTAGGAGACTGACCTTTCCCTGGATTTGGCTGTGACCAATTACTATTTTAGAGAGACAGTTTAACAACCTCCTGAACATCACCTGATAGTCCTCTGACATTCCTTGGGAGGTGAGAGGGCCGTCTCCCATCCTGCTCATCTCTGCCCTACTATCTACTGTAACAGTTAGGTGCCTACATTTCCTAAGTACTGGTTACTCAGTTTCTCCCAGATTCCCATGAAATTGAGAGCTAGATTGATGTGGCTTCCATTCCTTGAAACCAAAAGAATTCTCACCATTCATTTTCACATGTCTACAGCAAGGCAGAAATATTCCATTCTAGGACAGATGGATAACAAATCTCAGTAAATGAGTCAGGCAAAAATCAAACCATTCACTTGGCTGTGGGTCAATTTTATTATGTACCAAATATATATTCTAGGCACGGTGGGAGCAAATAAAGCATTGCAAGCAACTTGTAATGCTACAGAAGGAAATGGTAGCTGCATGGCAGCTGAAGGATGTAGGTTCTATTGTTTGTGGCTAAATAACATTCAATCTGTTTTGTGATTTTTAACGGTTGAGAATATTTTTCAAAGAATGACTGATTCTACGCAAAAGTATTTATGCAGGGAAATTCAGAACAAGCCAGTGATTAAAAGTCCACCTCTATAACCCCAGCTTGATTTGTTTTATTATGTTATGCATGATGGGATATTGCAAAGCATGGATTACTACTATGCATTGAATCACCACTCTAAATGCGTTTGGAGTTTTCTGTTGTACAGTTACAGGAAACCGGAAAAATGGAAAACCTTTCTCATTTTTGTTTTGTTTTGTTTTTTTCCTCTTCAACTCAATTCAATGTGGATCAATCAGATCAAACCCCAAAACAATGTTGGGTGTTCTTGTAGGTTTCTCACTTTTGGGAATGGCTAGATGCCCCTACATTGTGTTCAAACAGATGTCTGGGAATATGGACCTGACATTATGCAAGGAATGTAACAGGCAGGGTTACAAGAAGTGACTTCTGTCACAGCAAAAATATATTCTTTTCTTGTTCCTTGAAAATGATACTTACAAGTTGCTTTCCAATGGTAGATAAACTAAGGGAGGGCCCACAGCAATGACAGATGACATAAAAACACTTCTTGACATAGAAAACATCTCCTCTTGCTAAATATAAGAGGATGACAGCAAGTCAGATTTCTTTAGATGTCAGGCAGAGGAAGTATTAAGGCATTCTGCAAAGTATGTTATGCTCAGGTTAGGTGTTACTAATGTCAGTATGCATATTGGAAGTATTAATTTCATTACCTACTGTATTCGTTTGTTTTCACACTGCTATAAAGAACTACGTGAGACTGGGTAATTTATGAAGAAAAGAGATTTAATTGACTCACAGTTCCACAAGCTTAACAAGAAGCTTGACTGGGAGGCCTCAGGAAATTTGCCATCATGGCAGAAAGCGAAGGGGAAGCAAGCACCTTCTTCATATGATGGCAGGAGAGACAGAGAGAGCGAGAGCAAGGGGGGAGGTGCCACACACTTTTAAACCATCAGATCTCATGAGAACTCACTCACTATCACGAGAACAGCAAGGGGGAAATCTGCCTCCATGATCCAATCACCTCCCACCTGGCCCCTCCTCCAATTGGACATAAGATTTGGGCAGAGACACAAATCCAAACTCTATCACCTATATATTGTTTGGTCAGTTTTATTTTTAAAAAATGTATCCTCAACTGCACCTACTTCTTATGATACCACCAGTGTTAGTTTAGAATGTGGGAAAAGGTAGGACAGTAGTTCTGTCTGCACTAAAAATAGCCTGTTTGTTTTCATTAGTTAAGAAATTTATATTTCATATGAGTTGACAGTTACCCATAGGTGAGACAGGACACTAGACAATGCTTATCCTCCGTTTACCTGCAGGTCTCCTATGTGAGATTTGAGAACCATATCTTAACTGGAGTCTCTGAAATTTTCTTTCATCATTCTATAAATTTGTTGTATTTCAGGTAAAAATACGTAAAAATTCAACACTTTTCTCCACTCCTAACAATGATGTGGACACAAGGGACAAGCAATGTAGATTATAAAATTAAATATAAAATTTATAATTATTCTTACTTATACAATTATGTAAAAACCTCATAGATCCATAGGAAAGCCACAAACCCAGCAGGAAAAAGGAATAAGGAATACAACAGACAATTCTGAGAATTATAAATTGCGTGTAGAATGCTTGTAGAAGAAATACTTAATATATAAAAAGATACCATTTGACTCTATCAGACTACAGATAAATTAGCAAAGGTAATATAAAATATCGGAAATAGTGTGAAGAAACTTGTATTTTTGTACAACCAGTAGTGAGAGTGCAAAGTACAATTTGAGAGAATATGAATTTAACATTTTCATAACTGGAACCAAAAAATTCCGTCATATTTTTTCAGAAATTGTATCACAATCCTACAAGATAAATGCACAAGATAATTCTTCAAATCATTGAGAGTGTAATCTATAATCTTCCTAAACAACGAACAGTATAGCACTGGTTAAGGAAATCATATATCAGCATAAAGAAATGTCAACAAGAACTAAGAAGGGTATGTATCTCCATTGTTTTATCGAGTTTTTTAATACATGTTTTTAAATGAAAAAAGTGAGTAGTACAGAAAATGTGTGTACTTAATGCAGTCATTTGTATTTTGACATATGTACCATGTGTATTTTGACATGTACCAAAAATAATATGTATGAGGCTGTACACATTGGTTACCATCAGGAGAGTAGAGGGATAGAAGGATAGGGTAGGAAGAGCTATTTTCCCTTTATTCTCTATTTCATATTCATTGAACTTGTGGATTAATAAAAATATGTTATTTTCAATATTTTATGAAGAACACAAAATTGTACAAACCTTTTATTTAACTCTTCAGCCCTCCTCTAACCTATGAAAATATGATAAATACAGTCCAAACTCAGTACATTATTGGGAAAAAAATTAGATAACATAATTGGGCAATGATTTTTTGATTTCTAAGATGCAATACAAATTTCACTCCATATGACTTTAGGTATTAATTCTTGTTACTATCTACTTATAATAATGCTAACAAGCTTCAAAAATAGCCTGTTACAGATGTCGTTGCTGCTCAAAATATTTTGAAGAAACATCTTAGGGACATGATTTTAAAGACTAGAACTAAAGTGCTCACAAAAATGCATATTTATTTTGGCGTAAGATTGTGCCTATTAGGTACGTGTCAATCAACAGTAACCTATCATCTTCCTATTTTTACTCCCCTTCCTTTGCCACAGGAGTCAATAGCATGTTTCCCTATTAGTGGTCTCATTATTTGGGCTTTAAGCAGTCTTCATCTGATATTACCCATGGGAACAGATTACAATTGGAGAGTCTCTTACTGGTGTGGTACTGCACAACCCAACAACCACAGTTCTATCACCAATACCAAAGGGAGTCATCCACAAATATTGCCTGGGTTCACTCCATCCCATGAACTAGACTCTTTTAAAAGTGTGTAGGATTGGTCAATCCATTGGGTGAATTGACCTAAGTCCACCTGGTTAACAGGTGATTTTAAAGTAATTTGCCAAAACTTTGTCCACTTACATTACTTTTGACTGCTTATTCTGGGTGACTTTTGTGTCCTCATGCTGGCTTCTTAAGGCGAATTCATATATCTCCTTTAAAAATGAACTGATAGAAACAAATTTAGTAAAGATCTAGGGTTTGGCTCAAAGCTAGTGTATACGTATGTTAGCTTGAACTGTGGATAGCATTAGTTTTGAGAGCAGATTTGAGAACAAGTTCTCAGCCATGCTAAAAACCTAAATGAATGTTGGAAAGACAAATATGGTTTTGTAATGCCTGTTTTTAAACAAAATGAATTTAATTTTATTATGTTATAAAATCAATACCTATTACTTATAAGCAATTTAAAAATAGATGTATAGTCCTCTAGCTATTGGCAATTATTATCTAGTGTATGGCCTTCCCGTAATTATCTTGTATGAGTCCATATTTACCAATGGTATTGCTTTCTATTTGTCCTGTATTTATTAAAATGTGTTAGCCCATTTTTCATTTTATGTTTTCATACCCATCTCAAACATTTTAACAATTGCATGCTATGCCATCTTATTTTTTACTTACACACTTTTCTGTCGCTGGTTTTGGCTATTTTGACTAAGATTTGACAAATATTGTTTCAATTTTGTTGACATTCGTTAATATTTGATTCTTTGATAGCTGCTTATGTTCAATATATTTAGGATAAATTTTCAGATATGAAATTGCCAAATAAAGAGTATACATATATTTTAGATATTTGATACATGTTGTCAAAAAGCTCACCAAATGACAATTTGCATCCACTGCACACACTCTCACAAACCATAGGCAATCTTCTCAAATGTTTTATGAATTTAACAAATTGAAAGCCTGGTAATATTTTTTACAAGGTGTGTTTCTTTTGATAGTGAGGTTGAATATTTTCCCATACATTTTTAACCACATCTACTTCTCACTTTCTGTGACAGATTTATTTGAACAAATAGAACCAGTTATTTTCTCCATAGTTGTCTGAAGACAAACAATGTATTTGCTACTCTCAGCTAGACATTTTGCCAAATATTGTTGCTTAAGAATATGGAAATATATGACAATCAAACATTACTACATTATTGTCCCCCAGTGTAATAAATGCTAAGCTAATAAGACATAAGGGTGCATTGTACATACAAGAAAATGCCAATTAATTGGATTGGAGCAGTGGATGGTAGAGTGTTTAGTTTAAGTTATGCAATTATTTCTGTGATACTTAGATGACCCACAATGTCTCTTGGGTCTTGTCTTAGAATTTTCATCGAAAATCAAGACACATTTATTACAATAAACATTTTATAAATAAACATTCTTATAAAGATGGGTTCAGAATCTGAAAACTGCCATAAGTTATCTGGAGACCATTCCAGTAGGGAAATATGGTGAGAATTATCACCCAGCAAATATAAGTTTTCAGTATCACAAAATAGGGGTTTTACATGTCATCAGGAGAAATCTTTGGTACACATTAACCATTGTATTACCTAGTTAGCAAAGCTAAACTCCCAGGATAATGTCTGAGTGTTAGGAGGCCACCTATAATTACAAAATTCTTGATAGTGAGAATTGAAAAGAACCATAGAAACAATCTATAGCTCTAGTTCCTCACTTTAGATGAAGGAACTGGAGTTCAAGGAGTGGAATGCATTTATTAGGTTGGTGCAAAAGTAATTGCGATTTTGCCATTGAAGTAAAAACCGCAATTACTTTTACACCAACCTAATACAAAGGCCCAAACTAAGTAAGTCATTGTTGTCAAGTGAAAGTAAAATCTGCAGTCTCTCAATTCAGTCTTTCATGGAAACGTGGAGGTTATTTCCATAGTAAAGAAATGGATATGCACAGTAATGAACTAAAATGAAATACCCTAACCATCAATCCTGAGGGATGTATAGTTTATATATCTTTGAGTTTCAAATGTCAGGCAAAGTACCCAACTCATGAAAAGTTCTCAAAACTGTAGTTAAAAAACTGCCTAACAATTTCATGAGTTGTTAATAAACTATCAGGATGAGTTGCCATAATCATTTTTCTTCTTCAAAAGTAGAAACTGAGGGAGGTGGGTACCAGCCATATTGGGCAGCGTGGGCTTAAATCTGCAAATACAGCTGGAGTATTTGAAATGTCAGGACTGATTTTACATCCCAACAAATTCTCGTATAGCAACATGAATTGTACTGAAAAAAACACTTCTATTCAACATTATATAACTTCCAATCAGGAAAATTACCTTTGATCAAATACAAGAAGAGAGAAATTTGGAGATTCATAGGCAGACCCAAAACATTTGGAATCCTTTTTGTACATGTCATGTAGATTAAGTGTAGGTCCCACTCAAAGTTGAACTTTTTTGTTCTCATAGAATTTCCTGGTCAAAAGCTCAGGTGTCCCTGAAGTATATGTCTAGGTAGTGCTGGTCCCAGTGGCAGTTTTGTGGCAATCAGCTGATTATTTTGTACATGTCTGATACATCCCAGATCTCCTCGAGGTTCCTGCATTGTTGACTTTCAGGAACTAGGGAGCTGAGCTTTCCATTCCTGGTGACAGCTTTCATGTGTTTTCAGTAAGAGAAACCAGATGCAGGTGCAGTTGTCTTTTGCAGCCCATAAATTTCATAAAGAATACATTCTATTTTTCTCTTCCCCAGAAAGCGCTGCCGAGGTTTGCCAGGCATCCAAGACCTTGCTGTTGAAGCATAACCTCTGACCCCTGTGCAACCCACAGCAAGACAACCGAAACCCACCCCCCAAACAGTGCACCTGTTTAAACCATCTGCAGAGCCCTGATTGAATAAATTTCCCTTGCACTTCATTTATACCAACAGAATTCTCATGGCTGAAGCTAAATTCTGCAATGAAGTCATCTATGGAAATATTGCTGGTTCCACCCCAACTTATCTAGGCAGGTAGTGCTAATGAACATCTATGCATTACGTGGAAATGCTTTAGAAATCTGTTGATTAGTTCACTTCAGAAATGAAGAAATCTAAGCATCTGATTGGATAAATGACCTGTCTCTTATAAGATCACTGAAATACTGGCAGGCACAACCAAAAAGAAGGTTTTCTTTCTTTCACTCCGAGGTCCCTTGTAAAGCTCATTCAGAACACTCAAGTTTGATTCCGTTCAATGCAGTTTTCACCTGTTATACATGTTCATTTGGATAAGGAATATTAGATATTGCTTGAGGAGATACACAGTTTGTTTTTAAGGATCTTTTTCGTGCAAAAAAAAAAAAAAAAAAAGGAACAGACCCGTGGTTGAAAACACTATGATGATGGTGTGCCGTTGTGTAACTGTTGTTAAAATATCAGCCAACTTTTCTAACCTTACATTTATAAAGTCAAGTCATATATTTGAGTTCTTTTTTGGACAAATGCATTCACTCATGCATTCATATATTCCTACTTATTGTGCTCTTTCCTATTTACAGATTTTCTGTCCACGGGCAACAAAAAATATGAGCTACAATTCAGGTTCTCACACAAGCAGCAGTCATATTCATCTTTCCAGCAAGGGATACTCCATCCCTTTATTCAGCTGCCTCCTTCCTTCTTGTGTTTGAGGCAATTTTACCAATTTAACTCTTGCAGAAAGCCATGTGTGCATCTTCAAGCTGTTTTTCCCCTCTTTGGAGGGGAAATAAGTACATGAATTTTAAAATATTAATAATCAGTGACTTTTTTTTTTTTTTACTGGATTTCACTTGTATAACCTCACTTTCTGTATGGGTTTTACAGGCTCTACATACCAAAAAACGTAAATTATGTTCCATCTTGCTTTATAAGTTGAAGCATTATACTGTTTAATGCCTGTATTAGTAATTCACTAATGTGTAGTTTAAAAATGAAAATGGATGTGCACCCATCAACATGAACACCTTTTCAAAAGAGTCATCCAGAAATAAATATTTAATATTTCTTCAAGGGACAGGTAATTTGATTTCATCTAATAACTGATCATATGCATTTTTCTTTTGTTTCTTTCTATTTTTAAAATTCTCTTGTGAAGTAGAAAAACATGGCCTGAAAGACAGCACTCCTGAAATTGAGATATTATTTAATATTTTATTGGGCTTCAGTAATGTAATTTGGCTTAGATGATGCAGGTGTACACTTTTCGTTTGACTCTGAACTCATTAATTTGACATTGATTTCTAAAGCACAGAAGTGTCTGTCACCTGCTGTAGTTTCGAAAATAATGATATCAGCACTCATGGCTTATTTATTGATAAGGCAGGCCTCTTTGGGGAATTTCTGACCCAGGTCATGCCAGCCCACTGAGGTTGATGGGGCAATAAGGTCAAGCCATGCTTTAATTAACCTGAAATCATTTGAGCATCACTTCTGATTTACAATAATGGCTGTCTCCCTAAATTGACTCATGGGCTCTACTGTTTCTCAAAGGCTTGATGTAACCATGTCATTGTTATTTCTCAACTATATTTCAAAATGCAAATTTTTCTATTTTAAAATTAAATGTCATTCTTTTCAGACCTGCAGGTTTGCATATGAGCACATACATGCACACACACAAATTAATTATTATTAATCTGGAGAGTGTAATGTGTCCTAGTTGATGAGAAATAAAGCCCTACAGCAGAACAACGTATGTTGTTGTCCATGATGGTTTAAAAAAGACCATTTAAGTGGAAATACCTGATAAACCCACAGAGTTCTGTAAGTGTGTGCTTAAAATGGAGCCTTGATTTTTGCAAGGGATATGTTTTTAAATCTTTGCAAATTTCAAAATTAATGGGATCCAGCAGAGTGCATACTCTAACCCATACAGATGGTGGAGATGGCTATCAGTATCTTTTGTCAGTATCTAGACAGCAAAGATAAAGTGAGGATGGAAAAACAGCCTTTGCCATGATGAGTAGAGAACAACAAAAAACCTATAGACTTCCAAACCACGGAAGTCCAGAGTTACTGCTCACATCACCATGAAGCTATGAAATGTGTTTCTGCAGAACATACTTGCCCAGAATTTGAATCAATGCCTTGGCAAAATTCATACTCATTCCTTGATGTGGAATTTGAAGGTCACTTGTGAATAGACCAAAAGGAGGACTCGAGTCCGGGAATGCCATGAGCCCACTGTGTTGTTTGTACAATCTAGAAGGGAGGTCAGCCTCCCAACACATAGCACAGGACCAACTACACACACCTTTCCTGAGTTCAATATAAGAACTGTAAATTAAAGAATTAATAAGGAGTGGAATTCATGGATACAGCAAGTCTCTAGGGAATCAAAATAGCATGTCTCCCTTGCTTGAATATGACTCTGTTTTGGGTTTCACAATATGGGAGAGAGAGTTTCTTCCATGTGAAAAATGTTAAGTATTTCACTATCAGTCGATATTCTTTTGATGTGGCAGAAAAATGATGCTATTAAAAAAATTCCAAGAACATGTCAAATACGGAAAGATCAATGGGTAGATGTCTACATATCCCTTTAGCTTTAAAATTATTTGATTTTGATATGGATGATGAAAACATTCAATCATTTGTCAAACAGATAAAAGGTTAGGGAGGTTAGGCATACTATTTTGAAACATGTAGTAACCACCATCATGCAAGCAAGCCCTCAATAAATGTGTTTGTCCACCTCAATTCTTTTTTTTTTTTATTTTTAGTTCTGGGGTACATGTGCAGGATGTGCAGGTATGTTACATAGGTAAATATGTGCCATGGTGGTTTACTTCACCTATCAACCTATCACCTAAGTATTAAGCTCAGCAATTATTTATTGGAAATACATGACACACATATCCTAAAGTGGGGGAAAATGTTTTCTGACCACTAAAGGAAACAAGCTACTCATTTCCTGATTTATTTTGACTATGTGTATTTTTCAAGTATTAGTTTCTACTCAATTTATATGTGGAACATTATTAGAAAGATCATTTGTCAGTGGTTTAGAGGGTTAGTAATGTACTTAAATTAATAAAATATGTAATATCCCCGAAAGGAATCCATTTCTGAAAATTCAGTACTTGGTTTTGATCCTTTAAGTTCCCTCAATATTTTTTGTGCATGCAAATTTTATTTACACAGTAAAATACTGCCCTCAGATACATATCGGGATATATATATATATATATATATATATAGAGAGAGAGAGAGAGAGAGAGAGAGAGAGAGAGAGACAGAGAGAGAGAGACAGAGAGAGAGAATTTTTGCTATCCAAATATTATGTCTTGGTTTTGTTGTCTTTATAATATTAAAATTTAACATTAGCATTTGAGTTACATGGAAATCAATTGTATTTTAATAGTCTAAGTTACCCCTTATTTCTACCTATTTGAAAGACTCAAATCTCTTTTTACTTTAAGATCTTCACCTTAAGGACTACAAAGATCATGATAAAATTAAGATTTTAAAAAATTAACTGAATATTTGTCTCAATTCTCCACTTTATCGTTTATAGATAGCCAAATGTGAGCAATGCACAGATTTCAACAACAGTTAAAATCGGAGCCTTCTGCTATAAGATGTCTCTTGTGATGGATGCGTTTAGACAAGGCATTCACACATGGGACATCACGTTGGCTCAGCTCAGAACTAAAAGACTATTAAACCACAGGATATGTCCATCTGACAGGAAGTTGTGTGATGGCTCCTAAGGTCAGGCATCATTTTGCCTTTTGAGTGACAGAATTCTTCTCCCAAAGCAAACAACATGAATTTAGCTGCTATCTTATTTTAGACGTGTCTGTATGATACAAAATGACACATATGAATTGAGGATTTATAGGAGATGAAGCCAGGAAAAGCACTGGGAGAAAAGTGGAAGAGTCACTCAAAATAGAATGAATATTTAACATGTATAATCCTTTAAATAATGAAATTCATTATTTAATCATTAAGTGTGAATGATCACATTTAGAATAAACATGATCACGACTTCTACTTCCAGAGGGCCCAATGTCTAGTTCAGGCATGAAGAAAATAGTTGAAGAATGCTCAAAATGTTGTTTGTATATTTTCTATGTTTGATTACGAGAAACAAAATTGGGAATGTCTCTGGTAATTTTAATAGTTAATGGAGCTATTGCAAGAAATGCACCAGTGGGAAGACAGGAGGGAGAGAAGGTTTCCCAGAAAGCAGGTTTCTATTAAACCTTGCCATTTCTCTTGAAAACTCTCAAAGCCGCAAAAGAACAATAAACAAATTGATATTTTCCATGGGGTACCACTGTGAGTGCAAAGACCATGGAGAAATTGACTAGTCAGACAGCAAATATGTACTGAGAGACAGACTTGGAGTTAAGACTGTATCCTAAACTTATTTTATAAAAGTTGTGTTTTGTAGCCAGGATAACATGTTTTAGGAGAAGAAGCATTTTATAATAAGGACTCTGTGTGGGTTTCATTTTGAAAAAGTAGCTTACTGTGCTTAAGCAAAGGGCCAATGTGTGTTTTTCAGGTCCTCTTACCTAAAAGAAGAGTAACTGTTGGTATTTCTATGTGAAAACTCAAGACTAGCATCTTGTGCTGTAAGCAAAGTGAAGACATGTGGCTGTAAGCACTCACAAAATATATTGATATAGAGTCATCACCTGTTGATGTCATTCATACCCAGAGACAGGAAGCATAGGAACAGTGTGAATTATATGAGGCATCCCATTTATAAGTGACAAGCAAAAATAGTCACTGTGTAAATGTGCAATGCTAAATAGCAGTAGTCAATGAAGCAACAGTCAAAGGGGGAACACAGGAACAGATTCTATAAGATTTCTATGGAAGGGCTGGGCGTGGTGGCTCCCACCTGTAATCCCAGCACTTTGGGAGGCCGAGGCGGGCGGATTACCTGAGGTCAGGAGTTCGAGACCAGCCTGGCCAACATGATGAAACCCCGTCTCTACTAAAAATACAAAAATTAGCCAGGCGTGGTGGCACATGCCTGTAATCCCAGCTACTCGGGAGGCTGAGGCAGGAGAATTGCTTGAGCCCAGGAGGTGGAGGTTGCAGTGAGCTGAGATCGTGCCACTGCACTCCAGTCTGGCCGACAGAGCGAGACACTGTCTAAAAAAAAAAAAAAAGGAAAGATTTCTATGGAAGAAGAGATTGATTTCCAACTGGAATAGTGAGGAAAGCCTTTCTGGAAGATCCCAGGCCGTACCCGGCTCTGCAGATGCATTGCTGAGTTTTTGCCATGCCGCCTTCAGTGTTTGCTAACTCCTGTTTGTATATGTAAACTGCTCTTCGCTGCTCTCCTAAAACAGGCATTCATTTTCTTGGTGTGAATTTTTCAAAAAGGAATACACACCTATATATTGTGCATCTGCCAAGCATTCAGAACTGTGCTGCATTTGGGAGTCCTTGAATGCGCCCAGCTTTGCAACCAGAAGTATTTCAACATTGTTTTAATTAAGCCCACATTAGCCTTGCTTTGGTGCAAGAAATATGATATTATGTGTGAGGATATAAACATCAGCTGTCAATGAATGGCTCCTTCATTCCCTTGGCAAGTATCATTTGAGTGTGTCTTGTCACGGTTTTGGACTAGACAGAACTAATTCAGCAAGCAATCCAGGAGCCAGCAAGGAATGATCAGAGTAACACAAAACACTGATGTGAAATGCAGGGCAAAATGAATACATAAATTAGAGATGTGGTCTGAGATGAAGGGAAGCACACATCTCTGAAATATTCTGGGTACAGGTAGAATTTAGTTTCTGAGTGTTTTTGATAAATAATAAGAGAATTTCATCAAAGAGAAATCAAAGAGTGCCCTACAGACAAAGTAGCTTTTGAGCCCTTCAGATAGAATTTGAGTTAAAGAAAGCATAAATGTGCTCTGGGTGGAATTTAAAACAAAGAATTGGAAGCATTTTAAAATTGCTAAGAGTGTAAATTTCAGATGTTCTCACTACCAAAAAAATGGTAAGTATTTGAGGTGATGGATATGTGAATTAGCTCAGTTTAATTATTCCATATTGTATTCATAAATCATAACATCACTTGGTACCCCATAAATATATACAACTATAATTTATTAATTTTCAATTAAAAATAGACACTGAAAAACAGAATTAGAAGCAAACTTGCCTAAGTATATCGAATGTCTTCCTTCCCTCACATTTCAGTGTGGGCTGGACTTAATGACTAGCTTCCAAAAATTAGCATATGGGAAGGGGGAGATGGTAGCTTCAAGGTAGAGAAGCCAGGCAAGCATTACCTTAGCCAGTGACTTCATGTTCATAGCATGCACTTGTGATTAAATATCAGGAAAAGGACACCTCACCTCTGAGGTCTCCTTCTCTAAGAGAGAAGAAACACCACAGTCTCATCAGCTCAGTCATCCCAGTCTAATCATGAGAAAAACAGCAGGTAAATTCAAATTCAGGGCATTCTGCAAAATGCCTGACCAGGGCTCCTCGAATCTGTCAAAGTCATCAAAAACAACAACAACAACAACAACAACAAGACAGTCTGAGAAATTTTCACACCCGGCCTTGACTATGGAGAAATGGCTATATGCAATGATAAATCCAGGACTGAGTCCGAGAAGAGAACATGGGCTTTGAAAGGAAAACTAGCAAAACCCAAATAAAACCTTGTGTTTAGTTAAGACTAATGTACCAACATGGATTCATTAGTTGTGACAAAGGAACCACAGTGATAGAAAACTTTAACACTAACGGTAGATGAGTGAGCAGTAGATGGAACTCTCTGGACTATCTTTGCATCTTTTTTGTAATCCTGAAACTGTTCTATATATATATATATACATATATATATGTGTATATATATATGTATATATATATGTGTATATATATGTATATATATGTATATATGTATATATATACACACACGTATATATACACACATATATATTAAATACATATACATATATGTATATATATTAAATATGTATATATACATATATGTATATATTAAATATGTATATATACACATATGTTTATATTAATATATATTAAATATGTATTAATAAATTAAATAATATATATATTTTTTAAACTAGAGGGAATCATTGCCAGGGGAGGAGGCAGGGAAATGAGGAATGAAAGGCAGGAATTGGGGTTTGTGCTGTCACAGTAGGAAGACGACCCATTGTTGACGGTGAGCTGATTCAAGGATGAGGGGGTAGTTAGGAGGTTGGTGAACCAAAGACTAAAAGGTTATGAAGGAGAACCCTGTGCAAAGCTGAAGAGGCAGGAAAGAAATAACTACAGAAGGAGTTTGGTAGAAAGAACTGGTAAATTTTGTACTGGAGAATGGATGATGAATTTGATAGGGAATCACTGAAAGATGAAGGTTTGAGCCTGGCTGCCTGGGGAAATTGCAGTGTCATTTGCAGAAATGAAGTCATGCCAGGGAAAATCGAGGCAAGAGGAGGAAGGATTCAGTTTGGGACATGTTGACTTAGGAAAGGAGAGGACATCCAAGTGCAGGTAGATGTAATGACTTGATAAGTAATTTTAAAGGGATGTCAGATGCAATTAAACAAAACAATGTAACCTAAGACAAACGTGGGGAGAAATACATGTTGGAACTCTGAGCTGGAGTCATAGGGAGAAGGAACTCACTGAACTCCAGCAAGAACGTAAAGGGAGGTTTGGAGGAAAGAGCTGAGGGCAGTCTTGGGGAGGCAAAGAATGGAGTTCCAAGAGGATCACAGGTCAGGCACAATGGCTCATGCCTGCAATCCCAGCACTTTGGGAGGCCAAGGCTGCCGAATCACTTGAGGTCAGGAGTTTGAGACCAGCATGGCCAATATGGAGAAACCCTGTGTCCGGAATTGGCGGGTTCTGGGTCTCACTGACTTCAAGAATGAAGCCACGGACCCTGGCGGTGAGTGTTACAGCTCTTAAGGTGGCGCGTCTGGAGTCTGTCCCTTCTGATGTTCAGATGTGTTCGGAGTTTCTTCCTTCTGGGGGGTTCGTGGTCTCGCTGGCTCAGGAGTGAAGCTGCAGATCTTCGTGGTGAGTGTTATAGCTCATAAAAGCAGCGTGGACCCAAAGAGTGAGCAGTAGCAAGACTTATTGCAAAGAGTGAAAGAACAAAGCTTCCACAGTTCCACAGTGTGGAAGGGGACCCGAGCGGGTTGCCAATGCTGGCTCAGGCAGCCTGCTTTTATTCTCTTATCTGGCCCCGCCCACATCCTGCTGATTGGTAGAGCCGAGTGGCCTGTTTTGTCAGGGCGCTGATTGGTGCGTTTACAATCCCTGAGCTAGATACAGAGGTTCTCCGCGTCCCCATCAGATTAGTTAGATACAGAGTTTCGACACACAGGTTCTCCAAGGCCCCACCAGAGCAGCTAGATACAGAGTGTCGATTGGTGCACTCACAAACCTTGAGCTAAACACAGGGTGCTGATTGGTGTATTTACAATTCCTGAGCTAGACATAAAGACTCTCCACCTCCCCACCAGACTCAGGAGCCCAGCTAGCTTCACCCAGTGGATCCCGCACCGGGGCTGCAGGTGGAGCTGCCTGCCAGTCCCGCGCCGTGCGTTCCCATTCCTCAGCGCTTGGGTGGTCGATGGGACTGGGCGCCGTGGAGCAGGGGGTGGTGCTCGTTGGGGAGGCTCGGGCCGCACAGGAGCCCATGGAGTGGGTGGGAGGCTCAGGCAAGTCGGGCTGCAGGTCCCGAGCCCTGCCCCGCAGGAAGGCAGCTAAGGGTCGGTGAGAAATCGAGCGCAGCACTGGTGGGCTGGCACTGCTGGGGGACCCAGTACACCCTCCGCAGCCAGTGGCCCGGGTGCTAAGTCCCTCATTGCCCGGGGCCAGCAGGGCTGGCCGGCTGCTCCGAGTGCGGGGCCTGCCAAGCCCACGCCCACCCGGAACTCCAGCTGGCCCGCAAGCGCCGCACGCAGCCCCGGTTCCCGCTCACGCCTCTCCCTCCACACCTCCCTGCAAGCTGAGGGAGTGGGCTCCAGCCTTGGCCAGCCCAGAAAAGGGCTCCCACAGTGCAGCGGCGGGCCGAAGGGCTCCTCAAGTGCTGCCAAAGTGGCAGCCCAGGCAGAGGAGGCGCCGAGAGTAAGCGAGGGCTGTGAGGACTGCCAGCACGCTGTCACCTCTCAACCCTGTCTCCACCAAAAATACAAAAATTAGCCAAATGTGGTGGTGAGTACCTTTAATCCCAGCTACTCTGGGAGGCTGAGGCAGGGGAATCACTTGAACCCGGGAGGCGGAGGTTGTTCCAGCCTGGGTGACAAATCAAGACTTCATCTTTAAAAAAAGTGGGGGGAGGGGGGAGAATTGCAGGACTGCCGCAGTCACAGGCTCCACTAGCAGTGGAGAGGGGAAGCAGTGCAAGGAGAAGATTGTTCAGCCTTGACACAGTTGACATTTGGGGCTGGATGATTCTCTGTGGTGGGGCGTGTCTTGTACATTGTAAGATGCTTACTTAGCAGCACCCCTGGCCTCTGCCCACTAGATGCCAATCCACCCCTCCTCTAATACGGACAATGCAAAATTTCTCCAGACTCTGCCAACTGTCCCCTTGGGGATGCAGTCAACTTAATCGAGGACCACTGATTTTGAGTTAAACTTCAGTTTGTGAGAGAGAGAAAAGTAGAGTGCAAAAAAAAAAAAAAAAAGAGAAGGAAGAAGGAGAGATCATTACATCTATTTCTGCTTTGTAAAAATCTCAAAATCCAGCCATTAGCATGGGTACATTTAAAAATATCTCCTCATAGTATCTGTGGGATGAATTTTGTAGACAGGAAATCTGTGCATTGTGTGTGTCCTTTCAACAAAGCTGAAGTTTCACAAGGACTAATTTCCTCTGCTAGTGGAAAGAATGATTCTATTTTTGCAGGCCCAAATCCCAGGCTGAGCTGCCTCCCGGGCCACACACAGAGCCACAAATGCCCAGGAAAATTTATTCTCTCTGTGCATGAGGTGGCACTGTTTGCAGAAGGGTACCGCTGTTTATAACAGATGTTAGAAAAACAGGTTCACGATGGCAGCCAACAGAGCAAGGCAGTATTTTCCAAAGTGTACATTGCCCACCTGGTTTTTTGTTTGTTTGCTTGCATGTTTGCCTAATAGCTCAATTCTTACAAGCTCCTTTTCTGCTCAAGCATCTCACTGGGAGTGTATGACATCCTAATGCAGCCAAGAATGTTATGTGTGATAAGACATCAGAGCCAAGGCATTCCAAAAAAAGGGTAGCTATTTCTAGAAGCTTCACTGACTCTTTCTAAACAAGTCACTCAGTATTAGCAAATTATTGCTTTGAGTCTCCTAAAACGGGCACCCTCATCCTGTACCACTGGAACGGTGTGAGGAGAAGAGCTCTTCACCTCTGTGATATTCTGCCCGGTAACCCAGAACCACAGTATAATGTTCACAAAAGCATCTGGTAAACCCAGTCCAATCAAGGGACATTCTACAAAATATCTGAGGAGTACTCCTCAAAATTGTCAAGGTCATGAAGACAAGGAAAGACTAATTAATTGCCACATATGGGAGGAAGCCAGTGAACTGTAATGACATGATCTCAACATGGGATTCTGAATTGAATCTTGGAACAGAGAAAGGGAGCCCATGGAAACACAGAGGAAATCCCAATGAGGTCTGGAGTTTAGCTCATAGTAACTTACCAATGTTAATATCTTCATTTTGACAGATACTCTGTGGTTCCATAATATGTTAACATTAGGGGAATATGGGCGAGGGGTTCGTGTTATCTCTCTGCACTGTCTTTCCAGCTTTTCTCTATATCTAAAATTATTCAAAAATTAAAAGTTGATGCAAAGGAAACAGAACCCCTAAAAGAGACTGGAAATGTAAACATTTTATATTCAAAATGTATTAACTGAAAATCTGTTACAGATCCAGTTCTGAATCTCGTTAGCAAGTTCAAAGCAAGGCCAAGAAGATGCAATTCCCACTGGAAACCTTATGAGACAGTTAGAAGGGAAGGGGAGCAAATGTTCACCAGGTGAGCACTGGAACGCAGCCACTGCACAAATGCAATCCTGTTCTATTCTCACAGCAATCTTCCATGAGAAGTATTTATTACTATACATGAAGAAACTCAAGCTCTCCATCATTAGGTCACTGTCCAATATCACACAGCTGCATATAACAGGTTTGAATTCAATTTCCTCTGTGTCCAACTGAAAATCCCACAATTTCCACTCACGGCATCCTCCCACCCAGTGCAGGTTTGGTGCAAAAACGTAGGACACAGGAGAGGAAATTGAGTTTAGGTAAGACTCAGAAAATTGACGAGTTTTCAAATTAGGAGAGGCATGAAATGAAGAGGAGAAGGAGCAGCTGGGAGCGTGGAGAAGCATAAACTCCGAAATAACTGGCTAAGGAAAATGGGGATGCACAGACTGTGGCATAGAAGCACTGAAGAGGGGAGGCATGGATTGGAATGATACAGGCTGTGTCAATATAGGGTCTGTCACAAACAAGCTATGTAAATGTGAGAAAATTAACCACTCTAACTTCACATTCCCCCTATGGAAAAAAAAAGGGGGGGGGGCAGGGGCTAAGGATGTCTATTTCAAACCATGTGGCAATTAAATAAAACAATCTATGTAACTCTAGTAGCCTCATGGTTGGCACATTACATGCATTAAAATGCACATTTCTCTCCCTTTCATGGAATCCCCTGATGCATCCCCGAACCTTTCTCGGTAGGATTTGGAATGTGCATGCACAGATTGCGGATAGATAGACTGCCACCCTCGTCATTGCAGAAGGAAACTTGTGAGTTATGCCCAGTGCAATTCTTTCCAACTCTGATTCCACTGTGGTTACTGCTGATGGACTCTAGGTGGCCACAGATGATACAAACATGTTCCCATGGAGCCTCATGTCATCCTGACATGCTGTTCCAGTCTAAGGTAACTGCTGTTCTTCAGTTTAGAAAAGGAGCAACTGTTTTGGATACATTTTCAGTGCCAGAACTCTTTCTCCACTGCCTTAGACTTCTCAGTGGTGAAGTGAGAAGGAGTTTTGACAGCTACAGAGCAACATTTCCAAACGAGAAAAGAAAACAAGGCAAACTTTTTATAAATTATTCAAATAATATGTTAAATTCAAGGAAAAGAAAATTTCCATTTTATGGTGAAGACTGATGTTTCCTAAGTCTATTGGTAAGCTGAGAAACTGCTCTGTGAGCTCTTTCATTGAAAATATTGAATGACCACAGCTGTTAAATCTTGCTAAAGGTGTCCTCAGTTCACACTACAACATGCTTGGGTGCAGGGTCTGGAAGCAATGACAAATCAGTGAGACTCCAACACTGAGCTGAAATGTTCTGTTTTTGCAGTGACATCAGACCTTATTATTGCCCCTGTCTTCCTTCCGTCCTTCCCTCTCCAGGTGTAACTACTAACCCTTACTTGACTTATATTACCTCTATATGAACTTTCATACTTTTTTTTTTTTTTTTAGATGGAGTCGTGCCCTGTCTCCCAGGCTGGAGTGCAGTGGCCCGATCTCGGCTCATGGCAACCTCTGCCTCCCAGGTTCAAGTGATTCTCCTGCCTCAGCCTCCCGAGAAGCTGGGACTACAGGTGCCTGCCACCATGCCCGGCTAATTTTGGTATTTTTAGTAGAGACGGGGTTTCACCATATTGGCCAGGCTGGTCTTGAACTCCTGATCTTGTGATCCACCCACCTCGGCTTCCCAAAGTGCTGGGATTACAGGCATGAGCCACCGCACCCAGCCTTTGAACTTTCATACCTTTAGTACACAAATGTATCTGTAAATAATAAATAGGATATTCAATATGCTTATGTTATTTAGATGACATCCTATACCATAAAGGTTATATAGATAGAAATTATTTATTTCTATATATTCTATTCTATATATTTATGTCGACAGATCATATTTTATAAATATATATTCTATATATTTGTGTCTAGATCATATTTTATAAATATATATTCTACATATTTACATCTATACTACAAAGAATATATGGACATAAGGGTGGCATAAAGAACTTATGTCCATATATTCTTTTAGCTTGCCTTTTTTTGCACAAAATGTCATGTTTAAGTTTCAGTCATGCTGATAGATGAGGGCAAAATTTGTTTCATTTTAAGAGCAGGATATATTTTATTATAGGTATATTCTACAATGTATTTATGCATTCTCCTCTCAATGAACATCTAAGTGGCTTCCAGATTTTTGCTATTACACACAAGGTTGTAATTTGTTTACACAAAGCTTGGGGCTCAAATCCAGAGATATTGGATTGCAACGTGGGTGTCAAGATTTTCAATAGTTCCCTGGAAGAACTTAATGGGCATCCAGGCTTCCTCAGTCAGACTCCATCCAGGCCAACTTAATCAGATTTGGAGGGGGATGTTTAGGTATTACTTTTGTGAAAGAACCCCTGAAGAGATTCTAACAGGAGCCTAGGATTGAGATAAGCCCCTCCTCTAGAGAAACTCTTGCATTTGCTGGACAAGGAATAATGCGCATGAATGTGTATTGTGCCATATTCTAGAGCAGTGATTCTCATGTACAGTCATGGCAGAGAACTTCTGTTCTAGAATATAAGCATGGTAATGGCATTTCCAGGTGTTTCAAGTGGTAGGGATACATACATCTTTAACTTTCCTCAATATTGCTAATTGCCCACCAAAGAAAAGATCGATTACATATTTCTATCAACACACGGCATTACCACTGTTTGCAAATGGAAGTGCATTCCTTTGTGATATTTTGTAATCCCTTGACTCTCAGTGACACCAGACTTTTTGTGATTACTATCCATTTGGGTTTTGTCTTCAATACATTTTATTCCATATAATTTGCCCATCTTTAAATGTCTTGAGGATTTTTTAAATTACTAATTTGTTGGGTATAAATATGTGTATATCATCTAGAAACTATCCAAGTCAATAAATTGAAGTTACACATGTGCTCTTCTGTTCTGTATCTTAATTTTTACCTTATTTATGATGCTTTCCATTGTGCAAAAGGAAATAGTGTCCCTGTGTTTGTCCATTTTCATGCTGCTGATAAAGACATATCTGAGACTGGGAAGAAAAAGAGGTTTAATTGGACTTACAGTTCCACATGGCGAGGGAGGCCTCAGAATCATGGCAGGAGGTGAAAGGTACTTCTTACCTGGCAGTGGCAAGAGAAAATGAGAAAGAAGCAAATACCGAAACCCCTGATAAACCCATCAGATCTTGTGAGACTTATTCACTATCATGACGATAGCATGGGAAAGACAGGCCCCCATGATTCAATTACCTCCCACTGGGTCCCTCTCACATGTGGGAATTCTGGGAGATACAATGCAAGTTGAGATTTGGGTGGGAACACAGCCAAACCATATCATTCCACCCCTAGCCCCTCCAAAACTTCACATTTCAAACCAATCATGCCTTCCCAACAGTACCCCAAAGTCTAAACTCATTTCAGCATTAACCGAAAAGTCCACAGTCCAAAGTCTCATCTGAGACAAGGCAAGCCCCTTCTATCTATGAGACTGTAAAATCAAAAGCAAGCTAGTAACTTCCTAGATGCAATGAGGGTACAAGTATTGGGTAAATACAGCTGTTCCAAATGGGAGAAATTGGCCAAAACAAAGGGGTTGCAGGGCCCATGCAAGTCCAAAATGCAGCAGTGCCATCAAATTTTAAAGCTCCAAAATGATCTTCTTTGACTCCAGGTCTCACATCCAGGTCATGCTGATGCAAGAGGTGGGTTCCCATGGTCTTAGGCAGCTCTGCCCCTGTGGCATTGCAGGGTACAGCCTCCCTCCTAGCTGCTTTCATGGGCTGGCATTGAGTGTCTGCAGCTTTTCCAGGTACACAGTGCAAGCTGTCAGTTGATCTACCATTCTGGTGTCTGAAGGTCTGTGGCCCTCTTGTCACAGCTCTACCTGGCAGTACCCCAGTAGGGCTCTGACCCCACATTTCCCTTGCACACTACCCTAGCAGAGGTTCTCCATGAGGGCTCCACCCCTGCAGCAAACTTTTGCCTGGGCATCTAGGAATTTCCATATATCTTCTGAAATATAGGCAGAGGTTGCCAAACCTCAATTCTTGACTTTTGTGCACCTGAAGGCTTAACACCATGCAGAAGCTGCCAAGGCTTGGGGCTTCTGCCCTCTGAAGCCACAGCCCAAGCTGTACATTGGCCCCTTTCAGCCACGACTAGAGCGGCTGGGACACAGGGAAACAGGTTCCTAGGCTACACACAGCACGGGGACCCTGGGCCTGGCCCATGAAACCACATTTTCCTTCGGGGCCTCCAGGCCTGTGAAGGGAGAGGCTGCTGTGAAGGTCTCTAACATGACCTGGAGACATTTTCCCCATGGCCTTAGGGATTAACATTAGGCTCCTTGCTGCTTCTGCAAATGTCTGCAGTGAGCTTGAATTTCTCCCCAGAAAATGGGTTTTTCTTTTCTATCACATAATCAGGCTGCATATTTTCCTAGCTTTTATGCTCTGCTTCCCTTATGAAACTAAATGCATTTAACAGCACCCAAGTCACCTCTTGAATGCTTTGCTGCTTAGAAATTTCTTCTGCCAGATACCCTACATCATCTCTCTCAAATTCAAAGTTCAACAAATCTGTAGGGCAGGGGCAAAAAGCCACCAGTCTCTTTGCTAAAACATAACAAGAGTCACCTTTGCTCCAGATCTCAACAAGTTCCTCATCTCCATCTAAGCTCACCTCAGCCTGAATTTTATTGTCCATATCGCTATCAGCATTTTGGACAAAACCATTCAACAAGTGTCCAGAAGTTCCAAACATTTCCACATTTTCCTATCTTCTTCTGAGCCCTTCAAACTGTTCCAACCTCTGCCTGTTACCCAGTTCTAAAGTCATTTCCACATTTTCGGGCATCTTTTCAGAAACGCCTCACTCTACTGGTACCAATTTACTGTATTAGTCCATTTTCATGCTGCTGATAAAGACATACCCGAGACTGGGAAGAAAAAGAGGTTTCATTGGACTCACAGTTCCACATGGCTGGGGAGGCCTCAGAATCATGGCAGGTGGCAAAAGGTACTTCTTAACATGGTGGCAGCAAGAAAAAATGAGGAAGAAGCAAAAGCAGAGACCCCTGATAAACCCTTCAGATCTCGTGAGACTTAATTCACTATCACGAGAATAGCACAGGAAAAACTAGCCCCCATGATTCAATTACCTCCCCCTAGTTCCTTCCCACAACACAGGAATTCTGAGAAATACAATTCAAGTTGAGATTTCAGTGGGGACACAGCCAAACCATATCAAGCTATGTGAAGTTAAAACCAGGTACTATGGGTGTTCACTAGATTTCTGGTTCTCATGAAGGTGTTTTTTTCTGTGTAAATATTTGTTAAATTAGTGTCTTTGCAAGAGGGCCAGGGGAATAATCGGTGAAGCCTTCTATTCTGCCATCTTGCTCCTACTGTAGATCTGTAGTATATTTTGAAATACACCTTTGTAGTATATTTTGAAGTCAGGTAGTGTGATGCCTCTTGGTGTGTTCTTATATGGGCCCGGTTTGTAGAGTCCTAAAGCAATTATAATAATAACATCAAAGATCACTGATCAGAAATCATCATAACAGATATAATAATGATGGGAAAGTTTGAAATATTGTGAGAATTACCAAAATGTGACACAGGGACATGAAGTGGGCACCTGCTGTTGGAAAAATGACACTGACATGCTCAACAGACAGTTGCCAGAAACCTTCAATTTATGTATATTAAAAAAACACAATATCTATAAATGCAATAAAGTGCATCACAATAAAACAAGGTCGACCTGTACCTGCCAGTACCCAGGTAATTAGTTTACTATGAATAAGTAATAATAGCTAGAAAAACTAAACACAAAAATTTTTAAAACACTGTCTTCTCAAGACACAAAAAAATGGAAAGATAGTCCATGCTCATAGATTGACAGGATTAATATCGTTAAATTGACAATACTCCCCAAAGCAATTTGCAGATTCAATGCAATCCCTATCAAAGTACCAATGACATACTTCACAGAAATAGGAAAATACTTATAATATTCATATGAAACCATAAAAGACCTCAAATAGCCAAAGCAATCCTGAACAAAAAGCAGAAAGCTGGAGGCATCACACTACCTGACTTCAATATTTACTACAAAGCTATAGTAAACCAAGCAGCATGGTACTGGCATAAAAACAGAAACAGAGACAAATGGAACAGAATACAGAACCCAGATATAAAGCCACATGCTTAAAACCAACTCAACTTCAACAAAGACACGAAGAACATATGATGCTGAAAAGACAGATATTTCAATAAACAGTGGTAGGAAAGCTGTATAAGTATATGCAGAAGAATGAAATTAGATTTCTATCTCTCACCACACATAAAAAGCAAATAAAAAATGGATTAAAGACTTGACTCTGGTTGGGCATGGTGACTCAAGCCTGTAATCCCAGCATTTTGGGAGGCTGAGGCGGATGGACCACTTGAGGTCAGGGGTTTGAGACCAGCCTGGTCAACATGGTAAAGCCCCGTCTCTACTAAAAATACAACAATTAGCCAAGCATGGTGGTGCATACCTGTAATCCCAGCTACTCAGGAGGCTGAAGCATGAGAATTGCTTGAACCCAGGAGGTAGGGGTTACAGTGAACCGAGGTTGTGCCATTGCACTCCAGCCTGGGCCTGGGCGACAGAATGAGACTCTGCCTCAACAAAAAACAAAAACAAAAAAAAAAAGACTCAAAACTATGACTTGAAACAGAAACGACCAGAAGAAAACATTGGGGAAATGCTCCAGGACATCAGTCTGGGCAAGGATTTCTTGAGTAAGACTTCAAAAGCACAAGAACCAAAGCAAAAGTAAACCACTGGGATTACATCAAGTTAAAAAGCTTCTGCATAGCAAAGGAAATTATCAACCAAGTGAAGAGACAACCCACAGAATGGCAGAAAATATTTGCAAACTATACATCTGATAAGTGATTCATAACCAGAATACATAAGGAGCTCGAAAAACTTAATAACAAACAATCTGACTTAAAAATGGACAAATAATCTGAATAGGCGTTTCTCAAAAGAAGACACAAAAATGGCCATCGGGCATATGAAAATATACTCATCACGAATCATCAAAGAAATACAAATCAAAACCACAATGCCATATCATCTCACCCCAGTTAAAATGGCTTTGATCAAAAGGACAGGCATGAAAGGTTGCTAGCAAGGAGGTGGAGAAAGGGGAACCCACTTTGTACACTGTTGGTGGGAATAGATATTACTGTAGCCACTATGGAGAAGAGTATGGAGTTCCTCAGAATCCTAAAAATAGAACTACTATATGATCTGAGTATTCCACTGCTGGAATACTTGCTCACGTGTATTGCAGCACAAGTCACAATAGCCAAAATATGGATTTAGCCTAAGTGCCCATCAATAGACAAATGGATAAGGAAAATGTGGTATATGTACACAATGGAATATTATCCAGCCATAAGAAGAATGACATACTGTCATTTGCAGCAATATGGATGGAACTGGAGGCCATTATGTTAAATAAAATAAGCCAGGCACAGAAAAACAAATATTGCATGTTTTCACTCATACATGGGAGCTAAAAAAGTGATTCTAATGAAAACAGCAACTATAGTGATGGTTACCAGAGGCCAGAAGGGGAAGGGGGGGTGAAGGGGAAGGGGGGGGGGTGAAGGGGAAATAAAAGAGTATAAATGTATTTATTACCACTGAACTGCACACTTACAAGTGGTAAAGAGGGTACATTATATATGTATATTTTACTTCAATAAAAATAAATATTAAAAATAAAATCACTTTCTTCTCACCACTTACTGCTGAATTATTGCTGGAATAATGAGTTAGTACTACAGGTAAGTCATGTACCTAAGTAAGTAGTAAAATAGAGACAACAAGAATAGTTCAGTGGAATGTAGAACATAGGGAATCTAGTCTGGTCAGATAAAATTTTGTTGGTGTTGAGTTAATATATAAGTTTTACTTAACTGGGCTTTCCCATGAAACTCGTTACATAGAAAGAGCCTACAGTCATTACAATACCAAATGAACCTGATTCTGAAAATCATGTTCTTTGCAACTCTCAATTATCGGTTTTAATTGAGATAAGAACTTACAAGGGTAGGTGCTGAATATTACCCAGGAAAAAAAGTTACAAAGAATAACTGGAGATAACTTGAATCATCTATGTGATGCCAAGAAAAAGGAAAATCCTTCCTTATCATTCCACTATTTTTTGTTGAAATAATAAATTACCACAGACATCTGGTGGTAAACATGTAATTAGCAACCTAAAGATAGCTAGAATTCGCCAGACCAAGTAATTGATCCCAGGAAGCTGAAGATAACTGGCCTATGCCAGGGAGTTCAATAACCATTTTCCTCAATGCAAAATTCCAACCTCATGTTAGAAATATTACCTCATACAATAGATATCTACTTTATCCAAGTGAGTAATTAACTAGAGATAGCTACATGAAGCCAGTACTTGTAATAAATAAATTCTTCACAGTACTACTTCTTATGTCTCTGTGACATAAAACTAAACATTTAGTGGTACCTAGGCAAACAGCTGAATAAACAACTAGCAATTACTAGGAAAACTGGTTGAATATAGAAAGTTTAGTAACCATTCTAGTCAATTCTGTGTTCTTACATTTTTACGATTGTTTACTACGTACTGTGGATATGGTAACTAGAGTTACCTGGGTAAGAGTTAAATACAGAATCCTCCATAAAACTAAAATAACTGATTGAAGACAAGAAGCATAACATTGCATTCTTCTCAACATTTCTCATTTCTTGTTGGAATAATGAGTCAGTTCTGTCAGTGGGTAGTAGTACCTAGATTATTACAAAGCAAGAAATAAGAAGAGATGGCTAGAATAGATATTTGATACCAGAATGGTGAAAAAAAAACATTCTTTTCAAATAGAAACTCTAATTTCCTGTGTGATTAATGAGTTACACTTAGTTAGTACTGGAGATATCTGTGTAAGATGTGGATTTCATTGTGGGAGTGGGGTACCTACTCAACAGATGAACTGCTGGGTCACATGGTAGATCTATTTTGATTTTCCAAGGAACCATTACACTGTTTTTCATAACGGCTGTACCAATTACACGTCTGTCAACAGCGTTTAAAGGTCCCGTTTTCTGCACACCGTAAAAGGGTTTCACTTTCTCCACACCTTTGCCATCATTATCTTTTATCTCTTGACTTTTTTATAATAGCCATCCTAACAGGTGTGAGGTGATAGTTCATTGTGGTTTTCATTTGCATTCTCTGATTATTAACGATGTTGAGCACATTTTCATATACCTGTTGGCCAGTTGTGTGTTTTCTTTCTAGAAATGCCTATTCAAGTCCTTTGCCTATTTGTTAACCAGACTATTTATTTATTTGCTATTGAGCTGTGTGAGTTCTTTATATATTTTGGATATTAACTCATTATTAGATATATGGTTCGCAAATAGTTTCTCCCAAACCGTAGCCTTTTCATTTTGTTGATTGTTGGCTGTGCAGAAGCTTTTAGTTTCCAGCCTGCTCCCTTGCCCTATATATTTCAGCTTCCTAGACCCCCACATTGTGTGAAGGTGTGAGCCAATTACTTAGAGTAAACCGTATCATATATATAATATTATTGATAAATAAATACTATAGTATAGTAAACAGATGTTTATGATATATAATATTACAGACACTCTCTCTCTGTCTCACACACACACACAAATATCCTGTTGGTTTAGTTTCTCCTTCTCTGAGGAACCCAGCCTGATACGGATACCCAGCTGAGCGAGTGTGTTTGCTGATCTTGACCTCTGGAAGCCAGTGCTTTAAACCATGAGAATGAAAAATTGTGAGGCACTATGTGGATGCTGGGAGAAGTATGTGAGATGGAAAAGTTGTTTCATGGCATCCAAGAAGTGAATGATCCTCAAGGTGTAGCAGAGGAATTTGTAGGAGAGAGGGATGATTGACATCTTCGTGTAGCCCTCCATCCATCCCAGTTAGCATGGAGGGATTTTAGGTAGGTCATACAGAAACCGGGTAATGATGGCAGGTGTGGAGGAACAGAATGTACCACTGAATGGGAGGTCCGGGGGAAACATGTGGCGGAAATATCCTCCCGTGCCACGTGATCTGCCAAAATTGAACATGGGGAGTTTAGGAGGGGTGACATGTCAGTTTGGGAACTATCTTTAGGGGTGCTAACCCAAATCTCCCTTTCTCCAATTAGAGCACCCTGCCTTCCTCATTAGATGTCACCCCCCCCCGCCCCCGACTTCATCCGCCATGTCCTGATGGTGCTTTGTGACGTATAAGGCCTTCCTTCCCGCCCAGGGCTACCATTGGCTGGGTAGTGGAGTGTTGACCAATCACAGCTCAGGGGCGTGATTGTCTCGTCCTGGGATCGCGAGAGGTGTATATACAGGGAGGCCAGGCAGCCTGGAGTTAGTCGACCGTTGCGAGACGTTGAGCTGCGGAAGATGAGTCCAAAGCCGAGAGCCTCGGGACCTCCGGCCAAGGCCAAGGAGGCAGGAAAGAGGAAGTCCTCCTCTCAGCCGAGCCCCAGTGACCCGAAGAAGAAGGTGAGTGACCCTCCCAAGCTCCTCCTCGTCTTCCCCTCGCCTCCTTCCTCACAAGAAGCCTCTCCTGTCGTCACTTGGCACAACCCCCCAACCCGGCCCCCACCGCTTCTGAGGACACGTCCCTGTTCCCAGCCTCCTCCATCCTCGTCCCTAAACCGGAGCCCTTCTGTGATCTCCCTGTTGTCCTTCCAGACTACCAAGGTGGCCAAGAAGGGAAAAGCAGTTCGTAGAGGGAGACGCGGGAAGAAAGGGGCTGCGACAAAGATGGCGGCCGTGACGGCACCTGAGGCGGAGAGCGGGCCAGCGGCACCCGGCCCCAGCGACCAGCCCAGCCAGGAGCTCCCTCAGCACGAGCTGCCGCCGGAGGAGCCAGTGAGCGAGGGGACCCAGCACGACCCCCTGAGTCAGGAGAGCGAGCTGGAGGAACCACTGAGTCAGGAGAGCGAGGTGGAAGAACCACTGAGTCAGGAGAGCCAGGTGGAGGAACCACTGAGTCAGGAGAGCGAGGTGGAAGAACCACTGAGTCAGGAGAGCCAGGTGGAGGAACCACTGAGTCAGGAGAGCGAGGTGGAGGAACCACTGAGTCAGGAGAGCGAGGTGGAAGAACCACTGAGTCAGGAGAGCCAGGTGGAGGAACCACTGAGTCAGGAGAGCGAGGTGGAAGAACCACTGAGTCAGGAGAGCCAGGTGGAGGAACCACTGAGTCAGGAGAGCGAGATGGAAGAACCACTGAGTCAGGAGAGCCAGGTGGAGGAACCACTGAGTCAGGAGAGCGAGATGGAAGAACCACTGAGTCAGGAGAGCGAGATGGAAGAACTACCGAGTGTGTAGACGGCCAAGTACTCCCCTATCTCCGAGAGCAGCGACTAAGTTCAGGCCCAGCCGCCAGACCTCAGAGATCTCACCAGCGGGGTGCTTGCCATTCTGATGATAATAAAATGAATGTGTTGCAAATTGATCTGAGTGACTCTGTGTTCTCTGATGGTGGGGAGGGAGGGAGGGAGGGGGGAAGAGGTGGTGTGTGGGGAGGGAGGGAGGAAGAGGAGGTGTGTGGGGAGGGAGGGAGGAAGAGGAGGTGTGTGGGGAGGGAGGGAGGGAGGGAGGAAGAGGTGGTGTGTGGGGAGGGAGGGAGGAAGAGGTGGTGTGTGGGGAGGGAGGGAGGAAGAGGTGTGTGGGGAGGGAGGGAGGAAGAGGAGGTGTGTGGGGAGGGAGGGAGGAAGAGGAGGTGTGTGGGGAGGGAGGGAGGAAGAGGAGGTGTGTGGGGAGGGAGGGAGGAAGAGGTGGTGTGTGGGGAGGGAGGGAGGGAGGAAGAGGAGGTGTGTGGGGAGGGAGGGAGGGAGGAAGAGGTGTGTGGGGAGGGAGGGAGGGAGGAAGAGGTGTGTGGGGAGGGAGGGAGGGAGGAAGCGGTGGTGTGTGGGGAGGGAGGGAGGGAGGGAGAGGTGGTGTGTGGGGAGGGAGGGAGGGAGGAAGAGGTGGTGTGTGGGGAGGGAGGGAGGAAGAGGAGGTGTGTGGGGAGGGAGGGAGGGAGGAAGAGGAGGTGTGTGGGGAGGGAGGGAGGAAGAGGTGGTGTGTGGGGAGGGAGGGAGGAAGAGGTGGTGTGTGGGGAGGGAGGGAGGAAGAGGTGGTGTGTGTGTGGGGAGGGAGGGAGGAAGAGGTGTGTGGGGAGGGAGGGAGGAAGAGGTGGTGTGTGGGGAGGGAGGGAGGAAGAGGTGGTGTGTGGGGAGGGAGGGAGGAAGAGGAGGTGTGTGGGGAGGGAGGGAGGGAGGGGGGAAGAGGAGGTGTGTGGGGAGGGAGGGAGGAAGAGGTGGTGTGTGGGGAGGGAGAAAGGAAAGAAGGAAGGAATAGGTGGTGTGTGGGGAGGGAGGGAAGTGGGGTCCCGTGGGGTTGAGGTCACAGGGACAGGTCACAGTTAGCCAGACAGGAGGATAAGGATTGCGTCATGGCTGAACACTGGAGACAAATTTCCCCTTCACAGGATGACTCCGCTTCCTGTAAGGTTTGTTTCTTCATGCAATCTTGCTAGCACATACACCAAGTACCAAGCACTGGATTCTACCTACTTAGGTTTCATTGTTAAAATACGTTTGCGGTTATAGAAACCGATGGAAGAATCGTTTCCATCTCTTTCCTTTCAGCGTCCCCTCCCTACACTCTAATATAATTAAGAAGAAAAATTCAAAGTAGAGCAAAATCTGTCTACTTGAAAAGAGTCTTTTTATTTTTGCGACTGAGGAGACAAAAAGTATATTTCATATTTCCATTCATTAGAAATACACAGGTCTTTTCTGAATATAGTAGAATTTACTATATAGAAATATACATAAATATATGTAAATAAAATGTAATATACAACTGTATTTGCTGTATACAAACACGTTAGAAATACACAGGTCTTTTCTATATATACTAGAACCTACCATATATATTTATATATTAACATGTATTTTTATATTTTTATATATATAGATTGTATATAGAAATATTTATATATAAATACCTATAGAAAACATTTATATGTATATATTATAATCATTTATTTTAGAAGGTAAGGGTTTATGCTTGTTGAAGCATGGTTCACAGGCAAAAAGAGAAAGGAAATTATCACTTTCAGAAGAATAAAGTACAAAATTATCACGATTCAATACCCAGCTGTCAATAATTGCAATGAGAGTATAATATAGTAGAACTTTTTATTTATAGAAAAGACCTGTGTATTTCTAATGTGTATATATGTAATCTACATTTATATATAATTATATAAATGCACAGGTCTTTTCTATATATGGTAGAATTTACTACTGTATTCCTAATGTGTGTGTATATTTATATATATATATAAAATCTGTATTTATAAATATTTATATAAATGCACAGGTTTTTATATAAACACACAGGTCTTTATACAGAAAAGATCGGTGTGTTTCTAATGTGTATATGTATATATAATTCATATTTGTCTATGTATTATATACATATAATCTATATATTTGTATATTTATGTATTTATTTATCTATTTTATGTATTCATATAGATAGGTTTCATATAAAGATTTTATATATATAAATATTTATATTCTATATAGATTTTATATATATAAATATATTCTATATAGATTTTATATATATAAATATTTATATTCTATATAGATTTTATATATATAAATATTTATATTCTATATAGATGTTATATATATAAATATTTATATTCTATATAGATTTTATATATATAAATATTTATATTCTATATAGATTTTATATATATAAATATTTATATTCTATATAGATGTTATATATATAAATATTTATATTCTATATAGATGTTATATATAAATATTTATATTCTATATAGATTTTATATATATAAATATTTATATTCTATATAGATTTTATATATATAAATATTTATATTCTATATAGATTTTATATATATAAATATTTATATTCTATATAAATATTTAGACATCTGTAAAATATATAAGCATTTTTATATTTCTATATAATACATAAATATATAATGTATAAATATAAATATATATTATATATAAAATATCCTATATGTGATCATTTATTTTAGAAGGTAAGCTGTTAGTATTGTTGAAGCATGCTTCTCAGGAAAAAGGAGAAAGGAAATTATTTTAAGAAGAATAAAGTACAAAATTATCACGATTTAATTTCCAGTTGTTAGTAATTACATGGACAGAATAACTCATGTCCTTTAATCCTACAAAGAATAGCACGTTAAACTTTTATGTGATTCTGAAAATATGAATTTCCATATAATAAGTGTTTGTGATGTAAAGCACTAATTTTATAGGCAGTTTTCACTTGTTACATAGATTGTTCTTATAGCTTTAAAGACGTTAAAATTAATGGTGGCTTTGAAGAGATGGTAGCATCATTTGAGAAACAATAAATGGGTTCTGTTTCATCCTTTCCTTGGTGCAGTCAGGGCTTCACTTCATTAGCTTAGGAAGGGATTTCAGAGCTTTGCATGTTGATCTTGTAGCTGCCTCCTATGGAATCCTACGAAACCTAGGACGCTATACCACAGAAACAGGGCGTTGCCCCATGTCCTGAGCACCATCATTTTGTGGTATATTTCTTTTGTATTTCTTGTATGGAAATACCATATAAGGATGAGCATGCTTGGTATAACTCAAAGCCTGTTTATTTGCAAGGCTGTATTGACCCTGAACAATAAATACATGTGTGTTATGGATGGGAAACAAGTCCGAATGAAAAGCTGCTGTCTTTTAGGAAAGCCTATTGGCTGTGGTTGTATATATCTTTCCAAAGGGAAATTGGTGAACTTCCTGCTATAGTTTTTTCCATAATGACAGCATAAAACTAAAATAAACTGAATCTTGTCAGTGGTCACTTTTGGGTTTGATGAATATTACGGAGCAACGTTGCAGTGTATTTTAAAATTATACTCAAGAATTCATTTTGTGCACCTTATTTTAATGCCGTATTTCCATTCAAGCTCTGCAACCCAAAACAGTCTGTGTTGATTCTTTTGGCATTGAAAAAATTATCCATGGGTTTATTTCATCATTTCATGGCAGTAGGAGCTTCAACTGCTATTTGTTGGGAACCCATCCTGACTAGCTATTTCACTGGGGCTTCATGTTTTATTGTGATGATTGGCAGACTTGTGTTTCAGGAATTTTTGGCTTTGGAAAGTTACTATGATTTTGAAATTATAGATGCAAAAATGTCACTGAATTTATTTTCACAAACTGTTTTAATTCATTATAGACAATAAGTGGTTTAATCAGAAATCAATAATTTAAATAATCTTTTAATTTGTTGGAGCATTCACAAATACTACATCTTCTTTTAAGTCTTTCATTATTCTACATGTTATATACATAGTTAAATTAGTTAATAAGAGTGTTACATATTTTCCCTCCTTCTCCAACTATCCACAAGCTGAGGCTTAAAATAAACAGTGGAATGAGTAAAGACCCGAAGTAATATAGCAGCAAAGCTGTAGTTGAATTTTATAATAAAATAATAGATATCAAAGTTTCCTGACGTTTTTAGGCAAATCTTCCTGTGTCCCTAAAGGGAGGATCCCCTTGACAACAGTCATGAACAACAGGTGATCTTGAGATTCCCAGCTGTCAAAGACAGTTAGTGGGAAAATTTGAAAGCACCTTGTACGTATTTTTAAATCTTAGTTGCATTTCTAGTTGTTTTTAGTTTCCTGTGGACTATATTTATCCTGCAATCACTGGTTTTATTGGTTGTCCTTCATATTCTTGTATTTCTCTACATGCTTGTGAATTTGTATTTTCAGCTTCACTTAAAGAAGGAAATATACTTTCACACATTTAGTCTTCCAGTCTTTAGTTTCCTTAACTCCCTTTGCCACGTTCCAGAGTCCTCAGTCCAAAGGGACATCAGGTATCAAGGCTCAGTATTCCCTGCCCATGATGAGAGTAGGATGGCTGATCCTCTTCTCACTAAGCCAGGGAGGCAGATATTTTAGTTCCTGGTTATGTGTCTCAACCCTAAGCCTACACGCTTAAAATAAGCTAAACACCAAGCAGCATAAGAAACCTGCCTCTCTCAGCTTGCTTTCCTCTGGATTTATTTGGGTAAATCTAATTCCAATTCTCCCACCTAGGTAAGGAAGATGAAGTCTTAGTTATTTCAGAAGAAAACTCTTGGTGAATGTTGAGACCTGTTATCAGACCCCTGGCTTTGTCCTATCTGTATCTAAATTTTCTCCATAGCATTTACCTGCATTGATACCTGTTTAAAATGGAAGGGGTTCAACATGTTGGGCTATCTTGATTGGAAATCATTATTTTTTTGTGGAGGGGGGAGGGCAGGGGGTATTTTTTTTTGTACTCCAATAAAAAGTCTCATCATAAAGGAATTGTCACATAGAAACTCTTGCCCTTAGAAATTGTTTCCTTTGGGTGTCTACCCATTAATGGGATTTCTGGGTCAAATGGGAGTTCTAGTTTTCGTTCTTAGTTCTAGTTTTGCTCTTTGATGTGGCTCTAAATGGATAATTGGAATGAGAGAGAACTCCTCTAGGAAGGAAAATAAAATAGAGGTATTGGTAGACACAGAGGTTCTTTTCGTTCCATTTACAAAATTGGTGGGCGGCAAGGAGCAGTGCTGCTAGAGGTCTTGCTCTGCCCAGATGCATAAATTCTTCTCCTACTAATAAGCACTGCTTGATGTCAACTTCACTGCATCCTATTACTCATTGTAGGCATGTAGCATGACAATTACCCCCTACCCCTCTTCCTACTTCTGGTCCCAAACATTATGACTCAGAATCAACCCAGGTGTCCATCAGTGGTGGATTGGATTTTTTTCAAATGTGGTGCATATACACCATGAGGTACTGTGCAGCAACAAAAAAAGAAAGAAATCCATATACACCATAGAATACTGTGCAGCCATAAAAAAAAAAAGAAATCCTGTCCTTTGCAGCAACATGGATGCAGCTGGCCATTGTCCTAAAGAAATTAGCACAGAACAGAAAATCAAATATCACATTTTCTCATTTACAAGTGGGAGCTAAACCCTGGATCCACATGGACATAAAGATGGTAACAATAGACCCTGAGGACTTCAAAACAGGGGAGAGAAGGAGTGGGCTATGGGCTGAAAAACCTTCCTTTCGGGTACTGTATTGACTATCTGGGTGATGGGATCAGTACAAGCCCAGACTTCAGCAATAGGCAAAATATCCTTATAACAAATCTGTACATGTGCTCCCTGAATCTAAAATAAAATAGAAATGTAAAAAAATAAACTGTTTCCTATTTAGAACTCTTAATAACATCTCGGGTTGGTGTCTCTTCCCGATAGAAAAAGGTGTAGTGTTTTTATTCTTTTTCCATTCCTGGGCACTATCAAGTCACCATGCCTTGAGGATGGACACAAAGGCTTCCTCTAGAGCAGCAGGAATTACAAATTGAATTTTATAATCCTGCTACATTTACAGTAAAAGGCATGGATGAACCAGCTGTAAAGATCTATGATGCTGGTGATGAACTATCTTTTCTCTGTGGTTGCTGGACCTAAGATCACAGGGGTGCTTATCTGGGTCTTTAGCAAGAGCAGATTCTAGTTGCCCGCCCAACTTTTGGCCTCAGATGAAAAGCATTCTTTGGTCTGGTCTTTCCTAGCCATGGGCATAGACTGAACAGCATCTCTCAGGAAGCACAATTGATCTTCAGATGAAAATACTAAAAAAAAAAAAAAAAAAAAAAAAAAAAAAAAGAGGAGGCGTTGTGGAGAAAACTGGTTTGGTGTAATCTGCCAACAATTCTTTTAGTTCCTCTGTACTGGTGTGCAGAGGTGCATAAGAAAGGGATTTTTTGCTCAGAATTATTTAGTCTATGATTAGTTACTTATAGTCAAGAGTAGTCATGGAACTTGTTAGTTATGCGAAATTGGACCAAATATACTTCTTTAAGCCTCATGACTGATTTTTGTACAATAACAATTAGCATATTTTGAGCATTTGAAAGGAGCTAGAGGTTCAATGCCTTACATGTGGGGTTACATTTGATCTTCATAGGCTCCTGAGAGGGTAGGTGCAGTTGCTAATTCTGTTTTACTAAATGCCCAACATCACACATAGATGACAGCTATTCCTGAGACTTACAAAATGCCAGCTCATGACATTATGCTATGCTGCCTCCCGTACATCATACGGGAGTAATTGTTTCTGCCTTACTAGTTAACTCAGAAAAGTAAATGAGGCTTGGAAAGACCCTAGCTCAAAGCACATACTCAAAAGTATTAGTTTATCTGCAGCATGGAGGTGATATCCACCCATTGAGATGCCAGTCAAACTCTCCTGGGGTTTTTTGTCATCACCTGCTTTCCCTAAACTAGCATTGTCCTTGACACAGCTGTGTTTGTGGTGTTTTTTCCCCTCTGTTTGTAGGCATTTTTGTAGCACTACTTATTTGCTGACTCAAGGGCTCAGCTTAAGACCTTAAACGCTTCAGGGGAAATGTTTTTTTTCCAAATCTAATGCTATGATTTACATCAAGTCCTATAGTATGACACGGGGCAGGATTGAGACAATACTCTGGCTATGTGAATGAAGTGCAGGAGACTGTATTAAGAATAAGGATTAATTTATGTCTTGTATCCCATGTAAGTCATGACGTTTGGGGCCAGAAGCAGAGAGAGGGGTGTCGGGCGTAATTATCATGCTACATGGCTACAGTGAGTAATAGGATGCAGTGAAGTTGATATCAAGCAGTGCTTATTAGTAGGAGAAGAATGTTTGCATCTGAGCCAGAGCAAGACCTCTAGCAGCAACACCCCCTCTTCCAATTTGGTAAATGGAACAAAAAGAATCTCTGTGTCTACCAAGACCTCTATTTTCTTTTTCTTCTTAGAGGAGTTCTCTCTCATCCCAATTATCCATTTAGAGCCACATCAAAGAGCAAAGATGTGGGAATAAAATCTGTAACCTGCACTTCTATGTGTCTCTAAAGACCTTTAGAGTAATTGCAGATGAGACCAAAAGACGTTTTTTAAAAAGAAGGGTCAGCTTCAATCACAAGATCAGAAAAACCTGACAAACCTTAAGTTTCTTTGCAAAATAAAAGCACTTTTCTACTTTAATGAGAAATGATCAGAAAATAGTCTTCCCTGTACTTGCACACAGTCATGTCTCCCAATGTAATTGGTAGAAAATAGCTAAAAGCATGAAGCAAGTCCGTGGAGACATCACAAGATCATGTAAATGGATTAAAAGTGAATCCAGTTTCTTTCGTTTTAACCCTTGAATATTTTCCCTTTTTTTCCGTTCTCTTTTTACCTTTTTCTTTGTTTCTACTATCTTGCCCTCTTCTGAACTTGCAAGGTTCACAAAAACTATTCTCAGAAGAATGCTTCCGACAGTTTTCAGAACAAGATCCCCTCAGCGATTCCAATTAAAGGGCATGAAAAACAGTAACAATCACCAATCATTCCAATGACAAGTTTTACCGCACTGCTACCTGGGCCAGGACACAGGTTCGTGGAGTTTTCTCTTCTCCTGGCCCCGTTTAACTCCAATCTTGCTTTGGTTTAGAGGCTACCCTATCTTCAGGTGCTCCCTAATACATATCAGGAAAGTAAAGCCTTTCACCTTGAGTCACCTTCACTAGTTTGTGTCATGATCTTTGTAACTATTGGCCTTACCAACACTCTGAAAAAGGCTTAATAACAAACAGGTTATGAAGAGAAAGATAAGTGTGTGTTTTCACCTTCTTATTTTTATTTCTTTCTGACTCTTTTCACTGATATCCCCCACCCCACCACAGCCATCTGCAGCAACTCTACCCAGCTTCCAAAATTTATCTATCCCATTGCTACTCTGTGATAATCCCCACAGCATGAAGTGGTCTCTCCTTCTTTAAGCTATCTTACCACTATTACCAGACAGTGGCTCCTGATATAATCACACATACATGTGGATTTTTACACTTCTTAGGGGGATAGTAGCCTATTCAAGGGTGAGGACCGTACCTTATGTCTCAGTATCTATGGCTTATTTAGGGTAGGTGCGTATAAACTAATTTTTATTGCTGAAATTTACAATTAGCAGTGAATTGTATTTTTTGTGTGAAGATTTCCTCACCTACTAAAATATTTCATTTATGACTATGTTCATTTGAAATACAAGGTGAAAATGAGGTGAGGTGCATGATATTTCAATGCAAACGTAAAAACAAATGAAGGCATGAGGGGAAGAGATCCATTTTTTAAAATATGTGGTTAAAGTAGTAAAATGATTCAAATAGGTTTCTCTGCCCCAAAATGCCAGGCTTCTCTCTCTCTTAGAAATATGTCCTGTGCATACCTAGCTCTATATGCTTTCCACATAATTGCCAGCATGATGTTCTTCCCTCTCCTCATTTTCTGCTAAACTCCATCATCTTAAGTCCAACTGAAGACCCACTTTCTCCAAGAAAATTTCTGGACTCACACTCCCTACAGTAGAGATCTCATTTTTTATCATTTAAATTGGAATGGATAGGCCAGGCACGGTGGCTCACGCCTGTAATCCCAGCACTTTGGGAGGCCGATGCGGGTGGATCACTTGAGGTCAGGAGTTCGAGACCAGCCTGGCCAACACGGTGAAACCCTGTCTCCACTAGAAATACAAAAATTAGCTGGGTGTGGTGGCTCGTGCCTGTAGCGGGAGAATCGCTTGAACCTGGGAGGCGGAGCTTGCCATGAGCCGAGATTGCACCACTTCACTGCAGCCTGGGCAACAGAAAAAAAAAAAAAATTGGAATGGACAATAACAAATGAAGCTTATATATGTCACTACTGTGCTCCTCATATATAATAATAATTTGTATATCTTCTACTAGTTTGTTTTTTAAATAAGTTAAGAGCAAAGACTACACTTTTTTCTTCCCTCGGAATTTCCATTTCACCAAGCACCAAAATTTGGTCACATTTTCAGGATCAATGTTTCATTGTTGATTTTTGATTCATTTACTTACTTTTGAAATAACTTGGTTCCTGGTTTTTATCAGGATATCCCTTTCAAAACTTGTATTATTCTGGAGCATTAATATTGCAGGCTGGACATCAAAAGTAACAGAGGGCCCACTCTCTGTGCTTTTTTTTTCCTTTTTTTTTTTTTGAGACAGAGTCTCGCTCTGTTGCCCAGGCTGGAGTGCTGTGGCACAACCTCAGCTCACTGCAACCTCGGCCTCCCGGGTTCAAGCAATTCTCCTGCCTCAGCCTCCTTAGTAGCTGGGATTACAGGCGTGCACCACCATGCCCAGCTAAAAGTTTCACCATGTTGGTAAGGCTGGTCTCAAACTCCTGACCTCGTGATCTACCCGCCTCAGCCTCCCAAAGTGCTGGGATTACAGGCGTGAGCCACCGCGCCCTGCCATCTCTGTGCTCTTAAATGGTAAGTCATTGACTCATCCTAGAGAAAAGTCTACATAGGCTCTCATAGATTATTAGAGCCCTGGATCTGGTTTTCTGCAATTCTCTTGGTTTTTCCAAATTTCTTCCCTTCATTCTGGCATCCTTCTTGATCCCTTGTCTACCACACCACTTAAATCTCTGTCTAGGAATGTTCACGCATTGTGTAGAGGCATTGGTGTTAATGGTATTATCTCTGAATCCATCCCACCGCCTGGAAGCAGGACACCCTTGGTTTTCTATGTGAGAGGTAACTCAAGCAGTCACTATGGAAAGGAAGCAGCATTCACATTTTTGGTGGTTGCTGTGGACTTATGCAAATCAGGACCCCTCACCCCCACTCCCAAAAAAACCCCTCTGATCCAAATGCTAATCCCTCTGGAAATACCATTACAGAGACAGCCAGAAATAAATGTTTTTCCAACTATCTGGGCATCCCTTAGCCCGGTCAAAGTCACTTATTAAATTCATCATCATATTTTGTATTAGAGTGGAGCAAAAGTAATTGCGGTCTTTGCCATTGAAAATGATGGCCAAAACCGCAATGACTTTTGCACCAACCTAATATTAGAACTAAAATAGTAATTTCAGAGAAATAAAGGTAAAAGTTTGTGTGTATATATACAAAATAAAAATTAATTTTGTGGAATCCCATTTATCTCCACCATAGAATTATTTGATATACCTTCTTTTAATTAAAAAAAATATAGTGTTTATGGCCAGGTGCAGTGGCTCACGCCTGTAATCCCAGCACTTTGGGAGGCCAAGGCGGGCAGATCACCTGAAATCAGGAGTTTGAGACCATCCTGACCAACGTGGAGAAACCCCGTCTCTACCAAAAATACAAAATTAGCTGGGCGTGGTGGCACATGCCTGTAATCCCAGCTACTCAGGAGGCTGAGGCAGGAGAATTGCTTGAACCTGGGAGGCAGAGGTTGCGGTGAGCTGAGATTGTGCCACTGCACTCCAGCCTGGGCAACAGGAGCGAAACTCCGTCTCAAAAAAAAAATTACAGTGTTTATAATAAATCTTTAACATCTTCAAATAATAATATACCATGTCATGTGTGATGTAAGACACTCACAGCCATATCCCTACCCTCCCTGACCATTGTGCTATTTTTAAAACACATTTTTCACTTTGATGTGTGTGGTAAACTCGTAATTATTAAACTTTGCTTTAAATTGTTAATTATCTTTTCAAGAAACTTTAAAGTGAGCAAATAAGTCTTTTATACCCTCTCACATATTTCACACTGTGTCTGTCACGGTTTGGATGGATTCAGTGTTCCATCTGGTACCACTCCCATCCTACCTGAAGAGCTTTCTTTAGCATTTCTTGAAGTGCAGGTCTGATGGAGAAAAATGCCCTCAGCTTTTGTGCATCTTAAAAAGCCTTAATTTCCCCCTCATTTAAAAATGATATCTTCAGTGTATATAGAACTGTAAACTAACAGTTGTTTTTCCCCCTTTTTCACACTTTGTGGGGGCCATTCCATTACCTTCTGGCTAGCGCAGTTCCTGTGGATGTAAGAGCATGTGTGTCTTAATTCACAGAAAGAGAAGGCTACATAGCAGTTAACAGATTGACTAAAATTGATTTATCTATTCTGCTCAAGTGGAATCTAGGTCTGCTAATTCCTACACAAGTTTGCCTCACCAAGATATATCTCCATTATTCACCTGGGTATATTTATTGGGGTGATAGATAACAAAGTACCTACAGTAAACTCATCCAATTTTGAGGAAAGAAAATGTTTAAGTTTAATTGACTAATTCCTCACAGTAACCAAAGGGTTTCCAAAATGTAGGTGTCCACACTGCTTCTTTAAGTTTATGCTACACTTATTGGCATTGATATGCCATTGTCTGAATGCTCCTGGAAACCACAACTATGGAAGGAGTGAATAGAGGGTGTTTCTTCTAGTCAAAATTTTAACTTCCTAATTTATTTACTTCATAGCTGAATGTGTGGAACTAACAAGTTTCCTGACTCTTGACTATAAGCAACTAATCGTAGCCTAAATAATTCTGGGCAGCGAGTTACCCCCTTTTTTTTTAGATGGAGTCTCGCTCTGTCACCCAGGCTGGAGTGCAGTGGCGCAATCTCCGCTCACTGCAACCTCCAGTCTCCCAGGTTCAAGCGATTCTCCTGCCTCAGCCTCCCGAGTAGCTGGGACTACAGGCGCCCGCCGCCACGCCTGGCTAATTTTTTGTATTTTTAGTAGAGACGGGGTTTCACCGTGTTAGCCAGGATTGTCTCGATCTCCTGACCTCGTGATCCGCCCGCCTCAGCCTCCCAAAGTCCCAGAATGCTGACATTACAGGCGTGAGCCACCGCGCCGGGCCACGAATCCCTTTTTTATGCACCTCTGTACACGAGTATACAGTAGGAACTAAAAGAAATGTTGACAGATAACACCAAACCAGTTTTCTTCACAATACCTCCTCTTTCTTTTACTATTGTCATCTGAAGATCAACTGTGCTTCCGGAGAGATGCTGTTCAGTCCATGCCCATGGCTAGGAAAGACCAGACCAAAGAATGCTTTTCGTCTGAGGCCAAAAGTTGGGCAGGGACTTGACAGTGCCCAGGAATGGAAGAAGAATAAAAACACTACACCTTTTTCTATAGGGAAGAGGCACCAATGCGACATTACTAAGAACTCTAAATTGGAAACAGTTTTTTTTTTTTTAAACACTTATCAGGAGTGATTGATTTTATTATTATTTTTTCTTTATTTAACTGGGTAAACAATTAATTTGACTACAATCAGCCAATTTATTTTTTAGCATTCTGTATACACACTCTTAAAAATTGTGTTACATTGAATAGATGTTTTATTGTTGTTGTTGTTGCCAAAATTTGTAGCAAAGAGTTTCACATTTTCATGACAATTTTAACATCTGGGAACATTGTTCAGTAGGGACAATAGAGGCACACCTCTAAGTCTTCCTTCTGTCCCCATTGGACAAGAAAGAGTTGGGGAGTGTTGACTTTGAGTTGTGCCTAGAGAGGAAAATGTGCATTTATTCTACCAGCTTGGATCATTTTTTTTTTAAGTAAAATGGTTCTGTCTCTTAGCTTTTCTTTTAAAGAGAACACTGATATTTCAGGTAATATGTGAAATGTTTTGAAATGCTCACAAATGAATTATAGATTAAACTGAAATTACTTGCTTTGGTTTTTCTTCTGTTGTCATTGTCAAGAGCTCCCAAATGATCAAGGGTGAAAGATAAAAATATAAAAAACTAAAACAAAAAATATGGGATGGAAAAATAAACCAAAAACTATTAAGAAGTAAAGTCTGGTTGATTATGAAGCAATGACAAGGTCCTTAGATATACAGAAATTGTGTATTCCTTTCAGAAAAAGAAAATGATCTTGAAAAATACCTATTACTACCCAAAATACTACTTACAATGTCTAATTGCCCAACAACATGTTACCGTGAATACAGAATAGAACATGGTTTGTTCCAAATTGAGTGCAATGAATTTGAAGAGTAGGTCAGAAGGATATTACTGGTTTGTAATTATTTGTAAATGGCCTGGTTTCAGCTTATAGCTGTCGCAAACCTGTTTGCCAGTAGGTACCTTAGATATTAGAATTCCTGAAATTCTAATTCTTGCAATGCCCATTATCTTATTTAACTAAATTCATCAAACCACACATAAAAAATAATAAAAATGAAAGCATAGCATCACAAGTGAATTTACTTGGGAAACTTCATCTTTTTAAACACCTGATATGAAGTGACCTACTAACCATTACAGGCTATTACCAAAAATGTCACAAAGAAACAAAAGTATATACAATTTACAGCAATCATTCATTATTGATTTAAGAACACTAATTGAACTTCCAGTATAAGCCAGGTAATGAGTAATGCTATAAACAAATAAAGATAAGGAAGGCAAGTTCCCTTTCTGGTGAAGGAATCAGATGGAAACATACAATAATTCTAGTTCAATACAACCACTGATATGCTCTCTGAGAATCATTTTCTAAACATCTTAGCAGATGATGTATTAGAATAATCATTACCTATAGGTAGATTACCTTGATTATAACAGAATAAGTAGTTATCAATAGATAAGTTAAAAATAATTTATATCTTGCATGCTGGAATCATTTATTTGCAAACCATCTTCATTATCTTAAACTGAAAGTTGTACCTGTGGTCTTCCAGAAAAGGTCGTAACTCAAAAGTGTCTAGGCTTAGTGAAAAAGGGTTGTGGCAAATATATAAATAGGCAAAAAGACAATGCATCAGAAAAGAGTATAGATACTCTATTCTCAGAACAGTGGCCTTAATTTTACCAATTTCTGAAAGCAATGTCATAATTTCAAACAAAACCAAATATTTATGGCATAGAAATTTCACTTTGATGTGACAGTCACACGATTCTTCACAAGATTTTATTGGCTCATTTCTCTATTTATAAAATTTTTCCTCTATGCAACTGTATGTTATTATGAAAATTATCTGTTCATGATATATTACATAAAAATAAGCTTAACCATTCAAAATTATCTATTCTTTATCTATTACATAAAAATAACCTTGTCTCCTGCTTTGTGTTATGCAAATGCTAGAATTTTAGCATGGAAATCAGCCTAGGCCTGCACTTCTGAAACTTTCCAGTGCCCATAAACACCTGAGGATCCTGCTAAAATGCAGATGCTGATTCAGCAGGGATGGGGTGGGCCTGAGATGCTGTGTTTCTCCCAAGCTCCCAGGTGATGCTGGTCCATGAACCACACCTGGAGCAGATAAATCAGTCCACTACATCTGACCCATTTTGTTTAAATCATCACTGAAAGTGGTCCTGATCACTTAACTACAATATTCAATCCTGGGGACTTCCCTATACCCTTTCAATTTACAAGGCAATTAGTTGTCATGCCTGTCAGGAGATCCACAAAATCAAACTGGCTTTCACTTATTCCCTTGCACAGGTTTCTTTAAAGAGATTTCCTAATTTGAGAAATCTTGGGCAAATTGAAATGGTTTACCATGCATTGTTGTGGTCTCTATGACTGCCATTACAAAATGATGAGTCTAAAATTAACACTACTCCTGAGGATAAATTAGAACCATTTGCTGTTTGTTTCTTTTTGTTTTAGTGTAATAATGGTTGTAGGCTAATCAGGAAAGATGCTGGACACATGTGATTCTCATCTCATCTAATTAAATTGTAACACTTAACCATTAAAGTGAATAAGCTGCATCATAGTTTTATTTTTCCTAACAATTATAATTTCTGCAATAATAATATTATCTACAACTTATTGAAGGCTTGCTATGTGCTATTTTCTGTATAAAATTTAGGCATTATTTCACTATTTTGCTGCATGGAAACCCACTTCTGAGAGGTTAATGCATTTATTTTTTTCTACCACTTACAGCAAGTTAAAAACAAAATGTCTCTGACTATAGCTTAGCTCTCAAGCTGTCATTTGACTGTACCCTTTATTTTGCCAATAGAAGGAAAGCTATTGCTATCGCATCTTGGAGGCAGATATGTCTACTCATTTTCACCTTCTCCTTTCCTTTCCCTAGGGGAAGTCCAATTTTTCATGAGGTTATCTGTTGGTCATTGCAGCTGAGTTGCCAGGGATGTCTTGGGCATGGAAGCCTAGGGTTGAGACCCACCTAAAGCTCCCCAATACTTTTCTGGGGTCCCAGAGGAATCAGGACACTGTCTGCATCCCTTTTTCTTTTCCTTTTTTTAATTGTATTTTTTTGGAGTTGGGGTCTTGCTTTGTAGCCCAGGCTGGAGTGCAGTGGTGCAATCATAGGTCACTGCAGCCTGGACCTCCTGGGCTCAAGTGATCCTCCTGTCTCAGCCTCTGGAGTATCTGGGACTACAGGAGCATGACACCATATCCAATTAATTGTTTTTTTATGTTTTTAGACATGATATCTGGCTATATTGCCCAGGCTGGTGTCCAACTCCTGGCCCCAAGTAATCCTCCTGCCTCAGCCTCCCGAAGTTTTGGGATTACAGACATGAGCCACTCTGCCCAACTCCAATCCCTTTCTCTGATTGCCATTTTTTACTCTCCCATAGCCATTTCATACACGTCTATGTTTCCTTCTGAAGGACAAGACTGCCTATTCTAAGAATTTCAGATGAGAAAAAAAAGCCTAAATGGTATTTTATTGCTCCATCTGCCTCCTGGGAAAGAACGCACTTTCCTACCCCACCAACACAGACAGTGCAGTGACATCCCTTCCCCACTGCTCCTTTCTGTTGCAACTCCCATCTCCTTTGCTTGGGAGGTGTTCATTTCATTGTGCATTTCTCTCACTTGAGAGTTAAAGACATAACCTTAATGTTTTGAGCTCTCTGGGCTTTGCCTCTTGATATTTAAATGCAGAATTTGGAATAAAAAGAATATTTCTGCTATGAGCTGAAAGAGAAGTCCTACTTTGCTACTCAAAGCCACAGATTTGACTCTGATCTTGCTAGGTTCTGTTGAGCCTGTCCATTTCTGGGGCAATACCCTTCTGCCCAAATGTTGATTTTAATGGTGAGGATTTGCAGAAAATAAAGAAGAAAAAAAAGCGTCAGATATATTTCAAAAAAAAATTGTACCATAGGGCACATTCATGGGATTAGAAATAAGAGTGCAAATCTGAACAAGATGGTTTCGGACAGTGGTCATTCCAAAAATAATTAAGCAACTGACAGGTTTTGTTTTTTTCTTCACATGTTCAGTTGCAGCTTTAGAGGTTGAATCAACAATCTGATTTGTTTATTTAATTAATTTATTTTTTGACAGGGTCTTACTCTGTCGCCCAGACTGGAGTGCAGTGGCACAGTCAAGGCTCACTGCAACCTCGACCTCCTGGGCTCACGCCATCCTCCCACCTCAGCCCCCTGAGTAGCTGGAACTACAGACTACAGGTGCGCACCATCACACTGGCTAATCTTTGTATTTTTAGTAGAGATGGGGTTTCACCATATTGCCCAGGCTGGTCACGAACTCCTGAACTCAAGTGACCTACCTGCCTCTGCCTCCCAAAGTGCTGGAATTACAGGCATGAGTCACCATGCCTGGCCAGAATCCAAATTTGTAGGAGATATATATATACATATATGGATATATATATTAGGATATATATATATATAAATATATATATAAATATATATATAAATATATATAAATATATATAAATATATATAAATATATATATATAAATATATATATAAATATATATATAAATATATATAAATATATATAAATATATATAAATATATATATAAATATATATATAAATATATATATAAATATATATATAAATATATATAAATATATAAATATATATAAATATATATAAATATATAAGTATAAATATATATAAATATATATAAATATATATATATATAAATATATATAAATATATATATAAATATATATAAATATATATATAAATATATATATATATAAATATATATATATATATATGCTTCTATAACTTTATTTGAAGTCCAAAAGAGAAGTGATTTATTTGAGGTAAAATATCACCAAGGTTTTATAGAAGTCATGAATGAGACTCTTGAAACAATTTGGAAGTGTTAATATAATAAATCCAAATTTGTTTTCCATTTGTTTTGTTTTTGTTTCCTATTCTCTTTAATGAAGAAGCATTTATTATCTAGATATTGCCTCCCAAGTCTAGGATGAATCTTTTTTTCTTGTCATTTTAAATTGCTGCTGAAGGAAAATTTCCATTTTAAAAAACCTAAAGCATTTTCGAGATATTCTTATAATTCCAAGCCAGGCAAACTGATATAATTTATATTAATAGTATAAACATTGACAACCATAATGTATTCTTTTTCCACAAGAGCATATGGTTTGGTTTTGTTTTTCACCAAAGTTATGAGTGATTGAAAGCAGATATTTTGCTAAAATGGGTAGGTAAATCATACACGTGCTTGGATTCACACTGAAGTGTTTGCAGAGTGTTTAACACGAAGCTGGGGACAGGAGCCTGCTGGTGTCGCACTGAGTTATCATGGTAGGAAAGTGGTATCGTGTGACTTGTGGCACTCCTAGAATGCCTCTGTGAGCTATTGCATATGCACGCCTGATGGAGAAAGCTGACCAGCAGGACACTGGCTTCTCATGAAGTCCCCGCACTAGCATTTTTAACATGCTCAAGATTTATGGCTCATGAATTCAGAGACAGAAATACAAATCTTATGACTCTAGTTACTTATGTAAGACAATACCAAGCAATCCATCTCTGCAGTGTATACAGGCACTGAAGGGTGCTGGGTCTTGAATTTTAAAGTGCTCACCCTTGCATTTGAGGAAGTATGGAAAATCGCTTAGCAATCTCCATTCTCCACTGTCTCCTAGGGATGCTTCTAACTAACGCACACAAGGAAACAGGGACAACAAATAAACTTACAGGCTTAGGAAAATAATAATTCCACTTGGAATGTTTTAATTTGGTCGTTTCTACGTCAGGAAATGTATACTGCTTTTCTAATGGAGCCACACTGTGGTGTTATTCAATGATGTATGTCTTCTCATCTCCTCTGGGATTTTTTTCTGAAGAATAAAACATTCTCAGCTCTTCTATTTTACCAAAATATATACAGTTACATGATGACTTAAATATGCACAACTCCATTTCTCCATCTTAGCATTATTCTTATTTTAGGTGAAAAAAATTCATAGTAATTTAGAAACAGGCAAGATGCAAATAACGTCATGGATAGTATATGAGGTTTCCAGTGAACATCATACAAAGTAAGCTATCTGTGTCACTAATTGATCTCATGGGAAACGTAAGTAGTATAGAATCAAGATCAAGTGGGGATGTATCATTTATGTTCAAGATACTTCTCATGTTCATTTTAAATGGCTTCGATTTGGGATATAATGAATTTAGTTGGAGAGTGGACAGCATACATGAGGTAAGGCCTTCATGGGCAATTAAGGTACATAACTTAAAAAAAAAACTGTTCCATGATGTATTACTTTTAAAATTTGGCCCTCATTCACAGAACGGAGCAGGAGTGTGGGGCAGTGACCTGGGATCAGGTGTCACATGAAAAGCGGATTTGTGTTGAAGCTGGCTTCCACTGTACTTGACATAAGATTGACACATGGGCAGCTGTCAGTAACAAATAATGGATGGAGCAGGGGATGATGGCGATGAGCTTCCCATTGAAGAAGCCATTTGTGTCATCTCTGTGAGGGCCACACACTGTACTGAGTTCATTTTCTAAGAACAAGGTTTTCATTCTAACATGATGCATCTGGGTTCGAGAGGCATCAGGAGCTTGCTAGTTGAAAGAAGAAGCATCTCCTCTGCTTTAGCTACCGAAAGTAAAATGTTGAAACATATGCAAAAGTTATCTGCCTAGCCATTCCTGGTGGTGGTGATTCATGTGAGAGCTGCCACCAGCAAAGCTCTTTCATGATGTTCTTTTCAGCCTTGAAGAGGCTCTACCATAGTGGGATTTCAAAACTCTTAAGAAGAGTAAAGCACTAATATAATACTTCAGTTTTAATTATCTTGGCTAACCACTTTCTGCCCATTTACTAAGTCCCTGAGTGTATCATTCAGGGGTTAGTGTAGACAAGACCCTACACTTCTTTTAGGACAGAAGGAGAAGAAATCATTTGAGACTACGTTACAGGTATTATATTCATTGACTGCTAAATATTTTGACATCTTTTCATTAAGTAGATAAAACTGCATATAATGTTCTCAAACCTCATCTGAAAATACAAATAAGAAAATTGGCCGGGTGCCATGGCTCACGCCTGTAATCCCAACACTTTGGGAGGCCAAGGCAGGCGGATCACAAGGTCAGGAGTTCAAGACCAGCCTGGCTAAGACGGTGAAACCCCATCTCTACTAAAAATACAAAAAAAATTAGCTGCGCATGGTGGCGGGCACCTGTAGTCCCAGCTACTTGGGAGGCTGAGGCAGGAGAACGGCTTGAACCGGGGAGATGGAGGTTGCAGTGAGCCGAAATCGCGCTACTGCACTCCAACCTGGGCGACAAAGCGAGACTTCATCTCAAAAAAAAAATAAAAAGAAGAAAGAAAGAGAAAGAAAGAAGAAGGAAAGAAAGAAAGAGAGAGAGAGAGAGAGAGAAAGAAAGAAGAAAGAAAGAAAGAAAGAAAGAAAGAAAGAAAGAAAGAAAGAAAGAAAGAAAGGAACTCATTGGCCATTTATATTATTCAAACCTATTTCCTGCTTCTAACGGTTCCACTGCCTCTGTGGTTTCCCTTCAGACAGGGGGACTAAAGGATGCATTTTTCCCATATAGAGAAAGATTATTGGCACCTAGGATTTCTGGCCTAAATTCCTCAAAATGTAAGTCATGCCGATACTATTCCTGAAAAATCGATAATGACATTGAACTTGATGAATAACATGAACAACTCATGTCCATGCAATTAAACTTGAATTCTGTTACTGAAAGCCAAGATTGAATGTATTATTTTTTTCACATTTCATTTATTTGATAATGCTACTTCTGTGAACATTTTGTGGAAAATTTGGAATAACCACAGGATGAGGTTTGCATCACATTATATTACAGTTCACCATATATAAATAAGCTCATTGTCAAATGTATATTATTAAAGTTTGAATCGAGAAAAGCATAATAGTTTCCAGCTTTTACATTTTGGTATTGGGCTTTGCAAAAAAAATTGCAATTGCTGTTAAGAAGGCATCCTAGACATTATGCAGGCACAAGTGGTGTAATCCCAAACAGCTTAAGAAACCTAAATATTGTTAGGTATGGTTCTGCTTAAGGTAAGTTTCCCTGCAGTTCATGCTGCAGGGTACTGAGCTGTATTCTTGTTAAATATTTACCATAAGTTACTGTACTTCATTTCTGTTTCCCACAAACTGAGTCCTGTGTATCAGATAGCCTAACAGGACAGCACAAATCTTTCAGAAAGTGAGATCCACTGCTGAAGTCAATTCAGCCAAAAATTTCATCAGAATGAGCTAAAAAAAACAACTGATTACCCAGAGATGCATCATTGTTTAGATTTATTTTTGATTATTCCAACTTTCGTTTCTGGTTCTCTTTTTATTTTTATAAATTTTTATTTTATATATTTTCAAGCACACAGAAAATATCAAAGTACAGTATAAAATTTGCTGTAAACATTCAACCAGATTTAGGACATGTTAAAAATTTCCCACAGTGGCTTTGCTCTATCTATGTTATTGTGGTTTTTTGTTTTGTTTTGTTTTGTTTTTTGACAGAGTCTCACTCAGGCTGGAGTGCAGTGGCACAGTCTTGGCTCACTGCAACCTCTGCCTCCCTGGTTCAAGCAGTTCTCCCTGCCTCAGCCTCCCAAGTAGCTGGGATTACAGGCACCCGCCACCACACCTGGCTAATTTTTATATTTCTAGTAGAGACGGGGTTTCGCCATGTTGGCCAGACTGGTCTTGAACTCCCGACCTCAGGTCCGCCCGCCTCAGCCTCCCAAAGTGCTGGGATTATAGGTGTGAACCATTGCGCCCAACTGCTTTGCTCTATCTGACTGTCTATCTATCTATCTATCTATCTATCTATCTATCTATCTATCTATCATCTACCTATCCATCTATTTGTATCTATCTATCTATCTATATCTGTCTATCTGTCTCTCTGTCTATCTATCTGTCTGTCTCTCTATTTGTCTGTCTGGCTGGCTTGCTGGCTGGCTATCGTTTGTCTATCTATCTGTGGATCTGTCTGTCTAACTATCTTTCTGTCTATCTGTCTATCTATCTGTCTATCTGTCTGCCTATCTGTCTATTTGTCTGACTGGCTGGCTGGCTATCTATCTATCTATCTATCTATCTATCATCTATCTATCTATCTATCTATCTACCTACCTACCTACCTACCTGTCTTTCTATCTGCCTGTCTACCTTTCAGTCTGTCTACCTTTCTGTCTATCTTTCTGTCTGTTTTTCTATCTGTCCATCTGTCTGTCTGTCTGTATGTCTTTTCGTCCTCCGTCCATCTATCTGTCTATCTGTCTTTCTTTCTGTCCGTCTATTTTTCTGTCTGTCTGTCCATCCGTCTGCCCGTCTGTCTGTCTGTCCATCTATCTGTCTAAGGGACCTGTCTGTCTTTCTGTCTGTCTATCTGTCTGTCTCTCTCTCTCTCTAGCTACCTATCTACCTATCATCTATCTGTCTTCTCTCCCCTAAGTGTTTTCATGCACACAAATACACACATAACACACACAATTCTATATATCTATATATGTATATCTATATATGCATATACTTTTCTGAACTACTTGAAATTAAGTTGTAGATATCATATTCACCTAACACCAAATATTTTGGTATGAATTTCCCAAAGATAAAAACTGCACGAACCTGATACAATTAACAAAATCAAGACATTTAACATTGGTACAATACTATCTAATTCATTGATAGTATTGGTATCATTGATAACATTGGCGCAGTACTATCTAATTCACAGTGATACTGAAAATTTCTTCATTATTGCTATACTGTCTTTTTTAGCTATATTTTTTTCTGGTCCAGTATCCAATTCACAATCATGAATGACATCACATTGTCTGGTAACTTTACTTTCCTTCAGTCTGGAACATTCTCTGTTTCTTGTTTGTTCATGAAGCTGATATATCTGAAGACAGGCCAGTTATTTTGTTGAACATCCTTCGATATGAGCTGGTTTAATGATTCCTGATAACTGGATTCAATTTATTTATTTTTGGCAGGAGTACCATCAAAATGAGGTGTGTTTTCTCTAGTACCTTATGTCTAGATGCACATGATGCCTCTGTCTCATTATTGGTGATGATAAACTTCATCACTTGGTTAAAATGGTGTCTCTTGGATATCCCCGTACAAAGTTATTAATTTTACCTTTGCAATTTATAAGACATGTGGTATTGATAAGAAATCAATGGGCTATTTCAGACTATGTATATATCATATCTTGTTCATCAAATTAATTTTGTCATCTAGTTGGCCTTGATGCCAATATGGTGGTTACAATACAAAGATTTCCCAACTCCATCATTCTTTATGTGTTTCTCACTTGGCTATCTGTGAGGAAGTGCTTTGCATTGTCTTCTATCATTCTATTCACTATCCGTATGAATTCCTGGATATTACAAGTGCACTTTTCTGAAGTTACCCCTTTCAAAATGGCACCTGTGTAATTTTGACACTTTCCAAGCATTTATTCATACTTTCTGACATAACATTACCATAATTCCTCAGATGTCAAAATGAAGATAAAAGTAAATCTAGAATGATGATCTCCATCTATTAACTTATTAAGAGAATACATTGACATACATGATGATAAATACTTTTATCTCTAACAATGCTTCTAATTGTTTGTGACATTCAAAATTAATGCAGATAATATTGCAGAGCACGTTGAGTCTAAGGCCACTTTAGTTTTTGCCCAAAGAGCTTTCAACAAGAGAGATGTCCACAGTCTTCTTTGAATATATAAATCATGTCTACAAATCAAACTCAGTAATTATGCTGTGCTGAAATATTTGCATAAAATATTTGAATACAATCAGACATAATCTGGTACAAATGGTGGCAAAATAATTATTTTTATGAAAATCCGAGGGTGTTTTAATGTCATAATTTAGCCTCTGGGTACTAATTTATTGGTCACCTATTTCACTGTTACCAAAGTCTTCTCAATGATTAATACCTCAGCCACTTTTGCATAGTTCTAGGGGTTGAGAGTAACTATAGCATTTTAAGAGCACTTATTTCACTAATTGACATTTTCTATTATAAGCAGAGATCCTGCAATTCTCTGCCTTCTTCTTTGTTTTGACTTCAAGAGCTGTAACAAATAGTGAATCTACTTCCTCTTCCATACACCACTCCTTTAAATATTTGAAGAGAGCTCCCGTGTTCTGTTGGATACTGTCATTCTTTGCTAAATACTACCAGTTCCCAATTCCATTTTTCAAAAGTGCTTTCAATGATAATTTGCTCTACTCTGGATACTGTTGAGTCTGTCACAAATGGTAACAATGCTGATTAATTAGTATAGTGACCTGAACTACCATAGTTGAGAAGAAAATAAGAGGTTACATTCAGGCTTGTTCAGAAAGAGTGCAGCTATTTGATGTCTGTCAAAATATTGTAGGAGGCAGGGCACAGTGGCTTGTGCCCTTAATCCCAGCATTTTGGGAGGCGAAGGTAGGAGGATCTCTTCAGTCTGGGAGTTCAAAGCTTGGGCAACATAGTGGAACCCCATTTCTACAAAAAGAAAAATTACAAAAATTAGCCAGAGGTGGTGATGCATGCCTGGAGTCCCAGGTATTCAGGAGGCTAAGGCAGGAGGATCTCTTGCATCCATGAAGTGGAGGCTGCAGTGAGACATGATTATGTCCCTGCATTCCAGCCTGGATGACAGAGCAAGACCCTATCTCAAAAAAAAAAAAAAAAAAAAAAAAAAAAAAAAAAGACCTTGTAGTAGACAGTGGTGTTTATTTGATATCCTATATTGTAAATTAAGACAATGGCTTAGATATAATAGTTAGATGTGGTCTAGCCTGGGTAGCACACATGTGACATTTTATAAGAAATTATTCTAATATGCTGATTTCTAAAATCAGTTAGAATTTATCATATTATTAGCTCAGAACAAATTTGTAGTCAACTAAAATGTCAAGATTTTTGTTTTTCCTGTAACATGCTTTTGGGATCATGGTTTATTATATAATCTTATTATTGCTAGAAGGCTTGGAAAGTCTCTTGGTTGGACAAATTAAGAAAAAAATATATAATGAGATGACACTAAATAAATAAATGTCATCTTGCCATTTACCTTTAGCAAAATTTTCATACAGAACTGCAGAATGTGTGAGAACTTATTTCACTTTTGTTTATATAAAAATTCTTTTTAATGTTTCAAAACATGAGTTACATCGAAGTTTTCAAGAGAAAAGTTGTATATCTGTATTTAATCTTCACCTATGTTCACCTAACTAAAAATATGAAGCAGTTATACTGCACTAACATTTTTTCACAATGTTTTGCTATCCTAAACTATATTTATATTTACTTTTCATTTACAATGTGCTTGTCCATCCTATTGTGTGAATAATAGCAATTTTTAGGGATGAAATAGTAAACCATAAGGCTATGCAAAACCTAATGGAAAAGATCTTTCAGGGGATTCTTTTGACTAAAGACAGATGTGACAGATGTTATGAAGTCTTTTAAAATTTTTCAGAAAGTACAATAAGTGATATCCATAGCAGTCCTGCAGTCTAAAATGATAACTTTTGAAAAGAGAAAAGTTTTGGCAAACTGTAAAATAGAGGTAGACATTGCCAAAGGGAAAAAAATTGCTTTGGTTTCCACATATCAAAACACTTTTTTTCAACACATCAGGTCAAAGGTATGACAAAACGTGCCTTACTAAGTATCCGGAAGGCCTTATAATGCTGCTTTACACCAAGGAGGTGGTTGCTACAGCCCTTCTTTTGGAAAACTCAGAGTGTGAGGCCCAGTTATTCTCTTGCAAAAAGCTACTGGCTGTAAATGAGTGGTTTAAAGGCTGCATTTGATTCTACTCCATGCACTGAAGTAGCTTAGCATTTATTTAAGATTGCAGTACAGCAGTAGACAAGAAAACAAAAAACACAAAGGTAAATGTTCCACTGTATATGTGCAAGGGATTTCGCTGGAATATACATGTGCGAATATGTGTGTGTGTGTGTGTGTGTGTGTGTGTGGAGAGAGAGAGAGAGAGAAAGAGAGAGAGAAAACACCAGAAGATGAGAAACTCAAACTACTCAGTGTGGTTGTAGAAATGCAGCTTAAAAAAAAGGTAATTGAACATTAAAACAAAGCTGTTTGCAATAAGACATTTTCATGAGCTATTTATGCCTCATATAAATTCTCATTTCTTGAAAGTAAGACCAAAGAAATGTTTAACGAACCTTTCTGTATTATGCAGACCTGGCATTTATTATCAGAGACTGCGCACTGTACAATGAAGTAAAGCCAGCCATTCATTAGGTAAGGTGTGTGTATATACACATATGTTTTTTTAAATAAACTCTTTGCATTGCATGTAGTTGAATTACAGATCAAGTCTGCATGTTCTCTTCCTTCCAACATGACTTAAGAAGACCCGTAAGTAATTGATAAGGCTGGCCATGCTTTCAAAACTAGCTAGTGAAGACTTGCTAAGGGGAAAAATCACTATCGTCCTGTTCATTTTTATTTTCCTCTGTTAAGAGGCAACTAACTGAAAATGTTAACATTTAGAGAAATAAGTGATGCTTTTTAGTGTGTCTCCCTGCTGCACACTGAATTCACCTCTGTTTCCACATACTCCATATTTGCCACAATCATTTCTGCCTTCCTTCTTAAATTAAGAGCTCCTTGGTGACTGGTGACAAAAAAATATTTGTGGTGGATTAAGATCCCTCTAAATGTCAGCTCTTCCACAGACATTATTTTATTCTCACAAAAGTGCTGCAAGATAGGTGTTTGTTTGTTTCTTTTTGAGACGGGCTCTTGCTCTGTCACCCAGGCTGGAGTGCAGTGGCGCGATCTTGGCTCACTTCAAGCTCCGCCTCCCGGGTTCACGCCATTCTCCTGCCTCAGCCTCCCGAGTAGCTGGGACTACAGGCGCCCGCCACCAAGACCGGCTAATTTTTTTGTATTTTTAGTAGAGACGGGGTTTCGCCGTGTTAGACAGGATGATCTCGGTCTCCTGACCTTGTGATCCGCCCACCTGGGCCTCCCAAAGTGCTGGGATTACAGGCGTGAGCCACCGTGCCCGGCCAAGATAGGTTTTATTATTTCCAATTTAGTTAATCAGACAATAGGCTCAAAGAGGCCAATTAACCCCCTCAAGATCACACAACAAATCAATTTGTTGGTCAAATTGATCAAGTGGTCAATTTTGGGCTTTAAACCAACTCTGCCAAAAATTACTATCGGAGACATTTCAACCATCACCATAGATCATGTGTATTAATCTTAGTATTCTCAGGAACTGATGGTGCTTAATCTATAATTAAGGTAATTTCAGCCAATATTTAGTAAATACCTGGTTAGCTATTTCCAGGTACCAAAAGGTAGAACACAATACTTTCTATTTACTGAGAAATTACCTGGCCAAGTAGTTTTCTGGAGTTGCTCACATTCAGAGATGAAGTATAGTGAATGCATTACAGCAGTCGCCTTATCCACAGTTTCTCTGTCTGCAGTTTCAGTTACCTGCAGACAACTGCAGCTGGAAAATATTGCATGGAAAGTTCCAAAAATAAACAATTTTCAGTTTTCAATTGTGTGCCATTCTTCATAACATGATGAAATCTCACACTGTCCTGCTCCATCCTGCCTGAGATGTAAATTATCCCTTTGTCCAGCATCTCCACGCTGGGCACATAACTCGCTACCCACCAAAGCTGGGCACATAACTCGCTACCCACCCAAGAGTCATGGACATCATCTGCTCCTGACATTCACCCATTAGACATCATCATAGCTCAAAGATCTGGGATCACCCAAAGCAGATGACCCTCCTTCTGATGCTTTGTCAGAAGGTCAATAGTAGACTAACACTACTACATCACAACGCCTGTGCCACAATGCCTATGTCATTCACCTCGTTTCATCTCATGAGGCAGGCATATTATCATCTCACACCATCACAAGAAGAAGGGTGATGTATTAGTCCATTTTCATACTGCTATAAAGAACTGCCAAGACTGGGTAATTTATAAAGGAAAGAGGTTTAATTGACTCACAGTTTCACATGGCTGGGGAGGCCTCAGGAAACTTACAATCATGGTGGAAGGTGAAAGGGAAGCAAGGCACCTTCTTCACAAGGCTGCAGGAAGGAGAAGTGCTGAGTGAAGTGGGAATAGTCCCTTATAAAACCGTCTGATCTCGTGAGAACTCACTATCACGAGAACAGCATGAGGGAAACCACCCCCATGATTCAATTACCTCCACCTGGTCTCTCCCTTGACACGTGGGGATTATGGGGATTACAATTCAAGATGAGATTTGGGTGGGGACACAAAGCCTAACCATATCAGGTGAGTACAGTACAATAAGATATTTTGAGAGAAAGAAGGCGATATCACTTAACTTCACAAGATACTATTATAATTGTTTAATTTTAGTATTAGTTATTGTTGTTCATCTCTTACTGTGCCTTATTTATAAATTAAACTTTATCATACATATGTAATGTATGTAGGTATAAGAAAAAGCAGTGTATATAGGGTTCAGTACTATCCTTGGTTTCAGGCATCCACTCCGGATCTTGGAACATCTCTCTCACGGACAAGAGGGGGACTACTGTAGGTGCCTATTGCCATGTAACAAAACATCTCAAAATATAATGGTGAGAAACATTATATGTATTACCTCACAGTTTCTGTGGGTGAGGAATTTTGGCATTGCTTAGCTGAGCCCTCTTATGAGCCTGTAGTCAGCCGGGACATCAGTCGTGTCAAGCCTAGGTGGATCCTTTTCCAAGCTCCCTTGCAAGGTGATTGGTGGGATTCAGATCCTCATGGGCTGCTGCACGGAGGCCCTCCATTCTTTGTTGGCTGTTGACCAGTTCTCTGTCATATAGGCCTCTCCATGGGGCAGCTCACAACTTCCTTCATGAAAACAGGTGAGGAGGCCCAGAAAGAGAAAGAAGACCATAAAGTTAGAGTCTTTGTGGCTTAGTCTCAGTAGCGTCATCCCAACACTTGGCAGTGCTCCATTCCTCAGAAGCCACTTGCTCTTTCCAGCCCACTCTCAACAGGATGTGATTAAGCAAGGCGTGAAGATGAGGGAGCAGGTATCATGGTGTGCCATCTCAGAAGGCTGCTGACAGCAACAAATAACAGAAGCGAGGCCTTGGAAGTGTTTATCTGCAACAGGACAATCACAGTTCACCATATATGAAAGAGTTAAGTGAATTTTTTTCAGGCATAATAACTCCAGCTGACACCCAAATTGGGAACATCAAAAGTCACTTTCTAAGCAGAATCATATCAATAGCTTTAAATATCAGGCAAGCATATTCCTTACAAGATTTTTTTTGTAGCATTTATTATAACCTCTTTTGAGCCCTGGATATTATGCAAATTAAGTGAGCATTGTGTATGTTTTCTTGGCTGGCACTCTTGAGATATCAAAAGTGTGAAAGAGCTGGCACTAAATCTTGGCCTTCAGCTCTGAAAGCTCTAAATGTAAGTAAGGGGAAAAAAGTGTGCATGTGTTTATACAGAATAGAATATGAAAAAGAGCCTAGTTTTCTTTCTTAACAGGATTATGCAATTTAAACCTTGTTTTCAACCACATAAAGACATCCTTTTTCTTGAATGACACTATTAGACTGGAAAGTGTTAAAATATATTCCCTTGAGGTTTTCTGTGAGATCGGCCTAGACACTATACACTAATGATGACAGGATCAAGGCTTATAAAACTTTAGAATATTCTGATTTTTAGTCGCATTACGAAGACAAGAGCCTCATTATCTTTCATCATTTGTACTTCTGAAATACTAATGTATGCGTTGCTCTTCTATACATTATTAAATTTCATTTTAAATGGAAAATGTTAATATTTAACTCAATAGTTTAAACACTATTAATACTAATGTTGTCTTTCTAATTTCTAGAGGGAAAACTTTCCAACTTCAATTTGAATCCTCTTAACTTTTATGTTTTCACTGTTCGGAAAGCATACTCTAGTGGCATGGATTATCCTGAAAGCAAGATAATGAAAATGAATTTATATCTAACCTGAACGTGTTTGGGGATTTGAGTATGCATCCCTAACATGGGAGAAGTTCACAACAATTGAAATAGTTCTGAAACGGAGCTGTAAAGACTGGACTCAAGACAAGCAGACATTTTCCATCCTACTGGTCTATCCCTTTCTGCAATGCTCTTCCTATTTATCTTTCTTATCAAGATATCCTCATCTCTGAAATGGACAGAAGGGTCTTTCATAGGAAGAGTTGCTGTGAGCTCCTTTTAGGGATTTTGAACTTGTGGACATTCACTCTAAGAATGCACACATAAATGCACTATAGTAAACAAGTGAGTAAATGAGGAAACCTGGGCACTCTTCTTTTTTCCTTTCATTCATAAACGGGCATTTCAAGGCGGTTATTTAAAGCTCATGTGAATTTCAGGAAGCAGTTGCTGTGCCTATCCTCTGTGGTTCCATAGCACCCACTATAAACATCTAATAGACTGCATTGAAACTATCTTTGTATATATCTATATGCCCAACTGGATTCCTAGGGGAAGAGATTCAGCATTTTTCTTCTCTAGTACATAACATAATGTCTGGCATCAACCAGATGTTCGAACACCATAAAACCATCACCAACCATAAAAATAAGAGCACACACGACGCCCAGATCTCTAAAGCGTCTGGAGTGGTGTTTTGGACTGGCAGTGTAGATATTTTCTAATATAAGCATTAATACAGGGAAAGCCAGCAGCACCTTGACAAAGGAAATAATTCAGCCTCCTCTTGACAAACATGTGTATTGGATTTTCCCAGTTTCAAAGCCAGAAAATCATTCCATTTACCTCAAACAATGAGGATACATGTGAAAATAAGAAACCAGGGAAATCACCATCAAGATGCCACCTTGCGGAAGAGATAGGCAGCTGGAATCACTAAGACGCCCTCCCTGCAAGAACACGAACCCAAGTATAGGCAGAATAATGGAGAGAAGAAAGCTTGAATGACAACTTTGATCACCTATCATCACTTTGTTGCTCTCCTATTCTCAGAACTTTAGTATTTTTCACTACTACTTCCTCCTCTCTGTTACATTTTCTCTTCTGTTTCTACCACCAGGGAAGTGTTTCCCTCTTTTTCTTTATTGTTTTTTAAATTTATTTATTTATTTATTTATTTTTGAGGGAGTTTTACTCTTGTTGCCCAGGCTGGAGTGCAATGGCACGATCTCAGCTCAGCACAACCTCTGCCTCCCAGGTTCAAGCAATTCTGTCTCAGCCTTCCGAGTAGCTGGGATTACAGGCATGCACCACCACGCCTGGCTAATTTTGTATCTTTAGTAGAGACGGGGTTTCTCCATGTTGGTCAGGCTGGTCTTGAACTCCCGAACTCAGGTGATCCACCCGCCTCGGCCTCCCAAATTGCTGGGATTACAGGCGTGAGCCACCTCGCCCAGCTGCGTCTCTCCTTTTGTTGAAGGTTTTCAAAATATTGATAAGAAATTTATGTGTAAGAAGCCACCTAGATCTTTTCTCTCAGTGGGGAACTGTGGGTGATGGCGCTTTCCCCAAAATGGGATGTGGTGGTGTGCAGACTCCTGGAATTTTGCAAAACCCTTATTTTGTTTGAACTGTTTTCCTTTTAGTCAAATGACTTTCAGGCCAGTTTTCATTATATGGACAGACCATAGTTAAGTCATCTACTGTGCCACAATTGCTACAATAATGCTGAGCAAAAGGGATCATCCAAAAACCCAGCCATTCATAACAGAAAACACTTGAACATTCATGGCTCTGCAGGGGAGCTGGGGCCACTCTGCTTCAAGCGGCAGTTGGTATTCATTTAAGGTTCATGTGCCATTCCATCCTTTTTTTATTGATGGCTCTGTGGACATGCTGTCCTGACAGCAGATCGCAGGAATACCGCAGTGGGAGGGGAAACATGAGGCTTCCTGAGACTTTGGCCCCAGGCCGGATCCTTACGCCATCACTCAATTCCCACTGGCCAATCCAAATCCTCTCACCAAGCCCAGTACCACCATGGCAGGAAGCAAAGGCGGCTCCCTGCTGCAGTGGACAGCATTGCAGAGCCACTATCCTGCATGGGTGCATCATTCTTGGAGCAGGAAGGCTGGAAGAATTGAGAACAGTAATTCAGCCTTCCCATAATGATGACTTAGCTCTGTTCTCCATAAGCCTCTAGACCAAACTTGTCCAACCTATTGCCTGCATGCAGCCCAGCACAGCCTTCCATGCTGCGCAACATGAATTTGTAAACTTTCTTAAATTATTACCAGATTTTTTCTTTTTTTTTTTCTTTTTTTTTTTTTTTTTTTGCTCATCTGCTATTGCTAGTGTTTGTGTATTTTATGTGTGGCCCAAAACAATTATTTTTCTTCTAATGTGGCCCAGGGAAGCCAAAAGATTGGACACCCCTGCTCTAGAACTTCAGGGATATGTTTATTCATTGGTTTATTCTCCCCAGGTATATTAAGAGCATAACAAAAAAAGAAAAGGAAAGGAAAGAGGGGGAGGGGAGAGTGGGGAGGGGAGATTTGGGGAGGGGAGGGACAAAGGAAGAAAGGGGGGAAGGAAAGAAAGAAAGAGAAAAGAAAGGAGAGTAGAGGAAGAAATGAAGAAAGAAAAAAAGGAAGAAGAAAGAAAGAAAGAGAAAAGAAAGAGAGAGGGGGGAGGGAGAGAGGGAAGGAAAGGAAAAATGAAGAGAGAAAAGAAGGAAAGAAACAGAGAAAGAGAGAGAGAGAAAGAGAAAAGAAAGAAAGGAAAGAAAGGAAAGAGAGTAGAGGAAGAAATGAAGAAAGAAAAAAGGAAGAAGAAGGAAAGAAAGAAAGAGAAAGGAAAGCGAGAGGGGGGAGGGAGAGAGGGAAGGAAAGGAAAAATGAAGAAAGAGAGAAAAGAAGGAAAGAAAGAGAGAGAGAGAAAGAAAAGAAAGAAAGAAAAGAAAGAAGAAAGAAAGAAAAAAGAAAGAAAGAAAGAAAGAAAGAAGGAAAGAAAAAGAAGAAAGAAAGAGAAAGTCTTGAGTTAAACTAAATTTCATTGGGGAAAAATCAAAACATTGTTAACCCACTTCATAGAGATAAGTAATTATAATTGCTTACATATATGTGTATCCAGTGTGTTTCTTCACCAACATTTTGGTAACAAAAAACGTAGCATTATCATGACTACCCAGCATTTAAAACCAAGATAAGTGGTTGTCTTTCAGATTATCTACACCACCAACTGAATAGAGAGGTGTTCAGTTGAAAATGCAAAATACTTTAAATATTTAAATATTGTATCCCCATGATCCCAAAATGTGACATTAATTATTTTGAGTAGTTTTTTATTAAATCAAAAGAATTCACTGAATGAATTTGTCTTGGTACACACTTTGACACTCAAGTGAACGCAACCTCTGAAATCATTCTTGATTAAGAAATCCTGAAAAAAACTCATCTCTACTAGATGACTAGATAAGCCGGAAAGAGGCTTTGGTCATTTTAAATAGAAATGCTCTCGTTATTCTTCTAAATACCGTTTGAGAAAAAACCAGATAGTATAATGTGGGTTTCATCTAAATTCATATCTATTTCCTTTCTAAGCATTTAATCTCTGATGGCAATTCATGCATTACAGGACTTAGTATCTGTGTAAGTAGATCATGTGGAGGAGGCAGAGGGATAATTTACCCATCTTTCATTAAACTGCCTTGGCATATTACAGCAGGGGCCCTAAACCCTTATTTAAGAACTTTAAAAAGGATTACATTCCAGGAATCCCCCAATTTCCATCGGCTTGAATGCTACAGAGATATGAACCACTTAGGCTTTCCAACCTCAGCTGCATCCAGTCTAAAACTACTACAGACTGTAATTCAGCAGCACATAGTATCTTTCCTTGCTTTGTTTTGGTTGGATTTTTTTCAAATCCGAAAATACGTGTAGATTCAGACCAAGTCATACCACCTGTCATGAGGTGGGTCAAACTTCTCAGGTTCTTTTCTTTCTCTCAAAATAGAAATGTCTTAGGTTCTAATTTAGATTGTCCCAGGTTGGATTTCTGTTATTGTTATTGAAGAAGATACTGACCTGAGATAACATCAGTCTCTAGCTGGGTCTGAATAAGACTCAACTTGGAGGTGAGGATCCCTAACACCTGTCAGCTATAGCCTTGAGAAACATTGTTGGACAAAAATAAGAGCTGAATAATGCCATTTGCAGCCGCGTACTTCACAGGCGGGGCAAAGCCTCTTTGCCCACAGCAAGCTGAGCTGGATGTTGTGTCACTTTGTTCAAGATAATGTGTTGCAACCTGAATCAGAATACAGATTTTAAGTTCTGTAATATAGGCAATATTCGCCAAAGACTGTTACAAGAACAGTACAGATTTTTCTATTCTGGCCAAATTATATAATAGAATTACCTGCCTCTATCCATTAGAATAGCAGGAGAGAAAAATGTGTTTTGTTTTTCAGTATGAGAGAGGGAGAGAGAAAGTTAGTTTATGTTTCTTAGGAGCAGATATTGAGACCAAGATTTTAATGTGATCACTTTTAGGAAGGGATGTGAGCCTAGGAAACATCAGAGGGAGAAGAGAAGACAAAAGAAGGAGCTCGGAAAGGGTGTGCTGTCCTATAATACAAGTGATTGCTGCGGGCAGTTGTAGCTTCATTCTGAGGAGTGTCTCTGAGAGGTAGAGCAGAGCACACACCTCAGCATTCTCATTCCCAAAACAAGAGGGAGCTGGAGCTGCTGGTCACCAACACCCTTCAGCCATTGCTGGAGGCCAATGTAGGAGGCATTGTCTCCTGGCATGTCCTGTATGCTTTGTGCTTTGCCGGAGCTGAACCTGGTAGCCAGGAAAGGCCCTTGGGCAAGAAGACACAGGTGCTGGGAGGTGGAAAACTGGAAGACCAGAGCAGTGTCCATGAAAATTATACAAATCAAGAAGATATGGGCAGGATATCTATACATCTATATCATCTACCTCTACAACTATAATTGTATCTATATCTATGTCTATATTTCTAACTATGCATTTGTATTTATTTATTTATTTTTTAGATGGAGTGTTGCTGTGTTGCCCAGGCTGCAGTGGAGTGGCACAATCAATTCACTCCTGCCTCTACTTCTCAGGTTCAAGAAATTCTCCTGCCTCAACCTCCCGAGTAGCTGGGACTACAGGCGCATGCCACCACGCCCAGCTAATTTATGTATCTTTTTAGTAGAGTGGGAGTTTCACCATGTTGGCCAGGCTGGTCTCAAACTCCTGACCTCAAATGATCCTCCTGCCTCAGCCTCCCAAAGTGCTAGGATTACAGGCATGAGCCACTGTGCCCGACCTGCATTTGTATTTATGGATACATGTTTGTGTGCATGTATTTATACACATGCTGGCTGTGACTTAACCAAAACAAAATCCTATAAAGTAAAATGTCCAGATTTTACAAAACACTTTCATAAACAATGAAAGCTTGGTATCAACAATACAAAATGACCTCAAAAACCCAATCATTTGTAAATTGAGTGATCTACTTGTAAATTTAATAAAAACATGGTATTAAACAATATTCAGATCAAAGGGAACATCATAACAGATATGTCAGTTATCTAGGAAGTAATGAAAAGGCTAATTCTGTATGCCAAAATCTATGATAAACCTGTTTATATTCACAAGCTTTCATTATTAAAATGAAAAAAGGCTGAACATAAATGAAATAATTATTCAATATAAGAAACTAGAAAAAACAATTAAAATAGTAAAATAAAAGAGAATAAAGATAAAAACGGAAATTACTAAAATAGTATAAATAGTAGCCAACAGAAATATATCCAAACATCATTTCTCTGAAAATAACTATAAAACAGAAAAAGTACTAGCATATTAGATTGAGAAAAAATAAGATGGCACAAAGAAATGAATGAGATTATGAATAAAAAGGCAATAAAATCACAGATTTAAGAGATTAAAAGAAACATTATAAGTGCCGGCCGACACCCCGTCTGGGAGGTAAGGAGCGCCTCTGCCTGGCCGCCCCGTCTGGGAGGTGGGGAGCGCCTCTGCCCGGCCACCCCGTCTAGGAAGTGAGTGCCTCTGCCCGGCCGCCCCGTCTGGGAAGTGAGGAGCACCTCTGCCCCGCCGCCCCGTCTGGGAGGTGTACCCAACAGCTCCGAAGAGACAGCGACCATCGAGAATGGGCCATGATGACGATGGCGGTTTTGTCGAAAAGAAAAGGGGGAAATGTGGGGAAAAGAAAGAGAGAACAGATTGTTACTGTGTCTATATAGAAAGAAGTAGACATAGGAGACTCCATTTTGTTCTGTACTAAGAAAAATTCTTCTGCCTTGGGATGCTGTTAATCTATAACCTTACCCCCAACCCCGTGCTCTCTGAAACATGTGCTGTGTCCACTCAGGGTTAAATGGATTAAGGGCAGTGCAAGATGTGCTTTGTTAAACAGATGCTTGAAGGCAGCATGCTCCTTAAGAGTCATCACCACTCCCTAATCTCAAGTACCCAGGGACACAAACACTGCGGAAGGCCCCAGGGTCCTCTGCCTAGGAAAACCAGAGACCTTTGTTCACTTGTTTATCTGCTGACCTTCTCTCCACTATTATCCTATGACCCTGCCACATCACCCTCTCCGAGAAACACCCAAGAATGATCAATAAATACTAAAAAAAAAAAAAAAAAAAAAAGAAAGATTATAAGTGCATAGTCTATGTACTTCTATGGCAATAAATATGAGAATTCTGAAGCGAGTGGCTAGTTTCTTGCAAAAATATTCTAACTGGCTTCCCAAAGAGGCAGAAAACTGAATCTACAAATAAAGGAAGGTGTTGAAAAGGTAATTAAAGAGACGCCAGGTTAAAAAATAATATACATCAGACCCAGATGGTTTCACAGTTGTGTTCTACTTGAGCTTTAAAGAACAAATCATTTCTATGTAACATAAACTTTTCTAGGCTAAAGAAAAAGCTGGAAAATTGCCCGATTTCATGATGTTAGTGTAACTTTTAAGCTATAACTTGCTAAGATGAGTGGAAAATAGTGGAAAAAATTGTAGGATAATTCTATATGCTTATTGTGCATGATTAGGTGCAAACATTCTAAATTACAACTCGATAGATTCTACTATATTCAAGATAATGACCAATATTTTTAATATTGGATGAAAGCATGAATGAATGGCTTAAGATCATTTATTTTATTAAATTAAAGGAGAAAACCATCTGTTTATATTCATGGGAGGTGATGATGGAAAGGCATTTGGTAAATTGCCTAAAAATGTGAGGCTATTCCTAAAAAATCTCTAGGTAAGATAAGAGTAGAAGAACATGACCATTACTTAACAGCAAATATCATTGGAAAGAAAAAAGCAATTATATATTTCTTTTAAAAATCAAGGGAAAAATACAGAATGAACACCAGTACCACTCTTACTTAACATGGCTTTGAAGATTCTTGATAAACCAGAAAGCTAAAGCAATTGTTAAATTATTAACATATATTTTAAAGCTACAACAATGTTTAGTTTGCAGATGTTGACACTAAATATCTAGAAAATTGAAAAAACAATTAAAGGTACTTAAGAATTAGTGAGGCAGAGTAGTAAAATGAATGATAAAAGCTGTATATGTCAAAATTGTCTTGCATTTTATGCCAATAGAATAAATTTTAAAATTAGATTATATTTTTATTCATAATAGCAGCTAAAACTACAGAATAACTAATAAAATAGATTTTAATATACATAGATTATATACACACCTATATATGTTTTTTCTTTTCTTAGTCAATCGTGTTTGTGTGTGTATAAACATATATTTCCAGGAACTTTGTGCTCACAGTGAAGGACAAAGCCACATCCTGAATGAATGAAGAAATATAAAATATTCCTTGTTGGGGGGGATGAGAAACAGTCATGTAACCTATTAATTTAATACAATTCCAAGCAAAATCTTTTGATACAAAGAATGTAATGAAAGAGAGCAACATGAATACTCTGTCTCACTTCCCAGGTCAATGTTAACATAGCTAGAAAATGGAAAAGTGCTTACCTTGCTGGTGTTCAGTAAGCAAAATGTAACCCTTTCTTATTTCCCTCGTTCCCACACCTAGACGACCATGGGGCCACGACAGAGAAGCAAGAGGGTGCATTGCACTGAGAACAAGCAGCTTGTCCTCTTTCTCCCAGAATAGCTCACCAGGACTGAACTATTTCTACTTAAAATATTATACTTCTGGGAAGTTGATAGATAAGCATGGAATGTCGAGAAAACTAAGGCAACTGACCATGTGTCTCAAAGAGGGCAGCCCCATAAACTTCTGCGAGGCATTATTAAGATGCTCTCACTCTTGTTGCTGCTTTTATACACTACTCTTCTGTGTTTATAGCTGCAACGTCAATGGGCAGGCGAATTTCTACTTCTCTTGTCCAGTTGCTAGAGGAAAGCAGAAAGTTGCACACATAACTGATGGTTGAGTCAGTCCATGAAACTCCAGACATCATTCCCCGGGGTTATGTGGAGGTTAGTCAGACTGCAACCCTTTTTCATTGTCTTTCCTTAATCCTCATGAAAAGTTGCACTTTTCTTTTGTCGTTAGAGCTGATTTAGAAATTGTAATTTATGTTTCATTAATATTCATTTTTGTCAACATGATTATTGTTTTTTAAGGAAATATTTATTGCATCTACTTATTATTTGGCATTGACCATGAGATGATGTGATTCGGGAAACCTTGATAATAAATTTTCCCTCTGGAATTGCAAACTCTATCCTTCTCACTCTGAACTGCAGTTTCTCTCAATTCTTTGCAATTTCATGCATCCCAAGGAGGTGAAAAATACTCCTCTCTTACTGGAGATAACTTTAAATTAAATCCCTGATCTGTTACATTTTCTGTGACAAAAGGGCTTTCTTAAGATATTATTCTGGATTTTGTACATCAGCAAAGCCTGTTGTTTCCAGCCTGTTAGTGTGATATATCAAAAATGCACACAGACATATAAATTTCTGATCAATTATTTTGAAAACTCTAACCCATATGAAACTTTAACCAATGTCCATATTTTTAAGTTACTATTTTTAATAGCCACACAATAATTCCTTCTTCCTGAAATATTCCATAGACATAATGTAACCCTAGGAAACCCAGTTGCCCTTTGCATGGCTGTGGAGAACTTCTCAATACTTGATTGTTTCACATAAGGGAAATTAGATTTTTAATAAAAAGATCACAGTTATCTTTGCCAGACAGTTAAATACCTGCATGAAGTACTCATTGAAAATATACTTTTTTAATACAATGTTTTAAAGGTATACCCATGAAGCTAAAAAGACTGCAAGAAACAGAAGCCAAAAAGACTGCAAGAAACACTGCAAAGCAAATACCAGCTCTGACAGATGTCACGTGGCATCTGCTGAAACACGAATGGAGGTTTTATTAATGTTCAACTGTATTGTGTACAATAGCAACAGCTGATTAGCGATGGGAGTGGAAGATTCTGACTTCACTCTTCCCCATCACTGTTTCTCTAGCTGCTAATTAAAATATCTCAGAAATTTTAGACATCTTTTTATAACTCATTGTAATATTTGTTCTCCCTCAAATCTACTCCATACAATTCCATATGCCTTTTCTGACTTACATAATTCTGCTTTGACATAAATGATTAATACAGTTTGAGATGAAAAAGAATACAAGTGTAAATAAAAAACTCCCTAATACTGCGAAATTTTATTTTATTTTTATTTTTATTGTATTTTTGAGACACAGCTTCACTCTGTCGCCCATGCTGGAGCACAGTGGTGCAATCGAGGCTCACTGCAACCTCCATCTCCCAGGCTGAAGAGATTCTCTTGCCTAAGCCTCCCAAGTAACTGGGACTACAGGCACGTGACACACCATGCATGGCTAATTTTTGTATTATCAGAGATGAGGTTTTGCCATGTTGGCCAGGCTTGTCTTGAACTCCTGACCTGAAGTGATCTGCCCACCTTGGCCTCCCCAAGTCCTGGGATTAGAGGTGTGAGTCTCCATGCCCATCCATAATGCAAAATTTGAAAATGCCTTTGTTTTGTATTAAAACCTAGTTGTCCAAAAGATTTCAAATAAACTATATATTTGCACAAAGGATCACAGTTATACTTTGATTCCTTAAAAAAAGGGAAAATAACCATGCTTAGAAAATGCATCCACACTTTTCACACAGCAAATGTACTAAAAGATCTTCATTTGATTAAATATTTTTTCATGTTTGAATGGAAACCACAAGATCTGTATAACAGACATGTTCTTAGAGTCTAAGAATGCTTCCTTGATACCAGCCAGTTTCAGCTGACATCTAGCAATTCTAGTATTCATGTGAACTTGCTATAACAACATCAGGATACTTCATAAAGCAATTGTTGAAAAAAAAAAGTCAAACTCTGTAAAATATTTGAAGAGATTTATCCTGAGCCAAATATGAGCAATCAGTGTCCCATGACACAGCCCTCAGGAGGTCCTGAGAACATGTGCCCAAGGTGGTCAACTTGGTTTTGTACAACAAGGCTACAACTTGGTTTTGTACATTTTAGGGAGACATAAGACATTAATCATAACATAACATAACATAAGATATATACATCTTATATGTATATTGGTACATTGGCTCAGTCTGGAAAGGCAAGACAACTAGAATGTTGGGGGGCTTCCAGGTCATAGGCAGATTCAAAAATGCACTGATTGGCAATTGGTTGAAAGAGTTACTAACTAAAGACCTGGAATCAATAGAAAGGAATGTCTGAGTTAAGATAACGGGCTACGGGCTACGGAGACTGATGTTTTATCATGCAGTTGAAGCCTCCAGGTAGCAGGCTTCAGAGAGAATAGATTGTAAATGTTTCACAACAGACTTAAAAGAGTCTGTTCTATCAGTCTTAAGGTCAGCTGTGTCTGAATTGTAGAAGGGAAGAGGGAATAATGAAGCATGTCCAACTCCCCCTTCTTATCATTGCTTGAACTAGTTTTCCAGGTAAATTTTGGAATTTCCTGGGCCATGAACTGGGGTCCATTCAGATGGTTGAGGGGCTTAAATTTTTATTTTTGGTTTACACTATATTGTAGCCAGGTATGCTGGCTCATTCCTTTAATCCCAGCACTTTGGGATGCTGAGGCAGGAGGATCACTTGAGGCCAGGGGTCAAGACCAGCCTGGGCAACATGGTGAGACTTCCGTCTCTACAAAAATATTCGAAAATTAGGCAAGCACAGTGGCACGTACCTGTAGCCCCAGCTACTTGGGAAGCTAAGGTGGGAGGATTGCTTGAGCCCAGAAGTTTGAGGCTGCAGTGATCTATGATTATATCACTTCACTCCAATCAGGGCAAGACAGCGAGACCCTGTCAAAAAAAAAAAAAAGAAAGAAGAAGAAAGAAAATAATGAAAGAATAAAGAAAAAGAAAGAAAGAAAGAAACAAAGAAAGAAAAAGAAAGAAAGAAAGAAAGGAAAAGAAAAGAAAAAGAAAGCTGTATTGCCTCGGAGCTTATATGTTAATAAGTTTTATGTTCTGAAAATAAAAAAAAACCATCCCAAAAGTTATGCCTGCCAAAATCAGGATTAAAAAGATCCTGAAGAAAGACATCTCACTTTGCTAATATGTGCAGAGTTTGCATTTTATTAGTTCTATTTCATTCATTAACTTGGTTAATCAGTGATTTATGGTTGGCCAATGATTTCAAGATGAGATGAAATTTATTAAAGTCATGAAAAGGCAAGCCATCAAACTTCAAGGGACTTCCAACCACACAGCCCCTGAACATTGTCTTGATCGCTTGGTGTTGCAAATGCCCTTTTGGTGGAGCTTAAATAAGATCAGTTGGACTGAGAAAGATTGCTTGATGTAGAGCCATTGAAACAAGCTGAGTGTCTTCCAAGGCAGGGACATCCAATCCATCTCAGATGATAACCTTTTGCAAGGCAGGATGTCCAGTCCATCTCAGATGATAACCCTTCAGGCATCCGTCCTGGTGAGCATTGTTTACCCTTCCCCTGTGGTCACAGTGCAAGCTAATACTGCTAGCTGCAAAGCTCCATAAAGGTTGTTGTAATGCAGAGACTCCCAGGAATTGAGGGATGAGATGAAAGTGGGTTCTGCATAATGGCCCGGGCAGTAATGCTGTTGTAAGAAACTCCACCAAACTTCAGGAGGAGAACAGAGCCAATGTTCAGCGACCTTCTTCCACAAAAGATGGTGAAAAGTCTTTTTTTTGTTTGTTTTTTTTCTTTTTCATGCTACAAATTCACTTTGCATTCAATTTCAACCTCTGTGTTTGTTGGATATCTCTTGTCTACATCTATGGTTATTTCCAAAATAAAAAGTAACATGTTTAAACAATAAGGCACTTTCAAGGAAAAACTGATTTATTTCTACTAAATAAAAATTGTTCCCAGTAACAACCATACCTAAAGAAGTTATAAATCTGTCTTTAATTTTGCAATGACAAATGAAAAATGTTGACTTTTTCAATCAAACAGGTAATTAAGATTGTTTACTGTTGTTGGTTGTGTTAAACAATGAATGCAAAAAATAGTTTGCTGTAATATACAGATAACACTTAAATAAATGTGCCATTAATGGAGAAAAGATGACTTTTTCCCAGGACCAACGTCTTGCCCTCTTCATTTCCATCTGATGTTGTTCAAAACAGTCCACTAGCAAATACAGTTGTTTTGTTGGTGGTGGTGGTTTTTAGAGACTGCCCGTGCATATATACCAGTTACTATATGGACAGTTAAAAAAAATAGGGAGAGAGAAATCAATACTTGTCATTCAAAATAAGCTCTCATTATATTCTCCAGTAGCGTATCTCTTGTTCTTTCACTGCATTTCATAAGCCTTCCTGCATGACCATCTTCACATTGGTGTAATTCTTGCTCTCTGTTTTTCCTCCTCTTCTGGCTTTCCTGGGCCACAGTGAGAATCAGCATCTTCAGTATGGATTAATGCCTGTGGCCCTGATTCCATCAGGAGGCATAGTGAGAACTGCAGGAAAGGCCAGTGGTCTCTCTCATTTGGAATTATTTTTTAGGTCCCCTGCAATAGTCACTAAGAAATCTATCTCTTTAGCAGGCACTCCATAATAGTGCAGAATAGAAGAGTTTAAAAAAAAGAAAAGAAAAGAAAAGGAGGAAAAGATGAGTGAGGATCCAAAGCTTTCTGAACAGGACATTAGTTTTTGCTGCCATGCAGTGTCCAGGAGACAGCTAAATGTTACAGCAGGACCAACCTCAGCCCAAACCTGGTTCCATTCCTTAGGGCAGGTCTGGTGTCTGCCATCCTGAAGGTCGGAACACCCCATCTGGATTAAGTAAGATTTCAGGCAAAATTATTTTATCTCCTTATAAATCATTGAGTCATTCAACATTTATTTATTCGTTAGTTCATGAATCTGACATTTCTGAAATGCTTATTTCCTTGGAGAAAAGGCTGGAGAATTGCATAAAAAACAGATACACTGCCCTAGATAATTCTCAGCTCTGTATACTGGAGTTTGGATACCCCGTGGAAATGGAAATGCTACTGAGAGATATTTCCCTTCCTAAAGAAGTATCTCCTCACACAGGCCTCACCTATCCACAAAGTGAGCTGGAAAATGCTCAAGAGTTGTTTTTATCACCTCCTGGAGGTAATTCCATAGGCAGTACTAACCTGGCTGTACTCTAGTGATTGTTGTCTCATTTGATGGTCTTCAATGTAGAGTGAGGTTTATAAGAAAACAAATTAGATGTAAGAAGATAGTTCTGGAACTTCCACTCATATTTATTTCTACCTAAATAGTTAAGGGAGTGATTAAGACATGCTATGCTGATTTGTAACAGTTGGCTTGACGTTGACTGCCCACTTGGTACTATGACAGTCACGATGCATAATTTTCTTGAAATTCGAAGCACCCTAAGGGCACACTTGTAGTCTGTGAACCACAGAGCAGCCTTGACTGGGCTTTTAATTTGCTTAGCCCTCAACTTTCAGTGTCCTGTGACATATGCATAGTTAGGCAGATTTGTGCATTATTTCATCTAGGTTTAACTGATCTTGCCCACACAAAATGAATATGTAGCTTACAATTTTCCTGGGAAAGAACTATGGATTCAAAATATTTGTCCATATTTCAAGTCCAAGAGAGAAAGATAATAGCTCAGTTGATTCTTGGATTTAATTCTAATAGGAGATTTTCACTATCCATAGTATGAGGTGAACACAGCACCCATGTAATAAGATGGGCCGAGCAATTGCCTGCGGAATCTGAAGTTATCAAGAGCATTATTTGAAATGGAAATTTGCATCAATGATTGTTAGCCATGAACCTTATCCCTCGAGATCATCTCAAACTGTATTATTAAGCCATCATAATTAGCAAGACAATTAGAAGTCAGCCCTCCTGGACAATATCAATGCTAATATATATTTTTAATGAAAACAAAAGGGAATATGTACCATTTGTAAATAAAAATATATGAAGTAATATTTCCACATTATAATTTCATCTCTTAACCTCATCTTTTTTTCTACTTCTGTGTTGGTTTTACAGTGTAAATTATATGTGAGTACAGTAATGCATACCTATACTTTGTAAAGTAAGAAATGCCAACCAATTGAGAATGAATGCCTTAAACATTTCTACTGATGGGAGTAAATGAACAAAAACTTTGGAGTCCAAGGATCTGCTTGCTGGGAAACAGTCTGGGCAGAGAAGGCCACCTCCCTTAGTGTTGCAGGCAACATTGCGCTCCGCCAGTCCTGCTCTGTGAAGCTACTGTAGTTTGCTTCAAGAGAGCTCTTTTTGGTTTTTCTGTAAAGGAATGTAGAAGCCAAGAAATTCCCGCAGATGAACCAAAATAATTATTAACATCCTGTACCAAGATTTTCCAAAATCCCCAAAATAATTCCCTCTAATGGTGTCATAAGTGTTACCAATGCTAGGAATGCATCCTATTAGACAGGAAAACTAATCTGAGCATAATGTTGCATCCTCTTGTAATAAAATTAGGCTTTAGATACCTTAAGAACCTTCACCCACATCTATCCGGCCTCATTTGAAAATGGGAAGGTGCTGAAAAAATGGTTAGAAAGACAATCTCTATTTTTCAGGTATTTAATTAAATTATTCAACCGAAAATAGAAATAGAAACAGGAACTCCCTTTGTCCAATCTTAGATCTCTCCCTCTGTTCCCACTGCAGCAATCCCAATTCCATTACATAATACACACATCTGCCCCATACAGAGCCACCTAAATTTGACCTTTACACTCATTCCAATGCCTGGGAATCAGAATGCATCCATTCTTGAAGCAAAAAGCAATGAACAGCCGGGTGCGGTGGCTCACGCCTATAATCCCAGCACTTTGGGAAGCCAAGGCAGGCGGATCATGAGGTTAGGAGTTTGAGACCAGCCTGGCCAATATGGTGAAACCCCATCTCTACTAAAAATACAAAAAAAAAAAAAAAAAAAAAGTAGTCGGGCACGGTGGTGCATGCCTGTAATCCCAGCTACTCAGGAGGCTGAGGCAGAAGAATCACTTTAACCTGGGAGGTGGAAGTTGCAGTGAGCCGAGATCATGCCACTGCACTCCAGCCTGGGCGACAGAGTGAGACTCTGTCAAAAAAAAAAAAAAAAAAGCAATGACCAATGACCAGCATCTCTTTTTATGCACCTTGGTCTTTGCTACAGGACCTAAGTAATAAAAGCAGAAAGCCTCTCCCCATAGTCTCACTATCCCTTTTTAAAAATAAGAATCTTTGGGAAACTTCAAGAGGACATTGCATTGGGGTTGGAAATTGGAAAGCAATGAAGAACTGTGAGGCTTCAGTTGTGTTCAGTCTTGCACCAGTGAGGAGAGATGGGCCTGAAGCTCCCCATGGAAAACCTGTGAGGTTTTCTAACAACTATGGAAGCGCCCAAAACAAAGATGACACCAAGGGTTATACTGCTGGGAATTCCATTTCCCAGGCTCTCCAGCGCTCCCCTCTTATGGGCCAGCCGGTCTCCTAACCACTATTTATAAGGATGCGGTACAGAGAATTGTAACTGGCAGACCTATAGACAGACACTGGTGAGCTATCATTTGAAAGTGTACAATAATCACTTACATTAGTAATTCAATAGCTCAATCATAATACTTCAATGCACTGTTTTTCAGTTGCAAATCAAAACAAAATCATCATTACTGGCTAATAATAGGTTATTCTGTTGATTAAACAAACTTGGATTGTTTTGTTGGTTAATAGACATGGGCATCTCACCACCCACACCTCATGTAATATTTTCTAAACAATATCTAATTAAAAGATCACATGAACAAAATGTCTTGTATCTAACACCATGATTGGTCTGTTACAAAAATATGCATGAGACAAGGAAAGACATAAAACTCTGCAAGTTGTTTTCAAGGTTTTATTTTAAAACAAAAACAAACGAAACCTTTACTCTTGCTTCCATTGTCAAATTGTTGTTGTTTTCTTTTTCTTTTTCTTTTTTTTTTTTTTCTGCACATTGGAATGTTTTCCACTGGGGGTGATAATGCAGCACAGCCATATTTGGTATGTCTGAGGGATGTGTCTGACTTTTGTGAAATACAAGAAGAGTAATTTTGATAAGTGAAGTAGAAAAGTAGATGAAGAATGATGTCTACAACATGTTGCATGTTTCAATAAAGAATGTTTTTCATCCTGGAGAAACACCTGCGCTCCAGATTGACAATTGCCAACTTTGATACTCACACCCAGAGGCAACTTGGCTTTATGTTAAAGACCACACTCTGAAGTCACCGTGCAGCTTTGTCACTTGTCGGCTGGAGGAGCTCAGAGAAGCACTCAGCCTCTCCATGCCTCTTGCTTGTCTGTAAAACAAGAATGATGCTAAGACTTACTACATGCAGTGTTACGGGGATTAAATGATGATGCATTTAAAAGAATCACTTTAGCCCAATGTCCGCCACATTAAAAACCACAAGGAATTGTTGCAGGAAGTCAGGGACCCCAAACGGAGGGACCAGCTGAAGCCATGGCAGAAGAACATGGATGGTGAAGATTTCATGGACATTTATTAGTTCCCCAAATTAATACTTTTATAATTTCTCATGCCTGTCTTTACTGCAATCTCTAAACATAAATTGTGAAGATTTCATGGACACTTATCACTTCCCCAGTCAATACCCTTGTGATTTCCTAGGCCTGTCTTTACTTTAATCTCTTAATCCTGTCATCTCATAAGCCGAGGAGGATGTATGTGGCCTCAGGACCATGTGATAATTGCGTTAACTGCACAAATTGTAGAGCATGTGTGTTTAAACAATATGAAATCTGGGCACCTTGAAAAAAGAACAGGATAACAGCAATTGTTCAGGGAATAAGAGAGATAACCTTAAACACTGACCGCCAGTGAGCCGGGCGGAACAGAGCCATATTTCTCTTCTTTCAAAAGCAAATGGGAGAAATATCACTGAATTCTTTTTCTCAGCAAGGAACATCCCTGGGAAAGAGAATATGTGCCTGGGGGTAGGTCTATAGACGGCTCTCTGGGCGTGGTCATCTTTTATGGTCTGTAGACTGTAGGGGTAAAATAGATCCCAGTCTCCCATAGCACTCCCAGGCTTATTAGGAAGAAAAAATTCCCACCTAATAAATTTTGGTCAGACCGGTTGCTCTCAAAACCCTGTCTCCTGATAAGATGTTATCAATGACAATGGTGCCCAAAACTTCATTAGCAATTTTAATTTCGCCCCGTCCTGTGGTCCTGTGATCTCGCCCTGCCTCCATTTGCCTTGTGATATTCTATTACCTTGTGAAGTACGTAATCTCTGTGACCCACACCTATTCGCACAGTCCCTCCCCTTTTGAAAGTCCCTAATAAAACCTTGCTGGTTTTACGGCTTGTGGGGCATCACAGAACCTACCAACATGTGATGTCTCCCCCGGACGCCCAGCTTTAAAATTTCTCTCTTTTGTACTCTGTCCCTTTATTTCTCAAACCGGCCGATGCTTAGGGAAAACAGAAAAGAACCTATGTGACTATTGGGGCAGGTTCCCCAATAAGGAATATTAGCTCTTGTTTGTGTTAGGATTGCTGTCATTAATATTATGATCCTGTAAGGTATCAACAAGAACATTGGATACACACAGAGACACTATTAATTAGAATTTGTTGTTTGAAAGAAGGCATTTCCCAGAGCAACTTTGGGGAATTAGACATAAGCATGGGTCTTCTGGCACCTAGATACTTTTTTGTTCTGTGCAGGAGGAGTCAGTATGAGTTAAAGAAAGCTATCCATTATTTAGGATGAAACCAATGTACAAGTGCAGACTTATGATAATAGTGAGTTAAGGTTGCAAATGGAATTCAAGTTGCTAATGAGCTGACTTTACAGTAGGGAAATTATTCCAGAGTATTTGGGTGGGCCCATTGTAATCACAAAATGCCTTAAAAGTGGAAGAGGGAGGCAGGAGGGAAGATCAGAATGATTCAGTATAAGAAGGACTCAACCTGTCAAGTTGGCTTGGAAGATGGAGGAGGCTCCTTGAGCCAAGGAGAGCAGGTCGCCTCTACAGGCTGGGAAAATCAAAGAAATGGAATTTCCCCTTAAGCCTCCAAAGGGAGAGCAGCCCTGCCGGGTGAGTTTGTCAGACTGTGTTCAGAAATGTAAGATCATAAAATTGTGTTGTATTAACTCACTGTTAGTGGTCATTTGTTACTGCAGTGTTAGGGAACAGATATTAGCACTCGTGATGTAATTAAAATCATTGTCTTTGCTGCATGTGGTAATGAAGCTGCAAATGACGTAGATCACCTTGGGCTCCCTCCTTTAAAGTTCTCACCCATCAGACAGTACACACTACTCCTGGGTTTTGTCATAGCTATTTGTATGTATCACCTACGAGCCCCATATCCAGTCTTGGTAAGTCAAGGACTATATCTTTTCAGACAGTATCTCACCCCACCATTTATTAAAAGTATTGAACGGCCACTATGAAGAACAGTATGGAGGTTCTTCAAAAAACTAAAAATACAACTACCATATGATCCAGCAATCCCACTGTTGTGAATATATGCAAAAGAAAGGAAATCAGTATGTTGAGGAGATGTTTGCACTCTGAAGTTTATTGCAACACTACTCATGATAGCCAAGATAAGGAAGCAGCCTAAGTGTGCATCAGTAGATGAATGGATAAAGAAAATGTGATACCTATAGGCCGGGCGTGGTGGCTCATGCCTGTAATCCCAGCACTTTGGCAGGCCAAGGCAGGTGGATCATGAGGTCACTAAAAATACAAAAAAAATTAGCCGGGCATGGTGGCCGGTGCCTGTAGTCTCAGCTACTAGGGAAGCTGAGGCAGGAGAATGGCATGAACCCGGGAGGCGGAGCTTGCAGTGAGCCGAGATCGCGCCACTGCACTCCAGACTGGGTGACATAGCGAGACTCCATCTAAAAAAAAAAAGTGATACCTATACACAATGGAGTACTATTCAGCCTTTAAAAAGAGTGAGATCCTGTCATTTGCAACAATGTGGATGAAACTGAAGGTCACTATATTAAGTGAAATAAGCCAGGCACAGAAAGACAAGCTTCTCATGTTCTGACTTATTTGTTGGAGCTAAAAATTAAGACAATTGAACTCATGGAGATAGAGAGTAGAAGGATCGTTACCAGAAGCTAGGAAGGGTAGTTGGGGGGTGTGAGGGGAGTGAGGATGTTCAATAGGTACAAAAAATAGTTTAAAAGAATGAATAACATCTAGTATTTAATAGCACAACAGGGTGACTATAGTCAATAATAATTTAATTGTACATTTTAAAATAACTAAAAGAGTATAATTGGATTGTTTGTAACACAAGGGATAAATGCTTGAGAGGATGAATGCCCCGTTTTACATAATATGATTATTACACATTGCATGCCTGTATCAAAACCTCTTATGTACCCCATAAATATATACACCTATGATGTACCCACAAAAATTAAAAATTAACAAAAAAGAATGAGATCCTATCATTTACAACAACATGGATGGAACTTGAGGACATTTACATTAAGTGAAATAAGCCAGGCACAGAAAGACAAATTTTGCATGTTCTCACTCACATGTAGAAGCTAAAAATTAAAACAATGGAACTCCTAAAGATAGGGAGTAGAAGGATGGTTAGCAAAGGCTGGGAAGGGGAGTGGGTGTGGAGGGTGGGGATAATTTGGAATGATTAATGGGTGCAAAAGACAGAAGGAATAAGATAGAAGGAATAAGAGCTAGTATTTGATACCACAACAGGGTGACTATGTCAACAATAATTCCTTGTATATTTTTAAATAACTAAGAGAGAGGAATTGCAATATTCCTAACACAAAGAAAGGATTAATGCTTGAGGCGATGGGTGCCCAGATTACCCTGGTTTGATTGTTACACATTGCATGCTCATATCAAAACATCACATGTACCCCATAAACATATTCACCTATGATGTTCCCATAACAATTAAAAATTTAAAAAAATAAAATAATTTAAGTATCAAATATGAACACAATTTTATGTCTCCCTTTTTAAAAACTTTTGTGTGCTCTCTCCTTTTTTGAGCTAGCTTTTTCTTCCTGCATTGATATTCTACCCATGACCCTGCAATTCTACTATTCTAAATCATATTTCTCTGCTATCCACAGCCTTTTCTGGAATTGACTTACTACTCAATTCTGGATAACACTATTAGTGAGCAAAATGAAGTGAAGGAAAGTTTTCAATGACCAACATTAATGTGGCTGAAACGGGTTCAGAGAATCTGCTCAGATCCTTGTCAAATCCCGGGAAAATCTCACAGACCTGGGTTCCCCAGCACTGGCCTCAAATTCCTCAGGCTTTCTGGGCTTATTGAATCAAGGGCATTGGTTGTCCTTGAATAAAGTGTATAGCATGTCAACTACCAAATATTTTGCTGCAGTCCAGAAAAATGAAAAGAGAAAGGGAGAAGTAGCTGCAAAAATCCTCTACAATGCCATTCTTGGCATAGAAAAATCTAGAAGAGCATGAAGATGTTAGGGGGTGGCGAATATCCAAACTATTGATGGGTCTGATGTGTTAAAATAAAAACTTCAGCCAAATTAAATTTAAAGGAGTTTAATTGAGCAATGAACGAGTCTTCAGAGATGCCTTGTGGTCAGAACCAATTTATAGGCAAAAAAGGGAAGCAACGTACAGAAATCAGAAGTGAGATACAAAAATAACTGGATTGGTTACAGCTCGGTGTTTGCCTTATTTGAACACAGTTTGAGCACTTAACAGTCTGTAAGTGGTTGAAGTATGGCCACTGGGATTGGCCAAGACTCACTTATTGTTACAGGTCGGTACTCCTAAGTTAGGTTTTCAATCTTGTCGACCTACTAAGTTAGGTTGCAGTTCATCCACAAGGACTGAAATATAGAAGTACCAAGTCCTTCTCAGGTCATATTTAGTTTGCTTTAACAGTGGCAACCTCAATTCTTGCCTCCTCAAAAGAAAGAAGAAATTCAACTGAGGGGCATAAGGCAGAAAAAGAGACTGAGGCAAGTTTCAGAGAAGGAGTGGAAGTTTATTAAAAAGCTTTAGAGCAGGAAAGAAAGAAAAGCACACTTAGAAGAGATCCAAGTGGGTGACCTGAAGGACAAGTGCCCCATTTAACCTTGACTCTAGGACTTTATTTGCTGGCCTGTTTCTGGCATCTTGCACCCCTTTTCCCTCATTCTTCCTTAAGGGTGAGCCACGCACATACTTGCCTTGGGAGGTGAGCATGTGCAGTGTGTTTAGGAAGTTGTGGGCATGCCCACCTGAGGCTTTCTTCCCTTTTCCAGTGGAATGCCCCCAGAAGGTCATATTCTGCCATTTTGTCTCCTAAGGAGAATGCCCAAACTCACTCCCAACTCCTGAGATTTTATTGGAAGCTGCAGATTACCAATCTCAACTGTTTGGTAAATTGCCTATCCCTGGGGCCTGCGATCAATTATCACTTTAGTGTGACAACTGTGAATTATCAGGAAATGGTCTCTCCATGGCGGGGCGCTGGCTGCCAATTATCATTTTAAGAGAGGCATTGTGATCACTGCCCAACCATCACCTGATGGTTGCCTGACATTCCTGATGGGAAGCACTCTCCCGCCACACTCATGCCTGGATAACTACCTGTAGCAAAATTGTTGAGAACATTCATTCTTAAGAAAGTTAAGAGGGAGTCCATACAAATTATAAATGGAGTGATACATTAGACACTAATGGAGACACATGGACTCTGACTTCCTAAAAGTGTCACTTGGGGAATTATTATAGGATTGGATGCCAAGCTCTATTTCCAGATTTACCCCCATGGCCCTGAGTGCCAGCTGAATTTTTAGTAAGCTAGGCCTTCAGGATAAATATGCATTAGTCATTCCACCTACGATACCCGGCCAGTCAACCACTCATCAATAAGCATGGTGGTGAGGACTGAACTTTGACCTTTTTTCGTCTTTTGCCCAAATTCCTATCTAAGGGGCCTAAAGAGTCCACCCTACAAACCATAACGTCTCATCAGAGGGGTTTTGTTTAATCCTATATAACATGGCCTGCTTTCCAGCCTGACTCTGACATAGCATCGCATGACAGATAAGAAAGGAAATCCAAGTATTTTAACCCCAAATGTGTTTATTTGCCATATCTTGAAATAGCCATGCGAAGTTGTCTCCTGGGGAAGATCTACATTCTATAGAGAATCCCTTTCCCTTTTCAAGGTCTTTCTTCTGATCCAGGAGAGAATCAACTAAGAAGTTGACACCTTTCTAAGTCTGATAAGAAACATTTACTAACATTTACAATCTACTCTCTCTGATGCCTGCTACCTGGAGGCTTCATCTGCATAGTAGGAACCTTGGTCTCCAAAACCCCTTCTCTCTCTCTCTCTCTTTTTTTTTTTTTTTGACAAAGGTTCTCAGTCTGTTGCTCAGGCTAGAGTGCAGTGGTGCAATCATAGCTCACTGCAGCCTCTTATCTTAACCCAGACATTTCCTTTCTATTGATTCCAGGTCTTTAGACAAACTCTTTTAACCAATTGCCAGTCAGAAAATCTTTGCATCTGCCTATAACCTGGACCCACCCCTAGCCCTCCACTTCCGGTTGTCCCACCTTTCCAAATGGAAACAATGTACATCTTACATGGATTGATTTATGTCTTATGTCCCCCTAAAATGCATAAAACCTAGTTGTATAGTTGTGGCCTGACCACCTTGGGCACGTGTTCTCAGGGTCTCCGGAGGGCTGTGTCATAGACCTTGGTCACTCATATTTGGTTCAGATTAAATTTCTTCAAATATTTTACAGAGCTGGACTCTTTTCATCAACAGTGGTCGGCCCTAAGTGCATCCCTAGGTTGGCAAAGCTTTGCTTATGGGCTCAGATAAGTCTCCTCCCTTATGGCAGAAGTGAGAGGAAGGTCCTCTCCCAGCCCCAAAGCTCAGGCTTTGTTTCCTGTGACTAAAGCCTCCCAGCCCAAGGATCCTGGACACACATCAAGAGAGCTCCCTTGGAGCCGAGTCCTAAATGTCCTATTGGGGGTTGGGGGGGAGAAAAGACAATAACCCTACAACAAAAAACAAGCCTAGCAAATGATTTCTTAAGCCAGTAAAAAACTCATGCGAAAGACTCTGTACAGACTCAACAGAGATTTCCAGGACGTCATCCATCTCCCTAAAATACGCATTTCAAGTTCTCCATTGTGTTTTTGGTACTGTAAAATGTATGTTGATTTAAGCTGTTCTCATGTTACACAGTGGGGTTGCTTTTGGCCTCTGTGAGATGCCAAGCACCTTGGCAGGACTCAGAATCCACTCCCTATGCGACTCCTCGGTGTCTTCTTCACTTGGCATAGGTGCTGTGGTTGTCAGCAACTGAATGAAGCTGATGTTTTGGCTTTGGGCCTTGCTAGAGAAAGCTGACATCTGTCCAAATGACAATACAGCACCTGTAAAGGAACAGAGATGAAGGTACAAAGACGTCGCTATCTGTACAGTGGTGAAGCACCCACACCTGCACTTTGGAGACAGCTGTAGGGCTTGGATTTGCAAATCCTGGCATGTGCACAGAATTGGGCTTTGACTTGGGTGTGGTAACACTTCTGTTAGAATGCTAGGGGAAAGTCTCTTTGATAATGTGGGGTGGGGCATGACAACTCATTGGCATCTTCTCTCAAGCTTGGAACCAGAGTCGCAAAACCAGATGTTTTGGTTGAAGGAAGTGTGGTAAGTGGATTTGATAATAAGGAAGGCATCAAAATGCTTTGCATGGCTGGTATGGGAATACTGGGGTGCCTTTTATCAACTCTTACCTCTAACCCGACTACCTTTGGGAATACTTTAGTAGTAAATAATTATTGTGTTAAATCATGCCATGTGATTAATTTGGGGAAACAGAAAATTATCTTCATGTGGAAAAACAATAATAGCATGTCTTCAAACTACTCAGTCAATAAACATTTCTTATGTTGAGAGTAATTATATATATATATATTTCACATTTGAGATAGTTCATTCGATAATCACTTATTTCTATACAAAATGTGGTAAGAATATTGGGAAACATTTGCCCATGAATAATACCCACAACATGCCTCTTCAATTTATAGCCTAATTTGACTTGGCAGACATTTTGCACTCAAAAGCGTGGGATTGAGCCAAATCTAACCTCACCACTTTTATTTTATCAAAACCTGGAATATTTCATCATAGCAAACCTGTAAAAGGGGTTTCTTTTTAATTATCTTCTTAAAACATTTAGCATTACAAATTCATCATTCGATTGGCTATTTGCCTGGAAGTTATCACACATGGGAAAAATGCCAATATTTGCAAACCCCAGGGTGGTGAATCACTGCAAACAAAACTGATGACTATATAGAATAATTGTTGTCAAGTCTTTGACAAAGTCCTGAAAAGTGTGTCTCCTGATGTTTTCAAAATGTACTCTGAAATTAAAAAGTAGGGTTAATGTCCTTTGTAAAATGAAAATGATTATAAATTATCCCATTACCTAGAGAAGGAAGAGAGGAGAGAAAAAGGAATAGCTTTTGTAAAAGAACTTCGGGGTTAGCTATATTCATTAATATACATCAGTGGTCAAACCTAAGGAGTCTTGCAAGAAAGTTAGGCACAGCCAAATCGCAAGTCTTCAGTTCTGCACAGAGAGTCTGGACAACTACACACGGTAGTGATTGTCTCTCCAGCCGCATATTAGAATCAATTCAAAATCTTTCAGAACATCCCGCTGTTCAGATTCTGATGGAATCAGTAAAGTGTAGCTCAAAAAACAAAAACAAAACAGAACAAAAAAACACCTCGAACATATCAAGTCACATTGACATTTAACTTGCTCTCCACCTCTACATAGATAATATATTTAGTATCCTATACATTTACTATCATATACATTCCATATGTATATCAAATTTCATACTTATATGCATAGTATACCATACATATATACACAGTATTTATACATACATACAACATATTTTATGATATATAATATTCTAATATATATAGTATCTCATGCATATATATAATACATAGTACTCTGCATATAAATGGTATTTCATGCAGTAGTACAGCGTATTTCACACATATATAGTCTATGCATATATACAGAGTATTTCATACACATATGCATATTTACCCATAGATTTAACAAGCTATGTAGTATCTTTTGCAACTTGCCCTTATTGGAGGACAGTCTGACAGGCAGAAAAGATTAGTGGTTAACTACAAGGACACTGGAACTCAATGGCCTGGGATTATTTTCAGGCTCTGCCACTCGGTAGCTATATGACTTTGGGCTTTTTTTTTTTTTTTTTTTTTTCTTATGGAGTCTCGCTCTGTCACCCAGTCTGCAGTGGTGCAATCTTGGCTCACTGCAACCTCCGCCTCCTGGGTTCAAGAGGTTCTCCTGCCTCAGTTTCCCTAGTAGCTGGGATTACAGGCCATGCCACTATGCCCAGCTAATTTTTGTATTTTTAGTAGAGAGGGGGTTTCACCATGTTGGCCAGGCTGGTCTCGAACTCCTGACCTCAGGTGATCCGCCTGCCTCAGCCTTCCAAAGGGCTGGGATTACAGGCATGAGCCACTGCGCCCAGCCTGGGCTACTGGTTTAAATGATCTTTGCCTCACTGTCCTCAGCTTTAAAATATGGCCAGCCATAGGGTGGCTGTAGAAATGAATGAAGGAATGTCAATAATGCACTTAGTGTACCTTACAATTAGTGGTTCCTCAGTAAATGTTAGCTGTAGAGGTTAATTCCATTAGTGGTCTCTCAAGTAAACTACAAAAAGCTACAGGCAGGGCCTTGTGAAGCATCCTGTGCCATACCGAGGTGGACCACCCTACGAAGGAATGTAAGATGCTTCCTATTATTCATAATGAAGCCCATTGCATATGATTGGCTGCTGTTTGAGATGGGGAAGGAAATATAGGGGATGAAAAGGTCAAGTCGGCATCAGTTTTGTATTGCATGATAGTCTGGTGCTATAAGTATAATGACTGATCAATGCTAATTGGCTGTCTCTGTGACTGCCCTTAAATCACTACCAGCTGCCCCTTGGAAGCTATTTCACAAGGCTCAGAAAAGAGAAGTCGTTTCCACTAATAACACTCGACAGCATCCCAAATTACATTTGCCTAGCCCTATATTTTATCAGTATTTCTCAGGATAAATTCCAAATTATACTCAAAAGAAGATCGAAAGGAAGACGCCTGTGATAGCTCTACCTATATTTATCTACATGTGTATGTATTTGCATGCATTTTCATGTCTGCATCTACATCTTTATATGTAACTTAATCCAGGGAATTTGAGGAGAAAAACTTCAGTATATTCTGATGCACTGAGATAAAAATGTGATGCTTCAATATGACTTTTTGCTTCTTCAGCTCTGCAAGCAGGAATGTTTCTAACATTTATCATTCAATAGCTTCTCAGGGTCTGGAAGAGTGGTTTGCGGCACTGGGCACATATTAGAATCACCTGGGGACCCTTTAAACTAGCACTAATGTGCAATGTCCATACTTCTCTCCTGATCTTTAGGTGCCAGAGGACACTGGACTTCTTAAAAGCTCCCCTGGGAGTTCTAATAGGCAGCCAGTTTTGAAAGCCTCTGACCCAGGGTCAGAATCATGCTAATAATCAGAGTCAATTGTGCAAAACTCAATCTTTAAGTATTACCTTAATCTGAAACTCGATTATTCTTCCTACTTTGGGCAATCTTTAGTTTTCTAGCCAATAAAGGATTTCACTCTTCTTTTTCTTTTCTCAAATCCACGTCTAGACTATAAATGTGCACCAGGATTTCTCTCAGTGAAATGATTTTTCAAATCTATAGATTTTTACGTACTCAAACATTTTGTTTCCTTGGACAAGATGGATTTTTCTAAACAGACTTGTTATGTGCTCGGCCACTTTATGAAAACAATTCACTGACAGAAATTGAAGATGGCATCACATGCATATTGAGTCGATCATTCCTAGAATGTTAAAGTTAAAATCAGCACAAAGTACATTGCACTCAGCCCTAGGGAAATGTGCAAAAATCTGCCATACCTCCTTAAAACTAATTTATTTAAGTCATTGTGTGTCCCTTAGATGTTTATCTACTTAAAACACAATGACTCATTTGTGTAAACAGATTGCAAATAATTTGTGTGTAAAATTGAATAGAACCAAGTACATACAAACACCCACACACACAGAACTGTGTGTATATCAAATCTATGAGATCTGAATAAAGGATATGGTTTGTATCAATGTCAATTTCCTGGTTGTGATACTATACTGTAGTTTTGAAAGATGTCGCCATTGTGGGAAACTAAATGAAGGGTTCAGGATAGTTCATAATCTCTATTATTTCCTACAATTGCATGTGAATCTACAATTTTCTCAAAATACAAAGTAAAAAAAAAAAAAAGAGAGAGAGAGAGAGAGAGGGAGAGACTCCTTTAAAGAAGATTGGCAAATGACATAGGGCTTGGATTTGAATTTAAATTTCACAAAACACAGGGAGCCCTGGACTCCACATTGTTCCTTATCAGTTCTAGTTCTCCCAACTACTTCAATTTCATACATAGAATATATGTAAAATTTACTCAGTAACATTTACTCTACAGTGTTCCCATTTCAAAATTTGCTGTGGCACCTAAATCAGACCTCTGGCCCTTAGTCATGATGCAAAAGAACTGTAGTCTTCAGTACTTATGTCTTTGGTTTCACGGTCTCTCCTTCTCTCCCCACCCTTATCTTAGTCTTTCTTTGCCTTACTTTCTAAATGCCCTCTTAATTCTATTTTGTTTCCATTCTTAGATTTTGCTTTTCCAAATTCTTCTTACTGTGTTCTGTGTAGATTAGAACCTTCTATTACACAGATCTTACATAAACTGCTCACTTTCCTCATCTTATTCTAAATTTCATTCTGTCACTGCCAGGGATTGAATATCAAGAAGTGTTGGTACAAATACAACCAACTCAATTTTCTATTAGTTGCTCTAAATTGTTTTAGGGATTACAAACCTTCCACCCCCACCCCCACCTTAGTGATTTGGCATTTTAATTTTTTTATATGATTAATTCAATTTTCTTTTTCTTCTTTTAACTTTTATTTTAGGCTCAGGGGTACAATTGCAAGTTTGTTATATGGGTAAACTCTTGTCATAGAGGTTTGTTGTACAGATTATTCCATCACCCAGGTACTAAGCCTAGTACTCATTAGTTATTTTTTCCTGATCCTCTCCCTCCTCCCACCTTCCACCCTCAAGTAGGTCCCAGTATCTGTTGTTCCCTTCTTTGTGTTCATGTGTTCTCATCATTTAGCTCCCACTTATAAGTGAGAACATGTGGTATTGGCTTTTCTGTTCCTGTGTTGGTTTCCTAAGGATGATGGCTTCCAGCTCCATCTATGTTCCCGCAAAGGAGATTATCTTTTTCCTTTTTTGTGGCTGTATAGTATTCCATGGTGTGTATGTACCATATTTTCTTTATACAGTCTACCAGTGATGAGCATTTAGGTTGATTCTATGTTTTTTGTGATTGTGAATAGTGCTGCAATGAACATTTGCATGCATGTGTCTTTTTGGTAGAATGATGTATATTTCTTTGGGTATATATCCAGTAATGAGATTGCTGGGTCAAATGGTATTTCTGCTTTCAGCTCTTTGAGGAATTGCCACACTGCTGTTCACAATGGTTGAACTAATTTACACCCCCACCAACAGTGTATAAGTATTCCCTTTTGTCTGCAATCTTGCCAGTACCTGCTATTTTTTTCTTTTTAATGAAATACCCATTCTGCCTGGTGTGAGATGATATTTCATTGTGGTTTTGATTCGCATTTCTCTAATGATCAGTGATATTGGGCTTTGTTTTATATGCTTGTTGGCCACATGTATGTCTTCTTTTGAAAAGTGTCTGTTCATGTCCTTTGCCCAAATTTTAATGATATTTTTTTCTTGTATATGTGTTTAAGTTCCTTATCGGTGCTGGATGCTGGATGTAAGACCTTTGTTACATGCATAAGTTGCAAATATTTTCTCCCATTCTCTAGTTTGTCTATTTACTCTGTTGACAGTTTCTTTTGCTATGAAGAAGCTCTTAAGTTTAATTAGATCCTATTTGCCAATTTTTGCTTTTGTTATGATTGCTTTTGGTGTCTTCAATCTGACATTTTTAGACACACACACACACACACACACACACACACACACGTGGATTTTTCCAAGCACTGTTACATGACCATCTTCACAGTAACCATGAAGTGAGTGGCAAAATCCTTACTTTGGGTGGGAATACCAAGGCAGAGAAAGGATAGGCAGGCACACTCTCTGTGTTTCTGCACAAGAGAGGGCACAATTTTTATTTTTATTTTTTTTTAGACAGGTTCTCATTCTGTCATCCAGGCTGGAGCTCAATCATGTGATCATAGCTCACTGCAGCCAATACCTGGTGAGTTCAAGCGATTCTCCTGCCTCAGCCACCCAAGTCGCTGGGACTACAGGTGTGCACTACCATGTCCAGCTAATTTTCCATTTTTTTTTTGCAGACATGGAGTCTTTTTATGTTGCCCAGGCGGGGACCAAGTGATCCTCCCGCCTCAGCCTTCCAAAGTGCTGGGATTGCAGGTGTGAGCCATCATGCCTGGCCTCTTACTCTTTTCAAAAATTTTTCTTGGCCGGGCGTGGTGGCTCACGCCTGTAATCCCAGCACTTTGGGAGGCCGGGAGATCGAGACCATCCTGGCTAACACGGTGAAACCCCGTCTCTACTAAAAATACAAAACATTAGCCGGACGTGGTGGCAGGCACCTGTAGCCCCAGCTACTCAGGAGGCTGAGGCAGGAGAATGGCGTGAACCTGGTAGGCGGAGCTTGCAGTGAACCGAGATCGCGCCACTGCACTCCAGCCTGGGCGACAGAGCGAGACTCCGTCTCAAAAAAAAAAAAAAAAAATTTTTTTTTTCTTGTATCCCCTACAGCTTTTTCTCCTTTGATACCATGCTCCATCAATGGGTGGTATATGTAGAAGTTGTCTCCAATTTACAACAAAGCTGTATTCTCAGGACTCATTTGTGTAAAAAAATACCTCCCCAATGGAAACAATACTAAAAATATTTCTTGGGTTTTCGGTCCCTGCCAAGACACTCCACTGGCCCTAAGAACCTGCTTACCCTGTGGTGTAGCTCAAGAAGTAAAAGAATGTGAAGGAAGTTGGATTCTTATTGCAGCCTTCAAGCCCGATCTCTGGGTCAGTAGCCCCAGCCTCTCTGATCTTTGATGAAGAATGGAGGTTGGAGACCAGTGTGAGGTGCCCAAGCTGTGCAGCTGATTGGCTGGGTGAAGCCTCAGAGAATGAGTGGATAAGAACTCCCAGGAAAACTCCCAGGAAATTCAGGCCTCAGGGACTGGGGAGGGTCAAGCCTGGGGCCACTGGCATGGGTGCTCATGCTGTAGGGTGGCGGCAGCAGCCATTGAAAGAAATCAAAATATTTCACCCCCAAATAACCCTTCTTTGACATATTTAGAGATGGCTGTTCAGAGGGCCTGAAAATAACAGCCCTACAAAGCTGTCTTTTGTGGGGGAAATTGGCATCTGTAGATGTAGAGAAAATCTGCATTGATGCATTGCTGCAGCCAGGCTTTCTCTGACACCCACTCCCTGCCCCCGTGTCTGGATCTAGGAAAAATTAACTAAAAGCCTAACACCTTTAAGGTCTGAAAGAAACAGTCACCATCTATTCTCTCTAAAGGCTGCGACCTGGGAGGTTTCATCTGCGTAACAAGACCACCTTTGCTAGTCAGGACTTCTCTTCTCTCCCTCCCATAAATTGTGTTGCCAAGATCCGAGCCCCCATTCTTTCTGTAACTTCAAGATGGCATAAAAGCGTCAAGCAATCCTCCACTGATAGCCTTGATAGGCTGTTTCCATACCTCTACTATTGTGAATAGTGCTGTGATAAACATGTATCTTTTTCATATAATGATTACTTTTTCTCTGGGTAGATACCCAGTAGTGGGACTGCTAGGTCAAATGGTAGTTCTATTTTTAGTGCTTTGAGAAATCTCCATACTGTTTTACATAGAGGTCATGTTAATTTACATTATGACCAACAGCATATAAGTGGTCCCTATGTACATAATGGAGTATTATTCAGCCATAAACAAGAATGCAATCATGTCTTTTGCAGCAACATGGATGGAATGGAGGCCATTATCTTAATTGAAATGACGCTGACACAAAAAGACAAATGCCACATATTCTCATTTATAATTGGGAACTAAATAATGTGTACACATGTACATAGAATGTAGAATAATTGACAATAAACACTTGGAAAGGTGGGAGGGTCAGAGGGTGGGAGAGTGGGAGTAAAGAGAAATTACTTAATGGGTACAATATATATTATTTTGGTGAATGCCCTAAAAGCCTTTATTTCTTATGCTTTTTTTTCTTAGGCATTTTTTCCAATTCATCAGCAATTATGGGTCAATTGCATGTCAAAGTGGGGATGTACAAGCCTCTCAAAACTCTACTTAGATAATGGAGATTTAAAGGCTTATAGTATAGTACGTAGTATTGAAAAACAATTGAGTAGTATTGAAATACAGGTGAATGCTTATTGGCATTGCATATATCTACAATTTTAGGAGTAAATATTGGTGGCAAAAGAAAAACAGCTTAAAATTGTATATCCTTGACTTAATATACCACTAAAACCATCAGGAGTTACAATTGTAAACATGATGATAGAAATCTGAAGTGTTGGTTGTCAAACTCCAAGATACTTTCATTAGGATGAAGTGCTGTCTTGTTAACATTTACCAGACCTCAAATTCCATTAACACTGACATGGAAAGAGACTTTTTGAATCTCCTTGGCAGCAGGAACTGTCCATTTTTCCTCTTAAATTCAATAAAGTTTCTTTTCTTTTTTTTAAGTTTGGAGACAGGGCCTTGCTATGTTGCCCAGGCTGGTCTCAAACATTCAGGACTCAAGTGATCCTTCAGATTCAGCCTCCCGAGTAGCTGAGACTACAGGTGCATGCCACTGTGCCCAGCAAAAATGTTTCTTTAAGAAATAAATGAGTCGACTCCTTGGTCTGGTTTAAGGATACTTTATTATTGAACCAGTATGTACAAACTCTAACATGAAAATAATGAGTCACAGAATATCAAGACTATTTACAATACTTTTTTGTTTTTTACAAAACATTTTTACAAGATTACTTCTCTCTAAATAATGTGACAGACATACACAAAAATCCAACTTTTTTTATTACATACATAAATAAATATTGACTTTAAATGACCACTGTAAGGGACATGAATTCTACAGACCACTTGGATGAGAAGGTAGCAGTTTTGTTATCTGCACACTACAATATAATTAAGTAAAGGGGAAAAGTAACTTTATATAGACCTCTGTTAATCACTCCGTAAATCATATAACTCACTAGAATATTCAGTAGAGGTAAGACAGTCATGAGAATCCTCTCCGTACCTGACACCGAGTCTGACCATGCAAAATCACAGGTAAGAGTCAACATCTTTATATATCTGTTTATATTTTATAATAAACTTTAAAGTACATGCAACAGATATTTAGCCATTGTGTTCTGCCTATAATATGAAAGTTTATATAATAAGTTTTAGAGTTATTTGCAACCATAGAAATGAGTAAACTTGAAAACCCACGGCATAAGAAAGGGCATTAAATAAATAAGTCAAAATCACAAATGACATTTACGGATACATAGGGCAAAATTAGTATTTGTACTTGTATGATACAGACACGAGTCAAAATTCCGTCTTTTAATCAAGTTGTTTAGTGGACATAAAAAACACAGTTTAGGCCTTTGAAGTCAACCATAATAACTTCTTAGCTGTCCCTTAGTTTTTGGGACTTGCTCTAGAAATTCACTGGGTTTCTTATAAAGGGCAAATTCAGTAAAGATCATTCTCTAGCAATGGTTCTCAACCAGAGGTACCATCCCTCAAGGGGTAGCTGGCAATATCTGGAGACATTTTTGGTTGTCTCAACTTGGGGGAGGGTGCAACTGGCATCTGGTGAGGAGAAAGTGTGGATGCTACTAAAAACCTACAGTGCACAAGACAAACCCCCACAACAGAGAACTATCCAGCCCCAAAAGTCAATAGTGTTGAGGTTGAGATGAACCTCTGTATACAGTCGGCTATGTATCTAAGGTTTTCAGGACACAGATGTATTTCTAATCTTTGAACTTCGTTTAATACACATTACAAAAAATTACCTGCCATAAACCTTATCTTCTCTACCATGTCATATTAAAACAGTGAATGACTGAAAAGAGCACATGTTGGTTTGCAAACATCATTCTATGGAGTTCCAGGTAGAAAAACAGGGTAACACAGATAAATTCATCATTAAGGAGCAAATGTTGTAAATAAAAATAATGCATGTAACTGCAATGTATGTCAGATTAACCACCTGTATTTGATGACAATATTTTTGATGAGCTCAATTTTTTAAACAGTCAATACTATTACTGGATATATTTTTCTCACATTAGAGAAATGAATCTAATTTCAATAAAACATATTACAGAATTAGGCACCAAAACTATGTTTGTTAAAAAGCATAGATTTTATTCTTTATTAGAGCAATCACATTTTTAAAATTCAAAAAATTATAACTATATTTTTGATCATTTGAATAATACTGGAGCTTATTAAAATCCATAAGAGAAACACATGTTTTTTATTAGCCCATTAATAGCATTTTTCTTCCAATAACACCAATAAAATTTAAATTATTTATTTATATTAAAATTAGAAGCCCATAAGAGCTGCTTTAGATTTTTTTAAGGGAGATGTAAGCTTCAGAATCACCATCTGAACTAAAAATATCTGTCCAATGTCTATTACCCAGACAAAAGAAGCATGATTAAATTTTATAAAATTAAATTTATGTAATAATTTAATAATATTTTGTATCTATGCAGAGACTCCCAGCATTTTTAACTATGCAACAGTACAAAAATTTGCTGGCATAAACATTTGAATTTGTTCATGACAAGTTCATGTAAAAGATAAATGGATAGCTAATAATGAAAAATTTTAATTTTTGAAATTTTAAGAACTTGAAATTCAGATGCTGGTAATGACACCAGAATAAAAAAGAGAAGCTATCTATGGTATCCATTTATTCAAGCTTAGGGATGTTTTCAAATGAAGATTGTTTTCTATTTTTGCCACTCAAAAATTCTTAGAACCAGGTAATTTCATAACTCAATGTGATAAATCCATCCCAGCTTGTGACAGGAGCTGCAGTGAACCATTCAGAACCAACATGAACTTTCATTCTGAGGTGTCCAATTTATGTTACTTGTACAAAGCTGCAAAACATTCCTGGAATATCCACTTTTTAAATATTTTAACACACAGGAAATGGGTTTCAATATCTATTATCAGGTATCCATGTTTATAAATGTGTTTCCCAAAGACATGCATCAACATCAGAAAAGTTATTTTCCCTGCATTTTAATTTGCATCTACCTTTAGACACTGCAGTGAGGCTCTGTGGAGTACAGTGACTTCTGAGTTATCCACTCTTCCCAGGAATGGCCAGGCATCTGCATGAATTCAGGAAACAATAAAACAACAAGAAGCAAGTACCATTGTCAAAACCTAAGGATAATGTTACTGATTTTCTTCCTGTTTTACTTAGGTAGGTAAAGACATATGGACACCTTTCTTTTACAGTGTTTAATTTTGATAAATTGCTCTTTTCTCAGAATCAGCATTGATGGGGAAAATATATTATCCTTATGACCTTTAAAAGAGCTGTATCTTTACTCACCATTGGTGAGCTACGAAAACGATTTCTCCAGGGATTCATGCTCAAGGTATATTCATGTATATGCATGTGTCTGTGTGTATATACATGTATATGTACATATATTTGCATATATATACACATGCATTTATAATTATATAGACATGCATATCTATGCACATTTCAAACCATGTATGTGAGTATTCCTTCAAGAAAAAAAACAGTATTAAATTAAACTTCTCTGCGTTTTAGGTTGTTACAATATACACTGCAACACTCTATATTGATAACACGTTTTGACTTAAGTTCATGCTACAAGGCACTAATTTGTAGCATAAAACATTTCCAAAAAGTAAGATATACTAGATTTGAAAGCATATGGGTGAATTAAATGCAAATAACTGTCCTTCTCTATCAATCAAAGGAATTTTTAAAACATTACCAATAATATTCTAGCACACAAAGACCTTTCTTTGATTAAGAAAAGGCAAATCTCTGCAAAGATTTAAACATGCTCAATAGTTGGGATTTTTTCATTTGAAGCAAGAAGTTTTGTGAATTTTCAGATGGTGAAACAAAAGTGCACCAAAAGCTATTATCTGCATTGAGGAAAATAAGGGAAAATATAAATAAGATAACATATCAGGAAAATCTCTCACATAATAGGATCAAATATTAAAAGGCATCCCCAAGAAATAATTTTCATTTCTCCAAGGTAAAATCTGATTAGCAGCTTATTTCATTGAGTTCCTCTGGCTTGGGTGTCTTTTGTAAATCATAATTTATAGAGGGAACTTTGATTTACCTTTGCATAAAGAGCAGCACAAGGTACTTAAAGTAGGAGCATTTTTAGATTTAAATTCGCTGGTATATTTTAGATTACACATTTTCATTTAAAAATCACCTAGGATAAAAATGATCTTAGGAAAGATTCAAAAAAACAAAGCTGTGTAATCTTAGTTGATTTTTCATATCGAATCAATAATTTAGTCAAAAATATATTTTATTGATTAGATTTACGCTTAGTGTTATGTGTGAATTGTGTATTTGTTACTCTCCTTTTTGGGGCGGAGTTTGGTGCTCCAAATTCAGGGAAAACTGAGTTCTGTTGTAATTCAATAGAAATGAGCGACACCATACATGAAAACAAAATTTAGCATTAAACAGGCCTATTCTTCATTTTCTCCATGCTTGTAGGGAACTGGTGTCTGTCTTCACCAATCTACTGTTTCTCACTTGTCTCCAGATGCGTCCATGATTGACAGAAGTTCTTCCTGCACTAAAGTCACATAGGAGAGTCCGGGCCTCTGAGCAGTTCCCACTGCCTCTGGAAGTGTGCATGTCTCGTGGCCGAAGTTCAACAAGCTTACACATCTGTGCAATTTCACAAAATCTTTTTGAACAGTTTAGTATCTTTCTGGAGAAGGCTTGTAATGATGTGGATGACGATGCTTAAGATGAGATCCTAAAAAGTGACAAAATATGTCAGTCACATCCATTTGTATGTATCAAATAAATGATAGAATTACCTTTATTTGTAGAAAAAGCACGAGACCCTGGCAAATGTTCCTTCCTATGACCATGTCTTTCCTATTCTGAATCTGAATGTACAACCACACTCTTTCTCTCCTTTTCCTGTTTTTCTCTTCCTCTTTGATGTCTTCCCAAACTATAAAATAACAAGAAAAAGAAGACAAGCTCCTTTCCTTAAGCTCACACTTATCCAATCAAACCATAATCCTTTTTTATTTGCTCAAAGAAGTTTAAAAATTATCAAATACTTCTGTTAAAAGGAATTTCTATGAAGGAATATCAGAAAAGCATTTATCTGACAAAAATTTTAGAGGCTATCAAGCTCTCCCATTGTGATAGTTTTTGTTTTTCTTCAAATTATAAGCATACCAAGTTATCAATTATAAGCATACCAATCTATCATTTAAAAAAATCAGAGTTAAAACTATGACTAATTCTCAATGTTTTGTCCACACACTAGTCATCAGACACTTTTTTAAAAAATTTAAGCTAGAAAATAAAGTAAACGAAGTACATAATTTAAAAATCAGCAAGAGGCTGTTTTGAAAATCTAGGTGACAATTTTCTTTTTAAATTTTACTTGATTTAGCAATAAATGAAGTAGGTGGACTTGGGTCATATCATGAAGAAAATTCATAATATTTATTACAGTAATATCTATGTAACAAGAACATAAGTTCCTTAGCAAAATATTATTTCCTATATTGTGATATATGAAAATCTTGATTTAAAAATATTTCAGATATGAGACTACAGATTTTTTTCCCATATGTATTTATGGTTTAAAAGACAAGGAAAAAAGCATGCATTACATAGGGGAAAATGCAAGGAAGGAAAAAAAAAACAAAGGAAGGATAGAGGAAAGGAGAAAAGAAGAGAGGGAAGAATGAAGGAGGGAGGGAGAGAGGATGGAGAAAGGAAACAAGGAAGGAGCAAAGAAAGGGAGAAAAGCGGGGAAGAGGGAGGGAGGGAGAAAAAGAACAATTAAGCATCAACTATGCAATGTATACTACAGGTGCCTGGAATAGAATCTAGTAAGTCGGTACAAACAGGGAGAAAGAATTTCAGATGATGACAATTTCCCTATCTCATAGAAACCTGTACTAGTGTATTTATTTGTTTTCATTTTCCAGCAAGATTTTTCTCTATGTCCACAAGACCTGACAGGATGGCTTAATGCCCTGGCACCCCACTCACTGTGTGCTGAAGAGGGTGGGAGCTCCGGCGTCCGGAACGTCTTGATGGTGGCCGGCCCCTCCCCTCCTGGGGTCAGCACTTGCACTTCCAGTCGGTAAAGAGTAGATGGTCTCAGATTGGGCACTGTTAGGACATAATGATCCTAAGGGGACAACATAAAAGAGCATGCTCACCGACAACCTTTCAGAGACAACATGCAATGCACAGAGAGCCTAGAACAGTTTTTCCCCCACTGGAGAATATCATACACAGGCAAGTTTGGTTGCTTTGTAAAGGCATAGTTTAATTTATAGACTATTTCTCATTTGTGGGGGTTCTCTGCCATATGGTTTCTTAGCACCTCACTCAATTCTTGGCAGCCTAAGACACTTGGCAGAGTTAAAATATGCTGAGGTGCCAGTTCTCAGGGCTCACTCCTGGGATTTTATTTATTTTTTTAATTCCTTAACGTAAAACTTTCCCATGGTTTAAAGTCTTCAGCTGCACATCTTGTGATGTGAACTCTTGATAGTCCAAATTTCAGTGAATGAGCCAACTGTTTTTCTTAAAACACAGTATCTGTCAATGCCCATAACTGAAAATGTTTATTTTTATGCCAACATATTCTTCTCAAAACTCAATAAAACCTAGTACATTTATAGAATAACTACTCTCTAATTCCATGGAATTTTTCCTTCTGAGATTTAAGTTGTGTTTCTTTCCCTCTCTGCCCCTCTTTTTGGATTTTGTAACGGTAGTTGGCTATTCTAAGGGCATTTTCAGAGAGGGTAAAATCCCACACATGATTTTTTTTTTTTTTTTTTGAAGCCAAGGAATTAAGTGGCCTGGAAGACAGGCCAACTCATTACAGCCTCGAGCCAAATTTGAAGTTGCGGGGAAGACGGACAAACAACAAGCTTCTTTTAGCTATTCCTGCCCTCCCCAATTCAACACTTCAAACAGGGCATGTTCACTTGGACCAGAGAGACATGAGGTTAACAAAGATAGAAGAAAATGGCTCAATCACTTATATACAAGATAGGGTAAGGTCTTTTCATGAGTTGGCTCTAGCCATCAAACTTTATCTAGATGGCAGCTTATGCTACTTCTTAGCTATGCAGTCACATTTGTGATGTGTTAATGCTTGCAAAAGATACACTCAGAAGAAGAAAATGCAAAAATAAGACTCAATAGTGCAGCACACAGAATGACAGAGGTAGCCACCTCTGAAGGTCAGTAAAAAGGAGCAGTAGATACCAATGACACAGACATAGTACAAGAGGTGGGACCTACGGAAGGCAGGATCTGGGACTGTGAAATAATGCTGTTGGGTAGGCTGTTCTGTCTGCTTTCCGTAGTGACCTCAGCCCAAGTCACTTGAAACCCAGTCATGGGCTGATAGAGATTGGCCTTGGCCATCTTCCAAGAAAAGTGACCGGTGATGTTCACATCCTGGACGATGAATGAAGCAGAAAGGTTCTCAGGCTTAGCTAGCACCTTAGAAAGAACATGACCTGCAGCAATGCAAGAAGGAAAACCAGGATTAGGCGACTGGAGAAGGTGTGCCCAAGGGATCCATTGTAGGAATTTTCAGCGGCCAGTCTATGGGATGATATTAATAGAAGCAATGTGACCTTGTTCTTTAAACATGGGTTCAGACAATCACCCCTTTGACATATGGGGATAGGTTGAGTAGGAATCTCCTCACTCCAACTTTGTACTAAATGCTTCTTCCAGTCTTTTGGGGATCATTTTTAGAATGCTCTTTTGAAGATGGAGGCAGGAGAGCAGTTTAGACCCTGGCAAGACTTAACTATTTCTTAAAGAATAGCATTGACTGCAGTGAGAAGGTAAATATTAAAGCTGTTAGAAGAGTTATTAAATCCGAAGCTTTTTTTTTTTTTTTTTTTTTTTTTTTTAAAAGGTGAGATCTTGCTATGTTGCCCATGTTGGTCTGGAACTCCAGGGCTCAAGTGATTCTCTCATCTCAGCCTCTCAAAGTACTGGGATTTCAGGCATGAGCCGCCATGCCTGGCCAAATCCAGGGCATTTAAAAGACTTTTTCCCACTGCAAGACAGGGACATTGGCAAGGAGATGGGATGGAAGGTACAGATGTGAGGTTTGCCAGGTTGGCATGGAAAGTGTGTGAGTATAACCCACGCAGCAAAGGGGTGGGAAAATAATGAAATAATTATATCAAACTTTCCCAAAACACAAGCGGTATCTAAATGTTTGCCTTCATTTCCAAAGGGATAACATTACTATCAAAGGACATCTTTCCAAGCCTGTTAGGCTTTAAAATAACACATTCATTCCTACATCTCTTCCCTCCACATTGGGCCATCATAACACAACTTAGAAAGAGAGGCACTTTTGGTTTTCACGGTCTTGTGAAACGCAGTTTGACAAGGTTTGCAAAGCGCTGCTGACACCGTAGACCTAGATGTAGAAGTCCTTCAGGTGAAAACGTACCTGCTTCGCCCAGGCAGCCAACAGGCTTGTGGCTCTTCCCCTTAAGAGCAGAGCATGGTGGAGTAGTGAAGAAAACAGCTTCTGCCTTGGAGTGACTTTTTGGCCGTATTGGTTGGACAGTCACCTTATACTTGCAGGAAAATGACAGATCTTGAAGAATTATGTAATTTTCCTAGAGCAAGAGAAAGAGAATTATGCTAGCAATAAATCTCATTAGGGATTAAAAAACACTGGCAAGAATTGAAATCATATTCCATCCAACAAGGATGTTTTCCTATATAGTGTGTGCAATATGGCTTTTATAAAAAGTACAAAGCACATACTGTCCACATTTTGATTAATGACAATTGTGAAACACTCCCATGGCTGCGGGATATGCCTTCTAGAATTAAACAGTATCATAATAATTCCTCATCAAAGCAGGCTACTTCTAAGGTCGCAATCAGCATTTTTGAGTTGGTAGCAGTGCAGGTAGTGGTGTAAAGCTGTAAATACAAATCTAACTTTTTTCAGTTAAAAAAAACTAACGCAGGCTTCTCTGAGACATAGAATTAGTTTATATGTAAGTTTTTCTGTTAAAAAATGATGATATTCTTTAGCAATATAATTTTTCCCTTTTTTGGAGTGCTGTTACTGTTTTCTGCCATAATGTTGTGATTAAATATAAATAAAAGAAAGAGGCTAAATGGTAAGGAGTCACGGGCTAAGAATATAACTTTATGATAATGTCAAAAGATGACATTTCCTGTGATAACAGGTGTGTATCTCTGTTTCTTTCATATTTGGCTAAATGGCACTTATCCATTCTGTTTTGTATTTACCAATTCTTAATGTATATGTATAAAAGTGCAGATGGATAGCTGGGCATGGTGACTCGTGTCATAGTCCTAGCTACTCGAGAGGCTGAGGTGGGAGGATCGCTTGAACTCAGGAGTTTGTGACCAGCTTGGTCAACATAGTGAGACTCCATGGTTTTTACGTGTGTGTGTGTGTGTGTGTGTGTGTGTGTGTGTGTTTAATTATTTTTTAAGAGAGGAAAAAAAGTACAGATGGAATATCTCTGGCACTCATTGGATGATGGGTAGGGGATCTTGCTAGAAAGCAGCAGCGTTGACGGGAAAAACATGAGACAAGAATTAAAATCAAAACTGAGGCTTGAGTGATTTACTTAAGTGAGGAGTGGAAGTGGCTGCAGGTGACAGAGCACTGAATGTTCAAAAGAGACCGGGAGTGACCTCCAGGTGTGCTGGCCCTTCATCCAGATGGTGACAGGAGATGGGGTGCACCCAACTCTGCAGCCAGTTAGCACAAACAGTGAATAGGAAACAAATCAATCTGGACAACGCAAGACCAACCCAAGCCCAACCCAAGCCCAAGCCAAGGCCACCATGTTTCTTTGGGAGTCTGAATTGCTTTTCTTTGGAAATAAATCTGCTCTTTACATGGGACTATACTGGAATCCAAGGTTAGCTATTAAGGATCCTGTTTCACAGATATTTCAAGATTGTTTTCATATTGCATAGGAGACAGACATCTGCAGCAGTAAGTGAATTAGTGGATGCTCCATTGTAGCATAAAAACAAATTATAATAATTGGATCTAAAGGTTTAAAACTAAATACAGATAAGTTCTAAACCCCTAGAAGGATAATTTTTCAGGAGTTTGATTTTTATTTCTACCAGATACATTACATCTGCTCAGCAAATAGTTGTTACCACTTTCAGAGTTCCTAAAGATGATAAGCCTAGGATTGGGGAATTGCATTGACATAAGCCCAGTTCTGTAAGGTTCTGAGGCACACACATATAAGTAAAACAAAAACCTCACCCCTCTGCCCACAAAAATATTAATAATTCCAGCTTCTGTTTATTGCTTTCTCTGCTTTTCAAATCGACTTCCTTATTTAGAATGTCTGTTTAATTATTTTACTGAAGGTCACAAACATTGGAGCTAATTTAAGGATAAATACAAGGAGAAACATTGCTGAACATGAGACAAATTAAGTCCAGTAAAAAAGAAAAAGAATCTGTGTATTTCTGAAAATCCAGTGACTTGTTTTATCTCACTCTCTTAAAATTATGCCAGCAGGTATGGTTCTTAAAATATCGTGCTTGCTTTAGAAAATGTTCAAAACAAAAATATTCTAGTTACATATCACAAACCAAAACATTCTATGTTTGGGGCCATGTTTTTGGATTTTTTAAACTGTCCTGAGGTATCACATATAAACTGCCATCAAAGTGTATTATACACTGTATAATAAAATGACCTCTTAAATATTTTGTGTTAGTTTGTTGATTCTAATCTATAATTCATGAATGAACCCCAAAATATTTGGAATAACATTTTGGGCAATATTGACAGAGTTGCTATCCTCAGAGAGTTTAATGTTCTCTTAAAGTTGAAAGTCAAAATATTGGTGCATGCTATACAGGACAGGGAGATTATTTCACTAACTGAGCTGATGGCAGTTAGGGACATGGTGCTCAATGATAGAGTCACATAGAAATCCACTTGTACCATTACACCTTTAGATCACGGTGACATGTCAAAATTCAGAAAATAATTCAAAGCTTTTGTCCAGTTAAGATGAAGCACACACATACTCAGACATATTTCCCCCTGAAATATGGGAGTTCTTTAAGAACTGTGTCTTTAGTCTCTGCACTTTAGGTTTTGCTCCATGTGGATAACAGAGTAAGCTCCCAGTGCAATGGTGTGAATGGATAAAAGAATGAGTGAATATAATGACCATTCTGCTTTCCACTTCCATCAAGTCATTACTCCATAGCTGATTTGTGGGAATGAGTTATCTGTTTGACCTGTCTAGTTTGTACATCCTCCTGTCTAATTATGTTCACAGATCAAGTTGGCCTAGAGATCATGTCCTTACGTGGGTCATGCCAGATGATGCCTCTGATCCGGTTGTTCTGTTGTGGGCACACGCTTCAGGAAACCACCGCACATGATATCGGTTGACAGTGGGATCTATAATGCCAAAACACGCAAACAAAAATAATAGGCTGGATGTTACATTCCAGGTAGCCTGGGGTTCTTGAACTTGAGAGGAGAAAAGGAGAGGAAATGAAACTCTACAGGTGACCAATAAATGCACAGTGAGCCAAAGGAGGTGAGATTCTGATTACTTAATAATTATAATAATTAGTAATTCTGAATACTTAATCATTAAGAACAAAGTAAGGGAAAAAAGTAATATACTGCCAAGGGAAAACCTGTGTTGAAGTGCAAGCACTAAGTAGAAAAAAAAATTAGTAAATTCATAGCAAAATGATTCCAAAGATGTCTTGAGAATAACCTAGCCATGGTTTTTACAGTAAGCAAAGCCCTACAATGAAAGGCAACACCTAGCAACAGCTCTCGTAATTCCTGTTGCAAAAGAGAATCATCAGAAGTTTCTCAATCCTACCTTTTTTTTTGATAAAGATGAGATACTATTGAATCCACACAAGAACAAAAACATTCCCTTCACACTTGCAGAATTGGCTATCCACGTTTATTTCCTGTTATGTATTGCCATAAAGAAGTTCTTTTGTCCAAAGGATAGGGACGTATGCTTCCCACTCTCCCTTAACCAAGCGCATCGTGGCATTTCTGTATGGCTGATCCCTACTGAAATATGACTTGGTGTTCTCAAACACAGGCCAGAAGACTGACCCTTTGAACACGTTTATTCCCAGGGCAAGAGGAATATTTTCTGTACATTTCTTTACTTTGGACAATAAAGTGGGGGGAAAAAAGATAAAATAGCGGCAAGCAACTCAATGAGTGTGGGAAAGCAGACCTTGACAGTCTCGGGTTTATTAATCACCCCAGTGTGTCCGAGGAGTGTGAAATGGCACCAAATGGCACCATTTTGCAGGTGATTTAACATCTTGTCCCCCAACATCATGCCAAGTGTTTGATGGGAGTTTTCAGAGGAGAAAACTCTTTGATGAAATTGGGTTGATCTAGTGGGAACTTCGCTTTGAGCACTTTGGAACCAGAAAAGAAGAACTTTAAATCCGAGAAAGCAAACAGATATAAAAGTGGGCACTCCGGGCATTTAGCTAAAAGAGAAATCATGTACTAGAGGTTTTAATTTTTACATAGCAGACATCAAGAGTTTATTTTTTAAAAAAAGAATTATAGGCTATGCACAACGCTGAAGTCAATCACTGAGTGTGTTCATGTTCTTCCATTCAACAGCAATGAAATAATCACACAGGAGTGGCTGCTGCCCTCCTGAATTTTACATAGTAATGGGGCCAATAATAACAGAGAATAAATACAATACATAGATAAGATAGATATTATGTTAGAACGTAGTAAGTCCACATATAAATACAGAAGGTGGCTGGGCACGGTGGTTCACGCCTGTAATCCCAGCACTTTGGGAGGCCGAGGCAGGCAGATCACTAGGTCAGGAGTTTGAGACCAGCCTGGCCAACATGGTGAAACCCCCTCTCTACTAACAATACAAAAATTAGCCAGGCGTGGTGGCAGGCGCCTGTAATCCCAGCTACTCGGGAGGCTGAGGCCAGAGAATCTCTTGAAACCGGAAGGCGGATGTTTCAGTGAGCCGAGATCACGCCACTGCACTCCAGCCTGGGCAACAAGAGCAAAACTCCGTCTCCCACCACCCCCCCCCCAAAAACAAAAAAACAAAAAAATAAAACAAAAAAAAAACCAGAAGGTAAGGGCAGTAGGGTGGATTGACAAAAAGTGCTGATTTTATATAAGGCGGCTGGCGTGTGTTCAATTCTGAGTCAGGACTTGAAGAAGGTGTAGCAGTGGGTAGTGGCACTGCAGAGACCTGTGGGAGGGTGTTCTCAGCCAGTCCTGTCCAACAGAACTGGCGGGTGTGATGGAAATGTTCTGTCTGTGGTAAACACTAGTCACCTGTGCCTATAAAGCATTTCACATGTCCTCTGTTTAACAGAGGAATTTAATTCTTTATTCTGTTTCATTTTAATTAATTTAAATTTAAACAGCTGAAGATGGCCATGGTTACAATATTGGGCAGCTTAAATGCTCTACCAGCAGGGAATACACAGCACGTGCCAAAGTGCTGACATGAGAACGGAGCATGACGGATGACTGAAGGTCTTTGGTGAAGAGCAGTCAGGGGACTTGGGGTGGCTACATTACAGCAATACAAGGAGGCTTGGCTGCCCTGGGGATCCTCCATATCCTAAAAATCCTTTACATATTTTACAATGCAATTATATTTTCATAGGAGGCAGCATCAAGAGTGACACATGGGGCACTCCTTTTGGGTTCCCTCCCTTTTGTTAGCCCTAAATCTCGCCATGTCTGAGTTCACTGCACTTTCATCTTCTCTCTGTGTCACCTCCATGAATCACTTCATTGATTCCCATGGTTTGAAAAATTTTTCTGCTGACAGCTCCCAAATGTCTACTTTCACCTGAGCTAGTCCCTTGAAGAGCTGATGCTCCCTCCTTCCTCTCCCATGTGGAGGCTTTCCAAACTCAACTTTGCTGTAGCTACCATGTTGATTTCTGCACCTCAACTGCTCCTTGCATTCACACTTTTCTTTCTGGCTGTAGGATGCAGAATTTTGACCCCACACATAACCTTCGAGGAAGGTGGGCTTCAGCAAGCAACTCCAACAGCCTCAGTGAGCCTCATTCCCTGTATCTGAGAATAAGGATACTAATTCAGCCAATGCAATAGGTTTGGTGTGTTTTAAATCAGTTCATGTACTGGTTTTCTACAGCTGCTGTGACAAATTACCTTGAGTGTAGATGCTTAAAACAATATAAATGTCTTCTCTTCTGGAGGTCTGAAATGGGTGTCACTGGTCTAAAATCAAGGCAGGCCTGTACTCCTTTCTGGAGGCTCCAGGGAAGAATGTATTTTCATGACTTTTCAGGTTTCTAGAGGCTTCTGGAATTCTTTGGCTGGTGGTGCCCTTCCACCAGCTTCAAAGTCAACAACACTGGGCTGAGTCCTTCGCACCATGCCATCTCTCTGATTCTTGCACTCTGCTTCCCTATTCTACTTTTAAGGACTTTTGTGATTGTATTCGTTTCCACCCAAATAATTAAGGGTAATATCCCCATCTCAAGGTTGGCTTTGAGTCATTGAATGGCTTTTCTCTGCCCTCTGAATAAAGACACTAATACTCAGCCTGGCTTCCAGGTCTCCACTGCCTCTACATATTCATCTCATGCAGACACTCCTCTCGTTCCCAATGTTTTGTTTGATTCTGTGGTTACTTCATGAATCCCTGTCAACCCCATTTGGTTAGAGCTCCATAACTATAAAGATAATGCCTATTTGCTGTCACTGTTGCATAAACAAAGATGAGCATGGTGCCTGGCAGGTGATAAACAGACAGTAAACATTTAATGAATAAATAAGTGAACAAAGGTATACCAGTTCAAATTCACTTTTATTTCTCTACTCATTCTGGCAACAGTGAAAATAATTCCTTATAATCTAAGACACGGAAGAAAGTGTGAAAAGACATGATATTACATAAGGTAATTAAAAGCAATCTGAGAAAGTAAAATATAAATTAAACTTAGATTAAAAATGCCCTGAAAGTATTGTAAATGGCACCCCCAAATGACCAGTATGGGGACTAACAATGCCCACACTCATTTATGTGAGTTGAGCTCAATTTTAACAGATCAATTCATAGATATTTGCTTTGATGGAAGTCATTTATACAAACATCATGTCCTTAGCTTTATCTTGCTAATTACTAAAATCCTAAGAGCTTGTATTTTAGGTTATGACTGCAGGTCTCAATCTGTAACTAGAATATTAAAAATAGCATAGTTCAGGCCGGGCGTGGTGGCTCATGCCTGTAATCCCAGCACTTTGGGAGGCTGAGGTGGGTGGATTGTCTGAGGTCAGGAGCTCAAGAGCAGCCTGGCCAGCATGGTGAAACCCTGTCTCTACTAAAAATACAAAAATTAGCCAGGTATGGTGGCACATGCTTGTAATCCCAGCTACTCGGGAGGCTGAGGCAGGAGAATCGCTTGAACCCGGGAAGTGGATGTTGCGGTGAGCTGAGATCATGCCATTGCACTCCAGCCTGGGCAACAACAGTAAAACTCTGTCTTAAAAAAATAATAATAAAATAAAATAAATAGCCAAACACTTCCTGAAAGGCTGTATCTGAAAATTCTGTGCTAAATACCCAGTTGATCTGGTTCCTTAGCTTAATTCCTTCCACAAATAAATGACATTACAAAGAAAGTACCTGAAAAGTATTTTTAAGTGATAAAAAATTTACCTGTAATATGCTTCAACTATGGTTCAAAAATTAGATGGGTCTAATTTTCTTTTCAAATAGATGTAACTCACAGTGTCTGGCATAAACAAAGGGCTCTAAAATTTTTCATTAAATGTGAATTCCTCAGTTCGCAAAAGTCTAATGACAAAGAATGATAGGGTTATTGACATTAGAGCTCTGAGAAAGAGGCAATCCTTGGGTTCTCCAGAATAATAATTGCTTTAAAAAGAATTGTAAGTCACAGCACTAGGGAAGGGGGCACACACTTAGAGAGGTGTCACAGAATGCCAATTCCATCAGGGTAGGGATTTCTGTCTGCCTCTTTGCAGTGTTTTAGCATCGGAAATGGTGCATTGCATACAGTAGGTGCTCAGTAAAGGTTAGTTGAATGAAGTCCTCTCATGGATCAATGCCTCATACTCTATCTGTAAACATGATCTGGTGAAACAGAACTTTCTGATGTACAACTAAAATAAGAATTTTTGAGTATCACATAGGCATTTCTACTTAAAATAGAAGCATGAATGTTTCCTCTATGTCTGAGCTAACTTTTCACATTTACGTTGTAGAGACACAAAGTCTAGAGCCAGAAAACCATCAAGATGCAGTGGCTCATGCCTTCAACCCCAGCGTTTTGGGAGTCTGAGGCTGAAGGATCACCTGAGGCCAGGAGTTTGAGACCATCCTGGGCAACATAGCAAGACCGCATCTCTACAAAAAATATATTTTTTAAAAAATTAGCTGGGCGGCCAGGCACTGTGGGTCACGCCTGTAATCCCAGCACTTTGGGAGGCTGAGGTGGGTGGATCTCCTGAGGTTGGGAGTTCGAGACCGGCCTGACCAACATGGAGAAACCCCGTCTCTACTAAAAATACAAAATTAGCCAAGCGTGGTGGTGCCTGCCTGTAATCCCAGCTACCTGGGAGGCTGAGACAGGAGAATCACTCAAACCCGGAAGGCAGAGGTTGTGGTGAGCCGAGATTGCGACATTGCACTCCAGCCTGGGCAACAAGAGAGAAACTCCAAAAAAAAAAAAAAAAAAAAAAGAAAAGAAGAGAAAAGAAAATTAGCTGGGCATGGTGGTGCATGTCTGTAGTTCCAGCTTCTTGTGAGGCTGAGGCAGGAGGATTGCTTGAGGCCAGGAGTTTGAAGTTGCAGTGAGCCATGATCATGCCACTGCACTCCAGCCTGGGTGACAGAGCAAGACCCTGTCTCTATGACAAAAAAAAAAAAAGAAAGAAAGAAAGAGAGAGAGAGAAAGGAAAGGAAAGGAAGGGAAAGGAAAGGAAAAGAGGAGAGGAGAAGAAAGAGAGAGGGAGGGAGGGAGGAAGAAAGGAAAGGAAAGGGAAGGAAGGAAGGAAGGAAGGAAGGAAGGCAGGCAGGCAGGCAGGCAGGCCAGAAAGCTTAAAACAATTGTTTATTCTATTATTACACAGTAAAAATGAACTAATATCAATGGAGTAATAAAATTACTAACAAAATTAGCTAAGTGGAATTGTTTTAAAATAATGTTTGTTCTACAAATGCAATGTTGAAAATATTTATTTTCTCCCAGAGCATTCACTATTATAACCCAACTACTATGTGTATTAAGTAAAGAAAGCTAATATTTGACGTTTAATTCATTTATCTATGAAACTACATGCTACATCCTAATAACTGAAACTGTCTCTGAAAAATTTTGAGTGAAATGAATAGATTTGGGCTTTTAGGTCCCTAACTCCAAGTCCAAAAGCAATATTTTGCCCACCATCACTTTTAGGAAATGTGACATAAGAACCCATTTCTGTTTATGATTGAGTTTTGATTAATGAGCAAGATTCTTTTCTTCCCTTATTTGCCAAAAGCATTAAGTCTTTTTAGGTTTTCAACTCAGTGTGTCCACAATTGGAAATAAATTATCATTCAAAAATATTCAGCTACTTGTCAAGGAGTTTGAAACCACTTTAGATGGGTCTATTGAGTTTCATACAGAGGAGATAATTTCTCATTTTACAAAGTCAAAAAAATCCAGAAAATCCAGCCAAAGTGTCCTTTCCCATGACAGAAACTGTGCTGATATTCACATTCCGTACAGTGCTCCTATGCTAGTAATACTGAGTCCATTTCAAAGGTCTCCTTTCCTACATGTGTGATAATTATGAATAAGAGCATGTTTTATGAATGTCTGGGGAAACTTTGGTTTGGGATTCTGTAGATCATGTGGTGAGTACATAAAAGGTTTCTGTAAGGAGGAAAAATGTGGAATAAGTTTGAAACACATACTTTCCTCTTCATTGTTCTTTGGACTTCCCAAAGCTTTCTACCACTCCCTTCTATCATGTGTTCAACATCATGAGCTCTGCTACAATTTATATGTTCATTTGGCTTTCAGATTTAAAATAACAAGGGAAGTGGGAATGGATAAAATTTAAGAAAAAGGACTTTTTGGAAAATACGAAACTCTAATTAGAGCATGAGCTGTTCTCAGCTCCTAATAGTAAGTGTGTGTGTGATCCAGTGGAAATCAACTAACATTTGCAGATCCCCTGACAGTATAGTCAGTGGATTGACCATAGCTCCAGTCAAATCCACGATGCTATCACAGAGCTGCCTCCTGAGCTACAAGTATGTATTTCTGACTGCCTATGACATTTTCTGGCAATCATGTAGTTATCTCAAATTCGACACACCAAAACCAAATTCTCCATATCATGGAGACATATCCCATGAAACATATCATAATTCTACTGCTCACAATCTTTGTTAGTCGAAGTACTGTTAGTCATTCAAGCTAGAAGATAAACACTCCATTTAGATCCATTTCTCTTTTTCTCTTCAGGCAGGTCTTAATATCCAAGTGGCCATACATCCTGGCTTTCCTGGGAGAGTTACAGTCTATGTCTGTTGGTGGGGAATAATGTTTACAAATGCCTCCTTTTATTCTCAAATAAATCCCAGTTCAGACAATAAATTATGTGGTCACTTGTGTAATACTCTTACATAACTCGCCAACCTTCCTCCTCCTACTGCTGTCTCTAATTCATGATCTGATTATTTCTTGTCTTGGCTACTGAAATTAACCGACGTGCTCTCTCTGAACTTTTCCAATCCATATTCCTTGCACACTTGCTTTTGCTAACATCTCTAAGTCCTGCTCAGAATTTCCCCTGCTACTTCACATCCCTCTCCTCCATGTAGAACAAAATCCAAGCTTCCTGGCATACCATATAAGCTTCTCCATCACTTGACATTGATCTGTCTCTCCAGCCTCACACAGTCACTTCCTCAATCTCACCAATACTTGACATTCCCGATCTTTCTCCCAGCTGCACCTCTTCATGTCCTGGGCCAGAAGTGTTCATCTTCCCTGGCCAAAAAAAGTAATCCAGCCTTTAAAATGTACCTTAAACTTTACCTCCTCTGTGAAAATTCCTCTGCACACAACGTCAAAATCTCTCTGCTCTCAACTACTTCAGCTGTTTATCCAGACTGCTATGAAGAATAATGTCTTATTATGTGGCAACTGCCTAACTGCCTAAGCCTCAGAACTGCAGGTTCCTTAAAGGTAGGAAATCTCTCTTATCCGTTATTGTATTCCCATCACGTGGCACACAGCCTGGCATAAAGTCGGTAATTTGTGTCCATTTGCAAAAGAAGACAAAAAGTGAATGGAAATGCATTCATTGATATCTAAGTTAATTCAAAGGTGTTTTTTTTTGACGGTGTCTCGCTCTGTCACCCAGGCTGGAGTCAGTGGCGCGGTCTCGGCTCACTGCAACCTCTGCCTCCCGGGTTCAAGCGAATCTCCTGCCTCGGTCTCCCAAGTAGCTGGGACTACAGGCATGCACCCCCATGCCCGGCTAATTTTTGTATTTTTAGTAGAGACGGGGTTTCACCATATTGGCCAGACTGGTCTCAAATTCCTAACCTCATGATCCGCCCGCCTTGGCCTCCCAAAGTGCTGGGATTACAGGCGTGAGCCACCGCGCCTGGCCAATTCAAAGTTTTAAAACTTCACATTTTCAAATGAAAGTTGAACATACCATTTTTGGATGTATTAAAATACTCATCTAAAGACTCTTATTACTGTTTGCAATGTTTACTATATATCTAAAGGATTAACTTAAAAGAACAACCAGACCTTTCTTCCCGTTCTTTTTTTTCTATATTTCCTTTGTCACTTTAATTGAAAATGAAAAGATTCTGCCACCAGCTGTCAGACACAGGATTTGTGTAGGAAAATTAAGCTCTATTTGTTTTTACACCCTATTATTTTGGTAAAGGGCTTAGCGTACTCAGTAGAGTCATAAGTATTCTGTCTAGATATTTTTACACAATGTTCTTTTTAGATTCCAAACTGTTTGGGAGGATCTTCCTAAACAAGGTAAAAGCAAAATGCCAAATTCCATATTTTTGCCATTCTTTTGAAGGGAATCCATACCAAGTGTTTTCAAGAACTTCCTGTCACTTCAAAGAAAGTTTTAGCGTGAATATATAGAGAGGGCATGAGTTGAAATGGCAAGGAGCAGATGCATGGTCTACAAAAAAATCCACAGAACAAATCCTGACATGTCACTAAAGATGTAGAATGAATCTCTGTCTCTTGAGTAAGCAGTAACACTGTAACCACAATAGTTTTGACTGGAGGCTACACTGTCAACTGTTGAAGGCCACTGCACAGAACATTCTCTTTTAGAAATATATTTGAAATCAGTTATATCTTTGGAATCAAGGTTTTGGCCAGCCACAAAGAGTGTTCTCTGGCCAGCATGGATATGTACTTATTAGATGATGGCTTAATGTTGGTCTGTAGTAGGTAGCATTCCTGGAGGTTAACTCATTTCAGAGGCTGGAAATGGGTATGAAGAAAACAGTTTGAACACTAACTGACTGCGAGGCATTTCCATTAGTGAAACAAATCATTACTGACAAATAGAGGCTAGTTTACCTCCGTCACATGAGCTCATCACTCCCAGCTTCTCCTTTGTGGCCCAGGGTCCAAGTCACTAAACATCAATCAAGTCAGCATCACTTTTGGAACCCAAATCAAGGTCACTCCTTGCCTTTGGATCTTGTCCCTTTATCATCAAGTCCACAATTTCATGCATCGTAAACTGGATAATACTATGGACTCTAATATTGATTAATAAATATTGAGACAATTCTCTGCTTATGGTTTCTTTAAAGATTTCAGTATTTGAGAAAACCACTGATATTCTTCACATTTATTTCTAACTTTGAGTTATTCAAAGTAATACGTGTGTATATATGTGTACATGTGTGTATATGTGTACATATCTATGCCAACAACCATGTTTCCTATTTGTCATGCACTGAAATCATTATTGTATGGGAATATTGGTCATATTACTGCTTGCTGATACAGTGCAGTGAAGGTGAATCTCTTTTCTTCTGCCAAATTTAATAAGATGCCTAAGTTTTGTAGCACTTGTATTGCAAATTGGACAATTAAATCATGTCTTAAAGCACTGCTCTTTGTTGTTCACAAAGGAGAAAACATTGAGAGTCAGTCCTAAAGCAACACCAAGCCTTAAAAGGCTGGGCTCAGAGGCTCTTTACGTCTGTCCTGACATCCTGTCCTCTCTCTGCACTATAAGCAGTGCCGTAAGAATCCTCACACTGAAACACCTAAGGTGTCTCCTTTGTGCCAGGCACCGGTCCAACCAATCTGGATGTGTAATCTCATTTATTCCACACAACAGACCTAGGAGGTGATCTATAATGTTTCCTCTAGTTCATCATGTTAATAGAACAAAGAAGAAAAATGTATGATCATTTCACTAGATGAAGTAAGAATATTTGATAAAAACCAGTATCCATTAACAACAAAAACTTTGCAAGTAAGAAGAGTAGGGGATTGTATTAATCTGACCAGGGATGTCTTCAAAAACCTTACACTTAAACATCATGCCTAATAGTATCACTTTTAGTCACCATTGTACTGAAACTCTCAGCCAGTTTTAAGGCAAGGGAAAACTAAAACATCAAAGATATGGAAAGGAAAATATAAAATTCTCATTATTTACAAACTAGATGATGGTTTTTGTAGAAAAAATGCAAACAAATCATCAGAGAAAATGTTATAATTAACAAAGTGCTAAAACAATATTGCTGGATTCACAGTCAATATATGAATATAAAATATATTTATAATATACCAACAACAAAAATCAGAAAGTATAATTGAGGAAAAAGTATGCCATCTATAATAGGATAAAAATAAACACAAATACCTTGGAAAAATCATATTAAAAAGTATCATACTTTCTATCCAATATATTATAAAACATTGTTGAGACAAAAATTTTAAACCTGAATACAGTGGCATACCATGTTTGTAGATTGGAACACTCAGTATTTTTAAGATGCGAATTCTTCAAAATCATTGACACGTGGATGAATTCAATCTCCATAAATATCTCAGGAAGTTTTTGTGGAAATCGAAAAATTAATTCAAATATGTATATAAAAATGCAAAAGGCCAGGAATAGTTGAGACAATTTGATAAAGAAATAAAAACTAGAGGACTATCATTAGAAATATTTATAAATCTATAGTAGTTAAGACAGTAAGGTATTGTCACAACATTGCAAAAATATGTCAAAGACTCTATAGAAAGTCCAAAAATTAACTTGCACATATATGCATTATTTAGGGCAAATGAGGCACTGTAGAGCTTTGGGGAAAATAGTCATTTAAAAAATATATCATGATGTATCAGAGAAGGAGATCAGAAGGAAAAAAAAAAAAGAACACTGACCCTCTACAACAAAAATCAATTCTGGGTAAAAGAGCTTAAGAATAAAAGGTGATATGATTTGGCTATGTCCCCACCCAAATCTCATCTTGAATTGTAGCTCCCATAATCCCCACATGTCATGGGAGGAACCTGGTGGGAGGTAACTGAATCATGGGGACGAGGTTTTCCCATGTTGTTCTCATGATAGTGAGTAAGTCTCATGAGATCTGATGGTTTTATAAATTGCAGTTCTCCTGGACATGCTCTTTTGCCTACCACCACGTAAGGTATGCCTTTGCTCCTCCTTCACCTTCCGCAATGATTGTGAGGTCTCCCCAGCCATGTGGAACTGTGTGTCCATTAAACCTCTTTTTCCTTATAAATTACCCAGTCTCAGGTATTCATAGCAGTATGAAAGTGGACTAATACAAAAGATGAAACAGTGGACAAGAAGACAAGAAAGGAGAATATCTTTGTGACCTTTGTATGAAAAAGGATTTCCTAACCAGGACATAGAGAATACTAAACCTAAAGGAAACAAAATGATGAATTGCTTATCTCTAAAATTAAGAACCACTAAGGGCTGGGAGCAGTGCGCCTGTAATCCCAGCATTTTGGGAGGCTGAGGCAGGGAGATCACCTGAGGTCAGGAGTTCAAGACCAGCCTGGTCAACATGGTGAAACCCTGTCTCTACTGAAAATACAAAAAATTAGCCGGGCATGGCGGCAGCCACCTTTAATCGCAGCTACTCTGGAGGCTAAGATAGGAGAATCGCTTGAACCCAGGATGCGGACCAGCCTGGGCAACAAGAGTGAAACTCCATCAAAAAAAAAAAAACCCACTAAGAAGAAAGTTAAAAATGCAAGAGTGGATCAGAGTGGAAGAAAATACTTACATGAAAACAAATGATGGCTGGATACAGTGGCTCACGCCTATAATCCTAGCACTTTGGGAGGCCAAGGCAGGCAGATCACTTGAGATCAGGAGTTCAAGACCAGCCTGGCCAACATGGTGAAACCCCATATCTACTAAAAATACAAAAATTAGCTGGGCATGGTGGCACACGCCTATAATCCCAGCTATTCAGGAGGCTGAGGCGGGAGAATCGCTTGAACCTGGGAGGCGGAGGTTGCAGTGAGCTGAGATCGTGCCACTGCACCCCAGACTGGGCGACAGATCAAGACTGTGTCTCAACAAACAAACACCAAATGACTTGTATATACTATATTAAAAGCACTCATGCAGGACAGAGTAGCTAAAGAGTTGAAAGAGTCCTTCAAAAAAGAGAAATCCAATTGTCAGTAAAATTACAAAAAGGTGCTCAACTTCTTGGACATCAGAAAAATGCGAATTCAAATAACAATGAGGTATCACTATGAACATACCAGAAAGGGTAAACTTACAAAGATGGAAAATACCACATGACAGAGAGAATGTGGAGCACCTGGAACCATAATCATGCCCTACTGGTGAGAATGTAAATTGGTACAACCATTTTGGAAAACTATTAATGTTTTCTAAAGCTTGACATACTCTACGGCCTAAGAATCCCACCTCTATGGAAGAATATGCGTCAAACAACATGTGTTCGTGGGGCATTCACACTGGTACTATTCTTAATAGCTCCACATCTGAATAAGTAAATCTCCATCCACAGCTGAAAGGATACACAGATTGATGTATACTAAGGACATCCAGGCAGCAATATAAATGAATGAATTGTTTCATGCAACAGAATGCATTGGTTTCTCATAAAATGCTCATGGCAAGAAGCCAAATACAAATAGAAATTGAGTGATTCCATTCTGATAAATTTCAAATACAGGCAAAACAAATATTGAGTTTTAAAAGTCAGGATGGTGGTGGTTACTCTTGTATGCTTGAGATATTTACTTTTTCAATAGTAGATGTTTACATTTTCATTTTATTACATTATGTTTAAAATTTTAATATTAATAAAATGTTATTTTTTAAATATGAATATGTTGATATTTTAATTAATCAATATAATAGATCAAATACTTTTCTTATTTAATATTTATAAAATTATTAACTGTAATATAGACATAATATAATCTTAATGCAATAAATGTTGAATAAACTTTAATTAACATTATAGAAATAAAATATGTTAATATTAATAATAATATTATTTTACTTGCAGAATGGATTTCAGCAGCTTGAAAGAAAATCCTGGAATAGGAACCACTCCAACACCAATATTGCTTATGGCACATGGCCCATCAATACCTTGAGTAAAAGTGAATTTCAGAGGAGTGAGGAGAATTTTAAAAACCTAACTCTTGAAACAATCTATTCTGCTTATGTTTTTAAGAGGCATAAGAGTGATAAAGATAAAAGACTGTATGTTGAATAAATTCTAAAAGTACCACCTTGATAACAGAAAAACAAATATTCTAAGACTAAAAAAAAAAATAAACAAAAAGAATTTATGCTAAAGATAAATGTTCAAACAAATGAAATGAATCTATCCTAAGGATAAATGTATTGCAGCCTTAATTAGAAAACAGAAATTCTAAAGAACTGAAATGTTTCATTGTACTGGAATAATGACATGTATTATGATATTAAGATATACCCATACAAAGTAGCATTTATAGAATGTTATGAAAAATGCATGACAATATAGCAGCTCAAACAATGTTACACAGAAATATGTGTGTATGTTTTAAAAACACACTCACACACACACACCCTAACTGAGTGAAAGACAGATGCATAGAAAATTTCTGAAAGGAAACCCACCAAAGTGCTGTTTCAGGAAATGATATTGAGATAATAGGTGACTTTCCCCCCCTACTTTCTAAATTATTTGTATTATGGATCTTTAAAAAATAATAATTAATAATTTATAACAAAAATTACAGCTCAAAATAATGAATATTTTGAGTGTTTTGGATATAACATCAGCCAATCAGCCCTCTGGGAAAGAAATGAAGACAAGCTAATATCCCTGAAAGGAAAATATTTAAGCAATTGACTGTTGTAGATTTCAAGATGTGAGATAACCGTCAACTCATTCAGACTTGTGTTCAACAACCGTTTGCCTTAGTATTGATACTGTGGCTTGACATTTACTTCTTCAAAACTATCTCTATATTACTGTGCTGTTTAAAGCAAGTAAGAAATAAGTAAGTAATGTTTATGTACCTTCTGTCTTCTTCCAGTAGACTTTAACTTGCAGTTGGCCATCCTGATAGAAGGGAGCTCCGACTTCCAGCGGGCGAGTGGGTCGTCGTCTTTGAAAAGGGAGTTGTGTTTGAATTCCACCTTTTCTAGTTTTCACAAGCTGTTCTTCTACAACAAAGTACAACATTCTAAGTTACTTGTTAAAAGTAATTATAGATTCCTGGGCAAGATGGCCAAATAGGAACAGCTCCATTATGCAGCTTCCAGCGAGAACAACACAGAAGGCGGGTGATTTCTCTATTTCCAACGGAGGTACCGGCTCATCTCATTAGGACTGGTTAGACAGTGGGTGCAGCCCATGGAGGGCGAGCAGAAGCAGGGTGGGGCGTTGCCTCACCCAGGAAGCACAAGTGGTTGGAGAACTCCCTCCCCTAGCCAAGGGAAGCCGTGAGTGAGGGACAGTGCTATCCAGCACAGATAACTACGCTTTTCCCACTGTCTTCGCAATTGGCAGACCAGGAGATTCCCTCGGGTGCCTACACCGCCAGGCCCCTGAGTTTCAAGTGCAAAACTGGGAGGCCATTTGGGCAGACACAGAGCTGGCTACAGGAGTTTTTTTTTTTTTTTTTTTTTTTTTTTTGTTGTTGTTGTTGTTTTAGATGGAGTCTCGCTCTGTCGCCCAACAAAGATCAAAAGAGACAAAGAAGGGGAATATATAATGGTAAAGGGTTCAATGCAACAAGAAGAGCTAAAATAAATATATATGCCACCAATACAGGAGCATCCCGATTCATAAAGCGTGTTCTTAGAGACCTACAAAGACACTTAGACTCCCACACAATAATAGTGGGAGGTTTTAACACTCCATTGTCAATATTAGACAGATCAATGAGACAGAAAATTAACAAGAACATTCAGGACTTGAACTCAGCTCTGGACCAAGTGCACCTAATAGACATCTACAGAACTCTCCACCACAAATCAACAGAATATACATTCTTCTCAGCACCATATAGCACTTATTCTAAAATTGACCATGTAATTGGAAGTAAAATATTCCTCAGCAAATGCAAAAGAATGGAAATCATAACAAACAGTCTCTCAGACCACAGTGCAATCAAATTAGAACTCAGGATTAAGAAAGCCACTCAAAACCATACAACTACATGGAAACTGAACAATATGCTCCTGAATGACTACTGGGTAAATAATGAAATTCAGGCAGAAATAAATAAGTTTTTTGAAACCAATGAGAACAAAGACACAATGTACCAGAATCACTGGGACACAGCTAAAGCAGCGTTTAGAGGGAAATTTATAGCACGAAATGCCCACAGGAGAAAGCGGGGAAGATCTAAAATCGACACCCTAACATCACAATTAAAAGAACTGGAGAAGCAAGAGCAAACAAATTCAAAAGCCAGCAGAAGACAAGAAATAACTAAGATCAGAGGAGAACTGAAGGAGATAGAGACACAAAAAACCCTTCCAAAAATCAATGAATCCAGAAGCTGGTTTTTTGAAAACATTAACAAAACAGATAGACTACTAGCCAGACTAATAAAGAAGAAAAGAGAGAAGAATCAAATAGACACAATATTAAATGATAAAGGGGATATCACTAATGATCCCACAGAAGTACAAACTACCATCAGAGAATACTACAAACACCTCTATGCAAATAAACTAGAAAATCTAGAAGAAATGGATAAACTCCTGGACACATACACCCTCCCAAGACTAAACCAGGAAGAAGTTGAATCTCTGAATAATAGCCTACCAACCAAAAAAAGCCCAGGACCAGACAGATTCACAGCTGAATTGTACCAGAGATACAAACAGGAGCTGGTATCATTCCTTCTAAAACTATTCCAAACAATAGAAAAAGAGGGACTCCTCCCTAACTCATTTTATGAGGTCAGCATCATGCTGATACCAAAACCTGGCAGAGATACAACAAAAAAAGAAAATTTCAGGCCGATATCCCTGATGAACATTGATGTGAAAATCCTCAATAAAATACTGGCAAACCGAATCCAGCAGCACATCAGAAAGTTTATCCATCACGATCAAGTTGGCTTCATCCCTGGGATGCAAGGCTGGTTCAACATACACAATCCATCACATAAACAGAACCAATGACAAAAAACACATGATTATCTCAATAGATGCAGAAAAGGCCTTCAATAAAATTCAGCACCGCTTCATGCCTAAAAACTCTCAATAAACTAGGTATTGATGGAACGTATCTCAAAATAATAAGAGCTATTGATGACAAACCCACAGCCAATATCATACTGAATGGGGAAAAGCCAGAAGCATTCCCTTTGAAAACTGGCACAAGACAAGGATGCCCTCTCTCACCACTCCTATTCAACATAGTATTGGAAGTTCTGGCCAGGGCAATCAGGCAAGAGAAAGAAATAAAGGTATTCAAATAGGAAGAGAGGAAGTCAAATTGTCTCTGTTTGCAGATGACATGATTGTATATTTAGAAAACCCTATCATCTCAGCCCAAAATCTCCTTAAGCTGATAAGCAACTTCAGCAAAGTCTCAGGATACAAAATCAATGTGCAAAAATCACAAGCATTCCTATACACCAATAACAGACAGAGAGCCAAATCATGAGTGAACTCCCATTCACAGTTGCTACAAAGACAATAAAATACCTAGGAATCCAACTTACAAGGGCTGTGAAGGACCTCTTCAAGGAGAACTACAAACCACTGCTCAAGGAAATAAGAGAGGACACAAACAAATGGAAAAACATTCCATGCACATGGATAGGAAGAATCAATATCGTGAAAATGGACATACTACCCAAAGTAATTTATAGATTCAATGCTATTCCCATCAAGCTACCATTGACTTTCTTTACAGAATTAGAAAAAACTACTTTAAATTTTATATGGAACCAAAAAAGAGTCCATATAGCCAAGACAATCCTAAGCAAAAAGAACAAAGCTGGAGGCATCATGCTACCTGATTTCAAACTACACTACAAGGCTACAGTAACCAACACAGCATGGTACTGGTAACAAAACAGATATATAGACCAATGGAACAGAACAGAGGCCTCAGAAATAACACCACACATCTACAACCATCTGATCTTTGACAAACCTGACAAAAGCAATAAGGAAAGGATTCCCTATTTAATAAACGGTGCTGGGAAAACTGACTAGCCATATGCAGAAAACTGAAACTGGGTCCCTTCCTTTCACCTTATACAAAACTTAACTCAAGATGGATTAAAGATTTAAATGTTAGACCTAAAACCATAAAAACACTAGAAGAAAACCTAGGCAATACCATTCAGGACATAGGCATGGGCAAAGACTTCATGACTAAAACACCAAAAGCAATTGCAACAAAAGCCAAAGTTGACAAATGGGATCTAATTAAACTAAAGAGCTTCTGCACAGCAAAAGAAACTAGCATCAGAGTGAACAGGCAACTACAGAATGGGAGAAAATTTTTGCAATCTATCCATCTGTCAAAGGGCTAATAATATCCAGAATCTACAGGAAACAAATAAATTTACAAGAAAAAAACAAACAACTCCATCAAAAAGTGGGCAAAGGATATGAACAGACACTTCTCAAAAGAAGACATTTATGCGGCCAATAAACGTATGAAAAAAAGCTCACCATCACTGGTCATTAGAGAAATGCAAATCAAAACCACAATTAGATACCATCTCATGCCAGTTAGAATGGCGATCATTCAAAAGTCAGGAAACAACAGATGCTGGAGAGGATATGGAGAAATAGGAAGGCTTTTGCACTGTTGGTGGGAGTGTAAATTAGTTCAACCATTGTGGAAGACAGTGTGGCAATTCCTCAAGGATCTAGAACTAGAAATACCATTTGACCCAGCAATCTCATTATTGGATGTATACCCAAAGGATTTTAAATCATTCTACTATAAAACACATGCACACATATGTTTATTGCAGCACTATTCACAATAGCAAAGACTTGGTGCCAACCCAAATTCCCATCAATGATAGACTGGATAAAGAAAATGTGGCATACACACCATGGAATACTATGTAGCCATATAAAGGAATGAGTTCATGTCTTTTGCAGGGACATGGATGAAGCTGGAAACCACAATTCTCAGCAAACTAACGCAGGAACAGAAAACTAAACACCGAATGTTCTCACTCATAAGTGGGAGTTGAACAATGAGAACACATGAGCACAGGGAGGGGAACATCACACACCAGGGCCTGTTGGGGGTGGGGGGCAAGGGGAGGGACAGTGTTAGGAGAAATACCTAATGTAGATGACGAGTTGATGGGTGCAGCACACCACCATGGCACATGTATACCTATGTTAACAAACCTGCATGTTCTGCACATGTATCCCACAACTTCATTATTATATAACCTGATATTAGTCCCAGTGTACTTCATTTCATCCTGTTATTTAGTCATATTAACTGTCTGTTTTTTTTTTAAGTAAAAGGTGGTGTAACCGCATGTTCTTTCATGTTCAAGTTAATGAACCCCCCCTTCAAAATCCACTGGAATACTAAAAGTATATTACATATAATCCCCAGTATTTAATTTGGTAAGTAACATATATTCACCAGGCTTGAAAGATGCTCCAATGTAAATAATAAGTATGAATAATATTTCTCATTATAGATTTTTTATAGTTATGAGGAAAATAAAATAATATTACAATACCATTTCGTGAAAAAAGTAGATAGGTTTTCGTGGAAAACCTATACGTAATGTGGAAGTATGAGCATTATACATCAATACTTGGTGCAGGGCTCTAAACGGAAATACGGTTCAGCTTTGTCAAATAAATAGTAAGGAGCAAATTGCACCTACTCAGTTGACAATGCCAACTTCAGCTTCATCACTCAGCAACCAATCTGTGTGCCATTCAGATTAGTGACAGACATCCAAATTCTGACAGACATTGAAATGAAACTTTAAAATATCCAGTAAATGAAATGAAATGCAAAGGCAACAGTACATCAGGTTGGGTAATGGAATACAAGAACCCATTCAGTAATTAGCTCTTTCTGGCAGTAATTAGCTCTTTCTGTCAGCAATTCTGAGCACTTCCCAAGAGCCAGGCATTGAGCTAGGAGTTGCAGAGATAAAGTTTTTGTACCTGAGGGACTCCTGAAATACCACCAGGCAAATCTGCTCTAATGATGGTGCACCGGCAGTGAGCTTGACCAAAGGCATCTGCCCAGTAGAAGAGCATCAGTCTGACCAGCCACTGTTTCTGTTCTTCGAAAAAGTGGCCACAAGTTTTCTGAGGAATGGAGCCATGGGAATATAACTGGTGCCATGTGACGTGGTATTTTGTGAAGAAACCAGGACACTTCATGAAAGATGAGGCGAGAGTATGTTCACATGTTCATTATTAAAAGCATGAACTTTTTTTTCCCTATTGTCCATTAAAAGTGTATTCAACACATATTCGTTGCAACGTAGGACACCACAAAACTGAACAAGAAGGATTCCAAGCCCTACGTATCCCATATCCAGTGGAAGATAGAGATATGCTACTATAAATCAAAACACCATTAAATATATCTTTGAATCAGGTAGTTCAAGATTTCATTCTTAGCCTAGGTCATTTCTTACTGTGTTGTTGTGTAGAGTCATGATCTGACTCCAGTTTTAGTTTGCTTTTTATTATTTTGTTTTAATTTAGCTGTATCTTTCTCTCTTGTGCCATTCCTAATTCCCCAAACCTGCTGGTTTTCTTTGTATCTATAATTCTGATTGCTTTAGCTCAGAATGGACCAGCACTACTTGTTTCTGTCAACCTTCTTTGCCCATGAAAACTTCTCAGAGGCTCTCCCTGGTGAAGATTTTCCAGAGTGAATCAAAACACACCACTCTTTTGTGTTCCTGTATTTTTTCAGTTTTAAGTAATTTTTTTCTTCTTTAATTTGTTCCTCAAACTCAACCCAGAAGTCCTCTACAAAACAGAGCTCATCCTAATCTTCCTTGGATGGCAACTGCCTAGCTCAGAAACACGCACATGGTAGCTGCCTAATATGTATTGGATGAAATGAAATAAATAAAATTATGAATTGATGGCTGTTTATACCAAATATATTACCAAATGCTCATTTGCCTGGGGCTATTCGGGGTGTTTTATTTACGTCAATACAGTAATCCTTTAACATGAGATTCAAACATGTTGCAGAAAGGGCAATAAACCTAATATTTGTTTTTCTTTGGAAACAGGGTTTCCCACCATTGCCCAGATTGGTCTCAAACTTCTGGCTCAAGTGATCCTCCCACCTGAGCCCCCTAAGTAGTTAGCAGTATAGGTACATGCCACTAAACCTCACTTTTGACTCCAGGTGTGTTCCTGGGGGGCTTGGTTGGGGTGGTGAATTTTGACACTAATTTATATTCATAGAGCCATCCTATGAAATTAAGCAGGGGTCAGTAAACTAAACTTTTCTTAAATGGCCAGATAGTAAATATTTTTGGTTCTGTGCATCATATGGTAAATGATTTTGGTTTTGCAGACTGGTCTCTCTCCCAACTACTCAATTACTGTTGTACCCCCCAAACAGCCGGACATGATATATAAATGACATGTAAGCAAATGTGACCCTGTGCCAATAAAGTCTTATTTACAAAACCAGGAGGGGGCTGGATTTGGCCTGTGGGCCATAGTTTGCAGACCCCTGAGAAAGAGGAATTGGTATACACTGAAGACGAAAAAACCAGCGCTCAAAAATACTAAGAATTGTATCCAGTTTCACATAATTCAAAGAGTGAAGGTGAAATTTAATCCCAGGGCCATCCCATGCCAAACTTCTGTTTCCATCACCATGTACTGAGTCTTACAGAGCACCCATTTATATGGTTTAATAATTAAGACACCAAAAATTTCCTTAGGCCCCAAATTTCTCCCTCATCCACTCACTGAATTTAGAGGTTGCATACATAGAAATTCTGCCCTTTGATGCAAGACTTTTCTGCTTTCTGAATTTCAAATAGCCCTCTGAGAGATAAAAGGGTAAGCTGTGTTGATTTTATGCCTATAAACAATGTGTTATCGAAACTCTTCTAATAAAAGCAGTGAGGTTTGCATTCTTGGGCAGGTGAGAGGAAGACAGAAAGATGAGATGGAGAGAACATGCCCAACCTGCGGTAAGACAAGATCAGTCAAGGAAAGCTGTGGACCCCAGAAGATAATCTACATCAACTCAATTTTTCCTGACACTGGCATGCCCAATGAATTGTCTATCCAACGGACCAGATGAAAGGAAAATAAAAACGCACATTTGTTAGATTCGCATTTAGGCTATTTTAGCTTAAAGAGTTCAAATCAATGTGTGGATAACTGAGAATCATTTATTTTATTTTATTTTATTTTAATTTTTTTTGAGACGGAGTCTCGCTTTGTCACCCAGGCTCGAGTGCAGTGGTGCGATCTCGGCTCACTGCAAGCTCTGCCTCCCGAGTTCATGCCATTCTCCTGCCTCAGCCTCCAGAGTAGCTGGGACTACAGGCGCTCACCACCATGCCCGGCTAATTTTTTTTTTTTTTTTTTTTTTGTATTTTTAGTAGAGATGGGGTTTCACCATGTTAGCCAGGATGGTCTCGATCTCCTGACCTTGTGATCCACCCGACTCGGCCTCCCAAAGTGCTGGGATTACAGGCGTGAGCCACCGCGCCCAGCCGGCTAATTTTTTTTAAGAGACACAGTCTCACTATGTTGCCCAGGCTGGTTTCCAACTCCTGGCCTCAAGCAATCCTCCCACCTTGACCTCCCAAATTGCTGGGATTATAGGCATGAGCTACTGTGCCCAGCCAGGATCTAAGAGTTTCACAAACCCATTTATGTTTCTAATAATCTGTGATAATATTGAGAACTCACCAGCAGATAACTAGGACAGATAATCAGTTTAGATAGATACTGTGTTTAGATACTAGGTTTAAGCTCAATGTCAATCTTGTCTTCCTACTTGCTTTATATCCTAGGCAAACTTTTTCTTTCTTTCTTTCTTTTTTTTGTTTTTTAAACAGAGTCTCACTCTGTCGCCCAAGCTGTAGTGGAGTGCACTGGCATGATCTCGGCTCACTGCAACCTCCGCCTCCCGGGTTCAAGCCATTCTCGTGCCTCAGCCTCCTGAGTAGCTGGGACTACAGGCACGCATCACCATGGCCGGCTAATTTTTGTATTTTTAGTAGAGATGGGGTTTTACCATGTTGGCCAGGCTGGTCTTGAACTCCTGACCTCAAGTGATCTGCCCATCTTGGCCTCCCAAAGTGCTGGGATTACAGGCGTGAGCTACCGCGCCCAGCCCTAGGCAAACTTTAGTATTTAATTATAGATGTAAAAACATATTTTTATATATCTTAAGATTGAACCATTGTTGCTTTATTAAAATGATTCAAGAAGAGAAATCCACCAACAATTAGTGTTGCTGACACACGCCATGGGTAAAAAACAGATAAGGTGCATACTACAATGCTAGCAGTATGACCCTGACTTTATAAGAATGTCTCCTCCACTTTCAGTAATAAGCAAAAATGGAATATCATATCTACAATATTCTGAAAAAGTTATGATGTCTGATTTACACTCGATAGTCATAGAAATTAAGAAAATAAAATATGTACACTATTTTTCAAAGATCCAAGTTTTGATTAATTTTATAGATCATCAAGAGATTCAGAGTATTTTCTCTCCCATCTATTCTTGTTCTGGAGAGCCAGAAAATAATTCCAGTTCCATGAGGCAACTATAAAACATTTGGAACCTGTCAAACTTGAAAATATTCCTCCTGCCTTCAAAGAAGCAAGCTACCTTTCCATTAAAGACAATGTTATATCATACTTCCTTCAAGGGATTGTTTCATAAAACTGCATGAACATTCAGCCTTCACTTGAATAGAAATGTTTATCATTAAAACACCTAGCAGCCTGCAGACCTGGAAAAATATAATTCAAAAAGTAATTTATATAGTGACATTTACTACTCTCCTTCCTATAAAATGTAATTTCCCTTGCTTATACTGTAACGTTGTAATTATTCTTTACTTCTAGTTGGTTCATGATGAAATATATAATGTTCTTATAAAAGTCACAGACTAGTGTTTATGAGATTATATATCAACACTGGGATATAAAATCCTGACAAACATTCAACTGTATCCTACATAATCCGTTGAAAAGTCAATCTCTTCTGTGGAATCACCTGAGACCCAAACAATGTGTGTTACTATAGGTACTTTGCACTATGACTTCTTTTTTCTTACTTTTCTTTTATTCCTTTTCTAATCTATGTAAGAGGAATCAGTCCTGAGAATAAAGTGGTCTTTGATAGGTTAACTACCATATCTCTTAATTAACTACCCTATCTTTTAATTGGTCAGCTAAAGTATTACCTAGTTTTAAAAGATAATTAGCAAAGGACCTTAACACAGGGAATCAACCGGTCAAATAGATTTCTTTCATTTAACTGCCTGTTTTGTTCATTTAACTGCCATAATTCTAGTGTCTCCCCACCTGGCTAAAAACTCTCACTGGTAAAGATAATTCCTTTGGAATAGTCAACCAAGTGAAAACACAAACTCTTGGAGGACACAGTTAAAATATGCAAATGGCTTGTAAAAGATGTCCAACCTTGGTTGTTCCAAGATGACACCAAAAGCCATTTCTTTCTCTCTTCCCCTTTAGTATTTATGACCGTAGCAGATGAAAGCTTAAGAAAGCTGTCGTGTTAGAGTGTGGCACAGAGCTGGTTGAATGGAAAGACAGTTGCATTCAGCTGAGTTGCAGTCAATTTACTGAGCTCTTACTATGTTCCTGGAAAATTCAAGAAACCTGTGGGTCCTGAAATAATTGCAGGACCTAGAAACAAACTGAAGTGAACAGAAAGTGGTAAAAGGAAGTCTCCCAAGTTTCTGGTCAGTAGTAACCTCAATGGAGACCAGAGATACATGAGAACATCGAGCTTTGTAAGTGGAGGGAGTGAGTTCAATGTGGAGTATGTTGAGGTTGAGATGCCTGTGTGACATTCAGATACAGGGAATGACAGGCTACAGACATCTGGTATTAGTGGAGAAATCAAGGCTGGAGCTGAGTCATTGAGAATGGACCATGAGTAGGTAGTGACTAAGTTGTCAGAGCAGATAAGGTAGAACCCTGGAGAGCTCCAATGTCCAAGAGCCGGATGGAGGCAGGAGATCCTACAAGGAAACTGAGGTATGAGAAAAATTAAGACATCTGGGAGTCAAACATACAAGGGTCAAGATGTAACAATGGGGAAAGTGTAGTTAAACAAGGACAAACTCATCAGAAATGGTCAATAAAATTACAATGGAAAACATCCATCAGACTTAGAAATTAGCAGGGGCAGATTTGGTGGAAAAGTGAGATTGAAAAATAGATTGCAGAAACTTGAGAAAAAATGTGGAAAGGAGAAAGATAAGATGGTAGCTAGAATGAAACCAGCATCAATGAAAGGTTTGCTTTAGAACTGGAAGCTGAGCAGATCAAGCCAGTGGAGAGGAATAGGCTGAGGTTGTAGGCAAATGAGGGAATAACTAATTAACTTGGTTTCAAAAATATTTTTGTTGCCGTGTTTATATGCCAGGGATTATGACGGATACTGTGACCACATATGTAGATAATCCATGGTCTCTGATGTAGATGAGATTTGACTTCAGTGGATGCAGGTATCTGAGTTGGGGAGGAATGGGTCTAGAAACTGCATGGTGAAGTCCACCACATGCAGAAGGAAGGGTGCCTCCACCTTAGAATACAGAAGACAGGAGAAGATAAACATGGACATAAGAATAGATATGTTTATATTTATGGGGAACCGCATGGCTTACTGAGAGGAAGGGATTTAGACTAGACTGTGTACTCCATGTAATAGATATGTTTATATTTATGGGGAACCGCATGGCTTACTGAGAGGAAGGGATTTAGGGACTGTGCACTCCATGTGCAATGTGGCTCAAAGGAGAGAAAAAGGTTTATAATCATACTTGAGAGGGTAGCAGAAGAAGCTAATTAAAGAATATCTCCCTGAGTTACAGGGTTGTGTGGGGATGCCCCAGGAAGGGTGAAGAAGCTGTGGATATGCTACAGAGATCCAGGGTTCCATAAAAGTTTTGTCTGTGGGCTGGACCATGACAAGGCTCTAGATAATGTAACCTCAACAAGGACAAGTTGAAGTCGGACTTTTTTTCTCCTTGCTTTTGGTTCTGGAAATTAACAGATATTAAATTATGGGAATTTGCAATCCCATACCAGTTTCTAATGGGGAAAGAATGTTGTTTATTGGAAGAACCAGGAGACTAAAAGACATGCTTATTTTATACAATAGATGAAATCTCCACCACCAGTAGAGAAAGACAGCTCTTGCATGAAGCTGAAGTTTAAAGGATTTTGGCCTGAGAAGGGGGTTGGTAAGGAATATAGAAGAATATAGTGAAGGATGAAGTTTTGGGGAAAGAGAGAATTGAAGATAACTAGGTAGCTGTCTTGAGAGTGGAACTCCAAAAAGAGAGAGATCTGTAACTACGCTGATATTTTCTAAAGAAAACTTTGACTGCTCTTTACAAAGAATAGATATTTAAGAAAGAGCAGAAACATAATACTAATTAGGAGACTATTTCAATTTATAGGAAAGAAAAGACAATAGCGTGAACAAGCGAAAGAACTGGACAGATTCCATATGGAATTTAAAATTAGAGACAAAAGGACTTTCTGAAGAATTGAATTTCTGGAGAGAAAAAACAGAGAAAAATGAAGAATGACTTCTGCATGTTTGGCTTGAGCAAAAGGGTGAATGTTGGTGCCATTTACTGAGATAGGCGAGCCCAGGAGAGGAACAGGTATGGGCGAAAATCCAGAGCTTGTGTTTGAACGTTTTATTTGAAATATCTGCAAGCCATCCAAGGGGAGGTGCTAAGTGGGTGGCTGAATGCAGGACTCTGGAGTTCAAAGAGTGGTCAGGGTGGGAGGGCAGGGAGTCATTAGCACACAGATGGTGGTTAAATCCTTGCAACTCAATGAGACCTCCAGGGGAGAGACCAGTGGCCCATCCACCTTCATTCTTTCCTCACGCTGAGTTCTCTGCCCATGCAATGCGCTTCTCTAACTCTCTACACTCATCCACGCTGCTGCGTTTGTGTGGAATGATGTCCATTCCTTGTGGGCCTGCAGATCGCTCACTCTTCAGGACTTCATGAGGGATGATGTGACTCTCATTCCCCAACTCCATGTTGGTCATTTCTGCTTCCACTGTTTCCTGTAGTTCTGTCTGTATGCAACACACAGATCTTTGTTATTATTTTACATATTTATCTCCCAAATTCAAAATTAGGCACTTTTAAGGCAGAAACCAAAATACATCATCGTGCTAGGAATAATGTATGTGTGTGTATATATGTGTGTGTGTGTGTGTGTATGAGTATGTATGTGTGTATAGTTATGTGCGTGTTTGTGTATATTTGTAGACACATGTGTATATGTATGCATATGTGTACATATATACCTATGTGCATACTATTTATAGAAAATTATGGAACATATTGCTATACAGTACGTATATATAGTGTATATAGTGTATTACAGTATATAGTGTATATATAATATAGTATTCCTGGCATTAGACACAGTGATGTCATAATTCATAGGCACACAATTTCAATGCGATGGGTAGATGGATGAATGGATTAAAAATGAATGAGGTTACTAAACATATTTCCATGAGAACTTTTAGGTAAAATTTATATTGTACCGAGACTCACATAAAAATTGACCATTTCAAGTCCATTTAATCTCCAAAGAGACTATTTCTCAAACAGATAGAAATCTCTGTTTCTGGACCATTTTTTGAAGCATTATTTCAAACAAACCTGCCCATTTGGATCCTACGTTTTCCCAGGGGTGGAAGGTAATTATGAGCAACCCCTGTGTCTCACTCTGCAGGACCAGCATTGCCTTTCCTAAATTCAGACAAATGTTTAACACATTCTTCTTCTCCTTCTGAACAAGGCCCACTGTCCTGATCAAAGGCAGCTATGATGACGGGGTCCTGCTAGCCTAAAAAATCAACATCGGAGGAGCCCCTGCGACAAACGCCTCCTCCCTCCTACTCTCATTTAATTTGTCCCAGTTTCCTGAAACCTTGCTAGGAGCCCCTGCATGGCAGTTCTAACCGGTATCGACGTTTGAACAAAGCCAGAAACATCAAGTAACTTATTCTCTAAGATATGAGTGTCATATAAGAAAGACTCTTCTATTGTTTTGCTCAGTTCCCAGCAAACATACTAACATACTAGGTAAGAAAAAAAGAAACAAGGAAAAGCAATATGAGAATGATTTAGTAACTTCACTCAATGGAGTATTAAGTAACCTTTCAAGCAGTAATTATGACCACTGTGTAGTACTAGGAAAAACAGGCATGCCACACCACTTTTTGTGCCCCCTATCCACTCGCGTACATACAAACACATTATTCTCAGTACTATGATTTATTTTGGTCTCTGCCTTCAAAAGTGCCCAACTTTGATTTGGGAGATAAATATGTAAAACAATTGCACAAAAATAAGTGTATTGTATACAGAACTAGAGAAACACTGTAATCCCAGCACTTTGGGAGGCCGAGGCAGGTGGACCACCTGAGGTCAGGAGCTCGAGGCCAGCCTGGCCAACATGGTGAAACCCTGTCTCTACTAAAAATACAGAAATTAGCCAGGCATGGTGGTGCACGCCTGTAATCCCAGCTACTCAGGAGACTGAGGCAGGAGAACCGCTTGAACCCGGGAGGCAAAGGTTGCAGTGAGCTGAGATCACGCCATTGCACTCCAGCCTGGGTGACAGAGCTAGACTCTGTCTCAAAAATACCAAACAAAACAAAACAAAACAAAACAACAACAACAACAATTACAGAAACAGTGGAAGCAGAAATAACATCAAGTTATAACAGTTTAACTGTACGTAATCTCCTGAAAAACAAGTATGCAGAATGCATATGTGCACGTCATGTAAACATAAAAACAGTCAATCTGTTAAAATGAGACACAATAAGTTTTCTTAAATTTCCATTACAACACCAAAATTGCACCTACAATAGATAAAAACCATAAGAAAGAATTCAAAAGTCAAACTGTTTCGTATGTCGTAGTTTAAATACTTTAGTCACATGCATGTGGGTAAGAAGATTTGCCATATAATTATTCCAAATCAAAAACTCACTCTCCCTCCATTGTGCCTTGTTGTGATATGGCGCCCATCATGTCACAATCATCTTGAAAAACATGACACAGTCACTTACTGTTGTTGGTTGCATGTGTCGATGTGAAGTGAAGGGACACCTTTGCACTCTTCAGCCGTGTCTGTCCCCAGTACGTTATGGCTTGCAATTCCACAACATAGTCACAGTCTGGCTGGAGTTTCTCCAGGATCACAGAATTTTGAAACTAGAAATTAAGAGAATATACCCAAAATGCGTTACAAACCTTCCACGTCTCTCATCTTCATTGCAAAATCTCGTGTGTCATTATGAAGCATGCCAACTTCTGATTTCTTTTACCAACTTTTCTATATCTTTGGGATCTGAAAATTCAGTTTTACTACTGATCAAAATAAACTTCAGGCCAGGTGCGGTGGCTCCTGACTGCAATCCCAGCACTTTGGGAGCCCGAGGTGGGAGGATCGCTTGAGCCCAGGAGTTTGAGACTACCTGGGCAACATAGCAAGACTGTCTCTACAAAAAAAATTAATTGGGCATGGTGGTGTGCACTTGTAGTTCCAGCTACTCAGGAGGCTGAGGTGAGAAGATTGAACCCAGGAGGTTGTGGCTGCAGTGAGCTGTGATCGCACCACTGCACTCCAGCCTGGGCAACAGAGTGAGACCCTGTCTCAAAAAATATAATGAAATAAAAAATAAAAATAAACTTCATAGAAAGGCCAAATGTATTTTGAAATACTGTTTCTAAACCAATTATTGGTCTCAGATACCATGGAAATAAATCATTCTGAGCCCTCGCCACTCTGAGACACCACCTCTCGAAGGAAAGGGAGCTGTTTATAATAAAGTAACAGAGATCTATGTTGCCACATACATGGAAAAATTATGAATTGGCACTAATTGCAATTCTTTGATATCTGTTCTAAATTTTCTAGGAGCAAATTTCCACCAAAAGCTATACAAAAGAAAAATTAACTTGACAAAATGCTTCAAGGTGCTTCATTATTTTCTGTCATAATGTATTGGGCAGGGGGCTGGAGGGTGGGACCTGTCAGCATTTCATCATGTCACTTTTTGCTCTAGATTCCTAAGTGATTCCCCAATTTCAGCTCTTCCAGCTCATGCAATAAGTGTGCACTACCATTATCATTTGTAGCAAAATCCTTCAATATAAAAAATGGAACTGTCATAAAATTTCATAAAAATAAAGTGGGGCTGGGCGTGGTGGCTCACGCCTGTAATCCCAGCACTTTGGGAGGCCAAGGTGGGCGGATCACGAGGTCAGGAGATAGAGATCATCCTGGCTAACATGGTGAAACCCTGTCTCTACTAAAAATACAAAAAATTAGCTGGGTGTGGTGGCGGGCGCCTGTAGTCCCAGCTACTCGGGAGGCTGAGGCAGGAGAATGGCGTGAACCCGGGAGGCGGAGCTTGCAGTGAGCCGAGATTGCTCCACTGCACTCCAGTCTGAGAGACAGAGCGAGACTCCCTCTCAAAAATAAATAAATAAAGTTAAAATAGTATAATGGCTAAATATCAATGATACCAACTTTTTGAGGCATGTTTTATAATTCTGAAGAGCACAGATATTGAAATCTTTAGCCTTGCTATCTTTTCATTTCTAAACATTTATTTATGGAATTCAACTTTATAAGTGATAGGAAAAGGTATTTATGTAAATTTTATGACAAGATAAAGGAATGTATACTAAAAGGAATCCAAATAACTATTTTTATGCAGTAAGCATTTCAAATAATACAAGATGCTTGTTATCATAAGAATCTCATTGCAGAAAATGGTTCAATGAAGATTTTATTTCTTGGCATCTGACGGATAAACCACTCCAGATCCTTTTAATCAATGAGAAGAACATATTGTGAGACGTGGCCTTCCTAAGCTGTTACTGCTCAGTGATTAGATTACAGACGGAAACACTTCGCAACAGAAAAGCCATGAACATCCACTCTTCCATTTACAAGGATCTCTCTCTCTCAAAAAAAAAAAAAAAAAACTTAAAAGTAAAGTACATTTTGCATAATATCATTTTCTATGGCCAGACAGGTAAGATGGGGATCATTTAAACTGTTCCTTTGATTTCCAGAGTTCTGACTGACATTTAGATAGGAGTAGGTCAATGGTCTAAATGCAAATGCTTCTGCCTAAAATATAAAAGGCAAAACAGCCGGCATGCCCCTGCATTCTGTGAACTTCCTCGGTAGAAATGAATGGGAGGGAAGCTTTCCTGCATCCATGGCATCTCTCAGTTTAGCAGAGGCCTCTTTTCAGGCCAGTTGCCTTGAGTTGAAATACCCTCTGTGGGAATAACAATCCTTCCTCCAGTTCCCACTCACCCCATCCGTAGTCTTTCTCCGCTTCTTCTTTGTTGGGACAAGAGACTTACTGCTGACCATCCAGCTCCAAAAGACCTTGTAATGATGCACAGGGATGTCCGGCTCCTCGGGGAGATCCCAAACTATAGTGACGGTCACACTCCCATCACTGTTGACGGTGGAGTTGGCCAGCCGGAGGTTAGCCGGTGCTGGTGGGGCAGATGGATCTGAAATCCCAGTACAAAGACACATCATATGACTCCACAAAACTAACATCTTTGGACATGTAATGACTACATGGTCAACACGTGAAGCATTGCTTTTTATAGATAGAAAAGCTGAAAACGGGGGTGGAGGGGCATGGTGGCTCATGTCTGCAATCCCAGCACTTTGCAAGGCTGAGGCTGGCAGATATCTTGAGCTCAGGAGTTTGAGGACAGCCTGGGCAACATAGTGAAACCCTGTCTCTACAAAATTTAAAAAATTAGCTGGGCAGGGTGGTGCATGCCTGTGGTCCCAGCTACTCAGGAAGCTGAGGCGGAAGGAGCGCTTGAACCCGGGAGGTCAAGGCTGCAGTGAGCCGCGATTAGCACCACTGCATACCAGCCTGCGCAAGAGAATGAGACACTGTCTCAAAAAAAAAAAAAAAAAGTAAAAGAAAGGCAAAGCTGAAAACAAGCAGTTAAGTAAGATCTCCTTGTTAAGCCTCAAATTAAAAGATAGAGTATTAAACAGTAAGATAAATTTGTTTGGTCCAAATTTGTAATACAGAAGGATCGTTTTAGGCATTTCCATACCACGGCAACCCAGCCAAATTTTTACTGTGCTGAAATTGACATATTTTAGTAAAATATAGTACAATTCAATGTGGGTGAATTGACATTAAATAGGTAAGCAACAAAGAATCACCTTTTAACACTCTGAAAAGAAAAAGAAATTCAGCTCATAAAAGCAATTGTTTTCATCTTCGTGCCCTGTAGCTAGCAATTCTTGCATCAGTTAAGAACAATAAAGGGAAATCAGAAAAGAAAAAAAATATAAAAACCTGCACCATTTTTTATCCACATTGCACACTGGATGACTTATGGATAGCATTCATTTTTGTGATTGTACCATTTCTGGTTTGTCTTATTAACAAAAACCTTCTCAGCTGTCAAGAGAAAGATGAGGTGCTGGAATTACCACCTCACAAATCTCCACTGAAAATACATATATGAAGAAGATTAAATATACCAAAGCTGGAGGGTCTTTACTTCATTTTCTATTACAAATTGAGCAAGTGGAGATGCTGCTCACCACCAGTGATTTACAGAGGGTTTCATTTCAAGATGCCATCACGGGAAGATGCTGTCAATAATTCTAATTATAGCACCATCTGTGTTGGAGGCTCAAAAAAGTAATATCTAACTTGATATACATGAAGAAGACTGGAGAAAAAAAATCCTTGTTTTTATTCTCAGTCATTTGTGGTTTTGGAATGATGGAAACATAACTTATTTTTTGAAATTTCTTGCTTTCCTCTATGATATATCATGTCTGGACATTTAGTTAGGTTAGTTCCTTTATTTTCTAAAATAAGAAAGCTTCATAGTATTTTTTAGGTAAGAGGCTAATTGAAAGCATATTATGTGATACTGCTAGTCAAGTCATTTTTTTTTTAAATTAACTTTTATTTTCAGTTCCAGGGTACATGTGCAGGCTTGTTACAGAGGTAAATATGTGCCATGGTGGTTTGCTGCACAAATCAACCCATCACCTAGGTATTAAGCCCAGCAACCATTTAGCTGTTCTTCCTGATGCTCTACCTCCCCACCTCCCCCAAGCAGGCCCTGGTGTGTGTTGCTCCCCTCCATGTGTCCATGTGTTCTCATCCTTCGGCTCCCACTTAGAACTGAGAGCATGCAGTCTTTCGTTTTCTGTTCCTGCATTAGTTTGCTGAGGATAATGGCTTCCAGCTCCATCCATGTCCCTGCAAAGGACATGATCTTGTTCCTTTTCATGGCTGCATAGTATTCCATGGTGGATATGTTCCACATTTTCTTTATCCAGTCTACTGTTGATGGGCATTTGGGTTCATTCCATGTCTTTGCTATTGTGAATAGTGCTGCAATGTACACAAGTGTGCATGCATCTTTATAATAGAATGATTTATATTCCTTTGGGTATATAACCAGTAATGAGATTGCTGGATCAAATGGTATTTCTGAGTCAAGTCATTCTCAATCAACATCAGGAATCTCTGGAATGTCCAAGACTTATACTGGGATATGCTGATTCCCTGAGTGCAGGTGGGACCCAGGATTATGTATATCTTATATGAAACACACAGGTAATATGAGGTAGATGACCTGCAGGTCAAAAGTACTGCATCAGGTGGCTCCTATGAGGTCTGAACATCACATATGTAAGGAGGAAATGTATTTTTCCTGTCGTTATTGGAATGGGAAGCACCCCAATATGGAGGTCTGGCAGAGCCATGTGAGGACTCCCCCAGTCATCAATATTCACAACACTGCTGATCACTTCCTTCTCTAAGAAATGCAGGCTTCATTTGGTGTTCAGGACACTACTCTACTGGATTTTTTTTTTTTTTTTTTTTTGAGACAGAGTCTCACCCTGTCACCCAGGCTGGAGTGCAATGGTGTGATCTTGGCTCGCTGCAACCTCTGCCCGCCTGCCTAGTTTAAGAGATTCTCCCACCTTGGCCTCCCAAGTAGCTGGCATTACAGGCACCTGCCATCATGCCTGGCTAATTTTTGTATTTTTGTAGAGATGGGGTTTCACCATGTTTGCCAGGCTGGTCTTGAACTCCTGACATCAGGTGATCCACTCGCCTTGGCCTCCCAAAGTGCTGGGATTACAGATGTGAGCCACCACGCCTGGTCTCTACTGGATTTTCATTCAGTTTCAACAGAAGCTATTTTTCAGCCCCATGCTCCATGATCCTTAACATCTCATAATCTCTAGACAGGAGAGTGTTCTGCATCTGAATTCAGGGGCCTCTCTCTTCTCATCTACACTCACTCTCTAGGGATCTCATCAGGTGTCACAGTTTTAAAAAAATCTTTGTGCTGATAACTTTCAAATTGATATCTTTAACATAGACTATGCTCCTGAATGCAGATCCAATCATTCAAATATCAATACTCAAAAAATACCTTCCAGTAGCTCCACTTGGAGGTCTCAGAGGCATTTCAAAACTAATGTGTCCCAAAGAAAAATCATGATCCCTATGCACAGCCCACCACCAACACATATCCTACCACACACAGCCCACCACTGACACCCCCATCTCAGTACATGGGAATTGCTCTTTCCAGTTGCTCTGGCCCCAACCCTTGAAGTCATACATTTATTTTCCACTCATATCTCTTGAGCAAATTGTGTTAGCACTACCTTCAAAGTGTAACAGGAATTTAACTGCCTTTTACCACTTCCAATGCCCTGGGCCAAGTGCCAAGGGCTCTCCACTGCCTCCCTAGAGGTTTTTCTGAATACAGCAGTCTGATGATTCTATACTGCCAGACCATGTCACTCCTGTGCACAGAATCTCCTTACTTAGGGTAAAAACCCAGGAGTCTCCTGAATGCCTTGCAACCCGTGCCTCAGTTACCTCCCAGAGCACCTTTCATTTTATCACCTCCACCCCTCAGCCCAGCCACACTGGTTCCCATGCTGTTTCTTGGAGAGGAAAACCGCGATGCTACTGAGGCTTTTCCTCTCCCTTTGCCTAAACGCTTTCCCTGATGTCTCCACGGCTGGCTCCTTTCCTGCTGCAGGTGGTGACCCTATTTAAAATAGCTACATATGCTTTGCTCCATTTACCAAAAAAAAAAAAAAAAAGTCACCATGATTATGCCTTGCTTTATTATTCTCCAAGCCCTTATTACTAACTGTTATGGTAAATATTGAGTGTCAACTTGATTGGATTGAAGGATGCAAAGTGTTGATCTTGGGTATGTCTGTGAGGGTGCTGCCATGGAGATTAACATTTGAGTCACTGGACTGGAAAAGGCAGACCCTCCCTCAATCTGGGTGGGCACCATTCCAATCAGCTGCCAGTGCAGCCAGAATAAAAGCAGGGAGAAGAATGTGGAAATTTTAGACTGGTTTAGTCTTCTGGCCTACATCTTCCTCCTGTGCTGGATGCTTCCTGCCCTCGAACATCAGACTCCAAGTTCTTCAGCTTTGGGACTCAGACCTTTGAACACAGACCGAAGGGCTGCACTGTCGGCTTCCCTACTTTGGAGTTTTGGGGACTTGGACTGGCTTCCTTGCTCCTTAGCTTGCAGATGGCCTATTGTGGGAACTCATCTTGGGATTGTGTGAGTCAATACTCCTTAGTAAACTCCCCTTTATATATACATCTATCCTATTAGTTCTGTCCCTCTAGAGAACCGTGACTAATACACAAACTGACTTATTAGGTACCTTGTTTGCTGTCTGCTTCTACTCACGATAATGAAAGCTCCCTGAGAGGAGGAATGTTTGCTTGTTTTTTCACATCTGTATCTCCAGAGTCCAGAAGAGCACCTAGCACACAGTATGTGCTCAGTAAGCAATTGCTGAATGAATAAATGAAGGACAGGCTTCTAAACGTTAGCTTTGATTTGTAATGTGATATTTCAGTTTCAGGTTCAAACTCTGTCAATCAGAATTGCTAGATCACAAGATCCTAAAGTGAATTGCAAAATCAAAGGAGTGTTCTTCCCAGTTTGAAATAAAATAATTAAAGCAACACCTCTTCCTCTGGTGTAGGAATCAATCCTTAACCTACAAAAGGTAGTTACCAACCTTTCTGGGAGGGAACCTAGTTTACAACTGAATCGTCACTTCAAGGCAAGAGAAGAATTAAAATGTGTGAAAATAACAGCCGTTCGTGTTCTCGGCAATGCACCTGAATGTCTATATGCTGAAAATAAGTAGTCACATGAATATTGCAGATATTCTAGGCTCAGAAGGAAAAGCTCAAAATAATCTCCTCTTCTAAAGAAACTCTAACATTTAAGAAGGTCACTGAATTTGATCATCTTCTTTAGTTTATGTTATTCATTACATCATTTCCTGCCCTGGAAAATTTTTCTTAGATGTTATCATAATAATCTAGAATAACATCATCTATTTTATGAAACATTATGAAACATGAAACAACACAATTTATGAAAACAACATTTGAGAAAACAATGCATTAAAAGATATGAATTAATAATATTTTCTTTACATTTTTCTCAAAAGGAAGGCCCATTTTGAATTTACAATACCAAAATGGCAAACTTCCATTACCAAGATAAGGTACTCCCATCTCTTTCTCCCCCAAAATAATCACCATAAAACTGTAAAACCAGGTCAGACATGGTGACCCACGTCTGTAATCTTAGTGCTTTGGGAAGCTGAGGCAGGAGGATTGTTTGAGGCCAGGAGCTCAAGACCAGCCTAGGCAATAGAGAAAGACCCTGTCTCTACAGAAAAAAAAATTTTAAATTAGCTGGGGCATGGTGTTGTGTGCCTGTTGTCCTAGCTACTCAGGAGGCTGAGGCAGGAGAACTGCTTTAGTCTGGGAGTTCAAGGCTACAGTGAGGTACGACTGCACCACTGCATTCCAGCCTGGATGACAGAGTGAGATTCTGGCTCTTAAAAAAACAAGAACAAAAAGAAAACAAAACCAAAAGAGAGTGGCAGCGATCACCTGTTTGTTGCCGTGATTCTCCTCTGTAAACCAGCCATTCATTTATCCATTTATTCACTATGGGGTTCAGGTGAGACAGGGTCAATCCAGTTTCTCTAATCTGAAGCATTTTACTCAGTCCTAACAAGTTTCTATATCTAAGTCATTCTCTGCCTTGAGAATTGGTTCCCTACGTTATGAAGCAAGGTGTATTCATTCGGCTGAATTATACAGAATGTTTTCTTTCATTATGCATGATATTTTAATTGTTTTAGAATTTTGAAATGTAGTTGGAGATTTCCATGTGAAATTTATATATATATATACACACACACACACACACACACATACACACACACACACACACACACACACATATATAGATGTACATATGCATAAATAGACAGTGGCTGATGAGAGCCAGAGAGTCAGAGAGGGAAACTCTATACGTTATTATAAAGCCCTAAGGAATTTTACAACTTATTTCACCTTTTTTTAACTGGGGAGGGTTTTAGGGGTCAGAGAGGTAAAGATATATGTCCAAGGTCATTCACATCATTGATGGCAGAACAAGGAGCGTGAGAACAAAAAGGAAAGGAGAAAAACGGGGTTGAAGGTCTAACAATACACACCTCTACATGCCACACTCTACATATATATTCCACCATCAAAATAAGGGACAATATCCCTACAGAATGTAAAAATTCAAAGCCTTTTAATGGGAAAAGTGTCTGTTACAATAGGCTAGTGCAGGCATTGATAGGCCTTTTCTGGAAAGGGCCAGATAGTAAAGATTTTAGGCTTTGCGGACCATATGGTCTCCGTTACAATCACTCAACTCTGCCCTCATAGCTCAAAAGCAGCCACAGACAATATGTAAACAAATGAGTGTGGCTATGTTCCAATAAAACTTTATTTGCAAAACCAGGTTGCAGGCCAAATTTGGACCCTGGGCCACAGACTGCTCTCCCCTAGTTGGGAGAATTTCAAAAAGTGTGAAACCATTAGGTTTAGGAAACTCGACATGAGCACTGTTTATCCCTAATTTTACAAACATACAGCTGCATTTTGTCTATTAAATGTTAACATTATTGTTCTTATTTTAGAGATGGGGAAATTGAGGATCACAGTTTGATTCACTACTTCAAGAGCAGAGTTTGATTTACTACCTCTTCAAGTGAGAGGATGGGAGGCACACCACAAGACCAGTGCTCTCCTAACCCTTCCTCTGAGTCTCAAATCTGGGCATTTTCCCCCAGCTCACTTCTCTTTCTGTTTGATGCCAACTCCCTCCTTATGATCTTCACAATTATCTGCAGAAACACACTGCAGAGAGCAAGCACATTTTCAGAGATAACTGAAATAGGAAGGCTGTATTAGCTCCTTCTACGCTATACAATTAGTGTGATTACCAACGTAAAATATGCTAAATATTTAGCATGTATACCCAATTTCAGCCTTGGGGAAAAATAGTTCCTTTTATTGATGATCACATGTGGTGCTTTCAGGAGAGAAAGATGGAACATTTGGATTTCAGAAAGATAAATTTCAGGTTTCATCACTTAACCTCTTGTGTTTCATGCCACAAACAGGCAAAGTAACAAGCACGAAGGTTTGACACAATGGAAAGACTTTGAGCCTATGTTGGGTAAAGTGACAATAAAATCACTTATCACCCTTGGAGAAATGCAGGCCTATTATTGCACTGACATGAATCTCATGGGAAAAGACCACTTCTGCTTGTCCCAGCAGAAATGCCATCACTTTTTCTGAGGCAGGCTCCTCTAGGTTTAAGACAACACTATTTGTTAAATACAGAAACCCATGAGGCCATAAAGAGAGCAACGATTATAGATCATCATAAAGAAACATGCACATGTGCACATGGAGAACAATACCTATTTCAAGAAAATGAATGTTGATTTTACTTATTTCATTTCTACCAATAATGTCTATAGATTAAACTTCGCACTGAAACGCATCATAAGAACACCTCATAAGGTATACTTATGGTATATACTTGATGTAACTTTGGTCAAGTGCAGTTATATTTTAAAAACAATAATATAACTGTGTCACAAAGTTTTCAACTAAATAGAAGTTTGCTTCTAATAATATTTAAACCTTTTTTTTTCTTTCCAGACTTGGCAGTTGGGGTAGTGTTCCTTCTCCCTTAAAAAAAAAAAAAAACTTAGCAAAGCTGCTGAAGCTACACTGCAGGCAAATTTCCAACTATTAAATAGTTTCAAGACATATGTACAGCCAAGCCTTTTGCCCATTGGAAATGGCACATCCCGAGCAGCTGTGGAACAGAGTAAAAAGTCATGGGTCCCCACGGGGCAACAGGGAACTTTATTACCATCAGTGATGTCTGCTCTAGTTTTACTGACACTCTGTAATGCATGCATGGAATAACATCCAGTGTGATACTTATATGCTGTGAAAACAATGCTGTCTGCTTCCTTTTCCTTTGTAATGTATCCTATGCACATGGAGAAATAAGGAGAAAAAGATGGATGAAGAACTTGGAATTTAGAGGGAAATGAATATAATTACTAAAAGATAATATGCTAGGTTAAGGATAATTTAAGTTGGATTTTTATGTTTCTTCATAAGATCCCTTAAAAGTGTGTTATTTTGTGATGTCAAATTGATATTGACTAATTTCAAATGAACAAACATGCTTGCCCGCTTTTGGCAACATATCAAAAAAAATGAATTTGGATTTTGCCTTATACAATCCACAAAATCAGAACTCTTCCTTCTTTTACTACCCATATTGACACATAGATGTAGTCACAGTAGCCAGAAACAAACACATTATTTCCCAAATTCAGCAAACTGGTAAATACTATTTTGTAATAGGTAGTAGCTACTTAGCAATATATATTTCCAATCCTAAGCATGCAATATTCTGTATTTTTGTATTTTGTAATTTTGTATTTACTTTATTTGTAAAAATACGAATGTTTATTTGTAAAATAACTATTTTTACTCATTTGATAAATATCAGCAATATCAAGGAAAGGTTAAACACCAACTTACTGAAAAAGATAAGCAACTGCAACATGGAACCCAAAGGTGTTTTTATATTTGTAACCCTGACTCCAAATTGGTCATTCCCAAAATCTGGGCTCTCTGTTGGTTAGACATTAGTGGTCTTCTCATTCCAAGAAGTGAACAATAATGTAAAGCTCGTCAGATTTTGGGAAATGAGAGAGGTGAAAATAAAAGAAACTAGAAAGGGATGCCTGTGTCTGATTATTAACTTTGTACCATAGAGGAAGAAGATTAGGAATATTTAGTAATGTGGGAATTCCTTTCATGATTTCATCACATTTTATTCATGAAACTATTAATATATTTATTTTAAACCGTAATTCAAAATGTATTAGATCCACTCTGTAACAGGAATCACGCTGATGTTGAGTTAAACAAGAGGTAAACAACAGATGTTTTCAGGGTCCCACCCTGACTTTCTTGTGCTAGGCTGTTTCAGGGCACACCAGCTCAACTTCTGAATGCCCTCCCACACCTCCTCACCTAAGGCTGTGTCTGGGCTCAGAGCAAGCTCCGCCAGCATGCAGACCAGATACGCTAGGAACAGCTGCAGACAAAGACTGACTTGAACACCCTTAACCCCCCTCCAGCGAGGAGTTCTGAGGTGTGTGTGCTTCACGCTAGCTCCCTGAGTGCCCCGTGGAGAGGAAGCTTAGGTTGCCTATGGTAAATAATTCACCCTTTACTGTATTCCTTCTACACCCTGTCCTACTTCCCTTCCTACCTACCACATTCTTGGATCACTTCCTAAGTAAACTGCTCACACTCAAAGCCTTCACTTGGATCAGGTTCTGAAGGTGTCTGATCTTTGATGGGCAATCTCTATTTGTTGAAATCTGTGTTTCAAAGCAGCAAATATCAACTTATGTAGCAATATGCAGACATATCAACATCTCGTGCTCAGAGGTTTCATGTTGTTTGTTCCAAATGGAATGGGATAGAAAACTTTAGGTAGACCCCCAGGAATGACCTGTGAAGGTAACTTACTATGTGCAAAGATGCAGTCCCACATTCTAAATAAAGAGACAAAAAGTAGAAATGAGCACTAGGCATTAATCTATTAAACTATTATGCATCTTTAATTTCAAAGCCAATTTCCCATCTCAAGTACCAGGAAGAAATACAGTATTTAAGTAGGCAAATATAAAAATTATCCAAAACTCTTAAAAAATTAATGATTTTGCCCATCCTATATTTATGCATTTTTTCTGGGAGGGGTAAGAGTTAGCAATAAAAATACTCAGAAATGGTATTCCCCAGGAAAAGGAAAAGCATGAAACTAATTTACTAATCTATGAATAACTTAGAATTTTCTATAAAAATAGTTAATGTTGAGTTAGGTCTAAGTTATGGGAAAATAAATGAGTTAAGAAGAAATTAAATAGTAGTCAATCCATTTTGCCAAACACGGACTAATTTTGTGTTTTAAAATAACTATAAAGAAGATAAGGACAAGAAGTTTGGCTTTTCCATGAAAATCAGTTTTATAGTCCATGAATCCTATGCAGTGAGCCTAAACTAACTGGAACTCATTTTACCTATTTTTGCTGTTTAATTTTACTTTTATTTGCTGAGATATTCATGGTAGATGAAAAAAATAAAAATAAAAACCCTTCCTGCTTTCCTTGACCCAGCCTTAAGTTATCAACACTGTCTCTCTACCCAAACCAAATACACTAGATAATTGCTTACTCCTTGCACAGACTACTACCTTGGAAGTGGTGACTGTTTTTTAAAAGTAATTTTAAACCACTGGAAGACTGGCACAGTTTCAATTCTGGAGCAAACAGGGATAAATGGGCATTTATTGAATGAAAATGCACCATTTTTTGAAACACCACGGTCATTGCAGTTATTATGAAAATGTTGTTCTATCTCTCACGTTGACAAATACACCTGATATGGTTTGGCTGTGTCCCCACCGAAATCTCAACTTGAATTGTATCTCCCAGAATTCCCACATGTTGTGGGAGGGACCCAGGGGGAGGTAATTGAATCATGGGGGCAGGTCTTTCTCGTGCTATTCTCGTGATAGTGAATAAGTCTCATGAGATCTGATGGGTTTATCAGGGGTTTCTGCTTTTGCTTCTTCCTCATTTTCTCTTGCTGCCACCATGTAAGAAGAGTCTTTTGCCTCCCACCATGATTCTGAGGCCTCCCCAGCCATGTGGAACTCTAAGTCCAATTAAGCCTTTTTTGTTCCCAGTTTTGGGTATGTCTTTATCAGCAGCATGAAAACAGACTAATACAACACCCAAAATTTACATTTCCATATGTCTCAATTTGAGGTGCATCCCAGATGTTAGTTCTTGCAGTCTTACAAACCAAAAATGTAAGCACTGAATTCATAGTAGATTCCATTATGTTTTCCGTAAAGATGCATCACAGAATTATGGGAGTTTAACAAATCAGTAAAACGGTGGAAGACACTCCCTCCAGGATATGTCTAAAGGAGACTTAACCAGTACACTAACAAGATGCTGCCACATCTTTCCCTACCTTTCTCAAGCTCATCAAATGTAGAAAAGAGCCTCACTGCGAAAAAATGTCTTTAACAACTTTTTTGAAATATGTAACTTCCATACCATAAAATTGTCTCATCTTAAGTGCTCACTGACATTCTTATATTTACTGTGTTGTGTAACTATCACCATCACTGGGTTCTAGAATGAGTCCATCAACCCAAAAAGATTGATCCTTCATCCCTTACTGAGAAAATTTAAAGGTAGAAACAACAACACAACATTTTCTGTCTTTACCTTCTCTTTTTATTACTCTTGTTTCATTTCCTCATATATTGAACAAGGATTTGTTGGGCAGCTACTATGTGTCAGGTACTGTTCTAGGCAGTGGGAATAAGAAGTAAAAAAGAAAACACATCTGGTCTTATGAAACACAGAAACAGACACACACATTCATCCTAATTGAGTGCAAGGAGAAACAGTGCACAAGATTAACAAGCAAAATACTAAGGCAGGGTAGACAGTCATAACAGAAAATAAGAACAAAAATACAACACGGGCAACGTGGATTTGTTTGCTTGTTTGCTTACACATATAAGTAGCATGGCTAAAGATGGTTTTGCTGGAATAGAGATATTTGTATAAAGAAGGTGAGCCAGCCAGCCTTTCAACAATCTGAAGGAAGAGCATATCCCCGGTCCAGGACCAGGTAAATGCCAATATCCTGAAGCAAGGGAAAGATTATAGTATTCAGAGAACACAGAGGAGCCTAGCATGTTGAGCAGGAAAACAGGGAGGGTAGTGATGAAGTCTAAGAGGAAGGAGAAAGGGGGGGTCAACTGGGTCTTAAAATCCATTGTAAAGAACATGGCTTCTACTCTGAATCAGATGGGGGAAGCTGCTGGGACACTTTGAGCAAAAAACTGTCGGGAAGTGGCTCAGATTTTAGAAGGATCACTCAGGTGGCTGCGTTGAGAGAGGACTAAAAAGGAGGGGATCCAGAAGTGGAAATCCGGAAGCAGGGATGAGAGGCCTGGGTCTGAAACCCAGGATCCGGAAGTGGGGATCCGAAAGCAGGAATGAGGGGCCAGGATCAGGAAACAGGAATCCAGAAGCCTTAAGGCAGAAGCCAGGAGGCAGAAGTGGGGATGTGATTAGGAAGCTAATACAATTCCCAGTTAAAGACAGAACTGAGCGGATTAGGGGAAACACAGGGAAAGGTGAATCAAGGCAGATCTGAGGATTTGCGGTGGCTTGCAGAAAATGTTTAGAGTGGAGAATGACTGCAGGCCTCTTTTGCCACAAACTGCTGCAAGAGCAGCATTGCCGATTACTCAAATGGAGGCTATTGAGAGAAAGAGTGCTTAAGGGAAAAGTCCTTAATTTCCTTGGGGATGCTCGTATTTCCAGAAAGAGAGTAATCATTTGTCGATCACTGTGACTGCTATGCTTTTGGCCTTTTTTTTTTTTTTTCCCAAATAGGCTTTTTTCTAAGGAATAGATCAAGTACCAAGCTACAGGATACTCCCACGCTATAGGACTGCAGTTCAGATACATGGGTAATAAAAGAGGCAAAAGACACAGAATTAACTTTATTTCTACCTTTAAATTTTCCTGGTAAGCCATGAAGGATCTTATCGGGGTGATGCACTCATTCTAAAACTAGATGATGGTGATGGTTGCACAAGTCAGTAAATACTAAAAATCACTCAACTGTACACTTAAAATAAGTGATTTTTATGGTATAGAAATTATATTTCAATAAAGTTCTTTAAAACATTTTTCCCAGTGAGGCTGTTTTCAACGTTTGGTGAGAATGAGAAAAGTGTGGAAGGATGTTGTCCCACCTTGTTAGTGATTAAATCTGCTTTAAAGATATCATAGAGGGAATGTCTACCACCCTTTGGCTGATATGTTAAACTCCCGTCATTCTAGGACTCATCTTCACTGAAAATATAATGGAATCTTCCATGAATTCTGTACAGACATTTTTGGTTTGTAAAATTGCAAGAACTAAAGTTTGGGATGCTCCTCACAATGAGACATATGCAATGTGAATTTTGGGTATATTTGTAACAGTGACAGAACAACATTTTAATGAAAACTGCAATAGTTGCATTTTCATTCAATAAAAGTCCACTTAAATTTGGGAGATGCAGCTTCCATTCTAGATTATAAGTTGCTCCGATATACTAGGAAGTGTCAGGACAGCTTGGCCTTCCTACTTTCAGTTAGCACCCTCATGACCCTGGGGCTGTCACAGGATTTCTGCCCAGATCCTGAGGATCTTGTGATAGTAAGGCTCTGTAACAAATCATGAGAGCAAAACCACCTTGGTCACCTCCACTAGGCAGGAGGTGCCACTGCAACTCTTACAGGAAATTAATTCAGCATCTGTCTCTAGAGGCTGAGAACCACTTCTGTCTGAGGTCTGATTTTGCAGTCTTATTCACAGAGCACCAGCCCAAATCCTGCAGGCAACTGAACAGATGGTAATATATTTTGACCAGAACATCTCTGGATCGCATTTGAACCATGAAACTCAAGGTGAAGCATTCTGAGGCTTTTTATTGATAACTACCTCCTAACCCACAATTAATTATTTATTTCACTTGCCTCTCTAAATTTTCAAATCACTTGGAGACAGAGTCTTAAGACAAGGTTTGATGTCTTTATTTACAATTTCACTTTAAAGTTTGCTTAGTTCATGAATTTGCCTCCCTGAGGAGAAAAAAAAAGTGTTTTGTTTGTTTGTTTGTTTGTTTTTAAAAAAAAGAGGCTTTTAAATGTAAGGTTACAGTATTTGTTAATGTCCCAATAAATAAATTTACTTAAAATAAAATAAATTTAAATTAGCTTCTGTGTAAGAAGATGACTTGTTATTAGTAAGAGACTAATGTAACTAATCTGTATTTATGAAACCAGATCCTTATAATTAGTCAAGCAGATGTCTAATTAATTTGGAAGGTACACAGCCATATGGATGCAACTAGAAAAATAAACTTGAAGATATTATTAATAGCTGGTCAAATTATGTCCTTCAACCGTCACAGATTAACCACAAATGTAACACACTGTTGATCTGATTACACAGAGGTTTTAAAATATCAAGGCAGTCAGAACTGAACAAAATTATAGCAATGATTAAATGACTCAGGAGGGGTTTAAATTCTAGATGTTATGAAGCAAACGTAGGAGTCAAATTCACTTTCAATTTAACAATCATTTCAAGAAAGGCTATTTTGTCTAGAATAGCTAAAATTCAGTCTTTCTCTTTGAAAATCAATTGAATGGTGTTTGATACAGAATATCTTAAAGCAAAAACTCAACAGATGTTGATAATGAAAACCCCCCCGCCACTTCAAAGTTTAAAAAAACTCCCTTATGTTATCTTCTATGATATACTGCAGGTAAAATTCCAATTTTGTCCTTAGCCATAAATGTACATGGTACCTTCAAACACATCTGGTCCCATTCTCTAAAACAGCAAAGCCACCTGTTGACTAACTATAAATATGAACATAGAGACAGTGAATCTGCATTCCATGTGTGCCTGGTAGCAAGGATAGTATTCTGTGTCTGGGAAGAAAAGGAAGACTGACCTTTGGAAGAACGGAAGTGTTTGCTGGGGGCAGTGAAGCCTCGAGTTCCATGCACATTCACAGCAGCCACTCGAAACTGGTACCATCGGCTGGGTCTTATGTCAGTCAGTTGAACTCGCTCGTCTGTGGTCTGAGGGGACATGTCACAGAGCACAGGGAACATGTCACTTTTTATTCCGACATGTTAGTTGGATCTGTTTAGAAAAATACACTAACCCATCAGCCAATGCAACTCAGTCTGTCTTCCCCCTGATAAGAGGGGCTTATCATGCCCAGTTATGAAGAGAGCTGTCAGGGAACAAAGAACCACTGATATTTCACCCCAAAGAATTAAACATCTCTTGAAGTCAAAACCTTATGACAAGAGCTTGGGCTATTTTTAAATCTGGTGACTAATTACAGCATTTGAGATATTCAATCAATAGAGAATATTTATGTATAGTAATTGTTACATTACAGCAAGAAGATGAAATCATCTTCAGATTATAGAAAGAAAATGTCTTTTTAACTCACATGCCAAATATAACTGTAAAATAGGTATAACAACCCACATGCAACCCACTAGCAATTTCTGGAAGTAAAGTATAACCCAAGCCACTGTTTAAAAATCTCTTGAGTAAGTCACATAACATCTATGAAGAACCAGTCCTGATCTAAAAGGGTGAGATGTGTTAGCATATATTTGCTCAATAAAATGCCCAAAAGGAAAAAAATAGACACTGGGGAAGATCAGAAGGTTTTGCTGTCTCTAGTGCTACAATTTTAAGATATCAAATAACTTTAACAGTCTTCATACTATATACCTGCTTTCAACAATGTTCTGTGTTTTGTTTCCATTGGTAGATCTGAAAACCTTTGCCTTGAATTCCAAGAAATAACCATCTACAGTCTATGCCCTCATCTACACCAGGTGCCGAACTCAACTTGGATCTGTGGATGAAACTAAGGAAACAGGATTGGATTTGAACACTCCCAAACTTCAGATTATAATAACCTCAGCTTAAAATAACTTAATGTGAAAATGACTGTCACGTTTACATCAATATCTAAAAGAAGCTGAACATTTCTGAGATCAAAGGAAGAATATGAACTCTTACATGTGGCTTTCTACCTGATTTGGCAGACTTTGAGAAAACACTTTCAACTTCATCATTTAGAGTTTCAGCTGCGAATTTAAAAAGCTTAAAGTCAGCATGGTATCCACAGCGTTTAGCAGAGAAGGAAGTACTACATGTAGCACTAACAGTAAAAAATAATACCAGCAACAATAATAAAAGAGCTTTTCACTTTCCAAAAATCTTTTGGAGATAAAAGAGATGGTCTTATTGCTGGTTACTTTCATAATTCTTTAAGTAATTTGGAAAAATTACAAATGAATCTGTACCACGATTTATGAAAGCATGCCGTGTAAATCAAATGGAATTTCAGGCTGTATTCTGATTAGCTTTATGTTTTACTGAAGCAAATTTTTTTTATATAAAATATAGGTATAGAATAGAATTACTAAATTTATTTGACCAGGTTTTTTTTTTTTCTAATTTAATGTTGTGTTTTTACATCAAACTTCTTATTTATTTTGGGGTCTTTACATTGTTTTATTTTAGTGCTTAACCCCTTTGAGATACTGCTATTTAGAAGATATTCTTCTTCCAAACACCTAAATATTGACATTTATTTTACATTTACTGAAAAAAAAAAAAATAGGAATCTAGTCCTTGGAAAAAATGATCTAATCAACATAAGGTGAGATTTTTTTTCCTATAGACATAGATGTGGAGAAGGCATTTTAGTTGTCTAAAGGCATGAAACAGTTTCACATTCAGAATCTGTTACTTTTTATATCCATGTAGGGTTTGTGTGTGTGTGTGGGGGGGTGGTTAGCAGCTGGTACTGGATTTAACAGCTCTTAAAAAGAAAGAAAATATTTTGCTTTTCTCATCAACAAGACAGAAGAGGAGGAAGCACTCTCTGGGAGTGTTGCCATGCAGGTGGTATATCAGTTTTTAAGTTGACTAAGACAAAGAAGAAAGTACTTAGTGAAGATTTATGGGCTGCTGGCTATGTCCCACTAAGTAATTTTGTGATACAAATCTTATGCCATGCTCCTAAAGTCTGTGGGTGGAATAAAGGTGTAAATGCAGGAGAAACAGAAGAGAAGGCATTTAGATTATTAAATGTCAAATTAGTCCTTATAATGTTGCATTTCCCTTCCTCTAGTTGGCTTTGAGTTTAGCTGAGGAAAATGTGGTTCTTGGAGAAAATACATGTGAATAATCAGGTTATAAAATTATCTCCCTTCCATGTGTATTTGAACAAATTAAGCCAATGGTCGAGTTTCCGAGCACATTCGTTTGTATCTATGAACCTCATCCTCTCTTTAGAAGACCCCATGATGTTCATTTCATATCTGAGTAATTTATTTCTGTAGTCAAGCTATTTTGAGGCATAGCAAGTTAATTTTTTGTGCGTAGCTATGTAGCAGACACTACCTCCAGGATGAAAATCAAAGTCTATATGAGGTTCTTACCTGGGCCACTGTCTGCCAGTGAGTGGCGTCATCTTCGCTAGGATGGATTCCATAATTCCATCTTCTTTGTACCACATAGATCACAGGCTCAATAGAAATATTGAATTTCGAGGACCACTTAACCTCCAGCTGTCCAGACTGCAGTTCTGTAAATCGTAACTCTTTTCTGGGCTTCAGGGGGACACCTGAAACAGGACCGTATCAATTAAAACAATCTGCGTGTGACTCAAATTGAAGTAAAAGTTGAGGAAGAACAAATATGGAAGAGATGAATCTGATCTGATGACAACTGAGATTTCCTTTCATAAAAGTGGCCTCTCCATACAGGGTTTCACATCTGAAGTCTTCTGACACTCAGTTCAGCTATTTGCTCCTTTTTCTTTTAACTTGTCTTTTTTTTCTTTTTTTTAATAAGACAGTCTAAATTGGTTCCTGATTCTGTAACAAGTGGCTTATTCCCTAGTAATCTCTAGAGCAATCATTTCATGTGCATTCTTTTCAATAAATCATGTTACAAGGTTGTTTCATTTGAGGTTAACATGGAATTCACACTAGGAGATCATTATAAAGAGTTTCAAGTCATTTTCCCATTTTTTATCATGCTCTGTGTCTATTGATATATCCTAAGGTCATTATAACATGGTTTCCAGATTTGATCTTCCTTCTTTCTCAGGGAGTTTTTCATTTAAGGAAAACACTGCAAAGCAAAATCTCTTCATGTGAAATCTCCTAAGAGTGATTTCCAAAGTTCAAGTCTTTTGGATTCCGCAATCAATTGCTCAAGCATTCCCCTATATATAGTCTTAATGGCTTAACATTGGAAAATAATGAATTTATAATGTTTGGTTTTGGCATGAGTGAGTGTGCTGCTTCAAAAGTTTCTCACAGGTGTTTCATTTTAAAGTAGTTAATCATTCTGATTTCTTTATCGCCTTCTGTACATGCAAGTTGTCTGGCAACTGATACATTGAAGAACCACAGTTCAAAATAGCAGGCATTTCAGAAAGGGAATTTGTAAAGAAATTTGTAATACTAATAGAATATGCAAAACTAACTGAATGAAATAGAATCTATGGCTCCATGATGGTGAATGCCATCAACACCAAGAACACCAATTACCATTAATAGCATTTTCTGTACACAATGGTCGTTTGCTGAAAGCATTGAAAACTCATTTCAAAAGCTAGTTAAGAATGCTCTATTTCTTCTTCCATTTTGTAAGTTTAAACACAGAAGAAACTGGAAAATGTGCAAACACCAAATGCAAATAAGGTTTGATGCATGTTGACATGGTTGAATTTCAACTCCTATTTCATTTTGATCTTAATTCATGGTAAGTCTTGTTTACGAAAATTTTAAAGTCATCAAATATTTGGATGGATGGAATTGAATAATTTTTTTAAAGCATATTTATATATGGTCAAAAGTCATTAATCTAAAAAAAGCTATTTTCTGGAGAAAATGTTTACCATACCTATTGCAGTCTCCTTTATTACTGATGGGTCATGGCTGAGTAGTGACCTTTAGTTTACAATAAATTTGTCTCATCTGATCCTCACTGTGAGTTTGTGAAGTGGGTAAAGGGTTAATTATCTACATGTTGAATAGGAGATAACTGAATCTAAGGAATATTAAATTAGTTGCCTGGGACTACAATCTGATCTCAGGTTTCTCTCTGAATTATCTGCTGCTTTCTACATTTCATATTAGAAAAGGCCACATAGAGAGATAGAGAAAAGAGATGGTTTTGATAGATATGCAAATCCCTTGGACATTCTTATTCTAAGATCCTCAGCTTTCCTGGTGGATCTGGAACTTCACCAAGTCAGTCTTTGACTCCTGTTCTGCCATGACATGCATTTATTTCAAGCTTGTATTGTAAACTTTTCATCTCAGTGCATAACCATAGCAATGGGGGTACCTAGACTTGGATGATTAGCATACTGCTGCTAAGCAAATGTTTTTCCAGTCTATCTCTAATCCCTGGCTAAGCTGCAGACCATCTTTTCCACCTGCCTGCTGAATTTCTCTGTCCCAGATATGCCCCTTCTCCTGGGATATCTATCTTTATGACAACTTTATTCTTTAGGATGTCTAAGGGATCTTAGAACCTTTTTGATATGTTCTTGCAGCTAACAACATTTAGTTGTCTTACTGCATAGTACATTTTCAAGAATTATCAAATCATTTTGTCTCCATGATGGCCACCTGACTTTACTCCCTTCCTTGTTCCCAACCTATTTCCCTGCATCTCAATCTCTTTTTCTACTGTCCCCTTATTGGTACTTTGGGGTTATTTTTCTAACGTAGAAGCGAGGTTCTCTCCTTCAGTTTCCCAAACTCTTTAATTGCATCCCATTCTCTATAGAATGAAGGGAAACTTCTTGGCATCCCCTTCAAGGCATCCTTCTTCATAATTGGCTACCATTTATTTGTCAATCTATCTCCTGGTACATCTTTAATTTTTTGTCACAGATATTATCTTTAAACCCAGCTTTCCTACAAATACACTGCCAGGTCCTTAATAATACCATGGCCTGTTTATGGTTTTTTTGTTTGTTTGTTTGTTTGTTTTCATTCTGAAATGTCTTGCCTTCTGCTTTCTAACTGTAGGCCCTTGAATATTTCCAGGCTCGGACCAAATGCCACCCCTCTGTGACACTTCCCCTAAACTTCTCAATTGGAAATAAAGGCTTTATTCTTTTGCCCCCCTTCAATGTTGAGCCTGTAACTGTCAAGACATGCATTTAACTGCCTCTTGCTGCAGCAAATTCATTTAATGATGCCTGTCTTTCCATTAAGCCACAGCCCCCAGAGGTCAAAAACCATGTCTCCTTCATTCCCGCACCTCACAATGTCCCAGAAGAGAACATTCTGCAATAGCAAATGTTCAATGAACAGTCAATGTTTGCTGAACTAATAGCCAAACCCACTTTCTTATTCTTCACTCAAGAATATGTCTGTGGAAATAAGAGACTAGTGCAACATTTATGCAAACCACTGCAACAATGGTAATCCCTACTCTGTTTGAAAGTCACCTAGGGAAGGGTGAAGATTTATCATAAGTATTCTGTACTGCCATCTTTATCATATATTGTTTCAAGCAACTCAGATCTCTTTTCCAGCATGGTCTTATTACTCACATGTACATTCACTCTGTTTTTTAAAAAGATAAATACCAGAAAATAAAGCAATGCCAAAATGTTTACAAGATAGAACGTTTTTATTACACTGACCATAGGACTTTCCCATTAAAAAGAAAAAAAAGACCAATTCCTGATCGGAGAGAAAACCCAAAGTTAATTGATTTTAATAGAAGCAGCTCTGTATGTTTTGTGTCAAGAAAAAAGCCACCAAAATTTGTTCAGAGTGATGAAAAACCAATCTCAACAAGGTGATCATTTAGTATCATTCTTGCATTGAAGGGTGGCCTGCATATGCCAGACAAATAGTTCTACCGAAGGGGATAAGGCGAGGGAGAGTAGCCGCAGAGAACATTTCATGATTTACTTGATTCCTTGGTGCATAGTAAAAAAAAATGATGACCAATTCTTCAAACTCATAGAGCACATTCTCCGAGACTTCTGAATCTACCTTTCTCTTTGGCTTTCCAATGTATAATCTTCTAGAGTAAATATAGCTACAGTAAATAGCCTCCGAAGTGACCTGAACTCACCAGAAGCCAATCCAAGCAGCCCAGTGCCCTCGCTGTAAGGTTTTAATCTTGAATAGCATTCAAGGACCAACAGCCTTAATCAAATGTAATGAGCATCAGGGCGATGTCAGTTCAAATTTCTTCATTTAAAAATCTCTTTAATTATGATGAAGCATGACCCTGCAATTTGCATGTTAAGAAATGGTCCATCTGCTTTCCATTAAAGTCAGTTGGCTCCTTTGATTGGAAGTAACTCCAGCGCTCTACTGTAATTGTGTGCAGATGGGGCTCAACCCCCCTCAAGACCTCCAGCCCTCACTGCCGGGGCGCACAGTCCTCACTGGCTGAACCAGCATCCCAACTGCATAACCAGATGTATAGACTGGATCTCTTCTCAATGTGTTTTTTATTATGTAAATGATTAGCATTTTTCTCTTTAAAATTACTTTTGAACAAATTAGTCATCTGAAATCTAAATGATTCTGTTGAAAAATTTACAAACGTTATCGTATGGCAAACTGCAATATGTGACGTCCAGTTTTTTTCTTTGAAATGCAAGAAACATTCTGCTGAAATCAAAGGAACAGAAACCCAATGCTTTTTAAAAATGTTGAAAATATATGGATAGAAAAATCAATTAGGATAAGCAATCTACAGTTGCATACTCATTGTGAGATTTTATTACTATTAATTTTTATCATGAATCTAAATGATATAAAAATGTAGCAAGATGTATTGTTCTAGTGATTTAATCACTACTTGATATCTCTCATAAAGGTAATTAGAACTCTAGAATTTGTATTTACATCACATTAAGGCATTGGGCTACTGGATGCAAAATGTTGAAAATTTATTTGTGAGAAGTTGTATAAATCTATTTCCAGAGGTCTGAAGTTTCACTATTTGATATATTAATTATTTGTGGAAATATTAAATTAACTCTATGATCGGGTCTTTTTGAAAAGAAACAGACTGAAGTACAATTAATTCTTGGTTTATCCATGGCAAAAGGAAACTATAGGTCACAAATTAGTCTGAATCTTTACGTTTGTAAAATTTTTTAACTTTTCTTTCTCCCTGCCCAAACCATTTTTGCTACAGTTGGAAGCCAAGAGAGGCAGTGGGATTTGGCAACAAAATAGTAAAATATATCACCCTCTGGAGGAAAGATTGTCTCACCAAGCCATAAAATAGACTTAGAGAGGAAATAGAAATAGAAAGGAAAAAGGAAGTGAGTGCCCCCAAATGCACTCATTTGTATTCTACCTGTAGACTTTCTACAACTATATGAAGTTTTGCATTTCATAGAACTAGTACCAGCAGGCATCTCCAATCATGTTAATATTTCCAAGCCTTCATTTTGATGCTAATAATTTTATTTAAAAAGTAAAAGAAAGGATCTCTGCTGTTTGTTTTAAACTATAGTCTATGAAGGTTAACTTACTTCCAGGCATCAGTTAAGTGCAGTTCTTACAGCATAGCCCAAAATCATATTTTCAAGACACCCATCGCTTTTAAAAACTCAAGTGACCAGTATAAAAAGCTCTTGAAGCTATAAAACCAGTACTTTCTATCTTCCCTTCCACAAACACAGCAGACCAAACAGAAAGTATGTATGAGTTTTTATAATTTAAAAATATTTTTAAAAATTAATTCATTAAGTAATAAAATGAAATATATACAGAGGTTGGTAAATGTCCATTTATTTAAAGGTTAGAAAAACAATTTGCCCACTTAAAGAGTATTGTGAGCATGACAATCTCAGTAATAAACTACTGGACCATGTGGGGGGTTAGTGTCACATGGATCCTTGCACCCCAATGCCCATTATAGATGACAGCAAATAGTAGGCACTCCGTAAATGTGTATTCAACTGAAATGTGTCAATACTTCTCCATCCAAGTGACAGCAGCCCCTTGTAAAGGTAAACCGGGGAAATGTTAAGAAAATGTTATTTCGGATTTCCAAACAGCACTATGCAACACTTTAATACATAAAAAATGAATGAATGAGGAACTTCAGGTTTTCAATATTTATCCCATAGAATGTGGTTCTCCATATAGCACACTCTGTATCTAGTTTTATACGCTTCAACTCTACAATGTAAAACAATCCCATGTTATTCATTAGCCTAAAATGATTCATAAAGTAGTGATTTTGTTGGATTAAAAATATTCTATATTGACAAATCTTTTAGTTGGCCTATTAGATAGACAGGTGGATAACAGATTTAGATACATTTTGGGACAGGGTCTCACTCTGTTGCCCAGACTGGAGTGCAGTGGCATGATCATGGCTCATTGTAACCTCGAATTCCTGTGCTCAAATGATCCTCCCACCTCAGCCTCCCAAGTAGCTATGACTACAGGCACATGCCACCATGCCTAGCTAATTTTATTATGTTTGTAGAGATAGGGATATCTTGCCATCTTGCCCAGGCTACTCTTGAACTCCTGCCTCAGCCTCCCAAAGTGCTGGGATTAAAGGGGTGAGCCACTGTGTCAGACCTTAGTTAGCCTATTATATCATAACACAACCATGCCCAGTGAGTGTTTCCATTAGAGATCCATACATTCAAAATAAAAATGACAGGAGAGCTAGCCCAGATGGGAGCAGATGTTAGATCTATTTCTGCTACCTACTACCAAATCACTTAGGCATAGCCTGCAACCTCTGTTTCAGCAGCTGTGAACAGAGAGCAGGACTAGATAATCTCAACCCACCATGACTCCCACTCTTATTAAAGAAAAAAACTACACAGACCTAGCAGAGACAGAGAGAGGGAGGCAATCTTATTTCACATTAGTTTGGGGCAATAAGAAGGCATCTTGGAGGTAGGAAAGACAGTGATCACGAGTATCCTAAGATTGCAGGTTGGTTTGTGCGCTGACTGGGCACATGGTTTTCTCCTTGCAAAGCCAAGGGATGGGTTAGAACGGACACTTTCCCTGGGGCTTGTGTACATCAGTCCCCCTCTCCTCTTTTGAGAGTGAAGAAGCAGCTGGACTCCAGGTTGGGAATGCCAAAAGGGACTTCAAATGCCTCATTAGCTAAGATGATGAAGGAGTTGCTGTAGGCTCTATTTGCCCTCCTTTTACACACACTAACATATTAAGAGGCACTGTCAAAGCTCCCAGGACATGAAAACCAGCCTTCCTGGAGGGACTACTGAAGAAAGCAAGAAAAAAAATCTACATATATATATATGTGTATATATATATATATATATATATATATATATATATATATACACATATATATACACATATATATATCTACATATATATGTGTATATATATATACATATATATATATATATTTTTTTTTTGCAAAATAACAATCTATTAACTTGACTGTCTTCATTACACAAAAGTCACTGTCAGGTTAACAGAGTCTGTTTATTCTATTTGTAGTTGATTCCCATTGATTCTCTCTCTCTCCACAAAAATCTAAGTTAAGAGCTAATTTGTAGTAGAAGAGTGACTTCAGTACTTTAACAAAAGTTCACCTGGTTTCGTTAAACGTAGTTTTACATTGAAAGTGTCTTTGTATACTTAATCATTTATTCTGGCCCGTTCTACAATATTCCCCTTATTCTCAAGTGAAACAGGCATATTTGAAATTCATATTAACTCTTCAGTCCTTTTATAAAAGTGCATATTTTAATTTATATTATCTCTTTAAAACACTATAGGTTTTACAAAAGGGTTTAAAAAGACGATTCCCAAAGCATCCTATTTTTATGGTGAATGCTACTCATACATAGCATATTATCTTTAATGACAGATAAGATTTCATAATAACAGATGCTTTAAAAGTTAGATGGTTTTAAATTTCGCAAAAGTGACTTGCTGTAATTTAAAATAAGAGGCATGACCACAATAAAACTTTAAAACTATTAAAGAAACATCACTTGGTAAGAAGAGAAAAGCATTGATTATTTTGAATGTAAGACATAGGACTTATGGTGTGTTTCCAACGATAAAGAAAAAAAAACCGGTTGAATTACATAGATTTCAGAGGAAAGTATTCCCAAGTGGGAGCTAAAGGAAGATGGGACAGATACTTAACTTCTGGGAGATGTGAATTGTTGTAAGTGTTAGAGTAACATGGACTTCCAAAAATAGGCAGCCAGCACATAAATCAAAACTGGCATTGATGGTGAATACTTCTTTATACACATTTTTTTTAAGTACCAGTATTTAGAAATAATATGGATTTGGCATGTGTATGTGAAAGACATAGAGAGAGAAAGACATCTGTTACTCTCTCTGTACTTTAATGAATACTGCCTACTGACTGACTCTATATTAGGGGTCCCCAGCTCCCGGGCCACTGACTGGTAGCAGTCTGTGGCCTGTTAGGAACTGGGTCACACAGCAGGAGGTAAGTGGTGGGTGAGTGGACAAAGCTTCAACTGTATTTACAGCCACTCCTCATCACTCACATTACCACCTGAACCTCCTGTCAGATCATCAGCAGCTTTAGATTCTCATAGGAGCATGAACCCTATTGTGAATTACACGTGAGGGATCTAGGTTGCATGCTCTTTATGAGAATCCAATGCCTGATGATCTGTCACTGTCTCCCATCACCCCCAGATGGGACCATCCAGTTGCAGGAAAACAAGCCCAGGGTTCCTACCGATTCTACGTGACGGTGAGTTGTATAATTATTTCATTACATATTACAATGTTATAATAATAGAAATAAAGTGCACAATAAATGTAATGTGCTTGAATCATCCCAAAACCATCCCCTGCCCCCTCCCCCAACATGGAAAAATTATCTTCCATGAAACCAGTCCCTGTTGCCAAAAAGGTTGGGGACTGCTGCTCTATATAACTCTTCAATGAGACCCCCAAAATTAACAAAATGTTATATGTCACGGTGTATTTTGATGGTATCCCAAACTATACCTAATACAATGGATTCATCTTGGCTTTAAAAGAGCTTAGTCCCATTTACAGAAAATGATCAGCAGCACTCGATATTAAGGAGCTAAGTGCTCTAGAAACGGCTTTTGAATATAAACTATTGCATTTGCTAAACCGTTTGATAAACTGAACCTCCATGTTTTGAGGAAGGGAAATCCTTTGTCTAGAATCTCAAGGTACTAATGAAAATATTTAAGATCTGTACAACGACACTAATGTTCTTGGGTCATATCGGCAGAAAAAGCACAATACCAGTATATTTGTTATGCATTTTTCAAGTGTGCTTCATCTCCCAGCCTATTTTCTAAGGATTTAAATCGATTTATTCCAGTGTACCTAGTAGAGCTTACTTGAATCAGTCTGACTGAAGAAAAAGACAAAAATGTTCCTGAATTGTTGCTGTCCATCACATATGTCAAATTAAAAAGAATTAATATGAATGACTTGCTCTGCCCCATGTCGAGTTAATATGGCTAATCTTTATGGGTCTGTGATTATGTTAAGATGTCTGTATGTGGTATAAAATAAATTTTCTAAAGATTTTATGTTTTTTAGACTTTTCACACCTATGATGGACACCCTTCCCTAGGCACACACAGATATATGTGACACTGCATGTGTCTTCACACCCCCAGTGCTGCCCCTTACCTTTGTACAGAGTCTTGGGTACTTGACAGGTGTGTCCACACCCATTCGAACAACATTTCTTCACCCCAGAGCACTCATTGTCAACTTCGCAGCTTTCAACACAGGCGGCCGCAAATCCACTGGCTTTCTCAGGAGCCGGACAGTCCCCCTGCTTCACCAACAGGATGTATTTGAGGAACTCACAGCTGGTCAAGCATTCGTAGCTCTTCTTGGGGAAGAGAGGCTAAGTCAAAGAAGAATTTTAAAAAATATTCCATTAAAGACACATGAAGTCTGATTTCCAAGACATCTGAAAGGAAGTTCAACATTTTTCCCCACCAAACCTTTGTTTGAATATTTGACAAAATGCATGTATTTGTTTTCTTTTCTCCTATCCAAGTGACATTTTGTGCTGATTTCTCAAAGGAACATAATCCATAAGTGATGATTTTATATTGCATGCAACAGACAAACACCATGTATATGCGCCCACGTTCACAGATCATATATTCTATCTTGGTCAAAGATGTTTTCCAAAAAAACTGATTATAGTCACAAAACCTGTTCAGTACAATTTGAGGGCCCTTTTTGGATTATATACATTACACTTATAACACATCACTCTCTTTAATTTTTTCTTTCTCCCTTTTTTTTTTTTTTTTTTTTTTTTTTTTTACAGTTAAGGTCTCACTTTGTCACCCCAGGCTGGAGTGCAGTGGTGCAATCACAGTTCACTGAAGCCTTGAACTCCCAACCTCAGGCAATCCTCCTGCCTCAGCCTCCCAAGTAACTAGAACTACAGACACACACCACCATCCCTGGCTAATTTTTATTTTTTGTAGAAATGAGGTCTTGCTATGTTGTCCAGGGTGGTATTAAGTCCTGGCCTCCAGCAAATCTCCCACTCTAAGCCTCCCAAAGCACTGGGATTGCAGGCATGAGCCATTGCACCTGGCTATTTTCTCATATATCATAAATACTCATCAAAATAGCAGGAGCTCTATAAAACTTTACAATTCTCACAATGGTAACATATTTATTGGTATTGTATAGCACAGTTGTCTAAGCGTTCTAATTGAACATATTTCAATAATTTCCAGCCTTTATTATTAATATGGAATTGTCAATGAGTTCTGCAGTAGAAGAATGTGAATCTTCTTTAAAAATCAGCCCACACCTATGTTATCTGTGACACAGTTGGGGTCTGAACAGCATCTTGCTGAGGACATTTTGGTTGAGCCCAGAATCAATCAACCATTAGTGAGAATAGGAAGCCCTGGACTTATTAGAGGAATGCATTATTGAAAAAGCCTGAGTAATGTGAAAGAGCCATTTATCAAATGCCTATTTTTCCTTAGGAAAAAATGGTTCAGGACAGCACTCGGTCATCCCTAAGACAGGAGCTGCAATTGGAAGATAATGGCTCTTTTCTGCCACTGAACAGAGGAGTTGCTGAGATTTCTAAAAGCTGTCCCATCCAGGGAAAGAAAGGGAAGGATGCTCTCTGTGCTCTTGCTCTCCTTTTTCCTATGGAAGAGAATGGCCAAGACAGCCCCACCAGCCCCAGCCCTCCACCCAGCCCTATCCCTAACCCTCTTTTTGCTTTATAGAAGATGGCTGAAAAGATGATCACCATAACCCTAACTTTTATACCAAGCCTCCTTTTATCCTTATGGGAGATGGTTTCCATGATAACTACTATTCCATTAAAGACACATGAAGTCTGCTTGAATGTTTAACAAAATAGATGTATTTGTTTTCTTTTCTCCTATCAAAGTGACATTTTCTTTTATCAAAATGCATTTTCACCTGGAATGCCTGTGCATAGCCAGGTTAAATTTCACTGTCTCTTTTACCTGGGGGTGGCTACGTTGTTGTGAATGGAACGTAATCAGCAAAGTTCTGTGCCACTGTGGACCGAGGCTTGCAGATGGTGGGGGATGGTGCCCCCGTGTTCTTCTTTATTAGCTGGATATGGGTGGCACCACAGCTGTAGGGAATGAGGGAATGGTGGGGCCACAGGAGGAGAGACGCCAGAATGCTGTCTGCCCATATGGAGAAGGACAGCACCCTGCCGGGAACAGCTGCCTTGAACTGCTTCATGGGTATAAAGCAAGTACACACGTGTTTGAACTCTTGTACATGTCAAGCTCCGTTTGCTACAACCATTCAGGGTACCTGAACCAATGCAAAGGCCATCCAGTGAAGGGCTGCCATGGTTCCTCAACGTTGGAAGTGGAAGATGAACAAGGAGGACACTTTCTGTTTATTTGATGTCACAACAGGGTTAGGAATATAAGAAATAAATGTGGTAGCTTTGGTGAACAGAAGTCTAGGGGGAGAATAGGAACATCAAGCAGCTCAGTGCCAGCATGCTGCTTGATGCTCCACAGTGATCCCTAACCAGGGCTCATTACTGGTAACATCTGGAAACACCTGGGTTACACCTGGACGATACCTGGGAACACTCGCCTGTGTGCTGCCTGCTGCTCCTCCCTGATGACTAAATATGGCTCTGCACCATCGTGACACCTGGGTAACACCGGGTCATCCCTACCATTGCCTGGTAATGCCTGGGCAACACCTGGTAAGACCAGCTCATGTGTTGCTGTTGCTTCTCAATAGTGATTGAATATGGCTCCCTACCACGAGGTAACACCTGCCAAACCTGCCAGCATGCTGCTGGCTACTCCTCACTGTTAAACAACCATGACCCTTTAGTCAGATAGGTGTCTGGTAGCACCTAGATACCCTGGAGATAGGAGGTTATCTAGGCAGGAGACTGAATGGTTTGGGCTATTAACCAGAGAGTATTTCACCAATAGTGGAGGTATGTTATAAAACAAACAAACAAACAAACAAAACCACCATTATCAAAGTCTCTAGTGGGAGGTGGAAGGTTGGTGGGAGGAATGTCTCTCTTTTCCGGCAGTTAGTTCATTAATTTTAGCCTATGATTCTCAGATTGATGATGACTGGAAATTCCACTGAAGACTCAAAACATAACTTCAGCAAGGAATATCTTAGTAATCCTAGAATAAACTACAATTTCAACGTAAATGATTCTCCACTGTCTCACCTGCTTCTTTTCCCCAAACAATGTTCAATTAAAATATGCGTAAGAGTTGACGGCAAATGTTATATTATGTGCATTTTACCACAATTTTAAAAAAACACTGTGAAAGAGACAGAAAATTTTTATACCATGAGAATGTGTGCAGCACCAAATTGTTATTGTTTCATAGTGACAATAATCTTTCTGATATTGTAAATTTAGTGGATGACAAAGCATTAGTACTTCATTACAAGTTAAATACAATTAAATGCCTGTTCTTTTCTTAATTAACAAAAGGAAAACAGTGGAAACACTAGCTAGAAAAACTATAATTTCAAGGTTTGAATTAGAATTGTAGATGTCATATAAAATTGTTTGTTAGTAATTAATCATACATAAAACGTGAAAATAACATGAGTTGACTGAACTAAAATTATTTCTCAATTTAAGAACTTTAAGGTAAAACTTAGAAGGGCCATGGTGTCAATATTGAATTATGACAAATTTACAGCTAATTTAATTAAAAAGAAACTTTATAAGTATTTAAAGCATTATTAACTCTCAAGGCTTTTATCTCTTACTCTATTTCACAGTCCATTTTTCTGTTAGCTGTTAGATGTGTTTTACTTCATTGAGTTTTGAAGCTCTAAGTTTAGTTTCAAACCTAAGTTAATAATCAAAGAAGTATGCTAACAGATCTGTAACAATTATGTAGTATTTGCCAACTTTCTTCTTTCAACAATTCATATACATTACACACACTGAAAGAAAATACTTAGTTACCAAAATCATTGGCCAGTGCCTCATGGGCTGAGATTTCCAAGTAGAAATACTTGTATTAGGCCGGGCGTGGTGGCTCACGCCTGTAATCCCAGCACTTTGGGAGGCCGAGGCAGGTGGATCACGAGGTCAGGAGATCGAGACCATCCTGGCTAACACAGTGAAACCCTGTCTCTACTTAAAAAAATACAAAAAATTAGCCGGGCATGGTGGCAGGTGCCTGTAGTCCCAGCTACTTGGGAGGCTGAGGCAGGAGAATGGCATGAACCTGGGAGGCGGAGCTTGCAGTGAGCCGAGATCGCACCACTGCACTCCAGCCTGGGCAACCAAAGCGAGACTTTGTCTCAAAAAAAAAAAAAAAAAAAAAGAAATACTTGTATTAAATCTGGCAAGTGTTTCCTGCTTGGTAACTTGGAAATCACAGTGACTTAGTTTGCATCATGATATAATGAAATCAACTCAGTTCATACTCTTCATCTATGAAAACAGAGTATGAGTCAAGAATCAGATAAAGTTTGGATCCTGTATTCGTATATTATTCTAATTATCTATATGCCAACTGCCACACATTTGAACTGTGAGGGACAGGAAAACAGAGGCTATGTCTCCTTATCTTCATTATTTACTGAACTATTGGGGCAGACATAAAAACAAATAAACAAAGACAGTAACCTAGAACAGTTATGAAGCATGTGTTCCCAATGACTATAAAAGGGGAATGATCATAATTAGCCCAACAATTTAGATCTTTCAGTTGATATGAGAGTTATTCTGTATGGATATTCAATGTTTTCCTTTTTGGTAAGGACATAGAAACACATATGTTCATCTTTGCACCCATGGTTTCTAGACTGGTTTATAATCTTGAAATAATACAGGTAACATTATGAATATTACATGAGGTAACACACACAAAGAATTAAGCACTATTGTGCATAGTTGGCCCACAATACATACTCAATAAGAATTAAGTAATTTGTGTCTTTTTTTCTTTTATCACTGCTACAAGTTTACTCTTTAACATTTCAAAATTCTTCTGGTGTGCTCATGAAAATTTTGTAAGATCCAAAGACAGAAGGAAGTCTGTATTCTTCTACAGTGTGTCCAGCCACTAGATTCCAACCCACTACTTCCAGATTAAGCACTGAAATCTGCATCTCAGGAATTGTACCCTGTACTTAAATGAAGTTCATCTTAGAGCAGTGTGGATTTGGTGCAACAGTCTTACAGAGGAGCTTTATTTAACTGTTCTATTAAAGGCAGATTTATCAAAGGGAGGTTTTGATGCTGTCTATTAATTTTCTTTCATAATTCTCTTGGATTGGGTTGAAAAAATATTATTTGTTTGAATATAAATTAGAGAACATATGGTATGTGTACATAAGGTCTCTCTCCAGGTCATTAATAATAGTTTAATGAGAATTTATTGATTGAATGGAATAAGGAGAAAAATGTGTACAGGTCAGAGAAAATGCTGTGTGAATATTAATACTCTAGATATAAACAAAATGTGCAAATTGGTCTCCAGTAGGAAATCCTGTGAACAAAGGTAATTTGAGTGTCACAAAAGTATAATAATTTCTGACCATTAAGCATGTAAAATTTCATGTGATAATACAAATTACTCAGAGATTTGTTAAAAGGAATGAGAAAATAATAGAAAAAGACTTATTCAAATCAGTATGCATGTAATACCCATCAATTTTATGGTCAATAAACACGTGTGACAACATAGATTCTATGTTCTATTTCCTGTTTCTAAAATTATATGCAGGTAATGAAGGCAAATTGTTAACTGTAAATTTAGTTTTTATAACTACAATTCATTTTTATAAAACTATTCATATGATTAATTTCACGAATCACACAAATGTCACTCTCAAATTATTATTATTATTATTATTATTATTTTGAGAGAGTCTCACTCTGTCGCCAGGCTAGAGTACACTTGCATGATCTCGGCTCACTGCAACCTCCAACTCCCTGGCTCAAGCGATTCCCCTGCCTCGGCCTCCCAAGTAGCTGGGATTACAGGCATGCGCCACCATGTCCAGCTAATTTTTGTATTTTTAGTAGAGATGGGGTTTCATCATGTTGGCCAGGATGGTCTTGATCTCCTGACCTCAAGTGATCTGCCTGCCTTGGCCTCCCAAAGTGCTGGGATTACAGGCGTGAGCCACCGCACCCAGCCAAATGTCATTCTTTTGCCAGGTCATTGGCTCCAATTTAAAATTTGAAAAGAATATGGTCACTATGCCCATTAATTTTGTTTATTTTGCCCTTACTGTCCCCAAAACTAAGAAAGAATTAGTCTGCAAAGATTATGTATTTTTTCTAGATTAGTGATTAATAGTATCTAATGGATGTCATTATGCCTCCAAAGAAGAGATAAAGCAAAGTGTTAAAGAAAAATATCTTTGAGGTGCATTGGATTAAGTAAAAAATCCTTCATATGTTAACGAATAGATATATGTCATACTATATATTAATATGCAGTATTAATGAATTCTCATATATCCCTTCTACATGTCATCTCCTAAGAGCTAAAAACTAAAATGTGGTTTTTAGTGACTTACCTGGGTAATATGCTAAGCTCCACTAAGAAGAAAATGAATAAAACATTAATTTATCCACCTGTGGCAAGTAGCTAAAAATAAAATTAAATACTAACAAAAGTAGGCAACATTTCTTGAATGCTTTCAGAAAGAGAGACAGTACTATCTTTGTTTAGTTTGGTATAAAATGCAAGGTATTGTACAGTAAAATAATCTGTTCAGCAATCATGGAATGATAAAGACATCCAATTCAGTAAATTATCTTAATGTGTTTAAAATCACATAAATACAAGGCTTCAGCTATGAGGAGAACATTGCATTTGGCTATTTGGTTCAATTCAACAGACTTGTACCATACGTCAATTCTCTAGGATTATAATTGCCTTTGCAAAGAGTCAGGGAATGGGGGGCTTCGCTTCCTGCTCCTAGCCAACAACTGGGATTGCTGAATACAATGAAACCTCAAATATACAATTTCCTAAAGTGAGTGCTCCATCATTATCACCACTGTCATAACCACCACCATCACCATCATTACCATCATCATTAGCAGTGGCAGTTGGTCACCAAGAGATGCTGATGTCTATCACATCCCTCACTCTACCCCAGCTGCTTTACTTTCTCATTTCACCTATTCTTCCCCAGTCCCCACAACTGTTATTATTTCCATTTTAAAAATGGGGAAACAACAGCTCAGGGAGATCATAACATAGCCCAAATCACAAAACACGTAAGAGTCTGGGCAACGATGAGAGCTAGTGTTTTCTGAGGGCCCCACCATATCTCACGGTAAAATAAGAGGACTGGGCTCACCCAGTGGCTCTCAGCTTGCTTCCCTATTAGAATTTCCCAGGGAGCTTCTAAAACTGATGTCTTGGGTGAACTTCTGACCCGTTTCTTCAGCATTCCAGGCATGGACCCTGGAAACTGCACTTTGGAAAGAACCGCAGATGGTCCCAATGTCTGGCCAAGACTAGAAATCTGCTGGATGAATAGCTCTCTAATTTGTGTTCAGTTATTAGACTTCCTGATTCTACATGTTTAGAAATAACCTGAATATTCAAAAATGCAATCTTACACTTCCTGGGAAGAGATAGTGGGGTGATTTCAAATTTCTTTCTTTTTTTATTCCTTTTCTTTAGCAAACAAATTTTTAATCTTAATTCTATGCTGAGTAGTTGAATAGCTCCATCTACCCAGATACAGAAAAGCTAAATGCATTTATAAACAGAAAATCTAAGTGTACATAAACTCCTAGAGACCACTGAGGGTAACTAAATTAAAGTACTCCAAACTATAATCCAGGGGTTACTGAAAATCTGATTCTGATACATCCGTCTCTGTATGTACAAAAGATATATTTCAGGATGCTCAAAATTAAAGCACTGACATTCTAAACACCAAGCAATCACTGAATTAAAGTATGTTGGTAATTCTTTGAACACAGTGTCTCTGAAGTCAGTGACATCAAAAAAATAGCACATGCTCTTCCTTTTGTATTTTCACTATATTAAAAAGCAACAGTACAAATGCTGTGGTGTTAAAAAGGATCCTTATTTTTTAACAAAGGAACTTTTATAAACAATTCTGTAATGAAAGGAAAATAGTATGTTAATACATAAAAGTTTTTGTTAAACAAGATTTTACAATTTTTAAATCAGAAAATGTTAAGATTAAATGTTAAGATTAAACAAAAAAGCAACCTACACAATTTCCATTAAATGTGTCTTTGTACACATGTCCTGGGCACTTTGAAAATGTTAAAATCATTAAAGTTTGACTTCTGCCGCTGCTGCCCCCATCTCAGCATTGCCCCCTCCCTAACCTGGCCAAAGGGTCTGATTCCAAATTTCTGAAAACTTCACTCCCAAAAAACACAGCGAGATGAACAGAACATGAATTCAATACAAGAGCATGAAGACAAGGTAGTGAGACAATGAAATGAGATGAAAAGGGTTAGAAAAGAGTTAAACAAAAATATAAAATGTGAAATAAGACAAAAACATAAAGTTAAGAAATAAACTAGAAATATCAAGATCATCTGAGGTCAGGAGTTTGAGACCAGCCTGGCCAACATGGAGAAACCCCGTCTCTCCTAAAAATACAAAAATTAGCCGGGTGTGGTGGCAGCTACTCGGGAGGCTCAGATGGGAGAATCCCTTGAACCTGGGAGGCGGAGGTTGCAGTGAGCCGAGATTGAACCACTGCACTCTAGACTGGGCGACAGAAGGAGACTCCATCTCAAAAAAAAAAAAAAAAAAGGAAAAGAAAGAAAAGAAAAGAAAGAAAGATAGATCAAGGAATTAATAGAAAAAAATTATAAATCAAAGGGCAGGTTATGTTCCAAGAATAACTGAAAAGAGCAAGCAACACTGGAATATAGCTTCTGCTTCTGAACACCAAAGGGAAAACTTTAATTTTTCAGGCATTCAGGTAAAAAAGGCAAGCTGATTATGAGGAAGAAAATATAATTGCTACCAAATGTCTCTCTACTAAATTTAGTATGTGAAGCTAACAAAGCAATGTCTATATAATTCTAAGGAAAATAAACTCTGTGAGTGTATGTGCCTTGTGGGGGGGTTGTGTTGGGGGCAGGGGGCATGATGTGCCATGCAATGGCAAAACCTAGCCATCCTATCATAAACAGAAAACAAGAACAAATGGGCTAGTACAATATTCGGTACCCAGATAAAATAAAGTAATACTTATAGAAGAAAAAAAAGTTGTCCAATCCAAGTGTACTTTAGATATAACTGTAGGTAAAATTTATCATGCATAAACTTAAAGAAAACACCATCCATAGACCCCTGTTTAAAAACAAAGATATGAATTAAATTTACAAAATTAAGCATACAGTGGAAAAAAGAATCAGTAAAATTAATCATTTTTCTATGTACCTAAGTATGAAACTAAAATTAAATAAAATAAGAATGATAGGAGGGAGAATTTGCTGTGATAAAACTAAGAATTTTCAAATAATAATATGTTAGAAAAACTGGTAGGTGGGAGGAGTGGTGGAGAAAACCTATGAGTGTGACTTATCTTGAACTTAATATTAGAACATCAGTAAATAATAAAACAAATATGGAATTGAAAGAGTAACAATTCCAACCACATAATATCTTTTATAATCTTTTCTTTATAATATTTTGGGGTGTCTTTGTCTTCTCTTGCCTTCAAGTAATATTAAACTTTAAGCATTTATTTGAAACTAGTGTGCACAGAGCTTCCAGGTGCTGGCCTCTTGGCCAGCCATTTAAGTAGGCATTGGGAGAGCAGTCTTGGCCTTGCTGTGTTAACACGTTTCTGCACAGTAAACCATGGCTGTTTCTACATGGTAAATCTGGAATGATGGTTTGGTTTTACTTTTCTGTGCGGTTTATTAATTTTTAATGGGCATGTATAGTTTCTATTAAAAATAAATAGTATACTTGGCTGGGTGTGGTGGCTCACGCCTGTAATCCCAGCACTTTGGGAGGCCAAGGCAGACAGATCACTTGAGGTCATGAGTTTGAGACCAGCCTGGCCAACATGGCAAAGCCTCACCTCTACTAAAAATCCAAAAAATCAGCCAGGTGTGGTGGCACACAACTGTAATCCCAGCTACTTGGACAACTGAGGCAGGAGAATCTTCAAACTAGGAGACGGAGGTTGCAGTGAGCCAAGATTGCACAATTGCACTCCGGCCTGGGCAACAGAGTGAGTGAGATTCCAACTCAAAAAAGAAAATAGGGTGTACTTTTAAAAAATGAGGCAAAACTGCCAAGTGTGTCTTTCAAAGAAGACATCTAAACACTAGGCATGAAATAAGAAAAATAACTCTCCGTTCAAATGTTACTAATTTATGCTTGGAAGTATTATTATAATTTGCTTGGAAGCCCAATTATAAATACTAATTTCTTAGATGTGATTGCAATTAATTGGATTCCCAGGCAAATTATAGACATTGGCCATGGAAAATATAAAATTAGGAGAAAAGCAGAAACACGCATATTAGAGAAGTCACTTTTCTACAAGTACATACCCTCTTCTTTCAATTACAGTAATCTTTACTTATGTTTATCTTGGCTTCCTTCTTCCTGGCCTGGCTCTTCTATTTATTTTGAAAACAAATGTGTCACCTTGTATGAGTCAGCAACACCTCAGAATCTTGCTGCAATATTTCTGGAAGATCATGAGGCACATAAATAGCTCGAGAAGTTCACAAATCCCTAGAGAATTAGGGATAGTTCAGGTACCACATTTAAACTATGATTTATTTCCCTCTCCTACTTCTGCATTTGTTAGTAGTGAATACCAAGAATGCCAATGCAATGTTCAGCCCACTAAACCATTTATATACTGATTTATAGACCAAACCGGCATTCTAGGTACTAGGAATTTAATGGTGAACAGGTGAAATTGTGAAAATGATGACCCACTATGCTTAGTTTACATGTTTACTAACAAACAGGTAAAAATCATTAAACAGTTTAGTTTGCATTATAATAAAGGTAGACACAGGAAGTTACAGATATAAGGACGAGATCAACAAATAATTAGACAAGGACAAAACTTTAAAGACCAGTCATCAATACTGATGATTTAGGCAAGTAAAAGTGATGTGGAAAACAGAAGAAAAAGAGAGAGGGAACAGAAACAAATACAGCCTGTCCCCTTCAGAGCTTGACAAATACACAAGCAAGATAACTGCTGTACAATTTGGGGGGCAAAATTAATTTGGCAAGTGTCACTTTCTTCAAAATATTAAAGGAAGATAAAATATTACCCTAAGCCTTAAATAAAGCTTCCAAAACACTTAGCATGGATCCTAGCACATAATAAAGGTGCAATCAGTGCTAGCCACCTTTATTAGCATCAGAATTCTTTAACGCAGTTCTAGAAATTTTACAAGAAACAATAGGAATCCATATACATTAATTATAGATGGCCTAAAATCCTCATGTAAATAATTTCTTTTAAAGAGGAACAAATTAGAAAGTTGTCAAATACAGTTGTTTACTCTTTGATTTATATTGTTCAGTTTCTTTGCTCATCTCATTTTGCAAACACTGTCAAATTCTACAAACTCATCACATCCATCCAAGATACAAGAAAAAAAAATCTCATATTTTACCTCTTAGAGATCTTCCTTGAAATTTCTTATTTCTTTGTTTATACACTACTATATTATACCACTTCTGGACTGGTTAGATCATCACAAAATGAAATAGAAACTAACTGATATGATTAGGCTTTGTGTCCCCAACCAAATCTCATCTTGAATTGTAGTCCCCATAATCTCCATGTGTCAAAGAAGAGACCAGGTGGGAGTAATTGAATCATGGGGGCAGTTTCCCCCATGCTGTTCTTGTGATAGTGAGTGAGTTCTCACGAGATCTGATGGTTTTATAAGGGACTCTTCCCCCTTCACTAGGCACTTCTCCTTCCTGCTGCCTTGTGAAGATGCCTTGCTTCCCCTTCACCTTCTACCATGATTGTAAGTTTCCTGAGGTCTCTCCAGCCATGCTGAAAAGTGAGTCAATTAAACCTCTTTCCTTTATAAATTACCCAGTCTCTGGCAGTTCTTTATAGCAGTATGAAAACAGACCAATACACTAATGTACATAGAACATAGTTTCCTCGTTATGAACAAGTAAGAGAAAGTACAAATTCCATAAGTTAAGGGACTGGTTCCCAGGGGACATTAGGTAATATCTGGAGATATTTTTGTTCCTCACAACTGGAAGGTGCTATTGGCATCTAGTGGGTATGATCTGAGAGACCAAAATGGATGCCCCTTTATCAACTAAGGGGTATGCTAAGGTTCTTGGTTGGCATGGCACATTTCTAAATTCCTATAGCTAAACTTGTTAACAATAGGAGCTATCAACTCTGATTTACAACCCAGACCTCTACAACTCTGATTGGACAGAAGACTGGCCTTATAAAGATTATTTTCTGATAAGCAACTGCAGACCACAAGCCAGTTTCAGCTAGATTATAGAGGCTGTGCACAAATTCTGTGTCCTGTAGTTCACTTTTCGATGTAAAGAGCCAAATTCCACCTCATCTTAATGCTAAAACCCTGCCCCAAAGTGAACATTGAATGTTATGTTATTACGAGGGTATTTTAAGAAAGTTAACCAAAGATTTAGCAGAAAAATGTCTGAGAAAGCTTCATCAGAGAGCCTTTCTCCACCATAACAATGGCCCTGCTCATTCCTCTCATCAAATAACAGTAATTTTGCCAGAGTTTCAATGGGAAATCATTAGGCATCCACCTTACAGTCCTGATTTGTCTCCTGACTTGTTCTTGTTTCCTGTTCTTATAAGAATCTTTAGGTCGGGCATGGTGGCTCATGCCTGTAATCCCAGCACTTTGGGAGGCCAAGGCAGGCGGATCACGAGGTCAGGAGATCGAGACCATCCTGGCTAACACGGTGAAACCCCATCTCTACTAAAAATACAAAAAATTAGCTGGGCGTGGTGGTGGGCGCCTGTAGTCCCAGCTACTCGGGAGGCTGAGACAGGAGAATGGTGTGAACCCGGGAGGCGGAGCTTGCAGTGAGCCCAGATTGTACCACTGCACTCCAGCCTGGGCGACAGAGCAAGACTCCATCTCAAAAAAAAAAAAAAAAAAAAAAAAAAAAACAACAACCTTTAAAGAGCACCCATTTTTCTTCAGTGAATAATATTTTTCAAAACCTACATTGACATGGTTAAATTCCCAGGACCCTCAATTCTTTAGGGATGGACTAAGTGGCTGATAACATCACTTATAAAAGTGTCTTAAGCTTGATGGAGCTTATGTTGGGAAACAAAGCTTATATGTTTTATTTTTGGCTTTTGATTCCATTTTTCCATGAACTTTCTGAAGTCCTCTTGTGTATGTAACCACGTTATTCAGACATTGGACAATAGGTAGCACAAGACAAGAAAACCTATAAGGACACAAATGAGATGAGCTACAATTTTGCCAAAAAAATGATTTGACGTAGTTTCAAATCCACAGTGCAAGGAAGGCTAATCCCAAGATAGCTCTGCAATTTTTCCAAGTTGTGGATAAAGAGATTAAAGCTTGAGGCTGAGATGGCCAGATCTTGTGGGCAGACTGTAAAGCAGGATGAAACTGCATGAAGAGAGAAACCTACAGGGATTCAGAGGGACCCTTTGATTTCTGGCTGAATACTGACTTGAATGTGCATGGCTTCAAACTGCATAAGTCTGGGGAAAGAATAATCAGACAGCAATAAAGGAAACCATTCTAGCAAAAACTCACATTTCAACCAGTCAGAGTGCAGAGAATGCACAATTCATGAAGCATTGGCTAGAGTCCTCAGAAGGATATCACCTAGTAATGGGATAAATTGGGCCTAGTCTAAAGGCTACTACTCTGAACCCGCCCCCAAGAAAGCTTAAAAGAAACTTTTAAAAATAAGAAAATGAATCTCAAAAGGAACTTAACTACATGCCAGAACAAAGTCTAACACTTTCTGGAAAGATACAGCAAAATTCAAAACACAAAAATTTGACATCCAATCAAAAATAATCCAGTGTGCAAAGAAGCAGGAAATTGCGGCACATAAAATGGGAAAAAAGGGATCTACAGAAGCAGGACCAGAAATTATAGAAATGATAGCATTAACAGCAAAGGACATTTAAGAACTAATATAAATATGCTCCATATGCCCAGGAATGTAGAGGAAAACATGGACATAGGGAGGACAGGAATGAAAGCTACAGAACAGAGCTGCATAGAAATTCCAGAAGTAAAAAGGAAGAAATGAAAAATATGTCAAATAGGATTTTTAAAATGTTAGACACCATAGAAGATAAGATTACTTAAAAGGAAAGCAAAGACACAATGATTTAAAATAAATAAATAAATAAATAAACTATTAAAATGAAGCAGAGGGTGGGAAATGACCAAAAGGAAAAAAAAAAGATCATAGACTCATTGACCCATGAGACAAAATAAGCTGGTCTAATGTGTGTAATTAGAGTCTCAGAACAAGAGAAGAGAGAAGATGGGAGAAATCAATAAATAATATTGAACAATAAATTAAAAATTTGATTAAAATTGTATGTCCAAAGTTAGAGGAATCTCAATTACCCCTAAGCAGAAGAAACAAAGATAATTAACTCAAAGTATACTTAACCGTATTGCTTCATATGCCAGATACTGAAGGAAAATCTTCAAAGCAGATAGAAAAATTAAAAGATACTTTATATATAGTAAAACAAGGATAAGAATCTCAAAGGTTTTTCAGAAAATATGCATGTCGGAAGAAAATAAAGCAATATCTTTAAAATGCTATTTAAAAAAAAAATCAACTTAGAATTTTATACCCATGAAATATCTTTGAAAAGTGAAGATGCCTTAAAGACTACCACAGGTATACAAAAGGTGAACTCATAGCCAGCAACCTAGCATTATAAGAAATGTTAAAAGCAAAAGGAAAATGATAACAGATGAACCTTGGGGTCTACACAAAGAATGAAGAATTCTAGAAATAATAAATACATGATTATATTTAAAAGATGATTTTTCTTATTTTTATATCTCTGGAAGAAGATAAGTTTAAAGCAAAAACCATAAAAATGTGATGTGGAGCTTGCAACAAATGTAGAAGTATGATTTAGGACACTAAGAATACAAATGAAGGGAGTAAACAATGAAAGTATATTGTTATGACATTTTCATATTATACATGAAGTCATTCAAGATGAAACATACTGTGTTCCAAAAAGCAATTCTCAAAAAATTTAAAAGGATAGAAATCCTAAGTTTTGTCTTAACTAGAAATCAGTAGGAAGATATATGTAAAATTCTCAAAAATTTACAAAATAAACCATACACTCATATGAAATTCAAAAATGGAATCACAGAAGTAATCAGAAAATACCTGTGTAAAAATAAAAACATGCTATAACACAAAATGTGGGTTTTAGCTAAAATAGTGCATAGGGCAAAATTTATAGCATAAAGCTCTTATATATGAAAGGAAAATAAGGTCTCAAATTAATTATCTAAGCTCCTACAATAAGAAATTATATAAAGAGAGTCAAACTAATCAAAATTAAGCAAAAGTAAGGAAATAATAAAGGACAGAAATCAATAGCATAGGAAATGACAAAAAAATAAAGAAAAACAATAAAACAAGAAGTTTTTTTTTTTTTTTTTAAAGAAGCACTAAAATTGACAAAATTCTATTGGGATGAATCAAGAAAAAGTAGAGAATACATAACTTACCAATGTCAGTATTGCAAAAAGGGTTCATCACTACAAACCTAACAGACATCAAAATGCTAACGATAAAGGTGAATTAGGCGATAATATGACCTATGCTATTTTTATCAATGTGATAACTTGGATGAAATAGTTCACTTCCTACAAAGACATAGGTTATAAATGCTACTAAAGAAGAAATAGACAACGTGAATAGTCTTATGTCTACTAAAAAATGGAAATAACATATAAAAGTCTCAATAAGTAAATAAATAAACTTTAAGCTCATACAGGAGCTTCTACTTCTTAGAGAAGATAAATATCAGAATTCTTTCTAAATTCCTCCATGAAAGCTCTACCAACTCACATAAAAGGAGACTCTCTTCATTCATTGATTCATTTAACCTGAGTACATCATTCTGCTAGTTACATGAGATGAGAAGGCTAAACTTTATTCCTGCTATCATGTTTACAATGCATTGGGGAATAAAGATAAATCAACGATTATAATTCTGTATCTTGAATAATAAAATAGTGTTTTTTGTTTTTATTTATAAAGAACCATTTTCATCTGCTGATTTTTTCTTTTTCTTGTTCCTTCTTTTTTTTTTTGAAACAGGGTCTCATTCTGTCACCCAGGCTGGAGTGCAGTGGCACGAACATGGCTCGCTACAGCCTCAACCTCCTGGGCTCAAGAAATCCTCCTGCCTCAGCTTCCTGTCTAGCTGGGACCACAGGTGACCACAAGCATGTGACACCATGTTTGGCTGATTTTTTTTATTTTTTATTTTTCGAGGAGATGGGGTCTGACTTTGTTGTCCAGGCTGGTCTTAAACTCCTGGGCTCAAGTGATCCTCCCGTCTTGGCCTCCCAAAATGCTGGTATTACAGGTGTGAGCCACTGAGCCTAGCCTCATCTGCTGGTTTTCAATCATTTTAAGCAATTGCACATTTTCTCCCCATAGACTATCACTGCACAAATCACAGAAGGTTTCACAGAATTGGTAGAAAACTTCAAGTGAGTGCTTTTTTGTTGTTTGTTTTTTAAAACAGGGTCTCACTCTGTCACCCTGGCTAGAGTGCAGTGGCACAAACATGGCTCACTGCAGTCTCGACCTCCTGGGCTCAAGCAATCCTCCTGCCCCAGCCTCCTGTGTAGCTGGGACCACAGGCATGTGCCACCACAGGCATAAACATGGCTATCCCTAAAACAGGGAGCCCCAGTATCCAAGAAGTACAACCACACACTTGCTACTCAAAGGCTAGGCCTTGGTTCAGTAGCATTAGCATCACTTGGGAGCTTGCTGGAAATGCAGACTCTCCTGGCCACACCATATACCTACTGAATACCATATGCCTACTGAACACCATATACCTACTTAATCAGAATCTGCATTAAAGCAGATTCCTAGATGATTCATGTGCGTGACCAAGTCTGAGAAGGCCAGTTCTGGATCATGCTGGACACTGGAGTTGGCATCTTCAGATGCATGAGTTTCTCCCTCTCCATATTTACATTTCCTTCACCCCTAGTTCCTTACTCCAGAGATCAAGTTATCCAATTTGTGCTCCATGTATCTCTGACCTCACACTCCTGACAGCATTCATTTCCCCTGACATATAAATGTATTCCAGTCTTTCCAAGGTAAAACACAAAAATCACTTTCTCAACTGTGAATTCCCCCTAAACACAGCCTCTTCTCTCTCCTCTATGCTCTAGAGACAGTGTTAGGGAAAGACTTTAAACTTATAGAAAAAGTTGCATGTATTTGGTCTGAATTTCCTCCTTACATTTTATTCTATAACGCAGAGTTGTATCTGTTACCTACTATTGATCCACAGAAAGTCTCCCACACAGATTTCCAGTGACTTCCTAACTACAAAACTCAGTGAGCCCTTTTAGTTCGCATCTCACTGACCTCCAATAGAATTAAAAAGTGTTGACCTTGTCTCCTTGTCTTCCTCTTTTATAATAAAAGTAGCTAATATATATGTAATGTGTGTTATCTTCAGATACTGATTAAGTGCTTTATATGCATTCAAAAAAAATTTTTTTACTTAAATTTAGTGCTTTTGCAATTTTCATGATACTCCCCTAACTCCTTATGTGCCTATTTGCCTAGCCCTTCTTTTCAGGCTTAGGTCTTTAAATCATTCTGAATAATCTCCAGTCTTGGTCCCATAAATTTTCAAAACTCATCAATTCTCCTACAACTGAGTCTAGAATAATTTGATACTCCCCCGAGTAATATAAGAAAAATATAAAAAAATTTTTATATTTTATAAAAAATATAAAAATTGAGTCTCAGTGCTTAAAAAGGAAAAAAAGTTTATGTTCCAGATCTATAAAATTTGATACAATGCAGACTGTACCCATCATATGGTGGTTGGCAAAGAATATCTCATAATAATTATAAAAATTCATAAGCATTCTTCAAAACATTTCCACTTTACTACTACTACGTCCCCTAAGTCGAAAAGAAGACTTAGATGAATTCTGCATCTCTTCATTGGTGCCCAAGTAACACCATCTAGAAATACAAGTAACACTTTTATGTGTTACAAAAATGTAAAATACCAATGTTAATCATTTTTAAAAATAAAAGCCTATTATTTATCATACTAAAAACTTTTTGAAAATTGTCTATGTGGCTGAGTGCGGTGGCTCACGCCTGTAATTCCAACACTTTGGGAGGCTGAGGCGGGTGGATCACGAGGTCAGGAGTTCAAGACCAGCCTGGCCAAGATGGTGAAACCCTGTCTCTACTAAAAATACAAAAATTAGCCAGGTGTGGTGGCAGGTGCCTGTAATCCCAGCTACTCAGGAGGCTGAGGCAGGAGAATCGCTTGAACCTGGGGGGCGGAGGTTGCACTGAGCCGAGATCGTGCCATTGCACTCCAGCCTGGGCGACAGAGCAAGACCCTGTCTCAAAAAAAAAAAAAAAAAGAAAAGAAAAGAAAAGAAAATTGTCTATGTGTCAGTCACTCCAGCCTCCATCCCTTTGTCTGGTCCTTACTCTCAGCTGGTCACCCTGATTCCTGTTGCACTGAGAAAAGTAAAGCATTCAAAAGAGAAGTTCCATAGACGCCATTTTCACACCCACCAATGCAGCTGCATCTGGTGCATTAAAATCTCATGCATCCATGGATTCTCATGTATCCATGAATTCTCATGCATCTCCTGTCCCAGGACGTAGAAGCTTGCTCCCATTTCAAACCTGCCTCCATACACACACAATGGTAGACATTGCCATTTAAGGTCATGTGCTTCAGCAATTCCCCCCTTTCTCCTCTAACATCAAATAACCCCTCTCTTCTGAATAATTTTCATCTGCTTGTAAAATATAATTATTTCTCTACTCTAAAAACAATTAAATGTTTGATTACCTTGTTCACACCTCTTCCCACAATCTCATTTGCGCCCCTGATCACTTTTTTTTTTTACAGTAATGCTCACTGAAATGTTTCTATACTCCCTCTCTGTTTCCTCCAACCATTTATCTGAAATTCATGCCAATTAGGCATTTTCTTCTGCCACCCAATAACACTGCTCTTGTCAAAGTCCACAGTGAGCTCCCTGTCGCAGAATCCGATTAATAAATTTGAAGTCTCCATGCTCTTGCAGCACTTGACGCAACTGATTACCTCTTCCTTGTTGAAAAGCTTTCATCGTTTGGCTATCGGAACACCACACTCCCCTGTGTTTTCTCCCAATTTATTGGCCTCTCTTAAATCTCCTTCTTCATCTCCCTATTCCTCTTATGTTGCTGTGATTCAGTTTAACTCATAGACCTGTTTTCTTTCTGTCACCTCATTGAGCTTCATTACTTTAAACAGTACCTTCATGCATGGCATTTGTTCTTTCAGCCTAGAACTCTCACCTAAATTCCAAACTCCTATGCCTGTTTCCCTACAGCACATCTCATACGGATTTCCATTTACATCTGAAACATGCCATGCTCAACACCAAACTTCTGGTCTATTCTTTCTCCCCACCCCACCCCCAAAACTATCTGTGCCTGACACATATCCCACATCTCGTACATTCCAGCTTTCTTACCCTAGTTTTTAAGGACAAAAGCCCTGGCAACACCACTGACTCAACTCTTTCTCCCGTTCCTCATATTGAATCTCTCACCATGACCACTCTAGACTGAGCCACCACTATCTCTCATTTGCTCAGTGGATTAGATTGTACCAAGTAAAAGAAAAAGCCTGAGTGTCTCACCCACTAGACACACTACTGCAGGTCCCATTCTAGTGTCTCTAAAGAATTGACAACTTCCTTAAAAGGAAGTACTCAGGAGCCATATTTTAATGCTCTTAGGAAAATATTTCCAAGTGGAAAATCTTTGTAATAAAAATTGAGTCTGTCTTTCAGTTTGGACATATATCTGTTTAAAAAGAATAGCAACAAAGTTAATCTTTATTTCCCTTTCACAAGTATATTCTAATTGGGGAAGCTATTGTTCTGATATGTTAAAGCAAAACATTGCTAAATGGTACAAATTCTATGTGCTTCTCCTTTTCCAGCCAACACACATTTGGGGAATATTATATCACTTTCACGTTTAGCTCTCATCAGCTTCTTTCAAGACCTTTAACTATTTTACAGACATATCCAGACAGGTACAGGTTCTGTTCCAATCCCTACAGGTATGCATTTAATTATCACTTTAAATTTTAAGACATAAAACCAGTTATAGAGCAGCGAAGAGATAAAAAGTTTTGAGTGCAAGAAATCCCCACAGGAGAGGCATGTTAACCCTTTTACTTTCTGAGGTCTCTTTTCAGTAGTGTTGGAATATTTCTTTCAGAGCCACGTGAAGGGGCAAGGAGCCCTGTCTTCCTTCTCTCCTTGAGGTGCCATTAATTAACTATGATTTGGCCAGGCGCAGTGGCTCACGCCTGTAATCCCAGCACTTTGGGAGGTCGAGATGGGTGGATCACCTGAAGTTAGCAGTTCAAGACCAGCCTGGCCAACATGGTGAAACCCCGTCTCTACTAAAAATACAAAAATTAGCTGGGCATGGTGGCAGGTGCCTGTAATCCCAGCTACTTGGGAGGCTGAGTCAGGAGAATCGCTTAAACCTGGGAGACAGACGTTGCAGTGAGCTGAGACCGAGCCACTGCACTCCAGCCTAGGTGACAGAGTCAGACTCTGTCTCAAAAAGAAAAAAAAAATTAACTATGATTTTAAACCACTAAAACTTCCTTCTCATTTAAGGATAAGCCTGTCCAAGCAGGGATGACTGGGCCAAGAACCTTACATTCGACACAGGCTCATCTTTTATTCCCTGATGAGGGAAGTAAAACCTCCTCCTCTGCTCTGTGTGCTGTGACACAGAATAGGTTTAGAAGGGAAACCCTACAATACAGCAGGAAAGAAATGTAACTAGAAGCTACACCACCTGGATTTTAGATCTTATACTCCACTAACCAACCATGTGATCTTGGACAAATAAATCTCTTCTCCTTGTGTATGAGTTTCCTTGTCCATCAAGCTTACCTAATGAAATTCACATCTAACTTCTTCTAAGGACTGTTATGGGAATCAAATCTATAAGCCTGAAAGACATTTCAAAATGCAAAATCGCAAAGAAATTACTTGATAATTATATATGTAGTAAAGTGAAAACCTCCTTTTCCTTCCCATTTCCAGGCTGAGAAAGACTACTTATCTCAGGATGCATATTCATCCCAAACAACTTGTATTTTTACCCTTGATTGATCCCTGAAGCCAATAAGGTTTCAGCTTTCTATGACGTTAACAGGTACTGCATACTTCCAATGTTGACATCCACTGAGTTCTTACTTAGTGTTGAGATTTCATGAATCAGAAACGTCAAAGTCAAAGATGGCAGCTGTTTTACCAGCTGTTTTATCCAATGCTGACATCCACTGAGTTCTTACTTAGGGTTGAGATGCCATGCATCAGAAACGTCAAAATCAAAGATGGGAGCTGTTTCATTCAGCAAGGAGGCAAGTCATAAACAATGATATATCAAGTTTCACCAAAACTAAGATCATTAAGAATGAGAAATAAATAATGCCATTTAAAATTTAAGATTCCATTGATTGTGAGAAAGGAATGTTTCAACCTAGGAAAATGTATATTTTGTATTTGGTTAAAAAAAGTTTGTCATGGTTTTTAAGATTTTTGAAAATAAGAGAACAGGCCGGGTACGGTGGCTCACGCCTGTAATCCCAGCATTTTGGAAGGCTGAGGTGGGCGGATCACCTGAGGTCAGGAGTTCGAGACCAGCCTGGACAAGAGGGGGAAACCCCATCTCTACTAAAAATACAAAAAATAAGCTGGGAGTGGTGATGCATGTCTGTAATCCCAGCTACTCAAGAGGCTGAGGCAGGAGAATCGCTCAAACCCGGGAGGCAGAGGTTGCAGTGAGCCGAGATCATGACACTGCACTCCAGCCTGGGCGACAGAGCAAACCTCTCTCAAAAAAAAAAAAAAAAAAAAAAAAAAAAAAAGAAAGAAAAGAAAAGAACAGTGATAATGGTTAGTTAATAAACTGAACCTACAAAACAGAATCTATTTGCCTATCTATGTATCTATGATTACGTGCCATGTTCCAAAAACTTGATACATGAAAATAAAATCTCATATAATCCAGAGGACTGCTGAAATATCTCAATTTTTTTCCTGTTTTGATACAAACATTTAACTTCTTCATTTAAAAAATGACATTTATTGGCCGGGCAAGGTGGCTCACGCCTGTAATCCCAGCACTTTGGGAGGCCAAGGCGGGCGGATCACAAGGTCAGGAGATGGAGACCATCCTGGCCAACATGGTGAAACCCCGTCTCTACTAAAAATACAAAAATTAGCCGGGCGTGGTGATGCATGCTTGTAGTCCCAGCTACTCAGGAGGCTGAGGCAGGAGAATTGCTGGAACCTGGGAGGCAGAGGTTGCAGTAAGCTGAGATTGCGCCACTGCACTCCAGCCTGGCAACAGAGCAAGACTCCGTCTCAAAAAAGAAAAAAAAGAAAAAGAAGAAGACATTATTACCTCTGACATTAGCCTAAAAGTAGCAAAAGTTACCGTGCAAATTATAACAAAATCGGTAATCAAATGAGAAGTGAGAGAGATCACGATATGAGAATGAAATGAACCAATTCTAGGTATGTTGTTATTAACATGCCTCCAAAAGTCTCCTCCATGTAGGAAAACTTATTTGTGATTAAAATTACCAAGAACAATGTTTTATGTTTAGAAATGGGTGCTGATAATACAGATTAAGAAGTAACAGTACTCTAAATGGTAAGATGAGTTTTGTAATATAATTATGACTGTTCTTTGTTTTATTGTTTTTTGTTTTGACACAGGCTCTTACTCTTTTGCCCAGTCTGGACTGCAATGGCATGATCATAGCTCATTGCAACCTTGAACTCCTGGCCTCAAGCAATCCTCCTGCCTCAGCTTCCCAAAGTGCTGATATTACAGGCATTAGCCACTGTGCCCAGCCTGTTCTTTTTCTTGGAGCAGGAATTAAAAAACTTTTTCTATAAAGGGCCAGATATTAGATATTTTCAGCTATAAGGGCCATATAATGTTACAAGTACTCAATTCTGTTGTTGTAGCACAAAAGCAGCCATGGACAATATGTAAACAAACCAGTGTGGCTGTGTTTCAATAAAGTTTTATTTATAAAACAAGAGGCAGACCAGTTTGCCTTGCGAGTCATGGTTTGCAAACCTATGCCTTAGAAGACAAATAAGCTCAGACTGCCCTGCAGGTAAACATACCGGGCCGAACATGTCTAACAGTGTAATTGTTTCCGTTGAAGAATAATGTAATCTAGAGTCCCTTCTGGGTCTGAACTTTTACAAAGGGAAAGCTTAGAGTCATGACAATATGGAATTCTGTGCATTCTTAACAAATAATGTGAGAATGGGGAGGATGAACGGGATTGTTTTAGGCCTGTCTCCATAAGTGACTAGGCTTAAAAATGCTGAAACAGCCATCAGTGTTTTCAAGGTTCAGCCTACTTCAACACAATAGTCAGATACTTACTGCAAAATAAAACAGATGCAAAAAACACACAGGGACCTAAAAACAATCAAAGCCACTAAAATGGAACATCAAGTCTTGAGTTATTTAACCGTTGGGCTGAAGCAATTCATCAAAGCTCCTCACATTAAATGGCATCTGTTTTCCCCACCTTTCAAGTTTCAATTAACCTTTCATGCCAGAAGGGATCACATTCAAACACCTGAGTCCCATTTTAATAAACTGGATTTGGTTCAGAACACCTCACAGTTACCTCAGAGAATGGCAATTACAGAAACCTGCTCTTGAATTTGAAATTTACAGGAAGAAAGGTTTCAAATGACCTTCAATTATATCTTCCTTCTCAGCGATCAGATGTAAAAATATCAGCCCAGAGTCACTGATATTTAGGGATAATAAATTTATAAAACAAACACCTTGTTCCTCAAGATTCTATAAACAGGTCAGGAGCAGTGGCTCATGCCTATAATACCAGCAATTTGGGAGGCCAAGGCAGGCGGATCACTTGAGGCCAAGAGTTTGAGAGCTGCCTGGCTAACACGCAAAACTCCTGTCTCTACTAAAAATGTAAAAATCAACTGAGCATGGTGGTGCACGCCTGTAATTCCACCTATCTGGGAGGCTGAGGCACGAGAATCACTTGAACCCAGGAGGTGGAGGGTGCAGTGAGCCGAGATCACGCCACTGCACTCCAGCATGGGAAACCGAAAAAAAAAAAAGATTCTATAAATATTTATTTTTGTGCCTATAGATGTATAGTTTGTGTATGGAATAGGGTAGAAAATTAAAGTTAAGAGCACAACAGTCACTCCACTAGACAGTGTGCTCTAATTGTGTTGACAAGGATTACCAATGCGGGTAAAAATTCAGAATAAATAGTTGATTCAGATACCTCACAGAGCTGTGACCCACAAGCCTATAACACATAATACAAAGTAAATATCATTGTGTTACTTTTGTACAGCTTGATAAGCTCTGTACCATGCACTTACATTCATTATCTATTTTAATAAACACCGTGTAAGATCAATAGGATAAATCCCTCATTTGAAAAATGAGGTTGAAGACACAGGTTAATTGATTTAACTGAATTCATAGAGTAAGTTGGTTTTGCAGTTAGGATTAGAATCAAGTTACCATCATTCACAGCTGAGATCTTTCATCCAGGAGAAAATAAGCCCCACAAAAGCTGGAATTTTTGCGTGATTTTTTTACTGCCACATCTCTACCAAACTGCAGGGCACATTATAGGTATTCAAAAAGTTCATGTTGAATAAATGAATGAATAGATATTTTTAAAATAGTTAAAGTAGGAACACAGAAAAGGTAAAAGCAGAACACAAACAAAGACATGGGATGGCCTCACTCTCCTTATCCTTGCAGCAAATCACCAGTTTTGTTTATTTCTGCTATGTTTTTTCTACATCTCAAGGGGCCCAAACCCACTATGACCCCTGGTGATTGGCCAAGCGGAGTTGACCAGGAACAACACTCAGATAATCAGTGAGGGATCAAAAGAGGGATCAAAATCAAGGAGTTTTAGACCCAGTCTTTCTACCTGGAGGGTTGACCGTTGACAAGCCATTCGTCTGAGGAGCCTCAACTTCCCAGTCCTTCCTGGCTTCCACACGTAACTCTTGGGGACTTACTATCTGCCTTGCTTAACTACAGGAGTATGGGAAAGGTCAAGTAAGATTATGAAGATATTTTACACACAATACATATTGATGAAGCCATTATTGTCCTAATTCTGCATTCATTTTCTCAGAATAAGATCCAGAGTGAAACATAGGCAATGGGATTACACTAGCATTTATTTGCTATAGTGGATGAAGACCAGACCAATGTCTCTGGATCCTTGGAAGAGTTCCCTTTCACCCCCCAGTTCTGTTCAAAGATAATCCATAACATCATTTCATTCTGATGTCGGGGGCACCTCTTCTGGCCAAGACCCTCAACTGAGCTCTCCTGACTGCCAAAATGGACTCTTTTGACTCATTCTCTACTATTCTCCCCAAACCTTCAGATTCTCCTACTTCTCAAGTCCACTGTCCTTGGAATCCTTGGAACCAGGCAGTCTGCTTGGCCTTGTGTCTGGTTACTTCTCAGCAGAATCCAGGCTGGTACAGGGCCTGTGCCCCCTGTATTCCATAGGGAAGACAGTCCAGTAAAGCAGATCTCCTTTTTTGCACTATTGGTGATTTTAGACAGTGGTCCTCTAGGACAATATTACACATTCTCCCAATAAGGATGATAGAGAGATGAATGGGTAGATACAAGGGTGGATGGCTGGATGGATGAATGGATGGATAGATAGACAAATAGATATAGATAGATAATAGATAGATGGATAGCCGGATGGATGGATAGCTGGATGGATGGATGGATGATGGATGGATGGATGGATGGATGGATGGATGGATGGATGGCTTGCTGGCTGGCTGGCTGGATAGATGAACAGATAGATACTAATCTAACTAATAGTTAGCTGAAGTAAGATGCCTCCTGTACAGTTAAAAGCGGGCAAGCATTCTGCCCAGGATATGAGGAGGAACCCCGAGGGGAACAAAGAGATGAAAATATTTGAGAAACACCATTAGCAATAATATGAGTCTCTTCTCCCAAATGGCATGAATACTTCAAAAGCATGTAAAAACTACTCAGAATAGCTATGATGTAAGGTGGGAGGGTGGTGACAATCTATACCTTTAGAAAGCCTGTAGTCTTCCATCTACACATCATATTTTTTTTTTTGGTCTGGTTAGCCAATAATGCAAGCAGTGGGTAGCCAGGTTTTAAGAAGGCTCTATATTTTTTACATGAATTTACGTATATCCACACACACCTGCAGTTAATGATCTCCCCAAGCTGCAGAAGAATAAGAAGGCCCATTCATTCCCATGACCCCACGTAAGCATAGTCAGATTTGGGTCAAGTGTTTTAAGTACCACTGACGTTCTCCTACCTCACAAAAGCTTTGGCACTGGTGTTTCCTCAGGTCCCCTGATTCCTTGCAGGGCTCCAGGCACTGGAAGAGAGGAACAATAAAAATAAATAAAACATGGAAACAAACAAAGCTGAGAGGAAAAAAGAATTCACCTGTGATTGTTGCTTTTTCAATGCCTGTTTATTCTAGTTAGTTTAGAAAACCAAAGAATCAGCTGCTCTTTTTAACTGGGTATAACACGAATCTGAGCAAAAGCATCATTACAGAACGCGGACCAAAAAATGTATTTCAACACAATTGGAAAGGAAAAGTTACAGCGCCCGGCAGTGACTTACAGGAAAAGTAATGATCGTCACCATCAGCTGGAGGAATTGGGGTAAGACATATTTTCTATTCAGTAAGAAATATTTTCTTTTCTTTTCTTTTTTTTTTTTTTTTTTTTTTGAGACAAAGTCTCATTCTTGTCCCTAGGCTGGAGTGTGATGGGGCGATCTCGGCTCACTGCAACCTCCACCTCCCAGGTTCAAGTGATTCTTCTACCTCAGCCTCCCGAGTAGCTGGGATTACAGGCGCCTGCCACCACACCGGGCTAATTTTTGTATTTTTAGTAGAGATGGGGTTTCACCATGTTGGCCAGGCTGGTCTCGAACTCATGACCTCAGGTGATCCACCCGTCTCAGCCTCCCAAACTGTTGGGATTACAGGCGTGAGCCACTGCGCCCAGCCAAGAAATACTTTCTAAAGGTTGTTGTTTCATGGGATTTTTTTCCTCATAAAAGTTAATATTACATTTCTTTTAAATTGGCAGCATAGGGCTATTTTTTGTACACTCTTCTACAAGTGAAAATGCATTGTATTAAATTTATGTCTGTATGTATGTACACATATGTATTATTGTTAACTTGTGTCCTTATCTCAATGAATCCAACAGCACTCAGATACATCGAGTTTAATCACTCCATTAAAATACATTGAATAAATCTGTTAGATTATGACATGAGAGTCTCATAACAGAAAATAAGGTTTGCTTAAACATACATGCATATAACTTATTACTATATACATTCTAATAAATCAAAGACACTAGCCAGACTCCATTGTTCAAGAACGTTTGTAATAATAAATAGTAAGATTGTTGGATAAACAAATTATATGCACATATAATATAGTTTATTACTAATATACACTATATATATTATATATACACACATGATATATAAAATATATATACTCTGAGGCCAGGTGTGGTGGCTCAAGCCTGTAATGCCAGCACTTTGGGAGGCTGAGGTGTGCAAATCACTTGAGGCCAAGAGTTTGAGACCAGCCTGGCCGACAAAGTGAAACCCCGTCTCTACCAAAAAATACAAAAATTAGCCTGGCATTGTGGCGCCCACCTGTAGTTCCAGCTACTCGGAAGACTGAGGCAGGAGAATCACTTGAACCCAGGAGGTAGAGGTTGCAGTGAGCCGAGATCGGGCCACTGCACTCCAGCCTGGGTGACAGAGCAAAACTCTGTCTCAAAAATAAAAATAAAAATAAAAATAAAGCATATATAGTGTGTACATACGGGATGTCTGTGTGTGCCTGATTGTTAGTAGCCAGGCCTCATGGTTGAAAAAAAAAATGTTACATTCATATGCATGGAAACTTGATCCTCAAAATTATATTTAATGCAAGTTGTAATTTTAAACATTAATAGTCATATAGTCAGATGTCAGTCATCTAAATATAAGCATAGCCCTAGCTCTCATACATTCATGGTTATTTTATCTATATTATTTCTATTTCATTATTGATGAGTTTTCAAATGACAGTAGAAATTCTCAGTTAAATTTCAGATATGTATAATGTAGAATTCCGGATATATGGTGAAGCAATACTACTTTTGCACTCTGTTTTCTAGTAATCTCTTCCATGTTTTAAAATACAGATACAGTTAGAAGATACACTGGAAAACTCTGAAGAAACTTAATTTTCAATATTTGTTGCCATCTTTTTATCAATTATATGTATGAAATCAACTGCCCCTGTGCCAACTGTCAATTCTTTATAACAATAATGCTCAAAGTGTGATCAATTACTGATATTATGGGCATCCTTTGGAGTTTGTGTGAAATGAAAATTCATGGGCCTCATTCTCAACCTACAGTCTGAATCTCTGGGACCAGGGTCCAGGAATCTATTTTAACAAGTTCTACTGAAAATTCTGATGCTTAGTAAACTTTAAAAAGAACTGCCATTGGCCGGGCACGGTGGCTCACACCTGTAGTCCCAGCACTTTGGGAGGCCGAGGCGGGCAGATCATGAGGTCAGGAGATCGAGACCATCCTGGCTAACATGGTGAAAACCTGTCTCTACTAAAAATACAAAAAATTAGCTGGGTGTGGTGGTGGGCGCCTGTAGTCCCAGCTACTTGGGAAGCCAAGGCAGGAAAATTGCTTGAACTCAGGAGGCAGAGGTTGCAGTGAGCTGAGATCATGCCACTGCACTCCAGCCTGGATGACAGAGCAAGACTCTGTCTCAAAAAAAAAAAAAAAAAAAAAAAAAAGAACTGCCACCAAATTTGATGTTTGCATTTAACAGTGTCTTTATGGAATAAATGCTTGTTGGATGTTTCTTGAGTGAAATGACAAAGACTTACCTTGCAAGTAGCTGAATCTCTGCCCGTGAACAATCCCTAGACCATTACTCTTTGGAGTAATGTCTCTTTCTTGCTTCATATAAGTGCCATTAAGAACATATATTTCTCATAAAAAAATTTTTAGATGTCATAGTAATGTTGCATATGAACATTTTAAATTATTTTCATTTTTTTAAAAAAACTTGAGCTCTTTAATAATTCTTTTCTAAGACATATATGAGCCTGCCCCAAGTTACAGTGCTTACTTCTCTCAAGAATGTTCAAAAACAAATTTTTCATCAATATAGCAATTCTAAAAGAAAAACAATTTTAATAGTAATGAAACATTGTTTAAAAACTTATCTAAAGGCCGGGCGCGGTGGCTCACGCCTGTAATCCCAGCACTTTGGAAGGCCGAGGCAGGCGGATCACAAGGTCAGGAGATCGAGACCATTCTGGCTAACACAGTGAAACCCTGTCTCTACTAAAAATACAAAAAAAATTATCCAGGCGTGGTGGCGGGCGCCTGTAGTCCTAGCTTCTCGGGAGGCTGAGGCAGGAGAATGGCGTGAACCCGAGAGGCGGAGCTTGCAGTGAGCCGAGATCACACCACTGCACTCCAGCCTGGGCGACAGAGTGATACTCCGTCTCAAAAAAAAAAAAAAAGAAAAGAAAAAAACTTATCCAACTTACTTATGATTTCCTTAAAGAACTAGTTTTTTGTTTCCTATGGCTACATCAATGCTTTGTCCTCAAAGCTCTTGTTACTTATTTTTTCTAGACATTTGCTTCAAGGCAAAAATGTTTAGTAGTTATTTAAAAGTATGCTAAGACCTAATTCTTCCTCAAGACCATTTGAAATGAATACATGACACTCTTGCCACTGCAAGGTAAGTCTTTATCATTTCACTCAAGAAACACCCAACAAACATTTATTCCATAAAGACACTGTTAAATGCTATGTGGCTAACAACGTCTGAAAATAAGCATGTGATTTTTGTTTTCTCTTATTGCTAAAAATATAAATTATAAAAATATGCTGCTACATGTGTACACAGTTGCATTTTCACAACTATAGATATCGGTGCACAAAAAGTCTCAAGCCTTTGAAATCTCCATAATCCCACATAACCATGGTCCTGAGAGCTTGTGGAATTGTCAAATACCTTATACAAAACAAATACTATTTACAAAAACAGGCATATTTCTGGAATGCTAATCAAAGCAATACACAACACACTTGTTTTGCTATTAATCCAGAAGCTCTGCCAAGTCTAGCATCAGTATATGTCATTCATTTAAAGCTCTATTTTAATTGCATTCCTGCTTCAGATCCAGTAACTAGTAATCAGCAGTATCTAAAGACATTTTTCAAAATGTTATTAATGACAGCCAACATTTTCTTTTAATAATCCTCCATGAAATCTCTCTGACAAGCACAACCTATATACAATCATCTGAGTAAATGTTTGCAGGATAAGTTTGCCAAAAGTCTATTTCTTTATAATACTCTGGCCAGTTAAAAAAAAAAAGATTTCAACAAAAGCTAAAGTGTTGCGGGAGAAAACGACAATGACACACTTTCTCTCATACTTCATGTAGAACAAAAAACTTCCTATTTCTGCAAGCAATTTAAAAAAAAAAAAAGGTATGTCAAAAGACTGCAGCCCTGCCAGAGGTGTTAGAACCCAAAGGACTCTATCTTGAACAGGGGCTGGGTAAAATGAGGCCAAGAACTGCTAGGCTGCATTATCAGGAGGTTAGGCATTCTTAGTCACAGGATGAGATAAGAGGTTGGCAGGACTAGTTGCACAAGATACAGGTCACAAAGACCCCAGTGATGAAACAGGATGCAGTAAAGAAGTCAGTCAAAACCCACCAAAACCAAGATGGCAAATGAAAGCAACCTCTGGTTGTCCATGTGCTCATTATGCACTAATTATAAGGCATTAGCATGCTAAAAGACACTCCCACCAGTGCCATGACAGTTTACAAGTGCCATGGCAATGTCCAGAAGCTACCCTATATGGTCTAAAAGGGGGAGGAAACCTCAGTTCCAGAACTCCCCACCCTTTTCCCAGAAAACTCATAAATAATCTACCCCTTATTTAGCATATAATCTAGAAATAATGATAAGTTTACTCAATCAAGCAGCCCATGCCATTGCTCTGCCTATGGCACAGCCACCCTTTTATTCCTTTACTTTCTTAATAAACTTGCTTTCACTTTACTCTGTAGCCTTGCTCTTGAATTCCTTCCTGCATGAAGCCAAGAACCCATGTGGCCTCCCAGACTGAACTCCAATTTTGGGGTTTACCTTGTGACAACCCCACATCTCTCTTCCACGAGAGGAGTGATTATGAGAGAAATACTACTACCAGGAGACAATTGCTTTAGAATGTATTACATAAACTCCTATAGGCGCCATGATCATGTACTGCCTAAAACTATCCAAAACAGTAACCAAAGTTTATATTTTTAGCAAAGGTTTTAGGCTTTCAAGTTTTAGGATGATAGACTAAAATCATTTCTTCCGAGGCTACTGCTTCAATTCCAATGAAGAAACACTTTAAATTTCAAAGAAAAATATGTAGATTGAGAGAGCTAATCGCATATGTCATCGTTTGGCAGGTAGATACTAAGTATGTTTCTACTTAACATAGAAACTTTACAGATTACAGACCACTTTTAAAACTATTTGTCTAGTGGAGCCTCATCACAACACATCTATAGAAGTATGTAAAATTATGCACTATTGGCTGGGAATGGTGGCTCATGTCTGTAACCCCAGCACTTTGGGAGGCTGAGATGAGATGATCTCTTGAGCCCAGAAGTTCAAGAATAGACTGAGCAACATAGTGAGACTTTGTCTCCACTAAAAATTAAAAAACTAGCTGGGCATAGTAGTGTGCACCTGTAGTCCCAGCTATTCAGGAGGTTGAGGTGGGAGGATCACTTAAGCCCGGAAGTTTGAGACTGCAGAATGCACCACTGCACTCTGCAGCCTGGGTAACAGAGTAAGACTCTGTCTCAAAAAAGAAAAAAAAATTTTAAAAAGGGCACAATTATTCTTACATTTTAGAGAGGAAACACTGAAGTTAAGAGAGGTTAAGGAAACAAAGCTAGTGACTCTGGGAGAGATTGGGGCAATTGGGATTGAACCCATGCTTTAGCACACTCAAATAAAGGGTATTTTCCATGATAAAGCACTTTATGCCACTTGCTACAGGGGATTCATGAGACAATGTATATAAAAGATATCTGTACACTGAAAAGTACTTTGCAAATCCATGGGATTAGTAAACTATGGTGCTCCCAGATCTCTCTGGGATTCAGTTCCAGAATGCCCTAGGTGTTACGCATTCCAAGACCTTCATATAAGCACAACCAATAAGACTATTTCATGTCACAGAGAGAGACCTCCAACTCATGAGTGGAAGTACTGATCAACAAGGAAATTGTGGATACTACTTTGTGAATCACCACCTGGCCAGTTTGGCACCAAATTCCATACTTTACATTTAACCAAACACTTTCATAAAAGGACAGCAGAAGAAATGTTCTTACCAAAACAGCCATCACAATAAATTCTAAAGCAAAAAAGGTTCACACGAAATTCAAAATTTTACATTATCCAATAATCAACAAGTGGAACTCGTGATCAGATTATGCTAAATGAATAGAACCCATGCTAAAACAAAGAAGCAGCAGGTCCATAGATTTCAATCTGTTCGAATTAGCAACAAATTAGCTAAATCAACAATATGGATTAATATTTCTAATGTGCAAAGTACTTATCTAGTCACCAAGACAGGGGGAAATGTGGCATGATTCATTCTGCCCTGAGGGAGCATGGAATCTCTTATGGGAGAAAAGTATGTAGATAAATAAGTCCGCATCAGTGAATCATAAAATAAACGAGTTAAGAACGACATGCCGGCCAGGCGTGGTGGCTCATGCCTGTAATCCCAACACTTTGGGAGGGTGAGGTGGGCAGATCACTTGAGGTCAAGAGCTCGAGACCAGCCTGACCAACATGATGAAACCCTGTCTCTACCAAAAAATACAAAAATTAGGCAGGTGTGGTGGCAAGCGCCTGTAATCCCAGCTACTTGGGAGGCTGAGGTGGGAGAATTGCTTGAACCTGGGAGCTGGAAGTTGCGTGAGCTGAAATTGTGCCACTGCACTACAGCCTGGGTGACAGAGTAAGCCTCCATCTCATAAATAAATAAATAAACAAACAAAACCAAAAAAAAGTCATAAGAAATGAAAAAAAGGATATGTATTTTCATAGAGGATCATTGAAAAGAACTTCACAGAACTAGGGACCCATAAATCAGCTTAGAAGGGTGACTGTGACTAGAACTTGACCAGCTGTAAGTAAATTTGGGATAAGGATAATATTGAATGTATGGAGTGGGGAGTATGGTGTCTGATTGCTAGTAGGAGAAAACACATAGCAGAAAACAAGGCTGGAAGGATAGCCCTTGGATTCAATGAGGAGCCACTGACACACTCAGAACTAATTGTTTGTTCCAACTTGTGTTTATGAAGACTTGGGTGTTGGAACAGAAGATGGATTAGAGAGGTGAGACATTGCAGTAAAGTAAACCAGAGCAAAAGTCTTTACAACGTCTTCCAATCTTCTGTCTGCCATTTCTAGTGTCAGTATGCCACCAGGGTGTCAGAGGACATTGGGTGAAAGGAGGAAAAGGATGTTAACCTATGAAAGGGAATATGGAAGTGCAATCTCATCAACATGGTTACCAATTTGTTTTGAGAAGTGGGGATGAGAGAAATCAAATGGGGAAAGGCACCAAAGTTTCCAATCTAGATCTCAAGGGAACTGATGGTGTCACCAAGACGAAGGAAGAAGGAGAAACAAGCATGGGGAAAGATACGGAACTGAGTGCTTAACACAGCGAGTTAGAGGTGTCCAGGGTACGTACAAGGAGTGTTGTCCAACAAGCTATTGAAATTGTGGATATGCAGTTTAGGATAAAGGTTAAAGCTAATGATGGCATTTATAAGTTTCTTTTGTCTTTCTCTCTCATCATTAATTTATTCCTTTTACAACCATTTCCTGAGTTCTAACTATAACCACAGTATCATGCTAAGTGATGGGCCTATGGCTAAATCTATGAACTACACAAGGGACTGCCTTCAAGGACCTTAAGTCTCTACAAAGATCATAGCATGTACATTTACAAGCAAACGTCAAAGATACAGATAAAGAGGTACAGACAAAATTAAATTGGAGTGTCAAAAATTTTAGGAGTTGGGCTATGCGAAAACTAGAATGGCAACCTGTATGAGATTTCATGGTTTAGTAAAGTTTTTTTTTCTTTAATCTGTTTTGTTCTCTCTTTACGTGTTTGTGCTTCAAAATGAGGTGACTGGAACACGTTAATAGGCAGAAAACAAAGGATCAAACGGAGGAAGTCTGACTGAAGATCAGGATGATTGAAGATGTAGAAGAAGTAGGAAATTATCAATTGATCAAGGTCCCAGAGACTGTTGTAGGGGTTACAATATGAAAACAATGAATTTTAGAGAGGCAACGTATCACTCCTATCATTGAACCCAACCCTATACAGCTTCCAGATTTGAAAACTGAAACATTTTCACAGAGGCAACGGCCAAGTGGTAGGGTTTAGATCCATGGCTCTGCCTAGGACTGGACATGAACGTACAGTTTCACTCCAGCTTAGAGGATGTAAGCATTTGGATGTAGGGAAATGTGACAATGATCATGTGGCATGTTGATAACCTGTGTGAATAAGCCACAGGTTTCCAATATGGTGGGAAGGCACTGATGTTTAGATGTGTGTGCCTTCGTGGATGCAATTCTGGTGGCTGGGCTTTAGTAGTCTTGAATGGATAGATAAGTCAGGCCACTTCCCAGGTGAGGGACTCTGAAACTCATGATTCTAGCCAAGTCTGAAGGCAACCAAAAGAGCACTGAGTTTTAGATTTGGACTGACCCAGAGGAGAATCCCTCATCTACCTCAAGCTAAATGATTTTTTCCCATTCAAGTTTTATTTTAACCTCTCTCAACTATACGTTTCTGATACATAAAACAGTGAAAAAATATTTGCTCAGGTGGACTTTTTTCAAATGAAATTTATAAAGACCACCTTTTAAGGTGTCTACACATAGTAGGTACTTAGTGAATCTAGTTCTCTTCCATTTCTAGGGGACCAATAAGGAGACTTTATTTTATAGTTCTTTCATATTTCCCTAATGCCTACCTACATTTTCCCTTTTAATTGGAAAAGAAATTCAAATTTCTCTTAATTCCAGTCTCTCAAGCATGTTCTAATAATTGTTTTTAAAGTGCCACATTTCTTGCCCACATTTCCAAAAGCTAAGATTGAATGGTGTGGTAATATTCTGTGTGTGGCCAGAACATGGAATGAGAAGGGATATCCTGAGACCATAGCCCAGTACCTTTTCTTTCACAAAAGTATTTTCTGTTGAATAATTAAAAAATCAAATAATGCCTTATACTTAATTTTGTCTGGAGTATTGCCTGGATATAAAGAATAAGCCTTGGGGTTCTTAAAAAAAAAAAACCTCCAACTTTTTATTTTATATGGGTATACATTCATATCATATAACAATGCTATCTACAAAAGTTTGCAAAGACCATTTCTGTTTTCTGAATTAATGGCAGCAAGTTTCTCTAAAAAGCTGTGGACCTGCTTTTTAGATGAAAGCTGTTTTTTTCTCCCAAATATATTTCCTAAAATATGTGCACCCTACTGCCTTTAGAAGTATTCATGGCCTCCCTCCAGCTCTAAATTGGTACTGTATAGAAATTGTTACAATCCTGTGTGTCGAAAAGTGCACTGTGTCTTGCCAAAATAATGAAATCTTTTGGCAGACAGCCCTCTGAAGTGCAGTTGAACAATCATTGCAGCCTCAATCACAGAGGATTAGCATGCCAGCCTAGCACAACCACAACAGCATCAGGCCTGAGACGTTCGCATCACAAATCAACTTGCTCTGAAACGTCCGAAGGGCAATGACTCTCTCACTGCGAAACTTATCAGGAAACACGGGCCTCATTTTATCACAACTACTTTTTCACAACAAAGGGAGTCCTTGGAGTTTCGGGGGAAGTGTTTAGAAACTACATAAGTAAATGAGAGGAAAGCAATCAGAAAACCATACTCTCAGTGTAATTCTTTTCCACTTAATTAAGTTTCTTGAAGTAGACAAAGTCATGGAATTCTCTTACCTGGAAGACAAAGCATACCTTCTTTGCATTCCTATTTTTCAACCGCAATCTTCTAATATGGCATTTTTGGTACAGTATTGAAGCTTCAAATAGTATTCCCATGGTCACTGCTCAAATTTAAAAGATATTAATTATGAAGAGAAAGTGCTAACTTTCCAGTGTAGAAACCTAGCAGAGCGCACCTTAACAAAAGGATCAAAGATATTGCCTCCAAGAATGGGGGAAAAAAGCAAAACGAAACTCAGGTGTCTCCTGAAAGGATGCACTAGCAAGGACTCAGCATCTCACAGAGGCAGGATTCCTGCCCATTATAGAGAACCTGAATCTAACCAAGAGGAAATACCAAACAATCTACAAAGCAATTAGCCTCTAGTCTTCAAAAATATCAATGTCCTGAAAGACAAAGAAAGACTGAGGAATGGTTCCAGACCAAAGGAGACTAAAGATACATGACAACAAATGCCACACATAATGAAGAATTGGATCCTGAATCAGACAAAATAAGGCTATAAAGAACATTATCGGGACAATCAGTGAAGTTTAAATATAAACCGTAGATTAGATGTTGGCGTTACATCAATGTTAAATCACCTACACTTGATAATTTTATCAAATGATGTTGGTATTATATCAGTGTTATCACTTACATTTGATAATTCCATTCTCTTAGTAGATTCTCTTAGTAGTTACTAAGAGAATGCACTTGTTCTTAAGAAATGCATGCTTAATTACTTGGAGGTAAAGAATCATGATGCCTGCATCTTCTTTTCAAATGATTGGAAAAAAATGATTATAAGTGTATGTGTGTGTATATATACACATAGTATATATGTATACGTTATACATTTGTGTATATATACATATATGTATATGCAGAGAGAGAGAATATGATGAAGCAAATATAGCCAAAAAAAAGAAAAAGAAAAGGAAAAAAAGGAAAGGTAACGACTGGTAAGTCTAGATTGGGTCAAGCAACTAGAAACCAGGGACCAAATGTGGCCCACCTCTTGTTTTTGTAAATAAAGTTTTATTGGAACAGAGCCATGTCTGTTCATTTACATATTGCCTGTGGCTGCTTTTGCACTACAGCAGCAGAGTTGAGTAGTTGCAACAGATGACCAAGCCAGCAAAGAATATTTATAAATCTTTGACAGAGAGCTTGCAATACCCTGATTTAGATGAAAAGTATATGGAAGTTCTTTGCAGTGTTCTCATAACTTAAGTGTGTTTTTTAAAGTTAAAATAAAAAATAAATTCATAAAATAATCTTAAAATTATTTAAAATCTCAAATCACAAGTTTTCTCTAGCTGGCATTATTAAAAAGCTATTATGGATATAAATCTATGGGCAGAGAGCATTAAAAAATTTAAGTTCCTATCAATGGGCTTATAGGAATAAACAGATTTAAAGACAAATGCTTCAGATCTGAAACCTCATACCAAATAGATGATATGTCTTCCCAAGCAACTGTTCAAGAAGAAAGAGACAAAACCTAGAATCTTTTAGGCTCTGTAAAGTCAGTTTCAATAGGCTGTATAAACTGGTGGTTTAACCACAGCCTCAGAAACCCTAAAGTAGAGGACCCAGCATAGCCTCAGTCATCTTGGAAGTCCCAGGTAAGCTCCAGGGTGACTCTGTAAGGATCCCAATTGTCCTTCCTCTCTGCCATCACTTCTAATTACAAAACACAGGAAACGAGGTCACTCAGCACTGTGGTCCAATTTGCCTCTTGGACCCTCTGTGTCCCTCCCTCCTTTATACTAGATAAGTCCTTCTTACAACATCCAAGCACGATGTTCCTCACAACGAAGATAGGAGATGGATAGAACCTACTTCTTTTGCAGTTGCAAACTACTGCATGGCATGTCCTAGATAAGTATTAGTTTTCAGTAGTATGTTCACTCCCTGGCTACATTCATACATGAATTCTAAAATCAGCAGAATCAGTCTGTGTTTATTAAAAGTCCAATGAAGGAAAACTGATGTTGGTGTTTTGCCAAGACAGAGCAGTAAAGGAGGGGTAGGTGTCCTTTCCTCACAGGAGGAAGCTTACATCCTCACATGAACATTTTCCTAAAGACACAAAAAAACTCACCCTCAGTGGGAAGTTTACTGGCGCACAGACAGCTTAATAAAATGATATACATAACAAGACAGCCTTTTCTCTGGGAAAATAAAAATGCATATTTAATCAAAGTGCTAAAAAATCAGTAAGGGCTAGAAACTATTATCTGTACATGTAATTTCCAACCCAGAAAGTGTAACACACACACAGACACACAATTTTTTAAAATTATAATCTGATTATAGGACATCTGTATATCCTTCGGCAGACTATCAAATCCATCGCTCAGCTTTCTCCAATACTGACCCCCAGGTAATCAAAATAACTCAAGAATCCTGGCAGAGCCATTAGCCAGGTTTTACAGGCTGAATTAACGGGATCCATGTTGTGCGTCCAGAATCTCAAGTGTTCATTAGATCAGATTTTGCGTAACTCAACTGGAATCACCAGTCACAGCATTCGAAGAACTTAAACAGCCAGGCCCGTCTCCCCAGTGAAGGTCAGAATTGAATCTGCACAGCATGATTCTGACATCACTGTGCTGCAAGGTTAAAAAAAAAACTGTGACAAGTTGAATGGAGATTAGGATTTCCCTCACTTGGTGCTATGTTTAAAAGCTTATGCTCATCTAGCTCTGATCCTTATCTCCATATATATTTTTTTCCTACACATTTTCTTGACAACACACATCTCCTAAGAAAACATTTGATTGGTAGTCCTGGAGAACCATGTCAATCTTATTCCCAAGTTGGGTGGCCTGGTGTCCTTTCTTCCTGTGCTAATGACCTTACAAAATGCGGCATACATCACAGGAGGAATGGGATTTTGCTCTTTGTCCCTGTGTTAAATCTCACAGAGCTACTTATAAGCCTGTCTTATTTATAATATCTGCTTCTTGCTTAACAAGATTGTTTATATCAGTAATATATAAGAATGCCATGGGTAACTATATGCTGTTGGCTTATTGTTTCCAATAAATGCATCTCTTTGTCTGAGAGGTGAGTGATTATAGTAGGTTCTAAGAGAGAACCTAAAATGAAGCATGTCTGTGCAGTGAGACCAATCAGCAACAGTGTCAACACTAATCCTCTTCTGATAGAAGGAGCTTGTAACACTGACAGCTTAATATCTATCTGTGTGGCTTGGTTGTCTGATATGTCAAACTCAAGGAAGGCATGGTGTGCTCTTGAAAAGACCAGGGAGCCAAATCTCATGGGGACTTTCATGTTTCCTGTCTCCCTTGCCAGATCAAATCACCCCAGCTTTGTCAACATGAAAGCTCCTCTAAGACATTAGTGCATCCCTGAGCAAACTCATTCAATTTGGCATTATGTGGTAGGTCTGCTCCAGATTAATGAGTTAGACATCATATTCATAACTTTTCAGATGCTTAAAAGGAAACACCATGGTGGAGAATGTATGTTAGTTATGGATGGAAAACTCCGTTTATAATAGAACCTGTTTGGCCTTTAACCCAAACTTGAAATTTGTACAACCTCACTTGAATATTTAATTTTATTCTCTCTTCACCACAAAAAGAGTGATGTTGAAGTTCTTGTGGCCAATGGAATTCCATCATAATACAGTAACAATGAAAGCTATTTGTGAACTCAACCAAAACGAGCAGCAAGCACTAACTCAGTAAGTTTGGATCATGAAGGTTTGTTTAACTACTGCAGTCTTTCAAGAGATTTTGCACAGGGTTTAGAAGAGCCTCCTTCATACTGTGGGCAATGCAAATGTCAGTTTCTTGTGCTTGTTTTCCCTTGTTATCCCCTTGACTGAAATACACATTTAAGGACTCAACCAAAGATGTCTCTTCCTCTTGTTGTTTTGCATTTTACAACTTAGCTAACTGAACACTGTTTTGATTAACTCTAAGCTTACCTTCATTACCCCTTTACCCATTCATTCATCAGCTGCTCTGCTGAACCAAAAAAATGCAGAAAAAAGAAAAAAGGAGTAGCTCACATTACCTAGACCAGTGGTGTCCAACATAATGCAAGAATGGAATTGTTCTACATGTACACCATCCAATATGGCAGCCAGCAGCCACATGGGGCTACTGAGCACTTGAAATGTGGCCAATGAGGCTGAAAGATGAAATATTCAATTTTAATAAATTTAAATCTATAAAGCTATATGGCTGGTAGCTACCATATTGGAGAGAAGAAACTGAAAAAGTTAAAAGGAAAGTACAAAAGTATGCATTCAACATCCATCACACCCACCTTCCAGTGGAAGAGGAAGTAGAAGCTGCATTTCCCAGATGATCATGCCACTGAAATTCTGAATTCAATTAGGTTATGCTCATCAATATATTTACGCAGCATTTGAAGGCAAAAAGAAAACAGAAGATATTTTCTTGCTTGTGCCTTGTTCACTATTTCTGTGGTTTAGAACCCTTGTGAAAATGTGAGGGTTTTCTGCTGCAGTCTTCAAGTCTTCATTCTCCAGCTTCCTGGGTATCTGTAGAGGCTTCATCAGGGGATGGCCCTTGACTCTCACATTGTTACTCCAGAGAGGGCTCAGAGCAAGCAGGAGAGTCAGCTCTCTGTTTTAGAGTCACTTCTGGAGGCTGAGCCTAGAGTCCATTCCTTCAACACCTCTAATCATTTTAGAAGCATCTAATCCCTTGTATTAAGTTCCTTCTAGTTTATGTACCTAGAGTAGTTTGTTTTCTTCACTGACACTACCTGATGAAAGCAACTAAGATGATACATGTGAACTGAAATTTTTTAACCCTTGTGACATCAAAAATGCAAAGAATGTAGCCATAACTTTTCTGATTATCTATTGTGTCACCAATATCATTTCTAATCTTACAAGAGTCTCCCTTTACTTTGTAACCTCCCTCTCTACCTTCTCTGCGTATGTATTTATTGATTCACATCTATGCATTGGGCAATCCAAGAGATATTAGGAGCACGTGGATGCATCAAACACACAGTCTGCATGCTTTGACCTTAGAATATGATGGAGAACAAAATTAAGCCATTACAATACAGTGGGATCAAAGCCGTGAGACAAAGGCGTACAGAAGTACAGATGGGGAGAACCTAACCCAAGTGACAACTATGCAAAATTCCCTGGGCAAAGGGATATGTCTAGGCAGAAAACAAAATAATGAGTAGGATTAACCAGGCAAAAGCAGGTGGGATGAGAGAAGAGTATGTTCCAGATAGATTTGATCTTTTTAAGCATGAAAATAAAACTGTAAATTTTAGCAACATAGAGGCACTCCAGAGGTTTCTGCTGTGTTCTGAGATGAAGACAAATGATCTATAATTCACAGGCTATTTAGAGTCAACTTTAGCTTTGGGACAAGTGGGAGCTTGGATCTTAGCAATGCTTAGAGCGACTGCTGGATATGTTTTTAGAAGTATAGCAGGCTTTATGTAGACCAGTAGAACAAAGAAAAGAAAATGATTCTTATTGAAGACATGTACGTTTCCTTTATCAGAGAGAAAGGACCTAGCTTTCCTTTCCCCAAAGCATGCATACCACTGGTAAAACGAGTAATCTAATTACTTCAAAAAGACAGCACTCGAAGGTCTGCTTTATCAAATGATAAGATTCCCTAAGTGAAATTCTAATGCACCTGAAAATAACTTATATAAGAACATCATTTTTATAACAGACATGTGATATTTACAATATAGATGATGCCATTCATGCCTGCTTTCTTCCACTTGGGGGGAGCTTAAAAAGAATCTCACTCACACATGAAATCATTTTGGAGATTTAAAATAAAGTGTACAAATCCCACAAATTTAAATAGGCAGCTTAATGTAATTTAATGCCACTACATGTAACAGTTTAACTGGACAAGAACACACAGAAGGAAGAGTAATTATTTTCCATGTTTTATTAGTTTCTTTCCAACTCATTCAGATTGTTATACATATATCAATTCATAAGAGTAACTTAAATACCCTGTATCCTCAGAAAACTGTTTCACCAAGATGCTGCTGATAATGTACCCTCACTTCACCAAGAGGAAACAGATTTGCTTTATTTCTAATGTCACTGAATGTACGTTTATAATTTACAGAATGCTTCTCTTCTGCTTCTTTACTATAATAGAAATGTATTCATGTTTATAGAAAAACAAGAAACTCATATCCAACTTACTCATTTTAAAGAGGAAATGTGATAGACTAACATGCAAAGAATATATTACAAAGAGAATACAAGGCAAAAATATCAGAATGGCATCTTCTGTTGGAAATAGAGGATACTAAATATTTTTGGAGGTTACACATCTGTCAGATATAAGGCAAGTCCTTCCCATGAAGTGATAAGCTTCTCTCTCTTTCTTTGGGAAATGTACTTGCTGTTGCTCTTTGTTAATGAGCAAAATCAGTGACCCCTCTAGCTCAGAAAAGACTCCTGATCACTGCCTCCACCGCATCCCCACCCAGAGGACTAAATGAACCAGTGACAACAAAATGCTCTTGTGCCCTAGGCCCTCTATTTCTCGGAGTTTATAGACCACCTAACAATCAAAGCAGGGCAGTAGGGGGAGGCCGTCTTTGTCCCTGCTGTTACTTTGTGTTTTTTCTCGCTGGCTTCCCAGTCCCCTCCGGGCACCATCATCACCATATCCCTCATGGCTAAGCAGCCAGAGGCATGGGGCTTTCACTCCAAATTTCACGGCATGATGAAATGCAGGGGCTGCCTCTCTGGGGATCTCAAAGCCCTCCTTTGTGGGCCTAGTTGAGGGTCAGGTTAAGTAGCACATTTTGGCAGCAGGCATCTGTTTGTCTTCACGCCATGATCTTCCTAACAAGGGGGAGGGAGAGGAAGGGAAGCGGGAAGAGGAGAGACAGTTTCAGAAAACCACCTTCACAGTGGCAAGCAAATTCCCTTCAGCGGCTTGACAGACTATGAGGCCAATGTAAATCCAATGCCTACCACACTGATGGCCCCACCGAATCAATTCGATTGAGCCGTGAGACAGGGAGCTTTTCCTTTCTTATAGGCTGAGGCCTCACTTGTTGCTCTAAAGAGAAAAAACAAAGCAAGACCCTTTCTTGCTCAGACTTTTTATAAAGAAAATGAACCTGTACAAAAAAAAAAAAAAAACTGTTGGAAAGGTCGCATTTCTTGTTTTTTTTTTCTCTTGTAATATAATCATAGAATTTTAAAATTAATTCTTCTCAATACAGAAACCCTGTTGCTATAATTGGGAGACATTGCTACTCAAGGCAAATAAAGAGCTCATTCTATTTAAAGAAAGCCTTTATGTAGAAAAGCTTTACAAGACATGATTAATATTAATTATTTCTACAAGTCATAGATACAATTTCTACTCTGGAAAGAAACCAGTGGGTAGGGATTGTTCCCTAAAAACTCAAACCACTGAATATGACCAAAGTCAATAGTTCAAAAGTAGAGTTGGTTTTCTAATATAATTAAAACCCACATATCAATGTTTTCTCAGAAAACAGAATTATACTTCGTTCCCTGTGTCATTCTCTAAGAATAGATACTTACTTCCTCATGTCAGCCTATATGCAAGAAGAATAAGCCTTTTAAAATGATGAGAAAATTAGTAGGAAATGATAAATGAGAAATAAGTAGGTCAGTCAGATGTATGGAGTATCCGGAAGAGTAAGGAATATCACAGGGGATTCGAAAGCAATAAAAAATAACATACTTCATGAATCTGAAGAATCATTGTAAAAATCATCAGATGCAGACAGACACACACATGCATGCACATACACACAGCACAAAGAAACTAAAGCATAAATTGCCAACTATCTAGCTCACCCTTGGTAAAGGAGGGAATAATCAGATGTGCAGAAAGAGGGAAAAGGAGGTATCACATGATATAAAACAGCATTCCTCACATTCATCTTCTCATTAAACCATTATTTATTTCTGTGATCCCTTTTTTCTTCAGCAAAGTGGATGATATTATTCCATCAATATTTTAAAAAGAAAAACAGTATCCACTGGAGAATCAGCTTCTTTAGCAATTGTCACCATTGCTCCATTACACTATCACACACACAAAAATTCAAGACCTGCACATCAGGAGATGGAAATGCAAATTACACTGGTGTGCATACACACACAAATACAAAGGCTATCTTATTGGAAGTCTTCATGGATTTCTTAAAGCGCATGGGAATATTATGTCAAATATTAAATACACACCATAGTCAGTTTGGCACATGAAAGTAAAGTCATTCCAAGGTAATGATTTAAAATTGTGTGGTGTTTAGGTAGTCTGCTCATCTTTTCTAAAAAGTATTCATCAAAATTCCCCGAAAACTGATTTAAGATTAATGCTTAGAGTTCTAGATAGGCATCCATTCTGCCGGGTTTTTTTCCCCCTGTTGTCTGGGATTTTATTTTATTAGGTCAGGGGTTTGCAATAGGGGCAAAGGAAGAGACACAGAGTTTATTTTAATATTGTAATGTAATTCTAGAGTAAATTAGTAAAGTTTTATGTATAAAATCTCAGAATAAAATAAATACAACATATTTATAATTCTATCCATACCATTAAGACTTGTACACAAATGCTCCTTACAGCATTATTCATAATAGCCAAAAAGTGGAAGCAAATTTCATATATAATTACTGACGAATGAATGAATAAATAAAATGAAAAAAGAATACATGGAAATATTGTTTAGCAATGAAAAGAAATGGAATACTAAAGCATGCTACAGCATCAATGGGCCTTTATAATATTATGCTAAGTAAAATAAAAAGCCAGATAAAAAGATTACATGCTGTATGATTCCATCATTTATATGAAATGTCTAGAATGAGTCAATCTATGTAGGGAAAGAAAATAGATTAGTGGATATGTAGGACTGAAGGAATTGGAGGGAAAGGGAAGCGACTGCCAATGGCTATGGGATTTTTTTGGGGGTAGTGATAAAAATATTCTATAATTCTGCTGATAATTGCAAGACTATAAATACATGAAAAACCAATGAACTATTTAAACAAGTAAATTGTACAGCATGTGAATTATATTTCAAGAATGTTATTAGGCAAAAAAAAAAAGTTTCTAAATTCACCAGTATATATATGTAATTTATATTGAACAATAATTAAAAATGTACTGACTTTCCCTGTCAAATAGATTGTAAGTTAAAAATTCAGTGATCTTCAACTATCCCATTTTGAATAGATTCATATTGTCAAACATGTCTATTCCATTCAATGGACTAAGCACATGGATCGGTATCTCTTAAAGTGTGGGTTTGGTCCTCCCCTCTCCCACACTCCACCAAGATTAGGATTGAGTAGGTTTGAAGTTGCAGCCAGAAAAATGCATCCATGGGCACCCCAGGTGATCTTGATGCAGGCTGAATTTGAGAGTCATGAGCCATATAGCAGCAATTACTTCAAATTACATGAAGTCTGAGAATAGATCATCAACACATAAAAATGGAAAACTTTATAAAGAACTTTCAATGCCTCCTCTTTCGTGTTAGTTTTTGAATAATAATTTTTCATGCAACATAACCATTCAAAAGCAATAATTCTAGAAACTGTTAGACAGCAATTACATTAACTTAAGGTTTATGAGTCAATTGAAACACATTTTTTTCTAGGTGTTGATGACCTAGAGGAAAATGACCACTTGAAAAATTAAAAACTTAGAGACATATCAATGAAAGAATTGGCACTCAGTGAACTCCTAATAATGCATATAGAAGGTCTTTATTGAATAAAATAGAAGTGTTTGCAACTCAGAATCATCTACTCTTTTTAAATGTCAATTTAACAAAATAATGTATCATTTAAAGATCTGGTGACTAAAATTTTCAGTATAAATCATGTGTTGCATTAATAAGTTGGGCCCTTTCATTTTGTGTTATGCTGTTGTTCCATTCTACTTGAGGACTAAGCTCTGATTCTTTCATGTTGTCCAAATTCCTATCTAAGGGGTCTAGGGAGTCATGCCCTACAAACCATAAGTTCTCATTAGATGGGCTTTATTTAACTCTATATATCATGACTTATTTTGCAACGTGACTCTGGCATAACATTACGAGACAAGGAAGAAAATCAAAATATTTTACCCCCAAAATATGTTTTTTGTTACATTTTGAAATGGTCCTGCAAGCCATCCTTTGTGAGGAAAAATGCACATCTGTAAAGAATCCCTATTAACATAGCTAGACCTTTTCCTTCCAGTCTACCACCTTTTAAAGGGTCTGAATAGGAAACATTTGTCATCTATTGTTTCTAACAGCAGCCACTGTGAGACTTCAAAAGAACTTTGGTCTCCTCAATCTTTTATCTTAACCTGAACATTTCCTTTCCATTGATCCCAGGTCTTTAGACAAAAACTCAGCCAACTGTCCATCAGAAAATGTTTAAATTTACCTATAACCTAGAAGTGCCACCCCCCCAACCCCGCCTCCACTTTGAGTTGTTCCGCCTTTCTGAACCAAACCAATGTCTTTCTTAAATGTATTTGATTGATATCTCATGCCTCCCTAAAATGTATAAAACCAAGCTGTGCCCCGACCACCTTGGACACATATTCTAAGGACCTTCTGAGGGCTGCGTCATGGGCCATGGTCACTCATATTTGACTCAGAATAAATCTCTTCAAATATTCTACAGAGTTTGACTCTTTTCGTCGACATACTTGTGTTTAAGATTTAGCTTGACGAAAATACCGTTATGCAGAGGACCATTCAGCCTGTAAAGTAAAAATAAAGTAATAAAGTTCTAAGCCTCCACTCAATGGACCCCATCTTAGCCAAGGGGTCCCAAATAAACCTGAAAAATTAGTTCAAGCCATGACAGGAAAGAAGGGACAGACATGCCTCCTTCCTTTGGAGTTTAGGCACAACTGACCAGCATTCACATTAGCATAGGGATCTTAAGACTGACAAAACAGACTCTTTGTAGCAATAAGATACCCAACTCCAACCTGACCGTAGTATAGCATCACATGACAGATAGCAGGCCCTGAAAAAAAAAAAAGTATTTTACCTCAAAATATATTTCTTTGACATATTCTGAGATAGCCTTGCAAAGCCATCTCTTGTGGGGAAAATTTGCATTCTGTAGAGAATCGCCTTCCCTTATTAGTTCTTTTCCAGAGAATCTGACACCTTTTAAGGTCCAATAAGAGGTATTTACCATCTATTCTCTCTGAAGCCTGCTACCTGGAGGCTTCACCTACATGACAAGAACCTTGGCTTCTTCAACCCCACTGTCCTTATCTTAACTCAAGCATTTCTTTCTGCTGACTTCAACATTTCAGGCAGAGCTTAACTCTTTCAACCAATCGCCAATCAGGAAATCTTTGAACCCACCTATGACCTGGAAGCCCTCTGCTTTGAAATGTCCTGCCCTTTCAGGCTGAACCAATGTATATCTTCCATGTATTCATTTACATCTTTGCTTGTAACTTCTTTTTCCCTAAAATGTACTGAGAAGCTGCAACCCAGCTACCTTGGGCACATGTTCTCAGGACCTTCTGAGGCCCTATCATAGGCCACGGTCCTTAACTTTGGCAGAATAAACCTCTACATTGATTGAGACCTGTCTCCAATACTTATTGGTTTACAAACCTTAACATTATATTAGATGGGTTTCCCATGTGTAATTTCAAAATGCAATGCTTTCACTGTAAAAGAACTCAGCTGCAAACACATGCCCCTCAATAGGCAGCTCAAAGTTCCTCCAGGGAGAAGCACTGAGGCAGAGGTGAAGCTAGGAGCTGAGTGCAACATCGACGAAGGGAGTCCAGGCATCCTGTTGTCCAGCAGGAGGGGAAATGGCCATGTCTCAGCAGAAAGAGGAACCAAAGAGCTTTCTGCAGGTGTCGGCAGAATGTGAATTGACAAAGATTCTCAACTTCACCTTTCTGAAGAAATACTTCTCGTGTGGCCCCTCAGACCCCAGGCTCAAAACACACACACCTTTCAGTCAACCTGATTTCAGCAAATATCCTACCCTAACATAGCAGTAGATTTACCTGTCTGGACTTTTGTTTTTACTATTACTTCCCCTCTTCATATTTCTCCACTCTTCTTCTGAATGTGTTCTCTTTAAGCTTTGTTGTTGTTGCTGTTGTTTCCATTTATTTTTATTTTTAGTTTCAGTTTAGTTTAGTTTTGTTTTGAGACAGGGTTTCACTCCTGTTGCCCATGCTGGAGTTCAGTGGTGCAATCTTGGTTCACTGCAGCCTCAACTTCCCAGGCTCAAGCGATTCTCCCACCTCAGCCTTCTCAGGAACTGGGACTATAGGAAAATATGAATAGATTCATATTGTCAAACTAAGGCGCCTGCCACCGCGCCCAGCTAATTTTTTTGTGTTTTTAGTAGAGACAGGGTTTCAACGTGGTCTCGATCTCCTGACCTCGTGATCCGCCCGCCTCGGCCTCCCAAAGTGCTGGGATTACAGGCGTGAGCCACCACTCCTGGCTGTGTCTGGGTAATTTTTGTATTTTTGTAGAGATGGGGTTTCACAATGTTGGCCAGGCTGGTCTTGAACTCCTGACCTCAGGTGATCCACCCCCTCCCCCCTCAGCCTCCCAAAGTGCTGGGATTACAGGCGTGAGCCACCGTGCTGGGACAATTTTATTCTTTTAGGTTAATAATAAAGAGCGAAAGGAAAGATGGTGAGTCTAGCAACAAGGCAATAAACATAGGACAGTCAAGGAAGACATCTTTTTTTGAGACATGGTTTTACTCCTGTCACCCAGGCTGGAGTTCAGTGGCGCGACCTCAGCTCACTGCAGCCTTGACCCGCCAGGCTCAAGCGATTCTCCCATCTCAGCTTCCTGAGTAGCTGGGACTATCGGTGCGTGCCATCACCTGTAATAGGCATGCCATCACCTGTAGTAGCCGCCACCTGTAGTAGGCAGATAAAGTAGGATTTTGTGGGCCTAGTGATTTTGGAAACCATAGCTAGGCCTTTAAAGTCCTTTGAGAATTGCTACATTGAAGTGATACTGTATTTCTCAGCATGAAAATAAATGTGAACGCTAACACTCATTTTCCATCTTTTCATGGCTGCAATAGAAAGCTTCATGTATTTTGTAGATTACAATTATAAGTAAAGGCTAATCCCCTTCCCTGCCAAAAGGGGGAAGGCTTGAGAATAAAATCCTGTTTCAAAAGAAGATTTCTGGACCGGCGTGGTGGCTCACATCTGTAACCCCAGCACTTTGGGAGGCTGCAGCGGGTGGATTGCTTTGAGGTCAGGAGTTCAAGACGAGCTTGGCCAACATCATGAAACCCTACCTCTACTAAAAATACAAAAATTAGCTTGGCGTGGTGGTGCACGCCTGTAATCCCAGCTACTTGGGAGGCTAAGGCAGGAGGATTACTTGAACCCAGGAGGTGGAGGTTATAGTGAGTCGACATTGCACCACTGCACTCCACCCTGGGCTACAGAGTGCGAACCTGTCTCAAAAAAAAAAAAAAAAAAAAGAAGATTTCACAGGGCACTTGCATGCTACCAATGAGATCGAGGTGGAGGGTCCGATCCTTGTCTAGGGTACAATTTGTCGTGAGCATAGAACGCTTTGTTCTACCATCAAAGGCAGAAATGTACTATTCATCTTGTATAGGCAGGGTGTCTCAGCCTCCACGCTACTGACATGCAGGGCTTATCCATAAGCCTTTGTTGTGGGGGGCAGTTCTGTGCATTGGAGGATATTAGCAACTTCGATGCTAGTAGCACTTCCATCCTCAGGTGTGAAAGCCCGAAATGTCTCAAAACATTGCCAAATGCCCCCCAGGGACAAGAACTGCCCCCGGGTTGAGAACCAGTGATATAGGGTACATGCTTATAAATAAATAAGCACGAAACCATCACCACCATAGGGAAAGGCATTCAGAACAAGTCTTTCTGGTTATGACTCAGAACCCTCATCTCCACAATATTGATTTCCCAATCACACAGTCCAGATGGAAATTCTAAGAAAGGGCTAACTCACGTAGGCTAGGAGAGAAGCAATTCACTGTCACCGCAATTCAAAGGATGATAGAAAAGAGCAAGCAAAATATATAGCAAGTCGCACTAACACTTGAAAATAACTTGAGAGCTTTCAAACAATTCCCACAAATCCAAACTGCTTTGAAGCATATTTCTATGATAATTCTGGAATCTTTATGTAAAAAAAAAGTGAACTCTTAGCTTTTGAGTGAGTTGAGTGTATTGCCAGCTTAGAAACTATTTTAGAGACATTTTTCCTCTTAGCTACAAGCAGTAAGCAAGTGCACTTCGTATGTTCAATCTCCTTAAGAAAAGACCTGGGACTTCATTAGGGTGAGTGACAGAGGAGAAAATGAATCGTTTGAGCCAAAAAAGCATCTTAAACCTATACCTTTTAATAATTTCTCATTTCAACACCCTGACATGCTCTATGCAGCTTGGGCATCTCATTAGGGACAAATAATATCATCAGAACTTCCCATCTCCACAAAGCATTTGAAATCCAGTGAGTTTATTAAATGGCATAGTGTTATAAATTGATAAATGTTATAAATTTATAAACTGTATAAATGTTATAAATTGATAAACTGTACAAATATTATAAATTGATAGACAAAACAATTAAAATAATGCTTCCAGGATGAACTAATCTTCGTAGTGGAAAACAATTTATATGCCTCCAAAGTGAACCAATATGATATATTAAAATAGAACAATTGGCCAGGCGTAGTTGCTCATGCCTGTAATCCCAGCACTTTGGGAGGCCAAGGCAGGTGGATCACCTGAAGTCAGGAGTTCCAGACAAGCCTGGCCAACATGGTGAAACCCAGTCTGTACTAAAAGTACAAAAATTAGCCGGGCATGGTGGTGGGTGCTTGTAATCCCAGCTACTTGGGAGGCTGAGGCAGGAAAATTGCTTAAACCTGGGAGGCCGAGGTTGCAGTCAGCTGAAATCGTGCCACTGTACTCCAGCCTGGGGGACAAGGCAAAATTCCGTCAAAAAAAAAAAAAAAAAAGAACAATTACATGGAAATTATTGTGTAACTGAGGAAACAAATTTAACTGGATGAAGTAAATGCCACAAAAATGCAATAAACACTCAAATAACTATTTGCCATAAATCTAGTCTAAAATAATGACAATCATTTAAAAATTGCTGTATCTAAGTTGAGGAGTTAAAAATTGTTTGTGTTAATTTTTAATTCTTTATATTTGGACTATTGTTCATAAAAGTAATATCATAGAAATTACACTTATTATCAAATAGCAATATTATTTTAACAATGCTTTCATGAATCTCCAAAAGGTCCACATATGCTATTAAATAGCCAGTTTTGACATATATACTTTCTATCTTTCTATAATTCCGTTGATGTCTTTGTTCAGTAAATGCAAAGATTAGTCCTGTGGGATGTTAAAGAACACTACCAGCATCAGGTGCACTCTAGGTGTTTAGTAAAGAAAAATTGAATCCAAGAGAGAATAGCCACTTAGACACCTTTTCTTTGATATAAAGGACCAATAAACGGACAGTCTCCCCAGGCAGCATCTCCTTTATCAGCCTCCATTAAAATGGTTCCAATACAGAAAGGTGTTAAGAAGTGAAAATCCACTAGACATACGCTTCACTACCCTCGTCTACAGCTCCCCCAGGAACGATACCCAAATTCCTTTAGTGCCCAGAGTATTCACAAAAGGGCCGGTCCTGACCTCCAAGATGTTTCATAAATTATAAAGTCAAATCTATTGTCTACATCTCTGATGGTGAGAGGCAGGTATGGATGGAAGCATTGAGGGAAAACAAAATGTCAGGGTTTATTAACCCCAAGTAAGAGCGAGAAGAGTCCCATTTTTACTGCTGAGGATTTTATGACCCAGGGAGTTGACATACGTGACTATGTCTAGGGCAATATATCTTGATAGTGACAAAGCTAGAACTTGAAGATATGTCTCATCATGGCCAGCCCACCATCATCCCCAGGGATTCACCAATGAGCCATCTTATCAACATGGTCCACAGAGGTGGGACCTACCATTACCATTCCCATCTCCTCCTCTGCTTTATTTGTTGCCATACGCCTTATTATCCTCTTATATCAATGAGGACAAGACTTTTGTCTTTGTCCATATCAGTATCCCCAAGAACACTTTGCATAAGCAATAGGTATTCAGTGAACGAATACAACAATAAAATTGCATCAACCTGAGTCTTAACATGTCCAAGTTCCCCAATTTAAAATTTCTCAACAATGGTAACAATCATCTCAAATTTTGCCTGCATAAAATGGTGCTCCAACAAGTCCCATCCACTTCTCAGCTACATCTTCTGGGTGCAACAGCCTGCTGAGCCCCAATCTGGGGGTTGCAGTGGATTTCCCAGGAAGCCAATCAAGTTCAAGGTGGCCCCTCACTTGTAGGAGCCCCTTCCATGGCACTGGAAGAGACCCAGGAAATGTGTTCACATGCAAATTATAAAATTTGCAAAATTAACCTATTTTCTTTTTGTTAAACTACATAAGCTTGCATCTCACATGCCTAAATCCTGTAGAAGTGACAGGCTTTATATTTGACAATGACTTGCCCAGTGTTACTTGTGTCTACTGCTTATGATAGTTTCCTGGGGGACCCATAAGTAGTGTAATCCTCTTGAGACTTGCAACTTTTTCTGGAGGTTCCAGTTCTCCTGGGTCCCTCCTGGCATTTCCAGGCAACTGCAGAACACTGCAGTGTCCCTGAGCTTTGCTAAACCATTGCTTTGGAATGTGCTGATAAACACATCTGCTGGTGCATTTCCCATTTTCTGTTTCTGAGGAGATCCTGAAGCCTTCTTGGATAATCAGGAGGAGAATCTGAACATGTCAAATCACATGTATTTGTAAATGAGAACAGCATGGTCAGAAATCAGAGCTAGAAGATGGGTTAAATAGAACAACAGTAGGCGTTTCAAGAGGATAGCAAAAAAAGAGAGGGTTGAAGATATCCTACTATAAAATATCATCTGAAAAAGATAAACAGGCTAGGCCAAGGTGGGCGGATCACTTGAAGTCAGGAGTTCAAGACTAGCCTGACCAACATGGTGAAACGTCGTCTCTACTAGAAATACAAAAATGAGCTGGGAATGGTGGCGGACGTCTGTAATCCCAGCTACTCAGGAAGCTGAGGCAGGAGAATCTTTTGAGCCCGGGAGACGGTGGTGGCAGTGAGCTGAGATAGCGCCACTGCACTCCAGTCCAGGCAACAGAGTGAGTGAGACTCCATTTCAAAAAAAGATACAGGGGCTGATGAGAATGAATTATCGCCCACAGGAGGCTGTCCTTTTGACCACACTGCTGAATCAAAGTCAAAGGAGAGGTGTAGACAGGGGGAAACAAAATCCAATTTGTAGTCACAGAGGGAGTACTGGGTGAAAAACATTTTGAAAAGGAGTCGGGGCTCAACAGAACTAGTTTATCAATGAAAGACATTTCAAAGCCTTGAAAGAAAAATTACTAATGCCCATTGCTAATTAATCATTCTACAGATTCTCATGCAAATGTTCTTTGGATGGCTTTGATCTGCACTGACACCTGAAAGAAAGCACACAGTGTCTCCGGACGGGAGCGATGCCTGGGAGGCAATGGCATGTGTGGGTACACAGCCCCCTGTATGATCCCCTAATACCCTGGGAACTCTGGAGCCGCTGAGGGCGGCCAAGCCACAGAAAGCAGGGCTCCAGCCTAGCCCATGCTAGGACCTCAGAGATGGCTCCACTGTGGCCCTTTACCTCCCAAACCACAAAACACACCCTGATCAAAAGCAGATGGCCTTCCCATGCCCTCGTCCTTAACACCAATGCAAATCGCCTCCCAGAACTGTTCAATACTCCCATACTCACTGAAAGGAGAACTGAATACGTTAAGGTCTTGAAGAATTGGGGAGAAAAATGTTAAATAAAATTAACTAGATATTGGCAAAGTAACAAAACTGTTACCTCATCGATGGGGGAAAAAAAAGACTACTTGGGGAAAATTAAAGAGAAATCCTTTTTCAAAGCTATGTTCTCACCAATGGGTAGCCAAGTGTCTTCAATTTCGTAGTCTTACCTGATTTATAACAGGAGTTTGTCTGAGAGATAGACCTCATTTAAAATTTAAAATTATGTGAAATCAAGAAACGATTTCCCAAGTTGAGATCTCTCCACTGGCTTCCACAAGGTCACTCAATAATAAAACATTTTGAAGTGGGAAATTGCTCGTACAAAACTAGGCACATTGCCGCCTTCCTACCCACGTGGAATAAACTCCTGTCTGCCTAGTAGTTTAGCTGACATTTCATTTACTTTCCTAAAGTTTCAGCCACAATTAGTGATCAAAGACATCTGGGGTCCTGTCTCCCTAGGGTGTACTCCCAGGGAACATTCATTTTAGACAGCAGGTAAAGAAAACAAGGAAGTCGTTGGCACTGGCCTGATGTGCATTTATTTTTTATTTACTTGGTTTTTTGTTTGGTTTTGTTTCTGTTTTTTGACAGAGCCTCACGGTGTCACCCAGGCTACAGTGTAGTGGTACAATCACAGCTCAGTGACACCTACATCTCCTGGGCTCAAGCAATCCTCCACCTCAGCCTCCCGAGTAGCTGGGACTACAAGCATGCACCACCATGCCTGGCTAATTTTTTTTCCTCACTAATTTTTGAAAGATTTTTGTAGAGGTAGGGTCTTGCTATGTTGCCCAGGTTGGTCACTAACACCTGGCTTCAGGCGATCCTCCCACCTCTGGCTCCCAAAGCGCTGAGATTACAGGTGTGAGCCACTGCACCTGGCCTCCCATGTACATTTAGTTTCTGATTTTTGTTTTTAGGAATGATTCAACATGATACACATATTCATAAGAAATAGCAAAATAACCTAAAATGGAAGTTAGCAAGAAGAAATAAGAGGGAATGAGGACATCAAGTGGAATCTGTAAAGAGTGTGATACCAAACTACACTCTACTGAGTCCTCAACACCCACTGAATGTAGGCCACAAATTTGGATTTCAGCTTCCTAATTCCCAACAGGAAAAGAAGAACTTGATCAATTCCTACAATGCAAGTATTCACATAAGTTAAAAGCATGAAAGGAACCTGGAAGAACAATTATCCCCAATACAAAATCTAAAAATAATTTTCTTCTGAAGTTAAGAAATATCACGTTCTAACAATAGAAGGTACTCAAGCATCCTCACCATGGCAAGGTTGAGGAGTTTCATAGAGCTCTTCTTCATGGCATGCCTCACACAAGGATAGCATCTCACCAAAGCAAAGTCAGTATCATCAATTCTACAGGGTCCAACAAATTGCATGAGCATAACCAGTCCTCTGTCCACCTGGACCAAACCAGTCTTTGTGCTTACTTATTTAATTAAATTTATTTATTTATTTATTTTTATTTTTGAGACAGAGTCTTGCTCTGTCACCCAGGTTGTAGAGCAGAGGCACGATCTCTGCTCACTGCAACCTCTGTCTCCCGGGTTCAAGCAATCCTCCTGCCTCAGCCTCCCGAGTAGCTGAGACTACAGGCATGCAGCACCACACTCGGCTAATTTTTGTATTTTTAGTAGAGACAGAGTTTCACCACGTTGGACAGGCTGGTCTCAAACTCCTGGTCTCAAGTGATCCACCCGCCTCAACCTCCCAAAATGCTGGTATTATAGGCATGAGCCACTGTGCCCAGCCATCATGCTTACTTAGAATACTGAGTATAATTCAGTATTATTATACTCACACTCACTCACACTAAGATCTGTTTCTTTTGTTCTTGCTTTTATCATCTGCTCACCTCTTCATTGCAGTTGCTTTAGATTTGGTCATCTCGGGGTGAAAGAAGAAATAGGGCTCAACCTGTAGCTATTGGAACAGGTCTACATGAACCCACTGTCATTTTGCTTGGATGCTCTCCTAGATTGAATGTTCCTGGACTGAGAGCCTAGTAACCAGATAGTGGATTCTTGTTATCTACTCCAGTAAGTGAAGTGGTGCCTCCATCCTTGGAGTCATCCTGGACCTCTCTCCTCCCAATTTCAATCCTTCAGCAGATCCTGTAGGCTCCACCTTGAAAGTACTTCCCCACATACCTACAATCTCTGCCTTACTTCCTCCAGATTTCTGCTCAAGTGTACAAATACACATGACCTTTTTACCTTACTTGTCGGAAAATAAACACCCTCCTCAAACCCTAGTTCCCCTTATCTGGCTCAATTTTTCTCCCTGGTTCTCCTTACTAACCACAGTACTTGAATTGGCTCACTGCGTTTTTTGTCTGTCTCACGCTAGAAGGGAGTTTCATGTGGGCATGGTATGTGTCTGTCTTTTCACCCTATGGTCCAGAGTCCATAAAAGCTTTCAGCACACAGTAGGTATTCAATAAATATCCAGTGCATGAGTGAAGAAGGAGACAGCATGACATGGGGTTGCAGAAAAGAAGCCAATGACTTTGTTTTCATGTTAAATTGTATTGAGTAGCAAGCATGATGCCACATTTGAGGGATTCAGTAGTGACCAGAACTGAAATGGCTATAGCCCTCCAGCCAGCTAAATCCCTTGGCACTGATCCTAAAAGACACAAAATTCATGGCTGTGAATATCAGCTTGAGCCTCAGATCCTTCTCTGTCTTTACTCTCAACTCCAAGCCATCCAGCCCCAGGGCTAGAGCTGACACTGCCTTCGTTAAACCTGTTCCCCTGGTTCTTGAAGCCAAATTTGGTCTTATGTCTCCCATAGGTCTGTATCAGGAGGGCAGATGATTCTGGCACAATACTTCAGTATAAACAAACCACATGTGTAACCAAAAAGCAACCAATAAAATTAAGTACGAATGTTCCCCAGCAAAGACAATCTGTGCTCTGCTCCAAAGGAATAGAATTCCATAAAAGAAAAAAAGAAAGCTGTGGTTTTCTTGAAGGTCTATCTCTATTCCATTCACCTGTACAGATATTTATCTCAGTAACCAAATATGTTTTTGACCTACTGCTAAAAATTCACCACCATGGGAACTAAAATAAAACAAAAGTCTTTTTACAAGCACAGATTTTACAAACCTCGATTCTTGCTTTCATCTCCGTTTTATTCACCAAGTGTAGAAGCAGTACACTTTCTAAAGAATTTAACATAAAGAGCCTTTAACGTCTCCAAGAAGCAAAGTTCATGAAGAGCCCACCCTGTGATTCCCTGTCCCATGACTACGGCTCTCAGTACGGTGTGTTGACATGATTTCTCATCTGTTCACTGCTCTAGAATAGTCTATCAGCTCCTTAAAATCAGGGGCCGGGTGTCTCATTCAAAGTTTGGCAAGCTAAGCCCATTGGGAAATGAATCCACTCTGACATTTGCTTTTGTACAGCCCCATGGTGATATTTAATTTTCAAATGGTTGAAAAAAAATAATATTTTGTAACACCTGATAATTATATGAAAATCAAACATCAGTGTCCAAACACGAAGTTTCAATGGGATGTAGCCATGCCCATTCATTGCCAGATTATCTATGGCTGCTTTCACGCTATGTCAGCTACATTAGCAGTCCCCAACCTTTTTAGCACCAGGATCTGGTTTTGTGGAATATATTTTTTTTTTCCATGGACTGGGTGAGGAGGAGGAGAATGGTTTCTGGATGATTCAAGAGCATTACATTTACTGTGCACTTTATTTCTATTATTATTACATTGTAATATATAATGAAATAATTATAAAACTCACCATGATGTAGAATCAGTGTGAGCCCTGAGCTTGTTTTCCTGAAACTAGACGGTCCCATCTGGGGGTGATGGGAGACAGTGACAGATCATCAGGCATTAGATTCTCATAAGGAGCCTGCAACCTAGATCCCTCACATGTGCAGTTCACAACAGGGTTTGTTTGCACTCCTATGAGAACCTAATGTTGCCACTGATCTGACAGGAGGCGGAGCTCAGGTGGTGATGTGAGCCATGGTGAGTAGCTGTAAATACAGAATAAGCTTTGCTTGCTCACCCAGCACTCACCTCCTGCTGTGTAGCCTGGTTCCTAACAGGCCATGGACCATTAGGGGTCCGAGGCCCTAGGATTGGGGACACTTGAGACACATCACCACAATCATGCTACATCGTCACACTGAGTGGTTGCAACAGAGACAACTCTGTCCCAGGAAGCCCAAGACACTTGTCATCTGGCCCTTTAGAGAAATAATTTTCCAGCCCCTGGTCTAATTTATCTCCTCCTCCCCACAGTGCAGCAAGGACCTAGAACATAGCTGATGTTCATCAGTGTTTATTAAAATGAACTGAAATTGTCAGCAAAACTCTGACCTCTGGAAATAATCTGAGATCCCCCAAATTATTATTTTGTTATCTTATAAAGCACTTCTAATACAATTAGCAAAGGCTCTAGCAATTACAAAGCAAACTCATCTCTCATAGAAAGTTCCCCAGCTAGGAAAAACTGGAGAAGGTAATTTTATCTGATGGTATGTCATTCAGTCCAAGTCCCTCAAAACATCAGTGGAGTAAGCAGAACTGTGGAATTGTTTCTTTGATTCCAGGAATCCTAGAATCAATACCCAACACCATTATCACACACACGAGCATTAGGCCTTGCCAAGGGTAGCAGCCAGTAAATATCAGGAATGGAGCTAAGGAATCAGAAAATTGAAAGAGGCCCCAATTTTTATGCCTACAATATCTGACCCAGCCACTACCTGCACATCTCCACTTCATAAGACATCTTTCTGCATTCCCGCAAATGTGTCAAATTGGGAGAAAATCCTTCCTCATATCAAAGCAGGGCTAAACCTGTTGCCTCTCTACCTTTGATCCAGCAGTGATAGTTAAAAGCACAGGCTGATGCATTAGAATGCCTTGTTGTGAAATGTCCTAGGAGCCTGGCAAATTGTGTAGCCTTTCTCTGCCTCAGTTTTCTTGTCAATACCATGGGGACAAAAACATACCTGTGAGTCTTGCCCAACAATATTTAAGGCACCTACCTTTCATGATACGAGTCAGCCATACCCTGTCCATCCAGCTGCTTGGAACCTTTACTGCCCTCATCCTTTGGGGCAGACTTTCCATTTTCCTTTATGCCCTGAGCCACTCATTCATCCTCGTCTAAGTTGCTAAGCTTTTCTACTGAAGTTATTGCAATCATTGCAAATATCTTCTTACCCATCTCCCTGCCTCCTGAGTCTCTACAAATTGGTTCTTCCCATGGAAGCCAGTACCTTTCTGCATGGCATGGATCCCTGTTCTGCAAAGTCCAGGCTCTTTGGAACACAGTTCTCAACGCCATACATGACTTGAAAAGCTCAACTCCCGATGTGAGGCTCTTGGCGTTCACCCTCAGATGACCATATGTTCCCCCAATGAGCCAGTACCTCAGGTTCCCCAGACACATGCTGAGGGAGTCTGTGCAGTAAGAAATCTGATCTCACTCAAAGAGAGATCTGTTGTCCCTACCCCTGGGAGGCAATCTCTAAACTTGGGATGTCCTGAGTGGTAGGTGTCTTTGTTATTCATGGTGCCCCTAGGACCATGCCTGTTAGTTTTTGCTAGTTAGGAGGCACCTGGTAGAGCCCCTCCAGGCCAATTGGTATGAGCCCAATCTCCAGAGAAGTGGGAAGGGGGCAGGCAGAGATTGATTTTAACCACACGGGTCATGGCTCGATCAATCATGCCTACGGCATGAAGCCTCAGTAAAAACTCTGGACACTTGAGCTCAGGTGACTTCCCACGTGGGTGATATTTCGTGCATCCTACCATGTGTGGAAATGCATCCTGAAAACAATGGAAGCTTCGCATTGGGAATTCCCCTAGACTCTACCCTGTGAACTCCTCTTTTGGCTGGTTCAGATTCAGATCATATCCCTGTAATAGACGTGAGCCTTAGCATAATAGCCTGCAGTGAATCCTGGGGGTATTTTTAGCAAATTGTGAAACCTGAGGGTGGTTTTGAGAAATGCTGAACTTGTGGTTGGGCAGACATCTTGAACATACTTGGCAATTTGGAGGACTGTGCTTGCTTTTTTTTTTTTTTTTTTTTTTACGGAGTCTTGCTCTGTCGCCCAGGCTGGAGTGCAGTGGCACGATACCAGCTCACTGCAACCTCTGCCTCCCGGGTTCAAGCGACTCTCCTGCCTCAGCCTCCTGAGTAGCTGGGATTACAGGCACGTGCCACCACGCCAAACAGATTTTTGTATTTTTAGTAGAGATGGGGTTTTACCATGTTGGTCAGGCTGGTCTTGATCTCCTGACCTTGTGATCCGCCTGCCTCAGCCTCCCAAAGTGCTGGGATTACAGGCATGAGCCACCGCACCCAGCCAGGACTATGCTCTTAACCTCAGAGGTTGGCACAGTCTGGTTTTACATGATCCTAAGATGGAGAATAAGGAAGAAGGGGAGTGAGGCAGGGGACAGAAGGGAGTCCAGGGTACACTAAGGTAATGCTTTATGCTCTGAGTACCTGGGGGTCACCTGCACTGGGAACCACTGGGAGTCTGTTCTCCTTCTCAAGTGACAGGGAAGCCATGGTATTTCTCATCTACTACCTCCTGTCTATTGGCACTTGAGGGCAGTTCCCGAGGGCATTAACTCCCAGTACCTCTAGCCTGCTTCTCAGTCAGAATAGGGAAGTTTCCACACTATGAGCAAGTTCTCAGATAGAGAGTGGCAGATGCAGCAGAAAGAGCTGTGGGTGCTCAATGTATTGGCAAGCACCATGGAAGGGACATGGTTAATGCCCTACTGCATGAGCTCAGCTATTTCTAATGCCTCAGATATGCCCTGGTGCCTCTTGCTTTCTTGTAACATGCTGTCCAACCTCCCTGTTGGACACGGCCAAACCCCTCCACCTCCCACGCTTCCAATTAGCTAGCTCTTCCTCAGAGGTCAGCTTTAATTTGTCCCAGGGTTATGGGTCCTTCTCCTATTTTCCCTGCCAGTTCACTTATAGCATTTTCAAGCTGTTAAAATTTCCTCTTTATTGCTTGTTTTCCCTCCTAAGACTATGTACTGCTTAAAGGTTGGACTCATCTGTTTTTTAACCTCCATGCCAAAGATACTTACGAATTGTTCAATGAATATCTATCTGTTGGATGGATGAATTCATTCTGGGACTGAATGTATGAATGAATTTAATACTTGCTCTCAGGAGCAGTCTCACCTTAGAGGGGGTCACAAAAATTCGAATGGAATAATTGTAGCCATGGAACAACCTCCTTGATGAAGATATGCTGGAAAATATCTTCACAAGCCCTCAGATTACACCACCTAGATTAGAGGACTACCTCTTCTGCTCTCACTTTGCAGGTAAAGAGGCATGCACCAGAATGCTGTGGAAACATGATCAAGAGTGGATGGCAGGCTGGGCACAGTGGCTCACACCTGTAATCCCAGCACTTTGGGAGGCTGAAGTGGGAGGATTGCTTGAGGCCAGGAGTTTGTGACCAGCTTGGGCAACATAGAAAGACTTTGTCTCTACAGAAATAAAAAATTAGCAGGGAGGCCAGGCACGGTGGCTCACGTCTGTAATCCCAGCCCTTTGGGAGGCCGAGGCGGGCGGATCACGTCAGGAGTTTGAGACCAGTCTGGCCAACATAGTGAAACACTGTCTCTACTAAAAATACACAAAAAATTATCCGGGTGTGGTGGTGTGTGCCTGTAATCCCAGCTACTCAGGAGGATGAGGCAGGAGAATCGCGTGAACCCGGGAGGCGGAGGTTGCAGTGAGCCAAGATCGTGCCATTGCACTCCAGCCTGGGCAAGAGAATGAGACTCTGTCTCAATAAAAAAAAAAAAAATACACATCTATGTATATATTAGTAGGGTGTGGTGATGTGTGCCTGTAGTCTCAGCTACTCTGGAGGCTAAGTCAGGAGGATTGAATGTGACCAGGAAGTAGAAGCTACAGTGAGCTATAATTGTGCCACTGCACTCCAGCCTGAGCGACAGAGTGAGACTCTTTCTCTCTCTCTCTCTTTCTTTTTCTTTCTTTCTTCCTTCCTTTCCTCCCTCCCTCCCTCCTTCCTTGCTTGCTCTCTTCCTTCCTTCCTTCTCTCCCTCCCTGCTTGCTTGCTTTTCTTTCTTTCTTTCTCTTTCCTTCCTTCCTTCCTTCCTTCCTTCCTCCCTGCTTGCTTGCTTGCCTTCCTTCCTTCCTTCCTTCCTTCCTTCCTTCCTTCCTTCCTTCCTTCTTTCTTTTCTCTTTTTTCAGGGTCTCACTCTGTCACCCAGGCTGGAGTACAGTGGTGCAATCTTGGCTCACTGCAACCTCCACCTCCCAGGCTCAAGTGATTTTCCTGCCTCAGCCTCCCGAGTAGCTGGGACTACAAGTGTGCGTCACCACACCCAGCTGATTTTTGTACTTTTAGTAGAGATGGGATTTTGCCATGTTGGCCAGGCTGGTTTCAAACTCCTGGCCTCAAGTGATCCACCCACCTCAGTCTCCCAAAGTGCTGGGATTATAGGCATGAGCCACTGCGCCCAGCTTGTTTTTAGAGAAAAACAAAAACAAAAAGCAAAAAAGAGAGTAGATGGCAGGTTGGAGGAGGGACACTTTCACACTTTGGCCAAGTTCTCAGGCAGATGTAGGCAGAAATGCACTAGAACATCATGGAAAACATGAACAAGAGCAGACATCAGCTTGACACCCACTGAACACAGGGGAGCCAGCATAGAGGAGAAGGGGCTACCTTCCTGCATATAACATGAAACCCATCCCTGATAATGACTTCCGAGGCAGCTCTCTGGGCAACGCTGTCTTGTTCCATACACACAAAAACTTGTTTCTTGTTCCACACACACAAAAAGGTCTCAGGTGGACATGTGGACATTGTCTTTGGGAGACTGGCTTAGGTTTGTTTGTGTTCTCCCCATTCCTCTGCCTTCTCCTGACTAGGCATCAGACTCAAGTTTGGCCCTTGCACATACTTCTCCCTGATGAGTTATTAATACTAACCTTTGCTTGCACCATGAACTTTAATGACATGCCCAAGGTCAGCCAGCTTGCCAGACTGGCTCTAAAACCCACCTCATTTTATGACCAAGAGATATGGCCAGGGACGGGGGCTCATATCTGTCATCCCAGCCCTCTAGGAGGCCAAGGTGGGAGGATTGCTTGAGCCCAGGAGTTCGAGACCAGCCTGGGCAACATAGTGAGACCCTGTCTATAATTTTAAAAAGAAAATTTTTAAAAAAGAGAAATGCATATAGACTTTAACCCAAAACTATGATATAATCTTGTTGAGAATACAAACTCTGCTTCATGCTTCCTATGCATACATGCCCTAAAGAATGTATAGAGTATCCTGTAAGTAGCATGTCTTTGATATATATTTATCATAATAAATAAAACTTTAATGGCCCAGAGAGTGCTACAAGCCGGGGCAGGCCTAGAAGCTGAACAGCAAACAGGAGGACAAGAGAACCACAGCAGTGCAAAGTAGAAGACATTTTTAAGTAACACACTACACATTACAGCAGTACACAGAGCAGCCAGGTGAGAAATTATGAGGATCTAGGTGGATGGGTCAGTTTTCTAGAAATGCCACAATAAAGTCCCATAGACTGGGCAGCCTAAACAACAGACTATTTATTTTCCCACACCCCTGGAGGCTGGAAGTTGAAAATCAAGGTGTGGGCAGGGCTGGTTCCTCCAGAAGCCTCTCTCCTTGGCTTGTAGATGCTGTCTTCTCCCTGTGTCCTCATGTGGTCGACCCTCTGTGTGTGTCTATGTCCTCATCTCCTCTTCTTATGAGATGTCTTATTCATTTCAGGCTGCTATCACAGAATACCATAGACCGGGCAGTTTATAAACAACAGACATTTACTCTCCCACAGTCCTGAAGGCTGAAAGTCCAAGATCAAGGTGTGGGCAGGGTTGGTGCCTCCTGAGGCCCCTCTCCTGGGCTTGTAGATGTTGTCTTCTCCCTGTGTCCTCACCAGGTCATCCCTCTGTACATGTCTGTGTCCTCATCTTCTTACAAGGACAACCGGTCCTATAGGATCAGGGCCCTCCCTAATGACCTCATTTTACCTTAATTACCCCTTTAAAGACCCTAACTCCAAATACAGTCACATTCTGAGCAACTGGGGGTTAGGACTTCAACATCTGAATTTGCAGGGAAGACAGAATACAGCCCGTAACAGTAGACTTTTTGGAATGCTACTGCCTGTTTGATTTTAATGCAGGATTATATTTGACTACAAGTCCAAACACTATAGCTAGCCTAGAAGGGTTGCAGCCATAACAAAGGTAATAAAGAACCACCTTCCCCATGACCCCCATGTGGTCCTTGCCCCCTGATGGTCCTGGGCAAGCACAGTTGATCACAATCCCAATTAGCACTGTTACTTCTAGGAGCTTAAAAACAACAGCATCGCGTTTCAACTAGCCCTTCTGCCAGAGTGCATGTGCTACAATAACATACTGTAAGGGACGGACATCAAACAGGAGCACATCCTCTCGGGGAAACTGCAAGAAAGAGGGTTTAAAACACTCCAATGAAATGGAGCAAGCTGCAATGACCATTAAGGACACGCTGAGCACAGAAAACTCAACAAAGATGAAAGAAGAAAGAGGAACTAAACCAACACTAGTCCTTGGTAAATTACATGAACCTCGTTTCTTGGTATCTTTTGATTACACTCAGGCCTGAGGCATCTGTAGTCCTGCATCAGGCTGATGCCCCTGAAGCCCAAGATCTCACTCCCAGCTCTGCTCTTAATGCAGGACCCACAATTTTTGCTTTCTTCTGTAAATGACCAGATAGTGGATATTTTAGGCAGGGATGGCTTCAAGGGTGAGCAAATTACAGTCACGCAGGGCCCCACATTTAGAAGGGGCCCAACCTTGGTTTAATGCTTTGCCATCACTGTCTTCAGATTCTTAATTTTTCAAAGGGGCCTTGCATTCTCATTTTTCACCGGGTTCTGCGTATAACACCACAGGTCCTGGTTTTCATCTTCGCGGGCCATGCAGTTTCCACTGAAATTATTTGACTCTGCCGGTGTAGTGCAAAATCAGCTACAGACCATAAGAAAATGAATAAGTGTGGCTGTGCTCCAATAACATTTCATGTGGGATGCTGTCATAGATTGGACTGTGTTCCCCCCAAAATTGATATGTTGGGCCCCCAGTACCCTGGAATGTGACCTTATTTAGAAATAGAGTCTTTGCAAATGTAATTGCTTAAGATGAGGTGTTTAGGGTGGGCCCTCACCCAATGACTGGTCTCCTTATAACAAGGAAAAATTTGTACATAGACAGAGATACACATAGAGGGAAAAAGATGTGGAGAAGGCCAGGTGCCGTGGCTCACGCCTGTAATCCCAGCACTTTGGGAGGCCGAGGCAGGCGGATCATCTGAGGTCAGGAGTTCGAGATCAGTCTGGCCAACATGGTGAAACCCCGTCTCTACTAAAAAAATACAAAAATTAGCCAGGCATGGTGGCAGGCACCTGTAATTTCAGCTCCTCAGGAGGGTGAGGCAGGAGAATCGCTTGAACCCGGGAGGCGGAGGTTGCGATGAGCCAAGATCGTGCTAGCCTGGGCAAAAAGAGTGAAACTCTGTCTCAAAATAAATAAATAAATAAAATAAAATAAAATAAAATAAAGATGTGGAGACATAGGAAGAACATCTACAAGCCAAGGAGAGAAGCCTGGAACTCATCCCTCCCTCATAGCCCTCTCAGAAGGAACCAACCCCACTGACACCTTGGTTCACACTTCCAGTCTCCAAAATTGTGAGACAATAAATTTCTGTTGTTTAAGCAAAGCTGTTTGTGATACTTTATCACAGCAGCCTGAGCAAACTGATAAGAGATACGGAAATTTAAATTGCATATAATTTTCATGTGTCAAAAAACATTCTGTTTCTTTGGATTTTTTTTTCATCATTTAAAAATGCAAAACCCATTCTTAGCTCATGAGCCATACAAAAATAGGTAGCAGGGCAGATTTGGGCTGCAGGCAGTAGTTTGCTGACTCCTATTGAAACTGTGCCCCGAGGAGTTAAAGAAACCAATGACTAACAGAAATTCTTGAGTTTGCAGGATGGTAGATAAGAAAAGAAACAACCTGCTGAAATGCTGAAACTCCCTATGCTTGTAAGATAACAAAACTGGCTGAAATCAGTTGGAACCAATAGATCCAACTGGAGCCTGCCCAGAACAAAGCTTGCTGACATCATGGCCTGAATTTCTATCTTGTGTTTCCTACTAACTCCCTCTGAATGTGATCCATGAAGTACTGTGAAGAGGTAACTATGCCTGCCCAAGGACTTTCCATACCTTCCCTTTCCTTCCACCAATCAACCACTAATCCCAGGATCCACCTTTTCTAATAAAATTATTACATTACATGGAATCAATCCAATGCCCATCAATGATAAACTGGATAAAGAAAATGTAGTACATATGCACCATAGAATACTATGTAGCCATAAAAAGAGATCATGTCCTTTGCAGGGACGTGGGTGGAGCTGGGAGCCTCAGCAAACTAACACAGGAGCAGAAAACCAAACCCTGCATGTTCTCACTTATAAGTGAGAGCTGAACAATGAGAACACATGGACACAGGGAGGGGAACACACACTGGGGCCTGTCAAAGGGGTGGGGGAAGGGAGAACATCAGGATAAATAGCTAATGCATAGGTGATGGGTTGATAGGTGCGACAAACCATCATGGCACATGTTTACCTACGTAACAAATCTGCACGTCCTGCACATGTATCCCAGAACATAAAATAAACTTTGTTTGTTTGTTTTCTGAGATGGAGTCTCACTCTGTCGCCCAGGCCGGAGTGCAGTGGCGCGATCTTGGCTCACTGCAAGCTCTGCCTCCCGGGTTCACGCCATTCTCCTGCCTCAGCCTCCCGAGTAGCTGGGACTACAGGAGTGCGCCACCACGCCCGGCTAATTTTTTTGTATTTTTTTAGTAGAGACGGGGTTTCACCATGTTAGCCAGGATGGTCTCAATCTCCTGACCTCGTGATCCGCCCACCTTGGCCTCCCAAAGTGCTGGGATTACAGGTGTGAGCCACCGCCCCCGGCCAGGGATTTTTTTTTTTAATATGGTACTTTGTAGCCTCTGGAACAGCAATACAGAAATTCCAGCCACTACAAAATAAATGTATGCGTGCATGCACACACACACATACACACACACCCCTTTACCCTTTCAGTTGAGCCTTTTCCATAAACAAATTCACCCTCCCTTGATGAACTTGATTTGCAAGGCTAAAACCAAATAAGGTGTAAGTTAAGAGGAGAGCCTGCTGACACAAGGGTACCCCACGGTCTCTGCAGATAGGTTTCTCCTCCTGGTAAAATCTCAACAGGCACAGAGGGCAAGAAAGAAGAGCAGCCACGGTGGTGTCTCTGCCTCCATCACAGGCTCTTCTGCATTCTTTCTCTAGCACCATTTCTCTTTTTGAAGAACTCAGTGATTATGGCTTTTGGGGCACAATTTCACAGGTCCGCATAAGCAGATGTTTTTATGCATATCGTCTCCCCCAGGGCTCTCTTGTGAACACTGTATAAGCAGGCACACAAAATGATGAACAAAGCGTCCCCAGGACCCCTCTGAGATAGAGTTGATCTCAGGCATGAGCAAGAGAACGACAAGACAAGCCTGAAGCATCCCGTCATGCTGCAAAGGCGGGACGTGCTCCCAGAATGACAGGCACTCATCCAACGGACGCAGCAGTGTGCTTCAAAATTCCCCACAAGTCAAACCTTGACAAACTGGATATCAAAACAAATAATGGTGGGAATGGATTCCAACCCATTTCAATACTTCAGAACCCATGAGTCCATAGTGACAACACACAAATAAGAAGATAAAGCTCTGCCTTAAAACAGAAAGTAAATTACTAACTGCATAAAGAAAGAAGTGCCTGGCAGTGCCCAGGCTGATCTGTCACAGAGTTGTACTTCAGAGGTGAGATATTGCACTCCCTAACTCAATCACTAGTCAAAAGGTCTTGTTAATACAAAAGACTTTTCTAATCTTGGAAAAAAATAGTGGAAGGTAATACTGTCCAATGCTAATAGCTAGGTGGTAGATATATGGGTAACATTTTTTCCCTCCAACTATTTCCATTCTTTACGTATTTTGAATGGGTGTGTACTGCTTTTCTCATGCTCATAAAGACAATTGTTGAACTCTAAAACATCAAAATATTTCATTATTAAGACTACTCAGTATGGATGTAAATATTGCAGGTGCTGAGATGTTGGGGACCCAATTCACTTAAACATTTTTTAAATTCTCCTTTTATATAAGTTACTAGTATTGGAAAATAAAACAATCAGTTAAGTTGACCTTCAATAACTTAAGAGATAATGGTGGCAATATCCACCATGATTATTTTAGCAAAGCAAATTACTTTGGATGATATTCTTTAACATTTAAAACGTTGGCATTTCTTTACTCCAAGTCCTCCATGCCCCATTTTTTAAAAAGAAAGGGAAGAGAAAGACCAGACTTGGTGGCCAACACCTATGATGCTTGAGCTTTGGGAGGCTGAGGCAGGAGGATTGCTTGACCCCAGGGGTTCAAGACCAGCCTGGGAGACATAGCAAGATCTTGTCTCTTCAAAGAAAAAAAAAATTAATTAGCTGGACATGGTGGTATGCACCTGTAGTCCCAAGGCTGAGGCAGGAGGATCGCTTGAGGCCAGGAGTTCAAGGCTGCAGTGAGCTACAATCACGCCACTGGACTCTAGCCCAGGTGACAGAGCAACAACCTGTCTCTAAAAACAAATATGATACTAATAAAAGAAAAGAAAAAAATCCCAAATTTTAACCTTATTATATAATCTTTGATGTATATTTACCAGTATGAAGAGTCCCCTTTGTTGTATTTAACAAATTCTAAAGAATAACACGGTTATAGGGAAAATAAAGGAAATAGAAAGAGGTTAAGAATGTTTACATTTTCACTATTATCAATTCAACAACTCCCCAACCAGTATTAGATTATTTTCCCTATATCATAAATGTCATAATAAAAAATGAAATAAGGTTCCTGGAGCCTGAGAGAAAATAAATACATATACACACACAATGGAGTCATAAAATCTGCAACATTGTAAGTTTTCCCGTTGTAACTTTCAATGTGTTGAAGCATCTTCTTAGTTGGTTACAATGAACACTGAAAAAGCTAAATTGATATATCCCCAAAGTCATGAAATGGTATCTCAGACACAGGGATGACCTTCAGAGGAAAAATGCTCCACATTCCCCACATGCCCAAGAAGCAAAAATGGACAGACTGTTTTTGTACTAAATGAAACTGTGGCGTCCATCCAAAATGTGGACATTGACATCGGCGCTGATAAGTCCCCTTCAACTTTGCATTTCCTCCTCGTCTCCAGGCTTCTTCATAACTGGAAATTTTGACTCTCACACAACTCACTTCACCTTGTATGCCCCAGGATGAGGTTGAGGGGGGCCCAGACAACATCACCCCATGAGGGGAAACTGCCCCAAACAAATACACCAAGTATCAGCAGTAGGAATAGCCAGGGAGAAAATATACCCTGCTCTAGGCTAATTTGACTATGAAAAAGTTTCATTTTTAGGCCAGCCATTACCCATGGCTTGGGCTGAATAGTATAGAACTCCATAGGTGTTAGAAATTATAAACTCTGTCCTCCTGATGCTTTCACCCAAGGCTGTCCCATCAGGTGCTCAGAGCTGCTGAAATTTCTCCTTAAAATTCTAGCACCACAACATTCAAGTCTAAAAAGTGGAGGAATTGAGTTTACATTGGTTTGACTGGATATTCAAGCCTTCCCGTACTGGACAAATGAAACTCTTCTCTAATTTCCATAAAGCTTTTGTTTGTTTGTTTGTTTGTTTTTTGCGGGGGGATGGGGGTGGGGAGTTGGTTGTTTTCTTGAGACAGAGCCTTGCTATGTTGGCCAGCATGGACTCAAACTCCTGGGCTTAAGCAACCCTCCTGCTTCAGCCTCCAGAGTACCCGGAATTAAAGGTGTGCACCACTGTGCGAGCTTCATTCAAGTTTTAGAACTTCATCCTTAATTTTAGACAAAAACAGAGGAAACCATCTCATCAAATCACTCCACATTTTAAATAGAAAAGCAGAGTTCCAGAGAATGAAAACCACTGTGGGCCGGGGCTTGCACAGTGGGCAAGAGACGAAGTGTTGACTGTAATGTGGGTCACACACCCTTTGTTCATTTCAGACCCTGTGAGGTCTACTGGAGATAAAATATCATCAGCCGTATGGGGGTTGCTTCTTAGAAGGAGTAAGGTAAGGTAGAGTAAGGTAAGGGATTTAGTGGCCCAATACCAGAAAGGAGTAGTGTGTTTTTAGAAGACATTCTCCCAAATCCTGCCTGGCCGAGAAGGGTAAGAGTATGGCTGTGGAGGATTAGGAGAGTGGGGGAGCTGAGAGCATGAATTGTAGAGCCAGATGGACTGGATTAGAATCTTGTCACTCTTGCCTTCCCCATATGCATAATGAGAAAAGAGGAATAACTATTTTGTAGAAGTGCAATGAGGTCTGAGTGACTGCAAAATGCTGACGAGTGTCAAGTGTCAGGCGTATTTAAGGTATTTTTAAATTTTTTTTTTATTTCCATAGGTTATTGGGGAACAGGTGGTATTTGGTTACATGAGTAAGTTCTTTAGTGGTGATTTGTGAGATTTTGGTGCACCCATCACCCGAGCAGTATACACTGAACCCAATTTGTAGCCTTTTATCCCTCACCCCCTTCTCACCCTTTCCCCGAATCCACAAAGTCCATTATGTCATTATTATGCTTTTGCATCCTCATAGCTTAGCTCCCACTTAGGAGTGAGAATATATGATGTTTAGTTTTCCATTCCTGAGTTACTTCACTTAGAATAATAGTTTCTAATCTCATCCAGGTTGCTGCAAATGCCATTAATTCATTCCTTTTTATGGCTGAATAGTATTCCATCATATATATATATATATATATATATATATATATATATACACACACATACATATATATATATGGTATTCCATCATATACATATATGATAGTCCATATATATATATGGTATTCCATCATATATATATGATAGTCCATATATATATATATATATGATGGAATACCATATATATATATGATGGAATACTATATTATATATACCATATATATATCACAATTTCTTTATCCACTCATTGACTGATGATCATTTGGGTTGATTCCACATTTTTACAATTGTGAATTGAGGCACACATAAGGTCTACTAAGTTAAAACAATAGCAATGAAAACCTCCACGTCTATAGTACCAGAATTGGGATTATCAACAAAGGTGCAGGGTGCCAGCTTCCAGAATACCACTGACCCAAGAGAGGCAAATCAACCTGTGGGAGCCATTAACCTTCCACTGTTCTAGCCACAAACACATCGTTTGACTGATCGACTTTGAGTCAAAAGGTTTGGGATGAGAAAGGGGAGTCACAGTATCAAAACGATCAAGTCTCCAGAGCCTGGTAGGAGTTCTGAGTCACTCTCCTTTTTAACTTCCTCCTTGCTTATCTGCAGCTGCTCTCTGCCGCCTGACGGCCTTTTGCCCAGGAGGTCAGAGAAGGCAAAGCTGTCTCTCAGTAATTGGAGATGTCTGGCTCTGTGTGTGGGAAGTTGAAGGGACACTTGGTGGTGCCTTCCTCCCTCAAAGCGTCACAGCAAGTCCTTTCATTGTGGCTAAGCGGAAATAGCCAAAAGAGAAAGGGAAAATATCGTCTCTTATGAAGACAACAAGAAGACCAGGGGTGTGGAATGGGAGAAGGATGACCAGGCACAGCACAGGGTATTTCTAGGACTAGGAAATCATGGTATAAGATAATGTAAAGGTGGATGCATGACTTTATGCATTTGTCAAACACCACAGCATATACAACAGCAAGAGTAAACCCCAATGTAAACTATGGATTATAGTTAATAGTAATGTATCGATAGTAATCCATCAGTTGTAACAAATGTATCACACTAATGCAAGATAACAGTAGGGGAAATACCAGGGAGGAGGAAGGGAGGGCATGGGAACTCTTCATTTTCCACTCCAAATCATCATATGGCTGATGATATTCAGCATCCAATAGACCTCACAGGGTCTGAAATGGAATGCCTTATCAGGCCCAAAACTGCTAAAAAAAAAAATAGCCTATTATTTTCTAAATCTCAGATTGCTTAATATTCTTATATACATGATTAATAATGTGTACTATTATGTATGTACATCATAATATAGGTAATCTCATGCATAATATTTAACTAACGATGATACCTGTAAGAATTTATCACTTAATTACAAAGGCTGTGTTGAGATTAACAGTCCTTCAAAGAAGGTGGATGGGTTGAGATGATGTGGTAGATCAGAAAGAAAGCACAATTTAGAATCCTATATAGAAGTTTTCTGAAAAACAGACACACAGAACCGATTGCTTTAATTATCTTACCATCATTTGGATAGGGTAAACACACCAGTTTGCATATACTCTTAAGTAACTTTCATCCAAGTACAGCTGACATGAAGGTAGCTTGCCCAATAGATAAACGATGAGAGAAAAGTAGAGAAAACATTTACTATCTTTTTTATTCATAAATTCTAACCCTCCCCCACAAAATGTGTTGGAACTATGTGATTAATTCTATTAAAAGTATGCTCGTTCTGTCTGTAAATCTGTGGAGTAAAAAAAAAAAAAATTCAGGAGTGGTTCCCCATCATCAGAATCTGGGCTCATCATTTCCTTCTTTCCCTGAGTTTATAAAGTATCTATCAGCATAGTGCCTAAGATGTACCAGAACATTTACAGAAATCATGATTTCCTTTTGTTTTTGAAGCCTCATGGACCTGCAAGGTAAAGTTTTATTTTTCTAATCATTATTTTGGAGAAGAAAAGGGCAGGGAGATAATGGTGATGGATGCAGCCGAGAGTTGGGATTGGAATTGGCGTTGGCTCATTCCTCAGCCTCTGATTCCAATTGGCTGTACCACCTAACATCCATCATGTCGCCTTCTCACCGAGGCCAACATTTCAGAAAATGCCAGTCCTCATCTCTCCAACCACGCTTGTTTAATTACCATTGAGGGAAGCAACTACAAATACTCCTAGGGCCAAACCCTGGAAGAATCCCAGCAACACACAGAAATATTGAACTTACCCAAGAATTTTCCTAGATGGCCATAAATACCATGAAATTCTGGACAACTCAAATTTACATCTCTAGTCCTGACTGTTTCTGGGCCAGAGACTTCAGATGTCCACCTGCCTGTTTAGTAGCTCCCCTTGATATAATCTCACAGGCTTAAACTTATTATGCCCAAAATGAATTTTAACAGGGCTTCCCTTTTTCACACAAGGAAAAGCCCGGCTGCTCCTCTTCCAGTCGCCTTCACCTAAGTAACTGGCCTTTCTCCCCACTTTCCTAAGAAACTGGCATCAGAACGGATGTTTCCATCTCCCTCGCTTCTTGTATCCAACCCTGGCCAATTTTGCCTCCCATCTCCCGAAATCCATCCGCCTCACCCTGCCTTCACTGCAGCCTCACCTGAGTGAGCTACCCACCTCTTCTGTCTAAATTAGTGTGTTTGTTTTGGAACCAGACTCCCGCTTTCCATTCTCAGCCTTCTTCATCATTCCCCAAAATATCTTGTGTCAAATCATTCCCCTCCTTACAGCCTCTCTGGCTTCCATCACTGCACTTTATACAGAATATAAAAGACTTGATCCTCTAAGGCCCTGTCGCCAGGTGTCCTGTCATGATACAGCAGCTTCTTAAACTTCTCTATAGGTACCAAATAATTTTCCACCTCAGTGCCATTGTACGTGCTCTTCTCTTTAACTAGAAAACCCGACTCTTCAGAAGTTCATATCCTCAGAGAACTTTTGCAATAATTCATATCTCCTATCTTTCTTAGCATAGTACCCTATTTTCTCAAAATCATGTAATACCATGTGTATTAACTGAGCAAACACTGACTTCCTTACTTTCTTAAGACCTTCTGTGTTTAGTGTACTAATTCTGCTCCATGAAGGCACGGTCTATATCTGTATGAGTAGTACCTTGCAATCTTTTGTCAAATAAAACAACATCTATACATAATTTACATGATAATGCTGCATATTATGTGTATGAGTATATATATATATATATGGTCTTGTATACATTATATATATACTATATATATAGTATATGCTGTATAGTATATATATGTACCATATACATAGTATACAATAGTATAGTATATATATAAGACCAGTATACAAGTATACAAGACCATAAGTGAAAAAATTCCAACGACAGGAATTAATTTGCTTTCTTTTTTAACTTTCAAAAAAATTATTATTTAATTGGCAAATAAAAACTATATATAATTATTGTGCAGAACATGCTTTAAAATATGTACACATTGTGGAATAGTTAAGGTAGTTAACGTATGCATTACTTCACATATTAATTTTTTTGTGGTGAGAACACTCAAGATCTACTCTTTCAGTGATTTTCCGGAATACAATACATTATTAACTATAGCCACCATGTTGTACAATAGATTTCTTGACCTTACTCCTCCTAACTGAAATTTTGTATCATTTGACCAACATGTCCCCAAACTACCTCCTTCCCAATTTTCTTAAATTTCATTAAAAAATCTCTTCCTGGAAGAAATCACAGTAGTAGACTGATGACTGGCTTTACATATACACACATGCACATACACACACACACACACACACACACAGACACAAACACACCCCAGTCATGTTTACACCACACCACTCCTCTGAGGTCAGATTGAGTTAACACTGGAGCCCACTCTGCATGCAATGGGAGCTTGCAAACCCACCTTTATGGCAGGGAGCATCAGGCCTTCAGTGGCCCCTGCATGTGAACTGCCTCCATGGTCTGATGCTGAGGACACCCTGCTGGTAATGCAGAGAACTGTGCATAGAAATCCCTAATCTGCCTGTCCAGTTCCCCCTGAATTGGCTTGAAGCAGTGGGAAGTCGAACCACACAAGAGAGTTTCCTTGTCAAGTGACCGGAGGTCAGTGTTATTATCTCTGTCAGTGGCCAGGGGTGCACTGGTTCCCAGCATATGAGTCTTTCATTGCTAACAAGCTCCACTGCATTTGAGAGAGCCCCTGGGATAGGAGAGCAGGGAGGCTTATCTCCTGTCTCCTGGATGAGGTACTGAGAAAGAGACACCCTCCGCACTCTGCTCCTCACTGACCAATGAAGGGACTCACGAATCTGTTAATTTATCAACTAGGGTGTTCGACCTGAACACTAGTGATATCCTGATTGTAACAGGAAATCTCATCAATTAGAGGATGTCTGATCTAACAGGGCAGGAGACCATAACTGTTACTTGTATTGTTTCAGGGAGCAAAAAACAAGAGTGAAAGAAAGCATTAACAATTAAGAAAGCATTTTCTTAATTTCTCCAGAGAAAATAAAACCCAGGAAAATAACAAAAGCAATAAGGAAATTAAAACTTTATCCAAGGAGCATATAACTAAATAAATGCCATCTAATATTGGGCATCATCAATGTACTTTCAACTTTATGTCCGCACATCATAGTATAAAAGAGAACTGTAAAAAAAGACAACTAAGTTTTACATTGAAATCATTTGTTATATCAGATGTTTTTAAATATAAACATATGAAGGTGATATAACAGGATATTAAGATGAAACCTGTATTTTAACATTGTTAATGTGTCACCATAAATTTACCTTTTGGCATTATTTTGGTAAACAGCACTGAATGTTCCATGCACGGCAAACAACTAATTTAATGTAGCTTTTAAATTGGCAGGCCATACTAAAATTTAGCTATTTTCTTTGCTTACTGATGTCATCTAGAATGACGCTTTTGTTGTTCTTTTCCACAGACTTACAAGCAATTTTATGCAACATGACGCTGCTTCCAAAGCATCCAGAACTATGGAACTTGGCAGGTTTACCAGTGTCTGCTCGCCCCAACTACAACCTTTATGGAAAAGGAAGGACTCAGTCAGACAGAACTGGAGAGTTTTTCCAAATGCCCTCAAAAAAATGTACCCTGGCTTGAACAAGAGAGCCAGAACAGCCTGGTGGGACGTCAGCCTTCTAGATTTAGCATGACATGGGCAGCAGTGCAGTTCTGAAGAACTCCCCTGCAGCACACACAGCTCCTGATTTCTATCTGTGCTCACTGGTCTGGATTTTGAGAGTTTTGAGAAATGAATTGTGCATCCTGTTATGCCTCGAAACGTTAACTCAACTCATATTTTTAAGTGGTCACGTTAGGTAAGTATCCCCTCATTAGAACAGAGACAATGCTTGATTCATTTTCCAGGTTGAGTTGTAGTTAACATGTGAGTGGGATCGAACCACCATAGGTACAGATGCTTAGAGAACAGGAACAACAGAGAAGGGACAGAGACAGTGAAGGAGGCTGTATTGTCTTCACACCTTTACAGGCAGGGCGACTTCAGCAAGAAGTAATTTACCACCCACACTAAGCTCTTTATCCCAGATTTGCTTTACTGTCTCTCTCTACCCAAGGTGTCAAACACTCACTCTGTCATCATGTTGCAAATGGCACTAGTAAAGGAAACTTCCCCAGCTCCCAAGAAGGGCCTTATAAACCAAGTGTAACAACCTTTTGGCTTCTTTCTTTACAATGAGAAACTCATTAGCTGGATTATTTTTTTTCTTTTTGACATAGAAATAATCTGGGACTCCTTTCACTTTTATGTGATAGAAAGATAAGACGCAGAATCAACATACAAATCTGCTATAAAGAGTGCAGAAAGCACTTCCTCAAAGTCTCAACTAACTTTTCCCCAAAAAACTATGCTTGATAAATTCATGTTTTTTAGAAATGGGTAAAAAAATGCCTACTTAGTCTGTTTTGCTGTTTATGTTAGCGATTCTGTGATCCAGTGACGTCAGACTTATAAAATCAACAAGTTTCACAAACAGAATAAGAATCACTCCTTAAAATAACAAATGTTACCCGTTGAGTGATGTGATTGCTTTATCGTCTCTTTAAGGCAGGGATGTCCAATCTTTTGGCTTTCCCGGGCCACACTGGAAGAAGAAGAATTGTCTTTGGCCACACATAAAATAGACTAACACTAATCATAGCTGATGAGCTTAAAAAAAATTGCAAAAAAACTCACAATGTTTTAAGAAAGTTTACAAATTTGTGTTGGGCCGCATTCAAAGCCGTCCTGGGCCTCATGCGGCCCAAGGGCCATGGGTTGGACACGCTTGCTTTAAGATCTTAGGGAAACAGAAGGTTAAAATGATAAGCATGGAACTGAAGACTTCATAAGAAAATGCACATGTCCCATTCATGTGAAATTCGTAATTCACACATGTAACTTCCTGACTCACCCCTAAAATGTGGGGGACCCCAGGAACCACAGAGAAGCTCCAAATGGATTTTCTCAAGCAAACTGTAATATATAAATATATATTTTACCTCCTAACCAGGTCTTCTCTGCCCTGCCTTCTGCCCTGTCTTCTTTCCACACAATCAACCTCATGTAATGTAACAGCAAATCCTCATTTCCACAGCCCACTTTTGGTGGAAGAGTCATTTTTCCCAAATATGATCGAAAATGCATTATGTGAGCCAGTGAAGGAAATCCAGAAATAGGGTCTAGTTCGTCTGGGCTCCTGTACATCCTATACAAGAAATGAACTTTGCAAAATCCCAAAGCTGTGAATTTGGCACCTCTCAACTAGCACAAATTTCCTTTCAAACATTAGGAAGAGAAAGAGAAAAAGAGACTCCAAAGTATTTTGTAACATAATGTATTCCACATTTCCATAGGCATCATTTTTAGGCCAAAACATATGGTAATACATAAACTGATCATATGCTGCCTGCCACGCTCAGCAGAGAAAGGCAGCATCTCAAAGGATTTCCTCAAATCCTTTACTCTAAGAAAGGCATGGAAACCATTTCATCAGAAATCATTCCCTCCGTGGCAGTGTGCAAAGACAGTCCACCCAGATGCATAATAAAGCCTCAGGAAATAATGACAACAGCAGCCTCTATTGCAAGTGGAGCTGAAAAAAGCGGTGGGTCTTAACCACTGATACAATGCAATCATTAAGATATTTAAATATAAGAAGACCATTTCATGCGTCTCTAAAGCTTAATGCTACTATCTCAACAATCCAGTGTAGAAATTGTTAAGAGGGGTCTCTCTCTGGGTGCCTTAATTTATATTTCTTTTTTTTTTTTAGTTTTTATTTTTATTCTAAGTTCCAGGGTACATGTGCAGGATGTGCAGGTTTGTTACATAGGTAAATGTGTACCATGGTGATTTGCTGAACGTATCGACCCATCACCTAGGTATTAAGCCCAGCATGCATTAGCTATTTGTTTGGATGCTCTCCCTCCCCCCACCCCACCCCCCGACAGGCCCCAGTGTGTGTTATTCCCTTCCCTGTGTCCATGTGTTCTCATCGTTCAGCTCCCACTTATGACTGAGAATATGAGGTGTTTGGTTTTCTGTTCCTGCATTAGTTTACTGAGGATAATGGCTTCCAGCTCCATTCATGTCCCTGCAAAGGACATGATTTTTTCATTTTTATGGCTGCATAGTATTCTATGATATACATGTACATTTTCTTTATCCGGTGTATCATATATTTTTTACTTCTGTAAGCAAAATGTCATTTTGACTGTTTCTCTTTTATCTAACCCAAATGGCCAACTAGCCACCTTTATTTGTAGGGCCAGCAAAAAACTAAATTTTAGTATTGGGTTCCTATATGTCTCATTTAATATTATATACTTTGATTTTCTCTCCAAATTACCTCATTTGGCCAAGATAACATAACTAATGTGCAACTACTTAAGCACATCCCTGAGTTTTCTTTTTAAAGTGGAAGCTAAAGGAAAACTAAGACACATGCATTATGTTATCTTTATTTGTATAAGCTAATCAGAGTAAAATGGTCTTCCCAAATATGAAAAATAAAATGACTTGATACATGTCAAAAAAGGGCACATCATCTGTCAATAAGTCCTGTTGAAGTGTGAGGGGAAGGGAGTGAAGTTCTGCTTTTCTTTAATGAGATGTCCCCATAAAAATATGATTTGTGAATTTGTAAGGATCCCTAACTGTCACATAAAGACCTGGACTCCACCCATGTAACACGGTCATGGTCTAGCCAGTTTTCTTTTTTAAATATATTCATTTTTTATTGCAAGGGTTCATCCTACACATTGTTATAACAGACAAATAAATCACTTCACTTTTCTCACCTGTAATAAACAGAGAGCTTCTCTGTTTTACAGTGTTACAAAATTAAATGAGACAATTTATGACAAACCATTTGTCGATCATGGAGTACTCCACAAACAGCTGAGTACTGTTGCTAATAATATGACTTCAGTGACAATCATAACCTCAGAAACTTAAGACAGAGCCTGTCTATGGCAAAGAAATCTAGAATCTGTGGTGTCTCATTCAAAGAAATGTATTTTCATGAGAATATCACTTCCCTGCTCCCAGTCCTCCTTAACTTTTCCCTCTCGCCTGAGACCACACTGCCTGATAGAACCAAATGTCAGCAGTGACAGTGGGGAATACTCTAAGTTGGTGCTGTCCAATATTGCAGTTTCTAGCTACCTAGGACACTCAGCACGTGAAATGTGACTAGTGCAGTTTCTCACTCTCGCCACTGTTGACATATTGGGCCGATGGTTCCTTGCGATGGTGGCTGTTCTGTGCATGGTAACACTACCACGCAGCGTGTTGAGCTGCATCCCTGACCGCCCCCACTAGATACCAGTAGCACCTCTTCCCTGGTAGTGACAACTAAAAATGTCTCTCGACATTGCCAGATATCCCCTTGAGGACAAAATCACCTCTGGTTGAAAACCACTAGGCTACAGAGATGGAGAATTTTCATTGTATTCAATTTAAGTAAATGTAAACTTAAATAGTAAATGTGGCTGATGTCTACCATACTGAACGGAATTGCTTTAAAATTTACTGAGATTCAAAAGATAAATGTTGGACGGATGGATACCCCCTTCTTCATGATGTATTTATTTCACATTGCATGACTGTATCAGAACATCTCATGTACCCCATAAATATATACACCTACTATGTACCCACACAAAGTTAAGGAAATTAAAATTTAAAAAGAAAATTTACTGAGATTATTTTTCGAAAACAGATACAACAGTTAAGAAATATGTTGGAAAGTTTAGATTACATACATATATATATATTTTTTTCCTCTGAAAGGGCTAAGCATATGTTAAACAATGTAAGCTTTCATTTTATTTACACATAATTATTTATGTGCTGCCTTTAACTCAGAGCAGTAAGAGAGCTCATAACCTAGCAAGGCATAAAAAGGTACAAAAGTAATAATAAAATGGAGGAGGGGGAAACTACCACAGTGGTTTTATATCCATTCCTGCCACCCAGGGAGGGAATAATGAGATGAACAGATATCGATGGGTTGTAGGGTCCAGAACTAAATTAAAAAATTAACAGCCATAACCACCCCAAGCTGTTCCTGCTGGGCTCGCCATGCTTGCCCCACCCAGGCAAGGTCTGGATTGTTCACAAGCAGCAGGAATGACCTGACCCGCAAGCTCTCCACAGACCTGCGCTGATGGTTTCTCACTTCCCTCATTAGACACTGAGCCAAGGCAAAGAAACTTTTAAAAAAGTGTTTGCAAGGGTTCATCCTACACATTGAACAGTTTAGTAACTATCACTTTCATTTGAGGAGTGAAAACAATTTCCTATCATAATGGGACAACTGTGTTAGGTTAGGGAATCCTATACGTTACTTAAAGTCCCAAAGTGAATCCAAGTTCAAAGGGAATATTGTGTAAAACAAACAATATCCCTGAGAATTTCAAAGGAGATTGAACCCCAAGTGCCTAGAGATTCCAATGTCTTCATTTCTGGTTCTACATGTAGGGAGATGATCTGAAAGAAGCAATATTCAGTATGATGAAAAAATTAAATTTTATATTTCCTTTCCAAATACTTGGAGAGAGAATCTACTCAGTTTCTGATGCCAAGAACAGAAATTTAAAGTATGAAGAAAGAACATGGGCTTTAAAAACAAAAAGTCCTGCAATGTAGTCCCCAAATGACAAATTTTGGGAACCTTGTCCATTATTCCTTCTGACCCTCAGTTGTCTACATTGTACAATGAGGAAAATGACAGCTACTTCCTTGGGTTATTGGGAGAACTTGAAAGGGCCCCTAGACCAACCTGTGTATGTCGCCCATTTCACATTCTCTAAACTTCAATTCCCTTTACTGAGCATGGCCAATCTTAGTGCTCAAAGGCACAGAAAAGAATAAAAGCTTGCTCTGCCTTTTAAGGAGTTCACGTGAGCCCCAACAGTTGTAATCCACAGCCTCTTTTCCCAAGGAGATGCCAAACGATCTGGGGAGACAGACACATAAACAAGTTACCCAAACACTGGAGCAGATGAAAGAAGTCCATCATGGAAACACACACCACTTACTGTGAGAGCACCCAAACTCCACGGCTCATATAATCTACAGAGAAAATGTTCCCCTAAGTGAACAACCACCCAAAGAGAGCAAAGTAAACAACTTTAATTACAAAACAGAAACTGTCAGGCATCTGTTAGGTTCAAGGGGCCTTTCCAATGGATAAACAGTTATAAAATCATGGGTTCATATATGTAGTTATCCAACTCAAGAGACCAAGAGACTGAGGATGATACCATCCTGCCAACCTTCAGTTCAACAACTCAGAGTGAAAATAATAATAATAAAATTAAAAATCGGCTTTAAGAGGTAAAGCATGCTAAGAGAAATAAGGCAGACACAACAGGATAAATATCCTATGATTCCATTTGTATGAGGTTCTCAGAGTACTCGAATTCATAGAGAAGGAAATTAGAATGATGGTTGTGGAATGGGGGGAATCAATTAATAATTACATTGATTTTCTTTACAAGAGTCCCTATAAGTAGGCATATTGAGATCCTTAGGCCTCTAGAGACACAGAGTCAAATGTTTCACACTTTTAAATTATTTATGCTTATAATATCCACCTTTAGGGATTTCTTGCAAAAAAAAAAAAAAGTCTTATCCTGCAAAAAGGTTATTTCTACAGTCAAATTCATAAAAACCGAAAGTAGACTGGTGGTTGCCGGGGGCTGAGGGAGGGGGAAATGAGAAGTTGTTATTTCATGAGTATGGAGTTTTAGTTTGGTAAGATGAAAAAGTTCCGGAGATCTGTTGCACAACAATGTGAATATACTTAACACTACTTAACTATACACTCAAAAATAGCTCTCACGCTGGGCGCGGTGGCTCACCAGTTGCATTTCCAACAACGTCTCAGGTGATCTGAGGCTGCAGGGTCCATAAACCACACTTTGAGTAGCAAGAGTCTAACCAACTAAATTGTGAATACTGAAGCTCAGTAATCCCAGCACTTTGGGAGGCCCAGGTGAGTGGATCACTTGAGGTCAGGAGTTTGAGACCAGCCTGGCCAATGTGGTGAAACCCCATCTCTACTAAAAATACAAAAATTAGCCTGGCATGGTGGTGTGTGCCTGTAATCCCAACTACTCGGGAGGCTGAGGCAGGAGAAAGAATTGCTTGAACCCAGGAGGCAGAGGTTGCAGTGAGCCAAGATCGCACCACTGCACTCCAGCCTGGGTGACAGAATGAGACTCCATCAAAAAAAAAAAAAAAAAAAAAAAGGCTTTCATGGTAAATTTTTAATTTTTAAATTATTTATTTATTTATTCTTAGAGACAGGGTCTCACTCTGTCACCCAGGCTGGGCTGCAATGATGTGATCATAGCTCTCAGTGGTAAATTTTATGTTTTGTGTGTGTGTGTATGGTGTGATTTTTTTACCACAATAAAAAATAAAAATGTTACTTTTATAATAAAAGAAAAGCTGTTTATTAGAAAGAAGTAATAGTCATAAAACACTAACTTTCTTCAACATATTTCAATGATATTTCTTCAAATTAAATTTCCAAACAGACAACTGTAATAAAAATTTTGAACCAGGGTGTTTTTGTTGGTGAGGAAAAGTTTTAGAGTTGTCGATCAGATGATATCCCAGGAAGACATAAGGCAATCTAATCAACTGTGCTTATTTCTCCTATTTTATACAACTTAAGTGACATGGAGGCACCTGCTCATTTCACCTTCCACACTGAGAACACTGCTCTCAGCTCATGTCCAGTAATCTCCTTCTTCCCGTCATTCTCTCACTCTAGCACTGAGCACTAATCAACTCTCATAATATGTGATCAGGTTATGTATGGTACAGATTCCCTAGTTAAGAGTATCAGAATATGCCATCCCAAAATATGCTACTTTGGCATAAGGATTATTTTGAGCTGAGAGCAATTGAGAAGCAGTAGATGCAGGAAGAACTCTCTGCCTTCCCCATTTCTGCTTAAAAGCAGACATAAATTTCCCCTTTGTAAAGGCAATGTAAGTTTCCATTTGTAAAAAGGTTCCCTTCTTCCATACCAGGAAGAGAAAAATAACTCATATTATCCGCATAACAAGCCTTAGTAAACAAGCCTTATCTACCATACATTTCTAGGTCACTTTCCCACAATTTACTGCCCGGAGCCCAAAACCCCCTTTTCTTTGTCTATTCTCCTCTCCACAATGTATTGCCCTTCATTAAAATGGTATATAAACTTCTAGGTCTAACCACTTCTTTGAGTTTTTATTTCTTTTCTGTGAAGTCCCTGTGCATGTGAAATTATTATCATCAAATAAGCTTTGTTTGCCTTGTTTTCCTGTTAATGTCTTTTGTGCATTAAATTTATAGGCCCCAATAACAGAACCCTGCAAGGGTAAAAGGAAAGCTTTTCCATTGCTATACTAGTGTATTTACCTAGATATTTTATATATGACAAAGAAAACTAGTATCAATACAAACCAGTAAAATGTGAAGATGAATATTTACGTGCTTTCAAGAGAATATAGTTACATCTCGTTTGAGAGATTGCCCAGCCTCTCAAAACCTGACTTCCCTCTTTTTTCTCTTCCTCATGGCCACACTACCAAAAGAAAGGAGAACCATACCCGGAATGAAATTTCTCCCTTTCCACACTTTCCTCAAGTAACATGCAGTCTGCCCCCTGTCTTCCAGGCTTTCCTAAGACTCCTCTTTCAAAGTCTCCAAGGACATCAAGGCCCATTCTATGGTCCCCACATCTTATTAGCCACAGGACTTTGAGAGGGTCACTCTGTCCAGCATTTTGCATAATAATCAAGGAAAGTGAATACTTTCCATTCCCATCTCAGAAAGATGCTTTAAAAGCAAATGGTATTCATTTATGTGACAATTCTTTGCAAACTGTAAATCCTAACCAAATGTAAGATATTAAGATAATGACCAAAGATCAAGCCAAAGTTACTATCAACATATTTGGGGAGAAATCCAGAAGTAATAAAAATGTCAAATTACTCCTAATGTAAGATAAGGAAGTGAAAGAATCACACTGATTGGGGGTACACTTCTGAGAGCACAGAATTTAAGATTTCTGATTCAGATGACTGAATTTATATCCAATCCACTCCCCACACAGCACTCCATCACCCAAACGAACCCTTCGCAAGCACGGGGTCAGGCACATGGATGGCATATATTTAAAACTTAACAAATGAAAAGTGAGCTAAGAAGGAGGAATGGGGGTAATGAGTTTCCAAGACTCAATAATTTCAGGCTCTACCTGCAAAAAATATGTAAGCAAAAAACTACAAGTCATGGCTAACAGGCAGGAAGGATTAATCAATTGGTCCTGGGACTAAAGGAAGATAAATGTCAGAGAAAGCTACAGAGAAGAAAAAAAAAAAAAGTAAGATCTGGCTTTTTTCGGAAAACGAGAATTTCACCACACACACACACACACACACACATACACAAAAGGGACTGGAGCAACAGGTAATGTAATAAGTGTAAAGAGAACAACAAAGAGATTTAACACATGCTATATGGCTGTTCAAGACCCGTGGGATGCATTAAGCCGTTTAATCATCACAAGAATCTATACAGTGGCCCCTACTATTATCTGCCCCATTTTTCTTCAGATGACAAAATCGAGGTACACAAAACAAAATCACTTGCTCAAGATCACATAGCCCCTAAGTAGAGAGGCCATAATGTGCTGATTAATTCCTGAACTGAATTTTAGTAGTCACAGGCTTGCCACTTGCTCTTCATCCCCACGCTGTATTACCTCTCCAAAGTACTACAAGCAAAAGCAAAGAGGTATGAAAGAATGTGGCATGCTGAGGAGTCTGGGAAAATTGTCTAATGAGAAAGAAAAAAATGAACCCTGAGAAAATACACACACACAAAAAAAAGCAGAGTCATCTGGAAAGTTAGATGGAGACTCAATATAAAGGATGCTGAAAAATGTGCCAAAAATTTGATGTGATCCTGTAGGTTAGGGCTACCACGGACCATCATCTACTGGAATCCTCTTAGAAATGCAGACTCTCAGGCCCCAGCCCAGACACACCACATCAGAATCTATGGAGGTGGGGCCCGGGAATCTGCATTTGAGCAAGCCCGCCACGGGATTCTTGAGCATGCTAAAGTTTGAGAAGCACAAACTTTAAGACCTTGGGATCTGTGAAGAGCAAAAATGGAGAGAAAAATTGGGGCTATGGGATTACCACATTTTAGGGATAGTAAATGCTTCAGTGATATCAGAGGGGATAGCAAAACAGTTTGAGAGATTTATCAGAAGGACTTTGCAGGCAGCTAGATAGAAAAGTAAAGGACGAGGAGCGATGAAGGAGGATTTTGAGTTTTTTAGCTTGGGTGCTTAAGATATATTAATCTTTTAATTAATATTAATAATTCCAGAGAGATATACAGGTTTGGGGAGCACTAGTAAGTAACTCGGCCCAGGTGATGGAGCTAGTGAATCCCTTCAGCCTTTAACACTGGTGCCCAAAGACCAAACTCTATTGTGCCTCTCACTCAAACGGCAGAAGATGTCCATTTAAATCAGGACACATCAATGTCAAGGATTTAGATAGGATCTTAAATCAGAAATAGCCAGTAAAAAGTTGAATCTAGAAGGACAGGAATACTGCAACGGTCTACATGTGTTACAGAAACAAGGCAAGTAAAGAAGAGGTATTTCCTTGGCCAAAAATAGAATTCTTGCTCTGCCTCCCAAATATCAGAGAGCAACGCCATTGCCCCCATTTCCTTTAGATTATGGTGATTGTGAAAGAGAGGCTTCAATTCTATTCTTTAAATCATCTTAGGGCTTGATTTATGCTGCTGCTGCGAATGCATGACTGACATTATCCTGCAAGTCCAAACAGAATGCAGGCAAACTAGTGTTGCCTTTGTCCGGATCAGGAGGTAACCTCTCAGCAGAGTGACAGCTAATGTTATAACACTGGAGGTTTCAGCACGGTGCACGCAAAGGCTGGGAGATGTCACCCTTCTGATCTATGCTACTTTTTCCTGACAAATACTATGCTAGGACTGCGCAGAAAATGATTCAGAAGAAATATAGAAAATCCTCCCCATGTACTTATTCTATCTGAGCTCATGTCTGCTTATAACATGGCCATTACCAACCAGAAAACAAAAGTTCTAAGGAAGGTTATTGCCTTTCTGCCTCAAAACAAACTAGGGAGACAGGCAGAGGATGCACAGGATGCATGTGGGGAATAGGGCAACATTCAGAAACGTGAAAACACAGCAGACAATTGCACTTGTGGCAAATTTGCCTTGGGTCTTGGAACTGCTATCTTTGAAGGGCCTTCACAACAGGGCTTCCCGGTCATCAGGGGACTTTTTGGTGCTGCTTCATCCAAGAGGGCTAAGATTTACAGTTGATTAGCCTGCATAGTTCAGTTGCTTTTTCAAAAGATTCTAGGAAGGGATTATTTCTGTGCCCAAAGAGCCCCTAGAGAATAGAGAAGGCTGCTTGCCGGCCGTAATGTGAATTCCCCAGAGTCGGTACACTGTGCTCACTGAAGCAGATGAAGTAAAGTTAAAGAAGCATTTAGTTCTTCAGAATGCCAGCCTTAATAAGTATCTTTTTGTGGAAGGATTTAGGAGGAGGGGAGGGTTATCCTTAGTGCAGGCATTATTTCCTCATACAAAAAGGGAAAATGTGCATACAGTTGGATGTAAAAAGCCAACCTCGAATGCCTGCCCCCCACCCCCCGCCTTCCCCGAGGAAAAGTTGCTGAACACACACTCCCAAACACGAAAGCATGAATCTTCACAGCTTAATAGTCCCGAAGCCATTGTGAAGTTTCTCTTGGGAAACACTGTTCATTCATCTGCGACTGACCAAGTTCAACCATTCAGCTGTGAGAACTCGGAGACTTGCAGCCATCAAAAGACCCACCTTCCTCAGCAAGCGGAAGCCAGAGGAGCTGCGTCCCCAAGGAAGATCTCGGGAACTCGCTTCTCCTCTCCACAAGGATCCGTTCCAGCCCCACAAGAGAAGTCTGCAGAAGGCTGAATCTGGGTGCATCTGCAGGCAGCTCAACTCTTAAATGATCTCTGCTTGCACAGTTCAGGGGTTGTCCTGGCCCCTGCGGCTCTCACAGTTCTCCCTGCAAACAGTGCTCCTTATGTGGAATTTGACACAGAATTAGTCACTTGCAATGAGTTAAAATGAGTATGATTTAATTAGACAGTTTCGCATAAGCCCAATTTTCTAACCAACAGCAACATTTTCCTATTTAAACCCTGCGTTTTCTTCAACCTGTCATCACACAGGAATATACACATTGACACCAACTGAGCTATTGCTATTAATATAATGAACACAGTATCGACAGAGTGGCCATTCCATTATCGTTAAATAAGCCAGAAGCCATTCATTATACCTCTCTGTGCTTAAAATTTTCAGCTGGGGCTCCTATAACTTAAGGCAGAGAGAAAGTCTTTCATGGAAACCAACATAAACATTTGCCACCCATAAGAATAGAGAGAAAAAGGGACAGAGAGGGAGGGAGGGAACAATTGAACAGAAAAAAGAAAAGAAGAGAAGAGAAGAGAAAGAGAAAGAAAGAGAAAGAGAGAGAAAGAGAGGAGAAGGGGAAGAAAGAAAGAAGGAAGGAAGGAAGGAAGGAAAGAAAGAGAAAGAAAGGAAGAAAGAAAGAAAGAAAGAAAGAAAGAAAGAAAGAAAGAAAGAAAGAAAGAAAGAAAGAAAAAGAAAGGAAGGAAGGAGGGAGGAAGGGAAGGAAGGAAGGAAAAAGAAAGGCAGGAGGGAAGAAGAGAAAGAAAGAGTGCACGAGCAAGATTTACAAAGTGCACACTTTAAGTCATTTTCCCCCACACAAATGGAAAATGAACTTACCCACATTGGTAGCTATGCTCTGAAAAGACCCAGTTGAGAGAAGTCCTTTCTTTATTGTGTAGTTTTAAAGACGATTCTTTGACCTCTGCTATTTATGACTTGAGATCTGTGAAGGCAGGGCCAAACCCCTCTGGCTCCCATGGCCCACACAAACAAAAGCGCCCCACCTTTGTTCCACTACCACATTTCCCATCAGGACAAGTTTCTACCGCACTCCCTGTTTTCATAATTTAAGTTGTGTTCTCTTAAATTTTTCTTGCTCAGTTACAGCCATTACCTAATTTACAAGAGGCTCCCATTGCTCTTTTCCAGTAAATCTTTTCCCATAATCATCACTTCTCAGCTGAAAGAACTTTGGTATGAATATAGATGTCTTGTCACTTCATTTTGTTTAACCATGAAATTCTGGATAAAAGGGTTCAAGAGACTAAACAACTCATCTGGCAACATGCGCAGCCACAGTATGATATCCTTCTACCGATTTATTATTTTATGGATGTGTGCATTTATCTATGGCCTTTCTCACTCTTAAAATAATTCAAGACAATTTACAAAGCTACATATGATTACAGCTGGAAAGCACATCTTAAGTGAGTGAAAAAAAAATGAGATAAAGGGAAATTAAAATGGGGAGAAAATAAATACTGTCAAGGATAAAGCAAGTTTCCTAAATACATATGATCAATTTCAGCACACTTGTTAAAGACAGGCTGTTTGATTTAAGTTTTAGCTTTCTAAAGACCAATTGTAAGAGGAAAACACTATTAACTGCAAAATCCACAGTATCCATAGGCCAAAAGTATCTACCCATTTCTCAAGGAGGCACAATTAGTACTGATAATGCAATCAGAATGAATGTCTCTAGGCCAGGCATGGTGGCTCAGGCCTGTAATCCCAACGCTTTGGGGGCCAAGGTGGGCAGATCACCTCAGGTCAGGAGTTCCAGACCAGCCTGGCCAACATAGCGAAACCCCCACTCTACTAAAAAAATACAAAAATTAGCCGGGTGTGGTGGCAAGCATCTGTAATCCCAACTACTCAGAAGGCTGAGGCAGGGGAATTGCTTGAACCCAGGAAGTGGAGGTTGCAGTGAGCCAACATCGCGCCACTGCATTCCACCCTGGGAGACAGAGCCAGACTTCGTCTCAAAAAAAAATTAAATAATTAATTAATTAATATCTCTCCAAGTTTCCTCCCCAAAATGGCATGACATAAGAGACCAATGTCCTCAACAACTTTCTTAGAGCAGCCCCAACGACTAGGTTTGTAGGACAATTTCTGAGGTTATCATCCATATTGCATTGCAGCAACTTACCATTCAGCAAAAGCCATTTGTTAAAGGAAGATTTGAAATGGCAAAGACATAGCTTAGCCGTGTAATCAAGGCATAGATTCTAGAGCACCTGGAAGTGATACATCCATCAGGCAGGTATAAATACTGTCTCTCTCCAGTGGCTTTTGGTACCACCAGGATACGATGAGTTTCATATTCTACTACTTGGAAAGTTCCAGATGCCTGGTGGCTTTGCTTATACTTCATTGTCACTTCATAGCTAGCAAAACTTTCATTAGCTCTGACATTCACTGTGAAATTAAAGGTCCTAACAGACATTTGTCTAAAATAAATAAATAAATAAATAAATACATAAATATTAAAAAAAAAAGCAACCCACTTCCTGCATAGATATGCATCAAATAGGGAGAAGGGAGTATCTGACAAAAATCCTCCTCAGAAAACGTGATTTCATTTTCCAACCCAGAAGAAAACAGAAGGTGTAATCCAGTAAACACACACACACACACACACACACACACACACACACTGATTACCCAAAGAACATCATGTTTTGAGTAGTGAATCTTACAAGGATATTCTTAGACCTAAATTAGTTGGAAAATAAATATGCCAAGGTGGTTGAATGTCATTATTTATGGGGCAAGGCAGGTTCTTCCCCATTGAATAGATAAAAGATCTCTTGAGAAAGGCAAATTGTTTTAGTTTCAAACAATTAGTCTATATTCTCTTTTTCAGGCAAGTGAGACAGCAAGAGTTTCTATGTTCACCCAGTTGGTAAAAATCGAGTTTAAATTAAAACCTCCATTTATTTTCCTACAATGACTGCTCTTTCAGAAACACAGAGAAATGAAAAGTTTCCAAAGTAGACTACGCACAAACACAAATTAGGTTTTCTAAGAGGAACTCCTATGTGTGATTCGGGAGACAAGTAGACTTGAACCTCATTCCAACGATTACGTATAAGGTGGAGTCAAAATTATGAACATAGAAAAGCAAATGTGGACCCCCCTTAAATTCAAGTGAGAGTTTTCTACCCCAGTAGAGAATATTTTGACAGTGACTGTCACGGCAGAGATAAAGCAACATGATACAATCTCATGTTCAATGCCCACAAATGCTGATCTACCAGAGACTGAAATCCAATTCTGTCTCCTTTCTCAAATATAAGGGTCCCCAAACTTCAATCAGCATTGGTGCATTTTTCCAGTTGCCAGAATAAACCTCAACATCTTCAAACAAGCGGTGCTCATCCCTGCTCTGCGTGCTTTCTGATGAACACATTACAACTTCAAAACATCTGTCAGACTGTAATCACCATGTAATGCATCTTGACTCAGATGGTTTTCATATGTTCAAAACAGATTCCCTTTCTAAAGGCAGCTTTATGGAACTCGTCTTCAACTGTGAACCAAATAAGAGATTTCGTTTGCATTTTCTTTCATCAGATGGAAGAAGAAATTAATCGTAAGAGATTAGGGAAAGACTTACACGGAGGTGCATTTCCCCTTCCGCATGTTTTTCCTTTGAAGTTTATAGCAGGTGGAAGAGTCTTTCACACCCGTAAAATTGACATGGAAAAGCAGAAACACACTGAGCTATTAACTTGTCACATATTGGATTTAAATCTAAATAGGAACCCGTTCTTTCCCTTATATATTGATTGTGTACCAGCTTAGCAGGAAGCTTTGCATGTTCTTTCAGCAGACAGGCTAGTTTCTAGGCTAAAATAACCTGGAATGTTTCAGCTACCACAGGCTAATGATCACCCAAATGCACACTAATATGTTTGATAAAAGTTCTCAGCGTGAGGGCAGAAAACGCTTACCATGAGAATGACAGTGGTCAGGGGAAGCAAATCAGTGACACCAACTCATGCCGCCTTCAATGCTGGAGGCTCCAATTAGAACTGTGAGTCTGCATTCCAGGGGGCAGTGACAGATGGAAGTTTGCAGCAAATCTCTAATTGTTTAAATCATTAACTCATCCATCCACCTGCATTATCACTAGAAGGGACCCTGCTGGAAGCCTTCAGTGGTTTCTCAAAAATCTCAGGACTATTTCCTGGCCATTTAAGAAATGGTGTTTTGAAACTAGTTGTTTATGTAGCTATTTGTGAGTTCTTTTTTTATCTTTTTCCCAGGCTCTCATTTTTTTCTCTTCTTTTTTCTTTCCATTTCTGCCTTTGCATCAGAGATGATAGCCACTTTAATGTCCTTCTAGAGCAACAATGGATGAATTACTTATAAATCATGCCACACGTCCAGCCCTAACTTAATTTTCAATTCCATCAACTCCCTTAAGACAGACTTCAGGCCGGTCTCCGTGGCTCATGCTTGTAATCCCAGCACTTTGGAAAGGCCGAGGTGTACAAGTGGCTTGAGCTCAGGAGTTCAAACCAGCCTGGACAACATAGTGAGATCTTGTCTCTACAAATAATAATAATAATAATAATAAATTACCCAGGCATGGTGGCACATGCCTGTAGTCCCAGCCACTCAGGAGGCTAAGGCAAGAGGATTACTTGAGCCTGTGAAGTCAAGGATCCAGTGAGCCGAGATGGTGCCACTGCACTTCAGCCTGGGCAACAGAGCAAGACCCTGTTGTCACACACATCCGTGTGAAGAAACTACCAAACAGGTTCTGTGTGAGCAATAAAGCTTTAAAAAAAAAACAAAAAAAAAAAAGAGAGAGAGAGAGAAAGAGAGAGAGACTTCATGTCTTACTAAGCACAAAACGCCAAGGCTACTTATAATTATCTTGTGGCATCATGCTATAGGACAGTTGGAGAAATTTACATCCAGTGGTTTATATTAATCATGCTAATATAATATTGTACATAAGATGGCTTTTTCAAAAGAACACTAGTTGAAACCTCACACACACTAACAATTTCTTTTCGCATGCATTCTACACAAATGTTAAGACCAAAATGTTGGTTTAAGGAAATAATAGAATATTTCTCTTATCTCTTCTAATGTTTATTCTCACATCATATTTATTTTCTCCTGAAAAATAAAGACATGATCTCATGTAAGTAAAGACATGTACTTGTGGAAATAATAACATTAATATCCAAAATGAAGGGGAATTAATTATACCCGACTTGAGACATTTTCTGCACAAATCTCTCTCTTTGAATTACACAAGCCTGCACTTCTCCTGAAATCATTGTCAAACGTGATTTGGCTGTGAAGTCATTGTTTGCTCCAAAGGAGATCAATAAGTTGGACAACAGATGCTTGGTGAACAGCAACATTATTCTTGAAATGTATCATATATAAAGTCAAGAGATATTGTATAAGCATCAGTAAGTATTGCAACAGGTCTAAAGTATCTAAACATTTAAAATTTTGATCCACTACATATTAGAATTGCAATCAGATAAAAAACGTTCACCTTTGGTTCTTGGGTACTGGGGCATGGTGCATTTTCATGTATGTCTGAGTTTTCATTTTGCTCCTAAGAAATGTCTTCCTTGGGCTCTATGGATTTACAGTCATTACCACATAAATCACAGAAAGCATCTCATACAAAACAAAAATTTCCACAGTCATATTCAGATGTGTTTCAGAGGTTTGGCCCTCACTCGATAAATTTCACAGATGGCAAATGAAGCTGTCCAGATTTTTACACAAGCAAAACCAATCTTCCTCACCTCTAAACGTGGTTCTGAATAAAGCTGGAAAATCACTAACAGTTAGGAGTTGTACCCTTATAAGAACTGAACTCCCACTGAGATTAAAGCTGTAAGCCAAGGCACCAAGACTGGGCCCTAAATTACCACTTTTCAACACATACACTCCAAACCAAATGGGGAACAAAAGTCAAGCCAGTGAGTTCTGGCACTCAAAGGCAGAAAGATAAGCATGCAGGCTCCCCACAGATAGGTGGTTGTTACTAAGTGGCATGCCATTGTTTGTTAGATGCAAGGTTTTGAAACATAACTCTGAGCTGAAAGTTAAAGGAGAAATCTTTTTTTTTTTTTTTTGAGACAGAGTCTCAATCTGTTGCCCAGGCTGGAGTGCAGTGGAGCGATCTCAGCTCACTGTAACCTCCACCTCCTGGGTTCAAGTGATTCTCCTACCTCAGCCTCCTGAGTAGCTGGGATTACAGGCGTGCACCACCACACCCGGCTAATTTTTGTATTTTTAGTAGAGACGGGGTTTCACCATGTTGGCCAGGCTGGTCTTGAACTCTTGACCTCGTGATCCACCTGCCTTGGACTCCCAAAGTGGAGAAATATTTTATAAAGTGAAGACAAGACTCATGCAAATATCAGATGGAAATGTACCAAAGATTTTATTTAACTCAAGAAATAGTCATATGTTACATTTGATTCAAAGGAAAAATCCCATAGATAAATAGACAATAGACAGATAAATGATAGACAGATTAAGATGGATGGATGGATGGATGGATGGATGGACGGATGGATGGATGGATGAATAGGGTCAATAAGGAATGCTGGTGCTGAAATGGATTTACAAATATATGCAAAATGTTGTATTCCTGGATGAAGCATCAAGTGCATTCCACTAGACAAAATGTATTTGCATTTTCATGGACAAGAGTTATTTTCATTATCAATTTTCTACCATTTGCAGAGTGGGAAAATAGTTCAAAGCACTGAACACTGGACAGAACTTGGAGAAGTGCAATACAGAGAAAAATAATCTTTACTTTTGCCAATTTTCAAATCTTTCACAATTTTTCTTGACTCTGATCATCACATTTTAACACTGGATTTTCAAAAATTAGCTGTGATTTATTTGAAGTTTTTTTTTCACTATTGTTTACTATTCATTATTTCAAATCCCTGCAGTTTGACAAACAATGTTCTATAAGCTATGTCAGAAACTGTCCATTTTTGTTTGACTTTAAATATTTTAAGATATGTCTTTGTATTGTCAGAAGAATGCATTTTTATTGTTTTGTTTGGGTTTAGTTTTGTCTGTGTGAATGTAATGTCATAGAAGAGGGGTTGACAAACTACAGCAGCAGGCCAAATCCAGGTTGCCATCTGTTTTTGTAGAACCAGTAAGCTAAGAATGGTTCTTTCATTTTCAATGGTTGGAAAAAAAATAAGTAAAATATTATAATGTAAAAATTACAGGAAATTGAAATTTTACTATCTACAAAAAATGTTTTATTGGAACATAGCCACTCTTCTTGGTCTATGTATTTTCTACTATTGCTTTTGTGCTGCAACAACAGAGTTGAGTAGTTGCAACAGATACTTTATGGGCTGCAAAGACAAAGATGGTTACTATCTGGTGTTTTTTTAGAAGTCATTTGCTAACCCTTATCCTAGAACACTGCATTTAATGAAAAGTTACATTGAAAAGGATGATGGGATTCAGGACACACTACTCAAAATACGGCACCTTGGCATATTAAAAAAACAGAAGCAGGAAAGTCTCTCTGACCTCCCCTCCTCACCCACACATATGCTTCTCCCCGATGCAGGGCATACAGCTTAGGAAAGCTTTTCCAACATTCCCAAGAAGCAGGTCAGAAGACACTCATGTGAGGGCCTCCCGATCCCTGGAAGAAAGGAACATGCTCATCTCTGAAGATGAAGGGTCACAGAGAGGAACCTGAACAAACAGGCCTTGCTAAATTCCCCAGTTTATCTACACTAGATCACACCCTTTTTGTCCTATCATATCTCTCCATCAGTATTCACTCTTCATCAAAGCTACTATAAAAATACACAGAATTAACCATTTACTGGAGTCTTCATTTATTTAGGAAGACTCCCACAGCATGTAAATCTTACTAAATAAATTTGCAAGTTTTTCTCTTCTTAGTCTATCTTGTGTTAAAAGGACCTAAGTCATGAACATAGGATGGGTAGAGAGAAGGATATTTGTCCTCCTCTACCAGAAAAAGCCACTGGGAAACATAGATGTTAACATGGCTCATTACAATATTTTGACTCTGTGCTATGACTAAACACCAGGGCATCTTGCCCATGAATTTGAATTTCCTGTCAAATGCTCCAAATCATTCCTAAGTGGGCTTTTAGGGAAATTACATACAATGAAAAATAGAATGTAAGAATAAGCATTTCCTCTGAGCTGGAGGCTGTCTTTGGCTGGATATATCATTGCTTCAGGCCTCAGGTTCCTGAAGCGCACAATGAAAGAATTGCACTGGATATTCCTAAATATTCTCTCTAGCTTTAGAATTCTTCTCTCCATCCTTCATGCAAACAATGATCTCAGTGGTCTGTATCACCTATGTTCCCTTACTGAGAGGAGCCATCTAACTCTTAACATAGTCAGTCCTAGGATCCATGTGTCTGTGGCTCACTCAAATAGTTTTCTCTTTCTTCATCAAATATTTCCATCCCAGAGTACCAAATAAGTTACGAACATGAGAATTGAGCCTTAAGACCATGAGCAGAGCCTAACAGAAACTGGGTAATTCACATATTAACCGTTAATGGGTGAGTACAGAGGAACTTCAGAATGATGGAAAAGAGTTAGAATTGTGAGATTAGCAAAGAGAAAAAGCAGAAATGGATTCTAAAGGTACACAAATGCTCTAATGGGCAAAGTAAGGGGGAGAAGGTGGTTATGTCCCCATTGGTACAGTAATGGGGACTCATAAGGAATATTGCATGAATTTTTTTTTTTTTTTTTTTTTTTTAGACAGAGTCTCACTCTGTCGCCAGGCTGGATCTCAGCTCCCTGCAAACTTCACCTCCAGGGTTCAAGCGACTCTCCTTTCGCAGCCTCCCAAGTAGCTGGGACTACAGGTGTGCACCACCATGCCCAGATAATTTTTGTATTTTTAGTAGAGATGGGGTTTTACCATGTTGGCCAGGATGGTCTCCATCTCCTGCCCTTGTCATCTGCCCACCTCAGCCTCCCAAAGTGCTGGGATTACAGGCGTGGGCCACCGCCCCAGGCTGGAATATTGCATGAATTTTTAAGAATGGATGAAGTAACAATATCTGGGAATTTTCTCAGTGAGCAAAAAAGTAAAAAATTAATGCAAAGACCAAGTTCACCCTTCATATCACTTTATCACTAGGGCCTAGGGCATAGTAGATGCTCAGTGAGTATCTACTGAAATGGGATTAATCAGACTCTATTGGAACGAGCAAATGAAATGCATTTAAAGAAAATGTTAAACTAGAAACATAAATAAAAGGGCTGAACAGCCACAACATTATAATATATGGGAAAAAATAGGATCTGATTTACATTATATTTGGCATGGAGTAATTTGTTATTTAAGAGAAAGGTTAATGAAAATAGGTTCTTAAAGTAATAGGTCGGGCATGGTGGCTCACGCCTGTAATCCCAGCACTTTGGGAGGCCAAGGTAGGCGAATCACTTGAGGCCAGGAGTTTGATGCCAGCCTGGCCAACATGGAGAAACCCTGTCTCTACTAAAAATACAAAAATTAGCCAGGCATGGTGGGGGGTACCTGTAATCCCAGTTACTCAGGAGGCTGAGGCTGGAGAATCACTTGAGCCTGGAAGGCAGAGTTGCAGTGAGCCAAGGCTGTGCCACTGCACTACAGCCTGGGCAACAAGAGCGAAATTCCATCTCAAATAAAATAAAATAAAAGTAATGTACATTGTTAAGATTGGACCAACTTAAAAATATTATTAGAATGGAAATATATCACGTTTTATCAGTATGTTTTACATTACTATAGTAATATTTCATTCCAAAAAGTATTTAGTGTGGCTTGGACTGAAAAAAAGGAAATTAAGATAAAAATTGTTTGCAAAACATATTTAGATAGAATTTTTAAAATACATTATTTTTTATGCCAAAGGTGTATATTTACTTTCTTGATTAGAAATAGGTGATCTTATTACTTACTTACTACTAAAATTGAACTACTAAAAATAAGTGATTGTAAAGGCATCTTTTTAGGATAGATTTGATATATTTTAAAAGGCTTGGCCAGGCATGGTGACTCACGCCTGTAATCCCAGCATTTTGGGAGGCTGAGGGGGGCAGATCACTTGAGGCCAGGAGTTTGAGACCAGCCTGGCCAACATGTCAAAACCCCATCTCTACTAAAAATACAAAAATTAGCTGGGCATGGTGGCAGGTGCCTGTAATCCCAGCTACTGGGGAGGCTGAGGCACAAGAACTGCTTGACCCCAGGAGGCGGAGGTTGCAGTGAGCAGAGATCATGCCACTGCACTCCAGCTTGGCACACAGAGCGAGATTCCGTCTCTAAATTAATAAATAAATGGTTTGCCCTGAATCATCCGAGACTGAAACTGTGTTTAGATGTCAGTTTTGCGAACAGTTTATTCTGGAGTGGCCAAGGGCATACCACATTCTTATGGGTTAAATGTTCTCTCAACATAAAAAATAAAGAAAAGAAAAGAAAAATCACCTTAACGGAGGAATATCTAAGGAATCTATTTCTCCGGGAATCTACTATGTATCCCTAAATGAAGCTGAATCAGAAGAGTAGGCCATCTTTAGGCTGTATCTTTCTGACTTCCCACCAGACAACAGGAACATAAAAGCAAGAAAGAGAAAATATGGCTCATTTGCTAGAATTGGGTCACAGTTTTGCCAGGAAGTTACACTATTCACAGTAGCTATAAGGGTGGAAAAAAAAAAAAAAAAAAAACCTAGTGCATCAAGACAATCAACCACTAAATTGAGCAGGAGATCTTTCATAACTTTTAAAAAGTTATTCTATAAGACTTCATATGTGTGAGGTATACAATGAGAAAATCACTGGCTTTTAATTCCACCGGAACTCAGTTCAAATCCTGTGTAGGGGATTTACTGGTACTTATTAGTAAAGTGACTTTGTAAGAAAGTCACCCACCTTTTCTGAGCATCTATGACATGAAGGTGGTCATTCCAAGATGAAGCCGAGATTAATTTCACTCACACACAATTCCATCTTCATAGAACAAAAGAAATGTGAAATAACAGTAACTTAAGCAAGATAGAAAGGTATTTCCTCTTCATGTGCAAGGCTGGTATGGGGCCCCACAGTATCAAAGAGCCAGGTTCCTTCTATCTTTCTTGTCAGTTATTCTCAGCCTGGACTCCATCCTCAAAAGTACCTCATGGCCCAAGAGAGCTGCTGGGGCCCCTGCCATTGGTATGCCCTCTAAGAAGCAGGGAAAGACAAGGGGAAGAGAACAAATGAGTGCATTTTCTAGCTAAATCAGTTCCCTTTAAAAGAGGCATTTTGAAATTTCTTCACAATGATTCCACTTGGGCAAGAAATTAGTTACTGGCCATATTTAGAAGCAATGGAGCTTGGGGAAATATAGATGTTTAACACAAGGTGACAATGTGCTCAGGTGAGGAATGAGCTTTCGATTAGCAGAGAAGAGGAGAAACCAGATTAGCAGGCAAAGAGCAATCTCTCTCACCAGTGTTACAGAGTACATGATGACAATCAGAATTCCTAGACATAATGAGCCCCTAAAAAGGTGCTTGGCACATACCTTGTACTCAGTAAACTACACATTTATTTTCTTTCATAAATAAAGTAAAACTGCTGAGGACTATGCTCTTAATTTCTTTTATAACTTCACAAATGTGTAGACCAGAGTTTGTCAATCTCAGCATTACTAATATTTGGAGCCAGATAATCCTTGCTGTGGGAGGGCTTTTCTGTGCAGTATAGGTTCTTTATTAGCATCCCTGGCCTTGACCCACTAGATGCCAGTAACTCCTCACTCCCAACTGTGACAATCAAAAATATTTCCAGCCATTGGCAATTGTTCCTGGGGGAGGAAATTGCCCTTGGTTGAGAACCACTGGCCTAGACCTGTGCTGGACAATAGGCACTCTTCTATATTCTCTAGGGTTGAGTGGTGCAGGGGCTAAAGACCCTTGAGCTCATAGTGCTGATTCCATTATGTGGAACCCAGCATACCCGAAGTCAGATGAAGCACAGAGACGAATCTCTACAGTTAAAATGTTTTCTTCCAGCCTGGCCAACATGGAGAAACTCCATCTCTACTAAAAAATACAAAAATTAGCCGGGCATGGTGGCAGGCGCCTGTAATCCCAGCTACTCGGGAGGCTGAGGCAGGAGAATTGCTTGAATCCGGGAGGCAGAGGTTGCAGTGACCCAAGATTGCACCACTGAACTCCACCCTGGGTGACAGAACAAGACTCCATCTCGAAAAACCAACAAACAACAAAAACAACATCAAAGTTGGGGACAGAGCACAGGCAGTCAAGAGACAGCCAGTGAGAATCAGAATAGGGCTTTGGATTTTAGTCTGAGTGAGACGGAAATGAATCATTAGGTTTAAGGTAGACAGCAGTGTGATGCCACTTATATGTTTGAAGGGTCTTTCCAGCAGCCATGAGGAAATGTGATTGTTTGGGGTCAGAGTGGAAGCTAGGAGACCCATCGGGTTGCTCTTGGATTCATCCCAGACAGAGAGAATGGCAGGTTGGAGGTGGGAAGAGTGGTTAGATGAGATCTATTCCACAGGGGCTCTGAAGGAGGAGCTGACAGGCTTTGCAGATGGTCACCAGAAGTGATTAAAAAGTGTGTGGTTTCTAGAAAACATTATGCAAACCTAATCTTTTAAAATACATCATCGGAAAATTGTAGCATTAACACTGCTTCTGACTTTTCTGAGTTTTCTGACTTTTCTCTCCCTATATTTGTACAAACTGGTTTCTAGAGTTGTTGGCCTGTAAGAAACACAGTGTAGAAGACAGGGATGTATATGTCTCTACTGGTTTGTTGAGTGATTACAGAACCATCATCAATATGCACATGCCTGAATTTTCCCATTTGTAAAACTGATGACTATGTGACTACGGATTACCAGTAACCTTATTAACCTACGCATTAAGAGAAAAAGCCCACCTAGTACTTCATGAATCCCAAAAGAAATGCAAATTGTAATTATCTGCACAGGTATCCAGTCATGCTAACATCCAAAGGAGTCAAACTCTGATTAATAAGCAAGATTCATTCCCAAAGATTCCCAAGGATCCCAAGTTAAAGACAACCCTTCAATTTCTGTCAGCTTTGTAATATATTCCAGAGTTTCAGTTGGGCTTAATTGTGACTTATTGATTGATTTTTGCTTTCTGACAAAAAGGATTGCTTTCTTTCCTTGTGAAATTCAAAGTCCCTCATGGCAGCCTTGATTAATCATTTGCAAAATATGGTTTAACCATCTATGATCCCTAGTGTACAAATTTCTTTCACTGCAATAATTTTAAAGTAATTCAAATAAGCCTGTTCTAATCAAATTCCTTATAAGTCTGCAAAAGATAATTTCTTGATGGAATATGGAAAAAATGAGTGCTTAAATAAGAAGTATTACCAATGTAACAAATTATCATTCCTATAATACACGATTAATACGACACTGCACAAAAAGAATACTTATGAAATTTAATCAGCCTCATAGCATTATGTGCTTTATCTGGAATGATGGCATGAAAAAGTTATCTAAAATTCCAGTTGAAGACCAATTAATATAATCAATACCAGAAAATGTCTGGACAGAACAAATGCTTAGGACATTACATAAAAAGAGTAAGTGGACCGTAACCAGGCATTTCATTCCTGCCTAGTATCTAGACAGTCAGAGATAAGCAAAGCTTATCTTCATCAAATTATTTAACATTCACGTAGGAACTCTGTTCTATTTTAAAGTAACACTCATGTGTATTCAGTGAGCATGATTGTGGAAATGCATCATTAGAACAAAGTTTTTGGTTTAGGAATATTATTCTATAATAATTTATTGTATGTATTTGAAAGACCTTTCACAAAATAATCCTTTTCATAAATATGCTATTTCAAGATTATTATATATTCCTTAGATTACTTGTTGTTTATAAAATAAGGTGTACTTCTATTTTAGGACTAAAAGTAATATCCATGAAATGAATTTTATGAAACACTATTATGATCCCAAAGTTTTGCTCCAATGTTTTTAGCAAACTTTGTAAACTTTACTCATTTACATAACCTGATTACGAAACCTACTTCAGACTGGAGCTAGAGTACCATCATATATATATTTAAAAAACAAAGATTTTGGTGTATTGGGATTGAGGTAAGAATTGTATTATATCAAACATATAAATAAGTAACATAATAAAGTTTATAGTACTTTAGTGTGCAGCAAAGAATACTCAAAAATGGAAGAGAGACTCTTTAATGAAAAAATCAAATTATTTAACCAGCAATTCCTACAAAGAAACCAAAATACATGCAAAATAACATAAGTATAAATAGAATACATTAAATCTTCTCTGGTCTAACCAGAGGGCATTTTCTTCTTAATGTTTTTTAACAGAAAATTACAAACAACAATAAAATACAGTAGTATATAGAACCATTGATACCTGCATCTTGATGGCAGTGGTAGCTACGTAAATCCAATCTTACACATGATAAATGTCACAAAATCATATACATACATTGCATGCATATCAATTTTGTGCTTTTGATATTGTTTACAATTACTTAAAGTGTAACCATTGGTGGAAACTGGGCATATATGATTTCTCTGTGCTGTCTTTGCAACTTACTGTGAATCTATAATTATTCCAAAATTAAAAGTTTTTTGCACCATTCATACAGGTATAGGAAACGTACCTTAGAACATTGCTTGTGATTCTGGCACCAAACCAGGGAACCATTGTTCTGCAAAAAGAAAAAGGAAAAATATTGATCCATTAGAAAGCTACACATACACAGATTTCTAATTTAAAATTATAATTTATGCATATAATTTTTGAATATTTGCATTTTAACAAATACCCAATCTTGCAAAACCTGCTGTCCTTCCCTTCCAATGATAGAAAATGTGTTTGTAAGTTTCATTTTGTTGTCGATTTCATGATGTAAACAAAGACATATAAAATACTAAAGATTCTAAGCTGTCTGAAATGAAAAAGGGTCTGAGGCAACTTTGATGGTGTGTTGAGCAGTGAAGCAGGTAAATGAACACTAGACGTTCCGCCAATAGTCAGCAGTTTTGAGAAATTTACAACTTAAGCATTGTGGATGCTTTTGATCTCAACCAATTTACAGAAATAAGAGTTTGGGATTGGGAGAAAGATCTTGTATTAGTCTGTTCTTACACTTCTATAAAGAACTACCTGAAACTGGGTAATTTATGAAGAAAAGAGGTTTCATTGACTCACAGTTCTGCAGGCTTAACAGGAAGTATGGCTGGGGAGGCTCAGGAAACTTACAATCATGGCGGAAGGCAAAGGGGAAGCAAGCACATCTTACCATGGCAGAGCAGGAGAGAGAGAGAGAGAGCAAAAAGGGAAGTGCCACACACTTTTAAGCCATCAGATCTTGTGAGAACTCACTCCCTGTCATGAGAACAGCCAGGAGGAAATCCACCTCTATGATCCAATTACCTCTCACCAGGCCTGTCCTTCCAATTTGACATAAGATTTGGGCAGGCACACAAATCCAAACTACATCAGATCCCACGTGAAAAGCCTTCTCTTACTCTTTCACAAAACATATGATTACAGACAAGAGACTTAACATCCCCATGCCTCAGTTTATCCATCAGTAAAGCAAGCCTAACAGCAATATCTCATGCATCAGGCCACTGGGGTAACTAAATGAAACAATAGATACACTCAATATATAACAAATATTTGGGGCCGGGCGTGGTGGCTCATGCCTGTAATCCCAGCACTTTGGGAGGCCAAGACGGGTGGATCGCCTGAGGTCAGGAGTTCGAGACCAGCCTGGCCAACATGGTGAAACCCTGTCTCTACTAAAAAATATAAAATTAGCTGGGTGTGGTGGCACACGCCTGTAATCCCAGCTACTGGGGAGGCTAAGGCAGGAGAATTGCTTGAACCTAGGAGGAGGAGGTTGCAGTGAGCTGAAATCACACCATTGCACTCCAGCCTGGGCAACAAGAGGAAAACTCCATCTCAAAAAAATAAATAAATAAATAAAATTGTACTATGATTTATTATCCTGAACATTAGAATTGCTGTATTCCACATAACTAAGATTTTGGTGATTTTTTTTTTTCTCTGGTTGGGATCTTTTAAGTCAGGTTATGCTAGGCCGGAATAGGTAGCAAAGCTAGCAGAAACCATCACCCAATAGCTAAAATGTCATGACCTCTAGTTCTCTGAAGTTCAAGGTGGAGATGAAACAAAATCTCCCATTTCCTATGTTTGAACGTCTAAACTTTTAATATGAAGGATACCAGTATTGACAGAGCAAGATGATATATGTTTGCAGTTATGAGAAAAGAAAATTGAACCAAAAAATATCTTTTAGAAAATACTTTTATAACAAGTTTATTGAGATATAATTCACAAAATTCACTCATTTAAATTGTACAACTTGAGTATATTCAGAAAGCTATGCAACCAACACCACTATTTAATTGTAGAACATTTTCACCAGCCCAAAAAGAAACCTGTACCTATTTGTAATCACTCCCATTCTGTCTTCCCCACTACTTGCCTTACCCTGGCAAACACTAAATCTGCTTCTGTCTTTATCTATTTGCCTATTCTGGACATTTTATATAAATGGAATCATACAATATGTGTCTGGCTTCTTGATGCTAAATGCTACAGCAATCTTGCTTCATGTACATTGTAGTATATATTGGTACTTCATCTTTTTGACTGTCAGTTTCAGCTACATGGATATACCACATTTTGCCCATCCACTGCCAATAACATATCTGAATATGTCCCTTCCCAGTAATAGCTTAATTATAGGATCCCCCCCAAACCACTAAATAAATCTCAGCTGTATAGGATTGGCAATCTTCTTCTTCAATGTGAAGATTATTGGCTTAAAAGATCTCGGTCCCATATGAATGCTTTAACTATGAAACCTCTCTAGCATATAGCCCTACTTTTTACTTCTTCTCAGCCTTAACTCCTAATAATTCCTACACATTCTTAGGATTTTAGCCAGCCTTAACTCCCAATAATTCCTACACATTCTTAGGATTTGAGCCAATCTCCTATGAACCTACCTACCACCTACTGAGTTCCGTACGTCCACATCTGGGCCCTCATCTCTCCCCCCACATCTATGTCCCCCATAGAGACAGTAAGGTCTGAAGCTGGAGACGCATACGAACAGCTTAGGGTGAAGTTCGTTATGATTTTTGGCAGGGATTACATCAGATAAATAATTAGATTGGGCAGAGGCCAATGCCAGACAAATGATGGGCGTGGTTGAATTACCGGAAAATGAGATGTTAGGAGAAAGCATGTAAGAGGGCATAACATACCCTTTTATAAAACTGAAATTTTATAAAGGGAGCCATTGGCTTGGTTATAAGCTAAAAGTTCAGAGGGGCCAGGCTGACTAGGGGATGGTCATAAACAGTGTGACAACTGCAAAAAGCAGGGGCCAGGCATTGAGCATGCAGAAGCTGGGGGCTGGGGCAGGGCAGCTTTGAAGAACTTCCTACATGACAGCCAGCCTCAGCATGTTGCACGGTGTGTAGATTCATACAGGATTGGCTAAAATCCTAGGTATGTGAAGGAATTATTGGGAGTTAAGGCTGAGAAGAAGTAAATATTAGGGCTATATGCTAGAGGGGTTTCATAGTTAAAGCTTCCCCTGCTTCCCCTGTGCAGAGTTGGCTCCTGCCAGGACTTCCAAGGACGACACCTGTCTGAGCACATCCTGGATTCAACTTGAGTGTTCCAAGCTCCTCCCCAACCAGTGATGGGAAGCAATGAGGCACCTTCTAAAGAGACTCAGGGCTGAAGTGGACAGCCTCAGACCTTGGAGACTAGGTCAAAGCCAGTTCCTGAAGGTCTTTTTCAGCACCATCTTGGTTGGAAGGTTTTGAGTCTTCTTGAGTCAGGTCAGTGGGGTTCTGCTCCTTGGACTAGAATCCTTGACATGGGCACAGGTGAGACCTCCTTCCCTTCTGGATGTTTCTTTTCCTAGGCAGATGGGCAGGACCTTATCTCTGGATGAGATCAGGGGACCCTCAGCTATTTCTGCACTTGCTGGATTCCTCTTTGGAGTTTTATCACACCCTCTCCTGCTGAATGATATGCTTTATTTTGTCTGTGTCTTGGTTGCTCAACTAGATTTTTCCCTGGGGACAGGATTCCATGTTTCCTCTTTACCTGTCTGTAAGACATTAGCAAGGGAGGGCAGCTCTTGGTCCTCACAGAGAAGGCACATTTCTGAGGCCATGCAAGAGTGACTGGGGTTCCAAAAGTGGGCATGGCAACTGTTGCCTGGGGTTCCAAAAGTAGGCACAGAAACTGTTGTCAACAGGTTGACAAAAATATCACTAACGCGGCAATACACCTTTGACTATTATTATTATTATAGTGGCCAAATCTATGTGGCAGAAATGTGCCTTGATGTTTTAATACTCACCCCATGTAATCATCCCACAAAATGACATAAGCTTCATTTATTCATTTTACAGTTAAGAAACCTGTAGTCAGGGAAACCAAGTAAAATATGCAGAGTGACAAAGCCAGTGATTAACCTCAATGGTAAACAACACAACAGGAAAAGCCACAGGTGAAGAAAGGAACAAGATGCACACTCGATTTTGAAGGAATTTCCAGATTTATAACCTTAAAAGGAGAGATGAAGATTGGTCCAACAGTCCTAAATACCATATGTTGAGGTAGCAGCAGTTCAGATGGATGGGGTGGAGCAGAGAATAGGAGGGGAGATCAGGTAAATAGAAAGTAGATTGCAGGATTTTCATTACACAAGATTTTATCTCTGGAAATAATATTTTTAATTTAGCAAATATCAGAGAGTTAATTAAAACAAAAATAAAGGATTAGAGTCCTGAGAAGCCCTGTGCAGGACACACCTTGATATGGTTTGGTTGTGTTCCCACCCAAATCTCATCTTGAATTGTAGCTCCCACAATTCCCATGTGATGTGAGAGGGACCCTAGGAGAGGTAATTGAATCATGGGGGCGGGTTTTTCCCATGTTATTCTCGTGATAGTAAGTCTCACAAGATCTGATGGGTTTATAAAGGGCAGTTCCCCCGCACATGCTCTCTTGCCTGCCACCATTTAAGACATGGCTTTGCTCCTCCTTTGTCTTCCACCATGATTGTGAGGCCTCCCCAGCCATGTGGAACTGTGAGTCCATTAAATCTCTTTTTCTTTGTAAATTACCCAGTCTCAGGTATGTCGTTATTAGCAGCATGAGAACAGACTAATACACACCTTGATTAGCTTTCTTTTGTTCCCTTCTACTGTGTATGTTGAATGGCCAAACTTCAACAACAAAAGCACAAAGGATGCAGCAGAGATTGTCTTCAGCTGCCCAACCTCCCCTTCCCAAGTGTAAACCCTCCTGCCCTGCCCCACACCAACTCTCCTTCTTTCCTGCAATTCAATGCTCCCCATACCATTGGCTTATACACACCCATCAAAATGAGAAGAAAGCCAATAGCCACAGAGCCTATTTTGAATTGGGAATTAATATCAATACATTGCGTTGAGCAAGGCATTTTCATTTCAAGCAAAATTTTCTACTAATCACAAAATGAAAAACTCTGTCATTACAAAGAAATATTTGGGGCAATGGCAAGCATGCATAAACAATTATTATGATTAGAATGATTTTTTAAAATTAGTGAGGACAGCATGTCATAGGCTGCTTGGGATGATTAAAAAGATAATCCTTGTAAAGTATTTATCAAAATGTTTGGCTCAGGATTTTTAAAAAATCCTTTGTTATTATTGATGTGATTTTGTTGTCATTTGCCATTATATTGTCTTTAGCAGTTTGGGAGTAATCCTAGACTTAATATCTCCCAGCTCACAACGGATAATACTCACCCTAGACTAACTGATTCAGTCTTATTATAGTGAGACTCAAAAGTATTTAGTATTGAAAATACTAAGATACAGTATTTTAGCAATACTAAAATACAAATAAAACTTGCAGTAAAAGGATGCCTTTCCATTCTGTTTTTTCCTTGGGTGGAAGCAATTTTTCAACATTTGCCAACAGGATGAGTGGGCAATGGTATTGGTATTTTTACTTTAATTTCCTGACTGGCCATTTATTTTCCTTTACCGTGGATAGTCTGTCTCTTTTACCTTATCTAATTGCGGATTGTTCACCATTTTTAAAATCAATTTTAGCAACTATTAGTATCACTTAGGTTCAATGATCATTTGTCTATTGCAAAAATTCTCAAGCCCCTCATTCATCTTTTGCATTTATTTGTGAGGTTTTTCCACAAGGAAATTTTATATGCATGCACACACACAGATGCACGCATCCATGCATTCACATATATATTTGCCCTCAAAATGCATCCATAGTTCCTTTTTGGATTCTGGGTTTCCTGTTTTTCTTAAAATAATTGCCCCCATGCCAAGGTTTTGCAGCCGTTCTGTGCTTTTACCTGTATCAGTCATCATGTGCTGTGCTATTTATCTCTACTAAGAACTTCTAAGAACCCTGCCCACTAGCATCAGGGATGCCAATAAACCCCCGATTAATGCTGGCCACTTTGTTTAGGCCAGATGCTACCCCATCACGATCCACCTATGTTGCTTACATATAGTACTCTTTGAGCAGAAGAGCAATAAAAAAATACAAGAATCCAGTATATTTCAATACCCTGCCCCAGCAGAAGTCCTTCGTCAGATTACAATAGCCTTCACCAGTTAAGCCATTTGACAACAAAGATAAAATAACAGTATTTGCAATAAAGTCTTGTTCTGGCTTAAAGCCAACAAAGATAAAGAGTCAAAGTACATTAGGCTAGAAACACATTTGCCTCTAGAACCATCATTGTAACCTCCAGGTAGGATTAGACAGTGGGACTTTTGTAATTATATAAAGATTACATCCTGTATTTTATTGGTTTAACTAGATCAAACATGAATGCTAGTCAATCTGGCTTTCAAAGAGTTTATATAAGTTCAATCAACTGCACCCAGCCGTTATTTCAATGACATTTTCCAAGTCTTTTCATTTCTAGCCTTTTGATTTTTCCTTAAAGAAAGATAACTCTTCAAAAGCTTCAAGTAAAGAAAACACATCATTCATGCAAAGACAACACACACGGGAAGAATAAAGATAAATGGAAACTAGTTCTCTAGATCCCACCATATGAAAAGAGAAAACAGGAACAGATCTCACTCATTTCCTTCAACATAGCCAGGTGTCGGCATGGAACAGCTAAGGAACTAGTCAGTCTACAATTTCCAAAATACATACCAAACTAGTGTCTAACAATGGAACTGAACATTTGAAATAGAAATCAGTCAGGAAACCCACCATAGACCTTAACTTTACCAATCAATGCTTTGACACTGCAAATAATTAGCTGTGACCCTGAATGGACAATTTTGTGTCCTGCTTGGTGTAAGTTATTTTAAAGCAATAGATGAAACTATAGATACAAGTCATTATATATTTGTCCAAACCCATAGACCATACAACACCAAAAGTGAAGCGTATGTAAACTATGGACCCTGATGATGATGATGTGCCAACGTAGGTTCATCCCTTGTCACAAATGTCCCACTCTGGTGGGGGATGTTGGTAATGGGAGAGGCTGTGCATGGTGGGGGCAGAGAGCATGTGGATATTCTCTGTACCTTCTGCTCAATTGCTGTGAACCTAAAACTGCTCTACAAAATAAAAAGTCTATTGAAAAGGTTCAGGAGGAGGGCTTTCTTTATATATTTGTTGTTCATAAGTAAGATTTCTTTCAAATGTTATGGAATATCCTCAGCAGTCTTTTCATTAACCAAGAAAAAAGTCTCTCTGTATTCTACAAATATTTCACATTTAATGGAATTCTACAGGAAACAAATATTTGACCATATAGAAAGAAATACACCTGCCTCCAGACACCCAGCCTTCCCATACTGTCCTTTCTTCAAAGAAAATGCGACTTCAACCAGGAAGCCTTCCCTGACCCCCACGCCCTGACTTCCACAGCTCTCTCTCTCTGTTGCTTGCTCTATAACGTTCTGCACTTCTCCCCCCAGGCACTCTATCACACAGTGGACAAGTGCAAATTATGTGTGTTGTTTTAATTTAATGATCATATGCCCCCCAGCCTGGAAAAGCTTTGGCGGTAGTGTCTATCCCTAGCACATGTTTGCCATTGGCTCTCTGGCACATAGCAGCGTGCCTGACACAGAGTAAATGGTCTTCACAAATGGTACTGATTGAAGAAATAAATGAATGGAGTAGGAGGTCATACAAAGGAATTTAAGCTTTAGTTATTAGGTCCTGAGGAGCTAGAAAGAATGATATAAATAGACTGAGCTGATGAAATGTTTCATCTTCTCTGGATGGAGCTTTTAAGAAGTAGGCTCATTATTTTGTTTCCTATGATGTAAATGTCCAAGAGATTTGGCATGATGACACCGAAAACTGAACAAAGACTTGCATTTGGGATCAAATATACGTTATTTAATAAATAAAAATACTAATTATCTTTTTATAGGGTGTAGATACAGTACCTAAAGAAAATATATAGAACAGCAAATGCCAGACTTTTCTTCTTCTCATCATTCCCTAAACAATACAGTGTAACAGCTATTTACATAGCACTTACACAGTATTAGGTATTATAAGTAATGTACAGATGATTTTAAATATATAGGAGGATATTTGCAGGTTATATACAAATACCACACCATTTTACTTCAATAACTTGAGCATCTTCAGATGTAGGTGTCTGCCGGGGTGGGGAGGGGAGGCAGATCCTGAAACCCTTAGGGTGCATTATAACTTTGATATACTTTTCCTGAAACTAATAGAATTGTGTTCTTCAAGTATATTCATCCAAGAAGAACATACTGTTGTTTCAATGTAACCAGCAGTTATTTTCCACCTGTACTTTTAAAACCAACTGGCCAGGCATGGTGGCACACGCCTGTAATCCCAGCACTTTGGGAGGCTGAGGCGGGTGGACCACGAGGTCAGTATTTCAAGACCAGCCTGGCCAACATGGTGAGACCCCATCTCTACTAAAAATACAAAAATAATCTGGGCATGCCAGCACATGCCTGTAATCCCAGCTACTCGGGAGGCTGTGGCAGGAGAATTGCTTGAATCCAGGAGGCGGAGGTTGCAGTGAGCTGAGATCACACCACTGCATTGCAGCCTGGGTGGCAGAGCGAGACTATGCCTCAAAACAAAAACAAAAACAAAAAACTTTAGGGGGAAGCTGAGTGCCAGACAGTTTAAAGGAACAATAGAAATGCCTAAGAAACTATCATCAGAGTGAACAGGCAACCTACAGAATGGGAGAAAAATTTTGCAATCTATCCATCTGACAAAGGGTTAGTATCCAGAATCTACAAGGAACTTAAACAAATTTACTAGAAAAAAATCAAACAACCCCATCAAAAAGTGGGTGAAGGATATGAACAGCACTTCTCAAAAGAAGACATTTATGTGGCCAACAAACATATGAAAAAAGCTCATCATCACTGGTCATTAGAGAAATGCAAATCAAAACCACAGTGAGATACCATCTCACACCAGTTAGAATGGTGATCATTAAAAAGTCAGGAAACAATAGATGCTGGAGAGGATGTGGAGAAATAGGAATCCTTTTACACTGTTGGTGGGAGTGTAAATTAGTTCAACCATTGTGGAAGACAGTGTGGCAATTCCTCAAGGATCTAGAACCAGAAATACCATTTGACCCAGCAATCCCATTACTGGGTATATACCCAAAGGAATATAAATCATTCTACTATAAAGACACATTCACACATATGTTTATTGTGGCACTATTCACAATAGCAAAGACTTGGAACCAACCCAAATGCCCATCAGTGATAGACTGGATAAAGAAAATGTGGCACATATACACCATGGAATACTATGCAGCCATAAAAAAGGATGAGTTCATGTCCTCTGCAGGGACATGGATGAAGCTGGAAACAATCATTCTCAGCAAACTAACACAGGAACAGAAAACCAAACACCGCAAGTTCTCACTCATAAGTGGGAGTTGAACAATGAGAACACATGGACATAGGGAAGGGAACATTACACACCAGAGCCTGTCAGGGGGTGGGGGGTGAGGGGAGGGATAGCATTAGGAGAAATACCTAATATAGATAGATGATGGGTTGATGGGTGCAGCAAACTGCCATGGCATGTGTAAACCTATGTAACAAACCTGAAAGTTCTGCACAGGTATCCCAGAACTTAAAGTGTAATTAAAAAAAAAAAAAGAAAGAAAAAGCAGTACATATACACAGTGGAGTATTATTCAACCATAAAAAAAGAAATGTCTTTAAGAAAACAAATGTCAATTTCATTTCAAAGTTCTTGTGAATAATGAAAATCATCAAAGGAGAAAATTATGCAAGACCAACACAGAGAGAAAACAATATTAAATAACTTTACATGACTTTGAATTACATTGTTTTCTTTTCTTTTCTTTCTTGAGACAGGGTCTCACTCTGTCACCCAGGCTGGAGTGCAGTGGTGAGATCACAGCTCACTGCAACCTTCGCCTCCAGGGACATTCTTCACCATGGTTATCTGCAAAGAGTATGACATGATGCGAATATTTATCTGGCTATAGTGTACTTTAGGTGATACGTAATAACTAGAAGTGTTTTGAAGCCTTCTTAGGTCTTGTATTTCCTTAACTGTTGTAGGTGTTGTGTTCTTAATATAGGATGTTTTATAAATAAATATAACTAAAAATTCATCAAGAAAAATTTTAGCAGAAACTAAAGTTGCATAGACTAAAACTATGACTTGCGACATTTCTTAGCTACATCAGGATTCAACCTTGTCCACCCTGGGAAAGGTAGTGTGCAATAGCTGCTCTTATGCACAAATGATTGAAAACCATTATTTGTGTTATCTTATAATTTTTTTTTATTTTTTTGAGATGGAGTCTCGCTCTGTTGCCCAGGCTGGAGTGCAGCAGTGCAATCTCCACTCACTGCAAGCTCCGTCTCCTGGGTTCACGCCATTCTCCTTCCTCAGCTTCCCAAGTAGCTGGGACTGCAGGTGCCCGCCACCACGCCTGGCTAATTTTTTGTATTTTTAGTAGAGACGGGGTTTCACCGTGCTAGCCAGGATGGTCTCGATCTCCTGACCTCGTGATCCACCTGCCTCGGCCTCCCAAAGTGCTGGGATTACAAGCGTGAGCCACCACGCCCGGCCGTGTTATCTTATAAATTTATGAGGGCTTTTGAAATTCCGATTTTATAGTTAACCACATGAGCCACATAGGAGTCCAGAGCTCTCTGAGAACTTCTACCTCACCAGCAGTCCTTCTGTGCAAAGTATTTTCATCAATGGGCATTCCGGTCTCTGTCAAAGTGTAAGATCTATTTGAATCTGACCAAGCCTGTTCTCTAAACACAACCAGGATAAGAAAAAGGACCCAACAAGTGATTCCAAATACCCACTCAAAATGTTTGTAAATGGTAGCATTCTGACTCAGATGATACCATATCATTACAACTCAGAGAAGATCTTTGAGGGCCATTCAATCCATCTTCTTGGTGAAAACAAGACAAATGTAACTCGTTAATGACATGTCATTGTCTCATAATACAGGGAACTTTCCAAGGAAAAGAGGTTACAGTGTCCCTGTAACATGTTACTCCGCTATGCTGACTTTTCCATCCTGAATTCCTAGCGAAATCTCTCAAAGCCATTCAAGGGAAAAGGGGTGAGGAGTTGCAAGTGATCAACTTTCAGATTTTCTGCCTGCTAATATTTTATTCTCTGATTAACTAATTCATCTAGTAACTCTCTCCAAAACATTTACCATGCCAAAGGAAAACATCAAAACCAGAAGAGAAAAACACAATGCAGGGACCATCCTGCCTGAGTGTGAAGAAGGAAGATCACACACATATTACTGAATTCCATAATACTCAAGGGCAGGACCAAGACGATGACACAAACCACATCATGGAAATGAGCATATAGTGGGGAACTTAGAATTTCCACTAATGTCTGAGGAGAAAGGAAAAGCAAAGAATGGGGTTGGAGGAGAAATCTAAGTGTCCAATAAACCTCAAAATTACCATGCTGAAGAGGAATCTAAGTGTCCAATGATAGCTCTAAACCTCAAAATTACCATGCCTAAGACTGTCCCAAATCATCAGGTTAGTCATTGTCACACATCAGAATAACATGTGAAAGCCACTGGCAACAGTGGCAACACAAGAGTCAGAGGAAAATTCTACATCCTGAGAATGGCAAGTTAATAGCAATTCAAGTTCAACAGTCTCCCTTTGTAGATGAGTCAATTGGGGCTCAGGAAGGCTAAAAAATGTATGAACTATTACTGATTCAAACACAAAGAATATTTTAATAGTAAGCACACCTTACTTAAAGTCAAAGGCTTTATTTCACATGCCAGGCTACTACTCATCCACCATGGGTGGTAAGCTCTCAGAAAAATTAATGTCTTCTTTTCTCAAATGAGATGAATAATGTCTTTACAAGATAATCACAGAGATGTCTATGAAAACCACCTGTGACCATCCAAGGTCAAGGCTGTAGTCTAGCTGGCAAGATGCCAAGTTCAGTGATATGACCACTTTGCACACAAGGAGTGACTTTCAATAACGTAGAAGGTCTCAGAGAGCTCTGGGGCCCCACCTGGAGGTTGATTAATCCCAATTAATCATGCGATTAGCCATGGAGAAGTCAGAATTCTAAAATCCCTCAGTAAGTTTTGATACAACAGTAAAGAAAATGGTTTCCAGTGCCTTATAAATAAGAGCAGCCTAATTAATTTCTACATTGTATGGTTGTTTCAAGTCTTTGCAAAGGCATAATATCCATGTAAAGAATAGAATCTATACAGTTGTTTAATGCAAGGTCACACTAAATTAGATTCACATATCAAAACCCCACTTGGGAGAACATGAAAATGCAATACTGTCAAGTGCTATTCTTAGTATAATTTCAAATTCACATTGAAATATATGACTTTGTTTCCTACGGCTGCCATGACAAAGTACCACAACCCAGGGGGCTGAAAGAGCAGAAATTTATTGTCTCTCGGTTCTGGAGGCTGGAAGTGTGAGACCAAGTTATCGCAAGACCATGCTCTCTCAGAAAGGCCATAGGGGAAGATTGGCTCCATGACTTTCTTTGAGCTTCTGGTAGTTCCTTGGCTTGTGGCAGCATTCCAACCTTCACATCCGTGTCCTCACATCTCTGCATGTCTGTGTTAAAATTTCTCCTTTCAGTAAGGACACCAGTCATATTGGATTAGGGGCCTACCCTCCTCCAGAATGACTCATCTCAATTAATCACATCTCTAACGACGTTATTTCCAAATAAGGCCACTTTGTCACTTTCTGAGGAACTGGGGGTTAGGACATCAACATATGGAGTTAGAGGTGCATTATTCAATCCGGAAGCGACTAAAATAAATTAAAGCCATGGGACAAATACTACATTGTTTCAGCCACACTTCAACCTGCACCTCAGTTAATAATCTATGTGTTAATATGTTCACGTATTATTTTTTCAATTTGCTTCAACTCACTATCAATGTTTATTTCTTCACTTTGGCCTCCTTGCCATCTCCCAGCAAATGTCAGAACATGGTGTTTTGTAACAACCCATCTGTCCATCTCACTGACAATGGTTTTTCCTTTCATAAAGTACTTCAATCTGACAGCAAGTGGGTGTATCATAAGAAGGCATTTGTAATCCATAATGTAAACTGTTTAGAATCAAGTAGTCCAGTTTTGGTGAAAATTGATTGCTTGAATAAACATGGAAGAACCACACCGTCATAATGAGGTGATTTGGCCAAGCACACAATTCTCCCCAGGTGTAACCAATCTACTTTTAAAATGTTGCACCCTCTGGTGAGACCTTCAGCTTTATGTTCCTGATCTTTGTTCCATACCTGGACCTTGATTACTAATGACCCATTCTCTCCCAGGAGACCCACTCTCTCTCCCTGAACACATATGTTCAGAGGAATTGACAATGGCCTCTTCATCTGTCAACAAGGTGGAATCAAAACTCATGTTTCAAAAGACATGGCAGCCAGACAGTGACTCCAGCCCTCTCATTTGACAAATGAGTCTACTGATTCTAAGTGAGCCTATAATGATGTTTCTGCTGAGGACACCACCACTGACTTCTACTTAGTAAGCTCACACTTAATCAATTGTACATAACCTGAATCAAAAAGGGCTGCCCAGAAGAATGTCCAAGCTGGGGGATGGAGAATGGACAGTTCCAAAGCTAGAACTTGGCACCTCTTATCAAGCAAAGAAAGGTACCAGAGAGAAGCCCGACAGCATGACTGACTGAAGCAGTGACTTTCAAAGTGTGGTACTGGAACCAGTGATATCAGCCTCACCTGGAAGCTTTTGCAAATTCTGGTGATATACCTTACACTCGTAGAATCAAAACTCCTGGGGCTGGAGAGCAGTCAGCTGTTTTACAAGTTGTCCAAATATGGCTGATCCCCACGAAAGCCTGAGATGCTTACTCTTCCTTTGCTTTATGTGACTTCACGAAATACACTCCAAATGTCTCCTTTCTTTCTTTTTTTTTTCTTTCTTTCTTTTTTTTTTGAGATGGAGTCTCACTCTGTCACCCAGGCTGGAGTGCAACGACGCGATCTCAGCTCACTGCAACCTCCGCCTCCCGGGTTCAAGTGATTCTCCTGCCTCAGCCTCCCAAGGAGCTGGGATTACAGGCGCCCACCACCACGCCTGGCTAATTTTTGTATTTTTAGTAGAGACGGGGTTTCACCAGATTGGCCAGGCTGGTCTTGAACTCCTGACCTCAGGTGATCCACCTGCCTCGGCCTCCCAAAGTGCTGGGATTACAGGCATGAGCCACCGTGTCCGGCCCAAATGTCTCTCTTCTCTCCCTTCCAAGTGTCCCAAATAAATGACTGAGACCCTTATTCAGCTCTTACAGGTATCTTATTGGATTCTTGTCATTGAGAAAGAACAACCCTCTTTGTAAAGCAGTAAGTTGATCTTTGCATGTGCTGGTTTCTTTTTCTCCAAGACCAAGACTCAAGGTAACAACATTCAGGGCGGTCTAGACCTCTCTGGCCTCTGCTGTCTTGGCCTCATCTCAGTCTCTGGCCATTTTCATACAGAACAACTGTAGAAACATGTAATTTCTTGCTGGGGATGACTGTGTGGCAAAAGCACAAAGCAGACTTTAAAGGCACTCTCAAATCACCCTATTATTTTTCAAAATAGATGCTTGGCAGCTGCAAAGCTTGACAGGTGCAATATGTTATACATAACAAGTCATTCCCACAAGGCACATTACTGCCTGGAATCTGGCATGTTGACCAGCAGAGGTTAAGGATTAATGTTAAGTTATCAAGCTAATTACTCACATGCATTAAGAGTAGGTGGAGAGGATATGCTTCCGGATAACATGAGCTGGGAACTATTGCTATTATCACTATAACCATTAAAAAAAAATCTAATTGAAAAAACGTACCGTGCCCCAGAGATAAAAACTATTATTTCCATGTGCTTCCCTACTGAATATTTTAGCAACACATTTTGGAATATGCCTGGTAAGTCCTAGAAGTTGTTGTTTTAATGGTAAAGCAAAACCCCCATCTTGCTATACACATGTAAACTAGGAGATGCAGGACTTAGTAGTTGAGCTTCATTTGTAGTAGGGAACACCCAAGAAGGGGAAAAAAAATGACTAAAAATACATGTTTTCCCCTTCTAATTGACTTTACTAAGTGTCAGATTTTTGTCACATTGTTTTCTTGTGATATATGCTTTTTCATTATGCTAATTTATGTTATTCATTAAAGAGTGCAGAATAATTCATCAAACTAAAATAGAGTACCTCATAGTCTATTATGCCCTGACTTATATTCTAACCCATTCATCATGATTCTGGGTTATTTTAATATAAACTTCAAAAGACAGTGTGTTTTAATGAGGGATCACTTGAGAAAACATGATTAATTAAATGTGATGCAAGCGCAAAGAGCAATAACCCCAAGAAAAAACTGCTTTGCAAAAAAATAAAACTCATTCCAAGAAAAATGTGTTCATTGCAGAATTAGAAGGATGTCTGAAAAGTCAGGTATGTTTTCCCAGTAGAATAGATGACTTGGAATTAAATGACTTTTTTTCCTTACACAATATTTATCCAGGATTTCAAATTTCAATTTAAAAATCTACTTAATCTTATCCTATGCATCATACGGAAAGGTGAAATATTTCTCTTTTTTCAGAGACAGGGTCTCTCTGTCACCTAGGCTGGAGTGCAGTGGCTCAATCATAGCTCACTGTAGCCTCAACATCCTGGGCTCAAGCAATCCTTCTGCCTCAGACTCCCAAGTAGCAAGGACAAGAGGTATGCACCACCAAGCCTGGCTAATTTTTTCTTTTTCTTTTTTTTTTTTTTGGTAGAGATGGGGTCTCACTCTGATGCCCAGGCTGGTCTCAAATTCCCGAACTCAAGTGATCCTCCCATCTCAGCCTCCCAAAGCACTGGGATGACAGGCCCACCATGGCCACCCAGAATGGGAAATCTTTAAGTAACAAAAGCACACACGAGAGATCTGCATGTCATGCTCTACTGATTGAACTAGATACTTCAAAACAAACTGGAAAGAGTCTCTTAAATTAAAAAATTAAGTTTTTAAATCTCTTTTGGAAGTGGAGGGGTCTCTCAGACCAGACTGTAGAGCACTGGGGATCCAGGGTTACATACTATTCATTTTATTTTAGCGATAGGGTCTCACCGTGTTGCCCAGGCTAGACTAGAACTCCTAGGCTGTGATCGTCCCTCCTCAGTCTCTCAAGCGGCTGGGGCTACAGGCATGCACCACACTATTTTTGAATCCCAGGATCATCAGCACCAGGCACTCCCTCTGGGCCTAACTCAACCTGATGACAGCCAGCGCGTCTGTAGAGCCAAGTAAGAGGCTCTGTTCTGAGTAAAATGCATGGCATCCCAGAAAACTCAATGAAGCAGCACCACCGTCAAAATGGAGGCAAAGGGCAGTCGACGGTCTGAGAGAGAGGGCAGAGACAACAGTCTTCAGAAAGGAAAAGAAGTTTACTTGCAAAGAAGTCCCAAAAACAGAAGACCTTAGGACCAGCTCACCAACAGAAATAATGATAATGTGAATTTAAAGAAGAAGATGCAGCATAACTAAGTTTGCATGAGTCTGCTCATAGATAAAACCATCCATCTACTTATATGATCATGCTCACATGCCACGACACATCTTCACAATCAGGGTTGCCAAAGACGCAAGGAAAGTGAGGTTTTCGTTTAGGAGAGAGAAACTTAACAGAATGCTACAAGGTCTCATTTATTCAGAAGATGAAAACTTGTCAGGCTAACCCTGTCCTTTTGTGGTCATCTCAGGGCCCAAACCTTCTCCTCTGACTGTGAATGGGGATGTCCATGTCTCCTCATAAGCGAGAGAGTTCACAGCATCAGTTTTGATTCCAGAATTACTTACAGCAGAGATGTAAGCATAGGAAGGGACAGAACCAGGGTAGGGCACCAGCGATCTGGATCCACAGTGCACTCTGGATCACCCTGTAACCCCTCCTCTTGTGGCCTCCCATCTCTGAGCTAGTGACACCTGACACCTCATTTGTGTCTGTGCACCCCAGTTCCCTGACACAGTCCTTTGGGAATGAAGGCACGTGCCTTGGTCATCTTGGCAACACCAGCGCCTAGCAAAGAGCCTGACACAGCACAGACCCTTAGTGTTTCCTGAGAACAAGAAGCTAAGCCATGTCATGACTGCCAGGATGTTTGCCATAGAGTGGAAGCAAAACATATACAGATAGAGACAGACACAGAGATAGAGACCCAGAGACAGAGACAGATGGAATAGATATGGATATCCCGATACAAATATTCACATACTGCTATGTTTGGAGACATCAGTTTTGTCATGACTGAAGGTGGGAGGCATGGTACTGGCATTGAGTAGGGAGAGGCCAGGGATGCTGTGGAACCATTAAAATGCACCAGACAGCCCCTCCACTCAACAAAGAAGAATCTGCTCCAAAACGTCCACAGTGTCATAGTTGACAAACCCTGAACTAGAAACGCATGCATAATATACACACAGACGAATATATGGAAATTAAATTCTAGCCCTAATTTCATGAGGTTATGTAAAAAAGCAACCTCCATCTTCTTTTCAAAATTGTGGAGTAATAAAGTGAACTAGAGTATGCAAATCTTGCCCTATTAAAAACAGGTTTAAAACATTGCAAAAATCTATGGCTCCTGGATAATAGAAAAATGAAAATTACAGATGGTCGACTAGTCTATATTTGTTTTTCTGGTGATTGTGATACATAACCAGAGAATATATTCTATCCAGATTTTTTTTAAAAAATTTCTTTGCAGCTGTGAAGGCATTAGCTCATAACTCCGGATACAAAAATGTGGAAACAACAAAAACAACCAAAAGATGTTCTCTACTTTCTTTTAAATTCTGGCCCAATGGGAAAAAAAAAAATACTTCCCAGATGTAGGCCATTTCTGGAATGATGACCACTAGGTTTGGCTGTACTGCTTTCAAAATGGTACAGCCAAATGTCAAAATAGAAAGGGAGAGGGAAGAGGGGGAAAGAAAAGAGAGATCAGGAGAGAGCGAGAAGAGAGAGACAATGCATTTCTACTCAAAGATATGATGGGCTGACCTGGCACAGTGGCTCACACCTGTAATCCCAGCACTTTGGGAAGCCCAGATGGGAGGATCTCTTGTGGCCAGAAGTTCAAGACCAGCCTGGGCAACATAGTGAGACCCTGTCTCTGTTTTCAAAAAATAAAAACTCAAGCCTAGGCAATATAGTGAGAACTTGTCTCTACAAACTGTTAAAAAATTAGCCAAGCGTGGTGGTACAGGCCTGTATACCAGCTACTTGAAAGGCTGAGGTGGAGGGATCCTTGAGCCAGGGAGTTTGAGGCTGCAGTGAGCCATGATTGCACCACTGCACTCCAGCCTGGGTGACAGAGTGAGACCCTGTCTCAAAACGTAAATAAATAAAATAAATAAAAATTCAAAATTTAAAAAATAAATGATTAAGCAAAAGATATGATGGCACTATCCATCAAGGATATATGGGACACATATTTTAGATTTTAAAGGCAAAGTTCTAGTTCCAAATGACTTTTCTGTTTTGAGGACACAGTCTCACTCTTGTCACCCAACTGGAGTGCAGTGGTGCCACTGGAGCTCATTGCAGCCTTGAACTCCTGGACTCAAGCGATTCTCCCACCTCAGCCTCCCAAAGCACTGGGAATACAGGCGTGAGCTACCATGCCTGGCCCCAAATAGCTTTAGTAGCCCAAAACATGGAAAAGAAAATGGGGAACAAAGTGCCCACCTTCAAACAATTAATGGTGGACACCACCCTAGGTGACGTCTTTGTCCCTTCTTGCCACAGATGAAATTTAAAAGAAGCACAGTTGTCAAAACATGTTCACAACAACTGGCCTCCCATTTTCTTCTCATTCTATCTGAAAGGAGTCAGTAACTTCTGCATGAACTTGGCATTCATGGCATCAACAGGATTGGTTTCAACTCTAGGGGCCAGGCGCCAATGCTGTGGTGTGGTTTGTAATTCTGCCTTTATGTGGGTCATTCATATGGCAGGACTGTTGGGCAGGAATAGGTAACCTCTGATGTCTGGTTGCCATAGCATCTCCTTACAGCTACGTGGTTCTCTGCTCCTTGTTTTAGGCACAATTACGCCTCTAGGTGAGCAGAACTCTGTCCACTGGGCAGAAATGACCATCAAGCGAGGGATAAAACAGCAGTTGGCAGAGACAAAAGTATCTGGCCATGAAGAAGAAAAAGTGGAAATCTCAGCGCTGCATCAGAAATTGTTGGTGCAGAGTTCTCAGAAAATATTCGTATACTTCCAATTGTGGGGATGATTCTATTATCACTATTCGTTATGATTGTAAAGGATCTTGCAATTTGCATTCTGCGGGAGTCCTATCAGTTGGAAAGCAAACTAATGACCCTGAAATGCAATCCTCCTTGGCATACTGGATTTGTTATAACAACACTCTGGACCTGTCCAGTTGATGGGGTGACACATGTCAATATAAGCTGTGTATTCTGTTAAAAATCTCTCTCCCGTATTTTAGGCTTACAGGTTTTGGTCAACTTTCTTTCTGGTATACACAGTATAACAAGGAGTCTACATTTCAGAAGAGTGTCATTACTTCCAACAGTGTAGGCATTTAAAGACAAGGACTGGGATATTTGTGTAAGTCTAGATGGACTGTCTCTTGCAATAATGCCCTATTAGAGATTTAAACAAGAGTTAATCAACTTTCCTTGAATGAACCCTTCAAAGAACTCAACAGGTTCTTTGTCACCCAGGCTGGAGTACAGTGGCACAATCTCGGCTTACTGCAACCTCCACCTCCCAAGTTCCAGGGATTCTTCTGCCTCAGCCTCCCTAGTAGCTGGGACTACAGGTGCGCACCACCATGCCTGGCTAATTTTTGTATTTTTAGTAGAGATGGGGTTTTGCCATGTTGGCCAGGCTGGTCTCAAACTCCTAAACTCAGGCGATCTGCCCACCTTGGCCTCCCAAAATGCTGGGATTACAAGCGAGAGCCACCGCACCTGGCCCATTATGTGACTTTTTAAATGGTAACAACATATCTGCGTTATCTTTATAAGAATCAGGGTAATGTGAAACACAAAATTATATATTTTTGAGCTCACTAAGAAAATATTTTCTGAAGTATTAACAACTTGAAAAGCAAAAAAAAAACCTTATGAAAATAAAAAAGTTATAATTCAAAACAAAAGGGTAAACAGAATGTGAATTAAGAGCCTTGATTAGTTGCCGGATTCTTTTCAAGCCTTTTGATGGGTATTGTTTCTCAGACTCCCCTGAGGAGAGGTTTTAAAGCTTCGGGGATTAAAGAACCCCAAAACTTCACATCTTTACCATCTTGTTCTCATGTGCAGCCTTGAGAATTTTCAAAATTCTTTTTTTGAAAGATTTCCTCATTGCCTAACTTTTATATTTTGCAGAGATGCCGGAAAGAATTATAAAGTGTAAACACACACACACATAACCAAAACCCAAACAAAAGGCAATGAAGCAAGCATGTCAGGCACACTGAGCTCGTGGAAATGGCTGTCACATACATGCAAGCTACAATTACCATGCACAATGACTCCACACATGTCCCACCAACATACACAACAGCAACACAGCCAAGAATGAGGACACCGCAACTTTTGTTGCAGGCAGCAAACATCCCCTGTGATGTCGAGGACTCCAGCTGCTTGGAACGCTTCCCCAAGAATCTCGATAAAACTCTGCTATTTCATTACATGCATGGAAAATTGGATAGGCCTAAAAAAAAGCAATTGACAAAAACAAAAAAAGACATTCTTCATCTGAAAAATATCAATATCCATGATCATGAGTTAAATTACTATATGTAAGGATTTAAAAGACGATTCATGGTTTTAATAGTTTCTTTCTTCACGTCAACAACTTGCAGCAATTTTATTAAATGTTTGTCCTTCTCTCCAGTAGAAAATAATTCTCTTGGCCAGGTATGGTGGCTCACACCTGTGATCTCAGTACTTTGGGAGGCTGATGCAACAGAATCACTGGAGGCCAGGAGTTTGAAACTAGCCTGATCAACATAGCAAGACCCCATCTCTGGGGAAAAACAAAAACAAAAACAAAAAACTTAAAAAAAAAGTAGCCAGGTACGGGGGTGTAACACACCTGTAGTCCCAGTTACTCAGGAGGTTGAGGGAGGATTTCTTGAGCCTAGGAGTGCAAAGCTACAGTGAGATATGATCATGGCACTACACTCTAGTCTAGGTGACAGAGGGAGACCTTGTGTAAACAACAAACAAAAAATTTGTAAAGAAAGTAATTGTTTTGGAGGCAAGAAGCACATCTCACATATGCTGGGGCCTCACAATCTAAGATACCTGAAAGACGGTTGTGTTTTGCAGATTCTTATTGGTTAGAAGAATGAATTGGGTGGGTACGTGCACCACCAGTCGGGATGGTGTTGATGGACTGATATTTTTCAAGCCATTTTCTATCACACCAGCAACCTTTCAATTGTCCTCATCTGTGCAACTGTGGTGCAAAACTGCCTCCAGAAGCCAGTGAGAAATCCCGTCCTAGTTCCCTTACAACTGAGTGTCTCTGGATCATAATATAGGTGCTGTTTCCCCTCTGTCTTCTCTCGCTGTTAACATACTAAGAAGTGGAGTCATTCAGTACAAATATCTAGGAATGTGACAATGAGGGCTTGAGTTTCTGCTATGGATCCTTGGTTATCTCATTTTCAGGCCTTCAGTTTTCTTATCTGTAAAGAAAAATAACATTCCTGACCTCACAGAGTAGTTGTGATGGTCAAATAGATATTTTATGTGAAACAACTGTGTCAGCTCCAAAACACTGTAAAATGCAATGCTAAATGCCTTCTGTCCTGTGGCTCAGGAATTCCGGAGAGCTTCTAATTTCCACTAATTCAGAAGCTGTGTCCAACCGCAAGCCAAGAGATAGCCTCCTTTTCCTCCCTTCTTCTTTCTTAGGCTCTTTCTTAGAGGTGTGGCCAAGGATCTCCATAGAGATCAACTGAAAAGCATTAAGAGTTGAAATTCAACCAGATTAGCAAGAACCAGCAAGACACACATCCCTAAGTGTTGTGGCTTGAATGTGGCATCATGTTACAATGGGCATGCTCTTAACCTGCCTTGCAGAACAAAGCACTTGAGCTTTGTGGCTATTTATTCCTTCTCTAACAAGTTCCCAAAGTCTGGCTGCTAGCTGGGAGGCTGATGCTATATCATGGCCATTTAGGTTATGGTCCCCAACAACAGACCACACTGTTGCAAGACTCTGTATTTATACACATGCTGTTCCAAGCTGGAATAACTCAGCTAGCAGTTATGAGACTTTCCCTAAAAAGATAAACACCCTCCCTCCTCTGAGATCTCATACAAAAAACTCCATCTATTGGGCTGAACTTGTCTGTTTACAAACAAGTCTTAGCCTAGAATAGACCCTAAGTTCCTCATGTACAGAGGTTTTAGCTCATCTTTGGAATTGTAACAATCCACTGATATTAGCTGAAATAAATGCAACTTATTAAATCAGTACTTTTTAAAAAAATACATTTCTATAGGTTTTTGGGGAGCAGGTGGTATTTGGTTACACAAGTAAGTTCTTTAGTGGTGACTTGTGAGATTTTGGTGCACCCATCACCCAAGCAGTATACACTGAACCCAGTGTGTAGTCTTTTATCACTCACCCCCTTCCCACCCTTTCCCCCGGAGTCCCCAAAGTCCATTGTATCACTCTTAGGACTTTGCATCCTCATAGCTTAGTTCCCACTTACAAGTGAGAACATACAATGTTTGGTTTTCCATTCCTGAGTTACTTCACTTACAATAATGGTCTCCAATCCCATCCAGGTTGCTGCGAATACCATCAGTTCATTCCTTTTTATGTCTGAGTGGTACTCCATTATGTGTGTACACACACACACACACACACACACACACACATACACACCACAGTTTCTTTATCCACTCATTGATTGATGGGAATTTGGGCTGGTTCCACATTTTTGCAATTGCGTGTGCAAGTATCTTTTTTCATATAATGACTTATTTTTCTCTGGGTAGATATCCAGTAGTGGGATTGCTGGATCAAATGGTAGTTCTACTTTTAGTTCTTTAAGGAACCTCCACACTGTTTTACTAGTTTACATTCCCACCAGTGGTGTAGAAGTGTTCCCTTTTCACTGCATCCATGTCAACATCTATTATTTTTTGATTTTTTGATAATGGCCATTCTTGCGGGAGTAAGGTGGTACCACATCGTGGTTCGACAAAGCAAGCAAAAACATAAAGTGTGGAAAGGACACCCTATTCAACAAACGGTGCTGGGATAATTGGCAAGCCACATGTAGGAGAATGAAACTGGATCCTCGTCTCTCATTTATATAAAAATCAACTCAAGATGGATCAAGGACTTAAATCTAAGACCTGAAACTATAAAAATTCTAGAAGATAACATTGGAATAACCCTTTGAGACACTGGCTTAGGCAAAGATTTCATGACCAAATACCCAAAACCAAACACAACAAAAACAAAGATAAATAGGTGGGACTTAATTAAACTGAAGAGCTTTTGCGCGGCAAAAAGAACAGTCAGCAGAGTAAACAGACAACCCACAAAGTGGGAGAAAATCTTCACAACCTATACATCTGACAAATAACTAATATCCAGAATCTACAAGGAACTCAAACAAATCAGCAAGAAGAAAAAACAAGCAATCCCATCAAAAAGTAGGCTAAGGACATAAATAAACAATTCTCAAAAGAAGATATACAACTGGCCAACAAACGTATGAAAAACATGCTCAACATCACTAGTGATCAGGGAAATGCAAATAAATCAGTACTTTTTAAAGAAAGAAACAGATTCAGCACCTATGCAGACAGTGATTTACATGAAAACAATCTACAAATGCTACATTTGTTCCTTTCTGGGCATTTTTTACATATTGGCTAATAAGTATAACTATTTTTATCCAACCCTCTTTACCATCAGGGAAAATGTCTCCCCTCACCTCTTTGAAACCATACACAAATTACATTTTTAAAATATACAAAGGATTGCAGGTCCTGGAGGATGTAGCTTTTTTGGGGTGTAGCTCCACTAGTTGCATGCTGAGTAAATCCAATGTTGGCTGATACCTGAACTATTGGGGCTCCCTTGCCTTCTTCCTAGACCTGCCATGTAGTACTGTCGTTAATGATGTCCTCTCACTCCAGCTACTGCCCACTTACCCTACAGCTATTTCAAGCTTGCCTGAACAGTGCATATTTTCACATTTCATTGAATTCTCAACAATGAGGGAGCATGATGTGCTTACCTACTAGGTCCAAGAATTGAAATCTTTTTACTGAAGTCATCAGGAGCTAGAAACTAAATTCAAGTAACAGAAAATCTTCTGAATCTGTTTCTTTATTTAAAATGATGTTTAAACTTTGTATACCCTCTCAATTTTTTGAAGGATAGTAAATGAAGTCTTAGCTGAGAGTGTAAAAGCTAACTTATATTTTTACTTATTCTACCTACTAGCTTGAACAGGTCATTTCTATAAGAACCGAGTTGTCTGATCAGAAAAAACAAAAGTGTTGAATGGAACCACGTGTTTCTGAAGGGAGGTGTCTTAGACTGGGTTTCCTAGAAGCAGAGGTTGAAATGGGGTTTCTCGGACATGAGGTAATATTGGGGCGGAGAGAAAAGCTCTCAGTAGAAGAGGGAAGAGAGGAAGCAGGAGAAGGCAGAGATAAGACCTGTGTGGGGATGGGCTCTCAGCCAGAGCCCTGCATAAGCCTGATCCCATGCGATGCTTTTGGGCATGAATTGCATTACAGAGCTGATTCCAGCAGGGGGCTGACCTCCTATATCCCCTGAGCAGAGAGCCAATCGCCATGGTCTGCGCACATCAAGGGAGGAGGATGCATGACCTTGCAAGCAAGATGGTGCCCATCGGCCAAAGGTTATTCCCTTAAAAGGAAGCAGCTGTAAGCTATTAGCAGCTGATACAGGAGCCGGGGGATGGTGGGGTAAGAGGCAAGAGGTCAACAACTGCATCGACTGGAGAAGGAATTGGTGTATATCACCTCTTTTAAAATATTTCAGAAAACTCCCCAAAATGACACATTTTCCTAAGATGATGGTGCAAAGAGAACTAAAATGTCATAACTATTCATTTTATCAATCAGCTCTGGTCATGGGGGCAACCTAATGCTAATCTAAAGCTTGAAAGAGTTATGGCTATCTTTGATTAATGTAAAGAGGAAAAACTAGGTCATACTTAATAAACGCCATATGTTGATAGACAACCTGCTTTCAAAATATGGAGGCCAGGGTAAGTTAAATGGAAAAGTTGAAAGGTAGCTGACTTCAGAACCCTAAGGCTCTGTGAGCTTAGATGATGCCCAGAAATTATGTTATTCTATACTTTACACAAGGCACTGCAAAGAGACATTTTCAGTTATTTCTATTCCTATTTCATAAATAAAAATGCCTTTTGATAATATGGATATGCTTCATTAATTGCTGTCCCAAACCTCTCTTCCCCCCAAAATGGTATGAGAGTCAGGTTTCTGGACAGCAATACCAAGTAATCCATTGGAACTTCTCCATTTCTGACTTAATACAAGCAGTACCCCCTAACACTTTCATAAGTCTCTCTACCTTAACCCCAACATTTTATACTCATTCACTGAAACATACCTGGTAGGTGAGAACATGAAAGGTGGTGAATTTATTTTGAATAAATATGATAACCTCCAAATTTATGATTACATTTTTAAAAGTGGGAACACTTGCACCAACAATATTACCTTTTTAATTTAGGTGTCCAAATACACACATGTGGATAAATAATATTATATACAGATATATATATATATACAGATATATATATACAGATATATATATACAGATATACATATATACAGATATATATATACAGATATATATATACAGATATATATATATACAGATATATATATACAGATATATATACAGATATATATATATACAGATATATATATACAGATATATATATATACAGATATATATATACAGATATATATATATACAGATATATATATACAGATATATATATATACAGATATATATATTTGATATACTGCATAAAGAAATAAACAAGTTAGTAAGTGTATTTTCTATTGTTTTTTAAATGTTCTATTACAGTCACAATAAGGTAGAGTTTTAAATCATGTTCAAAGAGAAATACCATATTAAAAACACAAAAAATTGCAATGAATAGTATAAGGTTTCTTTTGGGTCAAATTCAGAACGTGTTAGAAACGCAGCCAGAGAGCCAATAACTCAGACCAGGAAACACCAAGACCAAACTGCATCGAGTCGTGGTTCTCCCAGCGGCTCTCTAAATGCCTGGCCATCCTGCAATATAACTGAAAACTCAGCACAGAGCAAAGGGACACATCGTAGGCTGGGTATGAGCACCACAAAATCCATTCCTCTGAAATCTGTGAGCCTGGGGCTGATTTGTAGCTGCTGGGGTTTTGATGCGCTAATTGTTTGTTTACTTTGCCTTGGAGGAGAGGCTGGCCCTCTAAGTGGAATGATCTCATCACCAGCTTCATTCTCCTTTTTGCCAAAACAAACAGCTTCCAATTACTGCTAGGAAGAGCCTCTGATCTCTAATCAGCTACCAAAGGGAGCCTATCGGTGGTACTTTATAGGGCGAATAACGTCCCATTAAGGAAGAATCTCTTAACATCAGTACAATTCTGGAACCCTAGGGCCAAGCTGCCAGCAACCTGCTATTAGTCTTCCAGCAGGATCCCATCCACTTTCTCCCTGGGCATTCTGAAATCTGGCAAAGACACAGACACACATACACACACATCCCGCCTCACTTGCCCACGGACTACTACTTTTCCTCAAACCCTACTGTTTTGAGCCTCCATTGAGAAAACACAGGCAGACAAAGAGCAGGTCCCAGGCCTGCCAATGCTGAGATTGCCAATGGCAGGTCCCAAGCCTGCCCATGCTTAGGGAACTGATTATGTTTAGAGCTTAAGACTCAGCTACACCTGTGCCATCATGGGCAGACCCAGAGGAGGTCAGAGGAGCAGGAGTGTCCAAGATGAAGCATAGGGCATGAAGTCACTCTCAAATGCATCAAGAGTCACCTATAAAGAGACAGGGCTTATCTCAGGCACCACCTCCCTCCTTTCCTTCTTCTTTAATCTTCTAGAGAAGTTGAGAACATAAGAGGAGAGATGTTTCTCCCTAAGTGAGCATATGTCAGCATCGTACCCTTTAACATTACAGGTGACCCTATGAGGAACCGCCACTCCAAAGTAGGTTTAAACTTTCCCAGATGGCTGAATCTTTGACATACAAACAAAGCAAATTAGGTCAGTTTCACAGACGTATGAACAGTGCAGTCCACTATATGCTCACAAGAGGACCTAGGCTTGGGGTATGCTCTGCAATGGCCATGCTGAAATTCTTTGAGTTTGAGTTTTGTATGTAAGAGTCAATAGCACACTGCAGTACTCACTGGAGAGTGGACATGTCAGCTCAGAACCAATCCTGACTCCCACCGCACCCTCACCTCTCCAGGACAGGTTCTCACCGCCCATTCCCCCATCACCTGGCACCTCAGGCCCCACTGGCCTTCTGCTCCCCACCTCCCATCACATGATCCCTGCCCACTATGGTCCCTGCAGGGACCGGGCATGGGTGTAGGGAAGATCAGGGTTGGCCATATGCATGTCATACAGTGTCCCATGGTATGGTTGTGTCTGTCCCCATTCCATGCTAGTAGCATGATGGTGTGTTTGGTGGGTGGCCAGCACGATTCTGAGACACTGGAATGGCACATCCACTGAGGAGGATGCAATAAACCTGGGAGCTGCCCATCTGCTGGGGGCAGGAGCAGCTGGCCTATGAAGGGGAGGCACCTGGCTCAATTTCCAGAGGACCTGTGCCAGGCAAGAGTACAATCCCCGGGTGCAGCAGCAGGCAAAAGAGGGGACCTGGCCAGCATCATGCCTGAGCACATGTGTCTGAGCCCAAGGCCCTAGGTGCCTGTGAGACATGAGTGTTCCCTGGGCACACCCCAAAGCCTTGGGGGAGCCTTCTCTTCCTCCTTCCACCATTCCCGAGTCTGGCCTGTTGGACCCTCTGGCCATTTCAGGGCTCCCTCCAGGAATTAAGTGCTCTGATATTTACATGTAAAGCTGGCATTGCACAATATAAAGAAGAAGAGTTAGCGTCATGCTAAAATTAAACTTTAAAATTTTCTTCACTGAGAACAACATGGATAGGAAATTTAAAACACCATGACAAGTTAACAGAAGCAAGTGGCAGAAGAAAGGAAAACGTTTTATATCTTATTTCCTTTAACAAACACTTTTTTTCTTGCTAAGAGGCCCCACGTTTTTATTTTGCACCAGGGCCTGAAAATTAGGTAGTCAGTCCTGAAGTAAATTATCCAGCTAACCAACAAAATCTTAAAAATAGAAACAAAACCAAAAGCTAGAAGCCATCCTCACTATTAACCCGGCTAAATCGTCAATGAACTGTGTGATGAGCCAACTTTTCAAGACCTCTGAGTTCTTCCCTAATTTAGTAGCTGCCTCCTAGGAGTGTTGTGGGGATTAAAAGAGTAGTACTTGTAAAATACCCAGAAGAGTGGCTGCTCCTTAGTAATCTTCCGGGTAGTGCTAGCTGCTGTATTACCATCACCTGCATCACCCCAACATGTTTTGCATCCTGATTGCATCTTGCAGGGCAGGTGCTTCTCTCCCCCACTGGGCATATGAAGGGTTAACATTCAGGAAGGTGATGTGATGCACCCAAGCTACCCATTCGCGACGCTACAGAGCCTGGGTGTAGAGCAGGTCTGCACAGCCCCAAAGCCCACTTCCCTGTTCCATACCTCACAGACCCACAGCTCCTCTTCACTCTGCTAACCGCACATATGTATTCTACTTGTGAGCCTGAAATAGCTCCATGCCAAATGACCTGGACAAAGCATCCTGGAGCCAGATACTAATATTTCAGGAGGTGCTAACATGCACTGTTTCTTTTCGTGAATGAAGGGCAGCATTCAGTAGTGAAATGATGGGGTTTCCATCCCATCTTCCTTTCTTCCTTTCCAGGTCAGAGCAGTGTTGGATTACTCAGGTATCCCTGGTCTGCATTCCCACCCCCATGCCTCAGTACTGAGTCCCTTGTGTTTTTGGGCGTGGTTGACAGCCACTTTGTGCAGGTGGGGCAGAAACAGCCTGCAGACCTGGAGGTGTCAGGTGTGCACATCTACCCACTGCTTTTCTGTCTTGTTGCTGAAGGGCTGGGCAGTGGAGGACAGTGGGGACAACTGGGGCACAGACTATGAGACGACAGCTTCCTCTGCAGGCCGACGACAGCAGGTCACTGCCCCAGGGAATCTGTGTCACTGCCTACACCATGAGTGCATAGGTTGCGCTCTCCTGAGGCAAGGCCTGACAGCTTTCATAATTGAGAGTCCACATACCTGGCGGGCATCCAGGCTGGAGGCCAGGCAAGCTTCTCCCATCCTTAAACATGGCCTGAAACCGTGCAAGAGAAGATGGAAACAGGCACCTGCTCCAGAGACAGCTTTATGGGTGGGCTCATTTGCAGGAGTTGGGGGCGGGGGTGACCCTGTAGGAAAGCAATCTTCTTAAGACTTCCCGTAGCCCAGTCATGAGTTGTCTGCAGACTGATTGCTCCACCTTCCTTCCTTTTTTTTTTTTTTTTTTTTTTTTTTTGAGACAGTCTTGCTCTGTCACCCAGGCTGGAGTGCAGTGGTGTGATCTCGGCTCACTGCAACCGCTGCCTCCCGGGTTCAAGGATTCTCCTCCCTCAGCCTCCTGAGTAGCTGGGACTACAGCATGCACCACTACACCAGGCTAATTTTTGTATTTTTTGTAGAGACGGGATTTCAAGTTGGCCAGGCTGGTCTCAAACTCCTGACCTCAAATGATCTGCCCGCCTTGGCCTCCCAAAGTGCAGGGATTAGAGGCATGAGCCACTGCGCCCGGCCCATCTTCCTTCTAATTATTAAAAAAAAAAAAAAAAAAAAAAAAAAAGGAAGGCAAGCGGTGGGGAACAGGGAAGCTTGGGGTTTTATAAGGAGAATGTGTTGCTGGCTTTTCAGATCTTAAAAACACTTAATCCCTGCAATTTAGATAAATCAGATAGGCATTACCAGGTTAGGGTTAAGGCTCCCAGAATGGCTTTGCAATTGATTACAAACACAGCACTTATTAAGTCTTAACTGAGTAATTTGCAGCTTATTTCACCCCCAGCTAATTAAAATGTAATCAGGATTGTCTAGCAATGTGCATTCTGTCAGCAGTTTTTCTTCCAAAGAGAAATCATGCCAAGGAGACCACAAGAAAAGCCTTTCACGGGAACTGGCTTCATCTAAGCTGGTGCTTTAGCCACTGAAACTGTAAAACAAATAAATTACAGCACTGACAATTCAAGAAAAAGAAAAAAAAAAGGTACTCTTTCTCCCTGGGAATAGGCTGCTCCGTTTTGTTTTGTTTTCTGTTGTTTCAAACAATAGTGTGGCATCTTAGGAGAGTGACTTTCAGGGTAGGACTCGGAGGGCTGGAAACCAGGTGCCTGGGGATCGGCCCTCTCCTGGCTCTGTCCAGGATGTCTGGGTAATTTCACCACAGGAGGTGAGCACTGGGTCTTCCATTCCCTGAAGACGCAGAAGGACTACAGAGCGTGCCCATTTCTCTGACACCCACGAGACGCTGCTTCTACGACTTAGAACAAACTCAACTGCACACTCGCGAACGCGCCAGCTTCACCAGCCGGTTCAAGATCATCCCCGAGGGTAAGGGGAATCACTTCCACATTCCACCCTTATTAATATGGCCTCCTCTGGCAGCTTAATTCCCAGGGCCTCTAGGGGGACCCCCCCCCCCACCCCTTGACCCAGCTCTGGCAGGAGGGGCGCCCAGTTTAAGAGCCAAGGGTTTGGCTTCCAGTTCCCGCCCAGCCAGGGGAACCCCTCCCCCCAGCCCCCATTTCTCCTTTTGGTCCCTCCAGAGTTTCCCTGAAGCGAGAAATTGGGAACTTGGAACAGGTGGGCACCTAGGGATAGAGGCGAGAAGAAGAAGGAGAGAAGGATGAGAGAAGAGAAAAATAAGCGGAGGATTTCAGAGCTCGCACGCTCGACAGGGCTGGTACAGGCAGCAGCTGCACTCGCTCGCGCTGAGTCCGGAACCTGCTCTCGTGCGCCCACCCGCACCCGGAGCCTCGCGCAAGTCCCGCGGGGGTCCGCGCCACAGGGCAGAGTCCCGGCAACCCGCTGGAGCCAAGCGCGCGGCTCCCGGAGCCTCCCACACAAGCGCGCGCGCACACACACATACTCCCCACCCTCAGGCTGAAAGAACCTACGTTCGGGGTTTGGGGGACGGTTCCCCCGGGACTCGTTGAGGAGTATCCGAATACGGCCCCGCCAAATCCCCTGTCCCCGGCACTTCTTCCCTGACGCTCTACGCTAGTCCAGGGCAAGACCTTGAATCTTTGGGGTTCCGAATTGAGGCGCGCACAGCCACTCGCACCCCCAACACGCGCATACACGCACCCTGGAACACGACTTGGCACAAGTACCCTGGCTGGGGCTCCAAGGGTGGGCAGCGAGCTCTGAGCCCTCAGAGAGTGAAAACCATCTTTCAAAAGAGACAAAGTGTCGGCCCGCGGGCACCTGCGGGGCTGGGGCTCGAGGTGAGGTCCCCAGGCGCAGCCGGACGCGCCTCCCAGACTCCCTCCCAGTGCCCCGGAGCGCCTGGGACTTTGCGGGAGTCGCCGCCCGCCCGGAGTCTCGCGCACTCCAATTCCCGGGAAACCGCCACATCCACACACCCACTCCCAGCATCCACGACTCTCCCTCCCCAGGGAAATCGCCTTTGGTTTCCTGCTGGGAAGGAGGGAGTTGGGGCAAGATGTCTCGGGCTTCTTTTTCTTTTCAGGAGCCGGGAAGAGGCTGGAAAGGAGAGTTCCAGCACCCCGACTGTAAGATCCACGCCCAGGGGAAGCCAGGATCAGCCGGCGGCGCTGGCCGAGAACTTTGCGAGCCCAGGCTGGGAGGCGCGCGCCCCGGTGCGCCCACGCCGCGGCCGCAGCCCCAGAAAGAACCCGGGCGGGGGCCTCCCCGTACCTGGAAGTGCTGGAAGAAGGCGGAGATGCGAGTGATCTGCAGGCTCAGGCACCTGGAGGCGCAGCGAGCGCGCTGGACGCTCCCGGCAGACAGCGACTCGTCCAGCCGCCGCGCAGCAGCCGCGCCGGGGCCGGCCGCCAGGCAGCCGCTGGAGGCCGCCAGCCAGAGGCAGAGGGTCAGGACCGCGCCGGGCACCCCGGGCACCATGGCTGCGGGTCGAGGGCGAGGGCGAGGGCGCCGGGCGCGGGCCGAGGCTCCCTGCTCCGCGCCGGGGCTGCACTGCTGAGGACCAGGCAGACGCCGCGACTGAGCCGGAAAGTTCAATCCTTCAACTCCGGCCGGACCCTCCTCGCCGACCTCCCTCCCAGCTCGCCCTCGAGGGGTGGGGTGAGGGGGACAGGAGGCCGCACCATTGGCTGGAAGGCGTGTGAGTGACAGGGGGGCCGGGCGCAGGGCCCATGGGCCGGTCTCGTCAGCTGCGAGCCCGGGCGCTCCGGGGGAGGGCGACGCCGAGCGGCTTTCCACGCCGCGCAGGTCTCGAGGGGCCCAGCTCCCACGCAGGCGCCTCTCCCGTTCGCACCAACCGCTTCCTGCCCCTCCCACCTTCCCCCTCCGTCCAGGTAAACGTCGGTGTGAGCAGGTCCAGGCCTGCCAGGAGGGGTGCTCCCTTCAGCAGGAGGGAAGAGGCCTCAGGACCCCCAGGGGCGTCCCACCTGCCTGGGGATTGACCCCGCGCCCCTAAGTGGCTTGCTTTCTCCCCGACCTCCCCTGGGTCCAGGCTTTTCCCACGCTTTCACATATTCGAATTTCCTTTGCCCAGGTAGTGGAAAGAAGTGAAGAAAACAAATGGCAGTAAGACAGACGGGGAGGGGAGCGTGGACATTTGCCCTACAGTGTCCCGGAGACAAATTCCTCCTTCTCTCCCTCTTGCATTTCTTCCGTCCTTCCCGCATCCCTCCCTCCCTCCCTCCCGCACTGTTTTCCCTGGAGACAGTCTCAGTGCATAGCTAACCACCTTTAGGTCCACACGCCTTGTTTCCTCAGGTGTCTGTTTTTCTAGTAAGCCTTGCACGCCCCAAAGTGAGTGATTTATTCTAAATAGACTTGCGTCTTAATCTCTTTCTTTCCCCACGATTTGCCCGAGCCTCTTGACTCAGGCTTTTTAGCTTTGGAATGGCTGCTCCGTCCTCTCCTGTCGTTTTTGTCTAGTGTTCTCTCAGCACACAAATTCTCCCTCCCCAGCCAGGATCCTGCCACAGAAAGACAGGAGGCATTGATAAGACACAACTTGTAACAAAGCTCTACACTCCCCTGAGCCCCATCAGGAAGTGACAGTCCCCTTGCAGGTAGGAGAGCCCAGAGAAAAAAGACCCAGGCACACTCCTATTCGAATGGACAACAACTGACTGCTGTTCCTTTGCTCTGACATCTCCACCCTCTCCTACCCAATTGCACTTTCACCTTCGAAAACGGGATCTCTATAAGCACCCAGCTAAGCACAGTCAGGGTATCTAGATGCACTCGCTCTACTCAAAGCTACATCAGAAGGCTGGAATCCTCTTTGCACAAAGCCTATATAGTTGTTTTGCAATTTCCCACCCTTTTCCCTATTCTTATACACAGGTTCCACTCTGCAATTTTGAGATCTGCCTGTTAACAAATTGCAATGACAGCCATCTGCAGCTATCCTATTATGAGTGCTTTTCAAATACATCATCTTACATGTGTATTTCTTCACATAGCTTAAATCAGAAAGGCCAGTCAAATTAATTGGCCTTGGTGTGTTTCTCAGCGAATTAGAAAATCAGGGTCATCTTGTTCAAAAGGTTCTATAGGCAAAGCCAGTTTCATGGACATGCAAGCTGTACAATGGTACAGTCGCACTCTTAGAAGGCCTGTTCTGCCATCACCATCCTGAAACTCTTCACAATGACAGTGGCCTGTTAGGAACTGGGCCGCGGCAGGCCAGGGAACATTACTGCCTGAGCTGTGCCTCAGGTGAGAAATCAGTGGCAGCATTAGATTCTGATAGGAGCTTCAGTCCTATAGTGAACTATGCATGCGAGATGTCTAGGTAGCGCACTCCTTATGAGAATCTAATGTCGATCTGAGATGGAGCAGTTTCATCCCCAAGCCATCACTTGCTACCCCCAGGTCCATGGAAAAATTGTCTTCCATGAAACCAGTCCCTGGTGCCAAAAAGGTTGGGGCCACTCTTTACTTGGGCTGGAAACCTAGTAATTTTGGCATAAGCTTACACGACTTCAATGATTTGTTTTAAAATTGCTCAGAATTGCAAATGGAAATATTTTTTAAGTATGTTAAACATAATATTAACGAAGAGTAAAGAAGCTAACTATAATGACCCCAAGCAGGCATGTGTATAAAGCCAAGTGTCAATAAATAATGATGTCTGAATACCGAGATTGTCTTCTAAATGTTGTCACTTTCATTTGTGAATTACTAAAAACATTTCCAAAAGCTGTAGGGGATCCTTTCCTAGTGTTTGTTTGGAGTTGTTTTGTTTTGTTTTGAGACGGAGTCTCACTGTCACCCAGACTGGAGTGCAGTGGTGCAATCTCGGCTCACTGCAACCTCCGCCTCCCGGGTTCACGCCATTCTCCTGCCTCAGCCTCCCGAGTTGCTGGGACTACAGGCGCCCGCCACCACGCCCAACTAATTTTTTGTATTTTTAGTGGAGACGGGGTTTCACCGTGTTAGCCAGGATGGTCTCGATCTCCTGACCTCGTGATCTGCCTGCCTCAGCCTCCCAAAGTGCTGGGATTACAGGCGTGGGCCACCGTGCCTGGCCTGTTTGGAATTTTAAAGTTAAGCAAATATGTGGTCTTGGTGAAGGCAAAGATATTATGTACACCGACATTTTCTTAGGTAACTTTGATTTATAATTTTGCATGTCATATCATGAAATGCATATTCCAGAAAGTGAAATCACAAGGACAAGCATGCTGAGCTTTTAAAAACAGCCTTTGGATGTTCACAGGGGTTGCCGTTTTTTTTTTTTTTTAAAAAGCAGTGTGTGTGCTACTTATATGGGTTCCATAGCATATTCATTTCTATGAATAAATGCGTTTTGTAATAAACCACAAAGGAGAACAGTCAGTTTAACAGAAAACTTGGTTTTAAACATATAGAGCCACCTTATTATAAATATGTTAAAATAATATTTGCAGTTATATTGCTTTCTTCCTTTAGAATAATCACAGACATCCTCTGTGATTACGCAGGCCTTTCTCATATTATTTACTTTAATTGCAGCTTAAAGTAACTTTTAAAAGGAAAGCATTCTAGTAAAGTCAGAATAACAGTCAAATTTCGGTGTTTTTTTGTTTTGTTTTGTTTTCATTCTGCCCATGTATGCCCAACTTATTATGCAGCTCACCTTGCAAACTGAAACATGGAAGTTCTCTGACTTTTGACATTACCAGGTAAGCCACAATCTAAGTTCATGAAAGCCAACCACAGGGGAGGAGAACCCTAAGAGTATGCTGAGGAAATGATGGATAAAGGGGTAGGACCCTCGGGTGCAGCTAGTAAGACGGTACTTAGTATGTCTTTCTCCAAATCTCCTTGACCCCCATGATCCGAATTTGTCTAGAGAAGAATTTAACTTCACATTGACTTTGGTTTGACTTAAATAGACAAACACACATTTAACAAAGAGAGTAGAAAAGCACCTTAATTATCTCTTATTTATATCTACATGAACAAAGATAGACCAAAATGTGTGGTTGTCTTGGTCAGGTTCTGGAGAAATCACACAAAATAAAGCCCTCTTTCACAGTTTCCAAAAATTATTATTTTCCTTGTATTTTAATTATTGGTTTTTCTTTTCTTTCTTTTTTTTTTTCCTGTTTTTCTGCAGAGAATGAGAAACACCTGAAATCTTTACTAAACATAGACTCCAGGGCCCTAAATTGAGAGATTCTGAGTCAGTATATCCGGGGTGGAGGGTTGAAATGTCAGCTTTTAAATAATACCCCAAGTGATTCTATACAAATTCAACCAGGGACTACACTTTGAGGGATAATTGATTTTAAAAGTACATCTGAAGCCCGACTCGGTGGCTCATGCCTATGATCCCAGCACTTTGGGAGGCCAAGGCAGGAGGATCACTTGAGCTCAGGAGTTTGAGACCAGCCCGGGCAACACGGTGAAACCCCATCTCTACAAAAAGTACAAAAATTAGCCAGGAATGGTGGTAGGTGGTAAACATCTGTGGTCCCAGCTACTCAGGAAACCTAGGTGGGAGGACTGCTTGAGCCCAGGAGGTCGAGGCTGCAGTGCACCCAGATCATGCCGTTGAGTTCCAGCCTCAGTGACAGGGCCAGACCCTGTCTCAAAACAAAAAACAAAACAAACAAATAAAAAAAAGTACATAACCATTAAAAATGGTACAAAAAATTTTATTTAAATAGCATCTATGATTTACTGTTGTTTAAAGTATCTTTTTTTAGATGTGTGTTTATATGGATTGGACATACTAGTCTATTTCTTAACAATCAAATGGACATATTTTTCCAGTACATTTAGCTAAGACTCTCTTAGACTCATTGTTTTTTTCAGAAAGCAACTTGCCTTTTTAAAGGGCTTTCAGCTACACTGGATAAGGATAAAGTTTGAAGGTAGCAAATATAATCTTTATCTGACATGCCTCTCTTGGAAAAGCAAAATGAGAACTCACTCAAAACTTGGAGAACAAATACTTAAATATGACAGCATTTAGGAGTCATGAACAAAACGACATCGTCCCTGGTTTTGGTTCTCAGGGGAAAGTAAAGTGAGGGGAAGAAAGTCACAGATGAGGTCTAGTTTCCTTTCTAGTTGCCTCCATTTGATGATGCAAGAGTGTGCATCTTCCCTTAGAAACTGCAGTTCACTTCAGGAAAAGCAACAGTGGCAAGATGAAGGAGTGTGCCCTGCAAGCTCACTGGCCATGACCCATACTTCCACCCTCTCAGGCAATGTTCTCAGGCTTTGCTAGCTCAGTTCCGCTAAAGCTCTTCTTTAACCGCTTTCCTTCTCCTCCAGACTTAATTTCTCTTCTGCACAGCACAGGATACAATTAATAACTGAATGGATAAATGTCAGATTTTCATCTTTCGCAATATGGTTTCAGGCAGGAATGAGGTGTACCTTTATGGTACTGTACCCATCTGTTCCCGATGGCCAATTTAATGATTTTACAAATAACAATGATTGCTTTTGGCATAGGGTCTTTGAATATACACTCTAGTTTACACAAAAGACCACCGCATCCATTTACAGTCTTCTGCTTTCTTTTATCACCTTGCAAGGCTAGATACCCTATTTGGGGATAACTTTAGCATATAACACATTTTTCACCTTCAACGAGATTATAAAAATTTAGTTGCAGTCCATACAGTTTAAAGCGATCACTTTTATTAGTCATCTTGATGTTTCCTAAGATTTTACAAAGTTTCAGAATTGTGTTTCCTATTACTTTTGTGCACTAAAGACTATTTTAATGACATTTAAACTTCCTTTGCAAAATATACGAAAAATTGTCAAATACTATGATTTCTAACTACCACCACTTCTCAATAATTTGTCTCTTTGCCCTTTCATATTGTCATGTCATCATCAATCAGTGTTAAATTTGTTTGCTGCCTGTTTACACTTGTGCTGAGAGTCTGGACTAAGAAATTGCTAAGGTATTTTTCCTGGCTGCAATCGTTACTAAAGTTAAAATAATTAGTAAAAAATAGGCCGGGTGCGGTGGCTCATGCCTGTAATCCCAGCACTTCGGGAGGCCGAGGCGGGCGGATCACGAGGTCAGGAGATCGAGACGATCCTGGGCAACGTGGTGAAACCCCGTCTCTACTAAAAAAAAAAGAAAAATTAGCCAGCCTCGGGAGGCTGAGGCAGGGGAATCACTTGAACCTGGGAGGCGAAGACTGCAGTGAGCCGAGATCGCGCCACTGCACTCCAGCCTGGTGACAGATCGAGACTCCGTCTCAAAATAAAATAAAATAAAAATAAATAAATAAAGTATGTCAGAGGACGTATTTTCATGTGTCAAGAGCAATTGTCTGGCGATGGGAATGGTGATGTGCAATGGTGATGTTCGGCTGTGGGTGCACTTTCCCTCCCGGAGCCCCACCATGAATCGGTCTCTCTAGCACATGTGATGGCCTCTGTTGATTCTGGTGTCTTACACAGCAGAACAGATGCTGCACCCAGCAAGGAGGGTGGGTTTTTGAAACCCAGTGGTTTCACAGGCTGCTTGACGCCCGTAAAATGAACGCTTGCCCCAGTGACAAGGCAGTTAGCTAATTTTACCCTACTTCTAACATTACCAACACTATTATAAGCAACCATAAATACTTAGGGCTCTCATGTCAAATTCTCCGTACAAGCCGTAGATATTGAAAAACATACAAATAGTTAGAAATACTTAAAGTCAAATGTGGGAGGCTATTAAAAATATAAACAATAACTATTGTATTTCAAAAATGTATGACAAAAATGTTACTGGCTTGCCCCTAAAATATTTGGAGAAGCATAAACAAATTAATAGAAGCATGAATTTAGTGAAGTCTTAAATGATATAACTTTAATTAAAAATGACATTTCTCACTTTCGAGTGGCCTATTTTTCATGTGAAGAGCATAATGTTCTTTTCAGTAAAATTTGTACTTAAAATTTTGTAAAATGAGACTTTTTTGAAGCAGTTTTTTTAAACAAAGCTCAAATAAATGATCATGTTTATTCTGAATTTCATGTTTAAACATGAAAATAAATCTACAAGTGCTCTTCAGAATTACTGAAACTCTATTCTGTTGAAAGTATTAAGTGGGTTTTTGTTCTCTGATGTTTTCAAGCCTTTTGAAATTGACATTGAGCCACATAAATACCAAGCGATTTGGAGAGAAGCCGCTGGAAATTACAAAAGCAGCTTTTTAACAGGAGACAGCGCCACACGCTGGCCATTTAAATAAAACGGGAAGGAAAGCACAGAACCGTCTCTGTGAGATAACCTAATTTTAGGACAAAGCTGTCCACTCTACAGCATATATCTGACTGGGGTAATCATGCCACATTTTCACTTAGCACTAACTTAATTACTTCCAGTGTGGATTTCAATATTGCAAGGCGTTCCTGCATCTCTACAGTCACACTGACCTAAATTAGGGAGATTAGTATAGCAGTTTCAAACAATTTTTTCCTAACTTTTAAACACTTTCCAAATATTCCCTACAAAATTAACTGACAAAGGTGGACTGTGAATTACATCTATGGAAGCATCTGTTTGGAACCACTTTTTTTGCAGCTCCTACATGGCTTGCTTTTTAAGATTTTGTAAAATGTGAGAACATATGAATAAAATTTGACGCCAGGGAAAAGAAGGGCAAAAAAAGTTGACAGGCTTTATCTGCTGCCTTAGAGAACATGAAGAAGACCCAGAAACTACCTTTCAACACTCGCCAGCCGCTCTGCACAAGATGAGACAACAGCCAAGAGATGAACATAAACATGTTTGGAAACCTGGGGGAAGCCCTGCATTGCTCCAAGACCAAGCGGGCAGGGCCTCTGAATGTAACTAAGGCATGAACTAACTGTTTCCTCTTCTGTATCCACTGGAGCTAATAAAAAGCATCCCCTAGGACCACAAATAAAACAAAACAAAGAGACATATTTTATTTCCAGGATTTTCTGTAGTGGCTAGCATGAACCAACTGGAGAATATTCCGCTCTGAGATTGAATTTTGGGTGTTTCAGAGTCAGAGAGCAAAGCTGACTCCCTTCTGGTCTCTTCTCCTCATTGTTTCTGGGACTCTGAATGCCCAGCCCTCCTCAGGCACTATGTAGCACATCAAAGGTCGACTTTGAGTTCCATGGAGTGCCAAGGCCAGGAGTTCACTTCGCCTTTTGTTTTCTTAGCAATCTGTGTTTCACTGGGACACAGATGGACAACAGTTGAATATCAAACATGGTAAATGGAGCCTGGGCAACATAACAAGACCTTGTCTCTGCCAAATAAATAAATAAATAAATAAAATAAAATAATCAGGGCAAGTGGCACACACCCCTAGTCCCAGAGAGGCTGAAGTAAGATCGCCTGAGCCTGGGAGGTTGAGGCTGCAGTGAGCTGTGATTGCACCACTGCACTCCATGCTGGGTAACAAAGTGAGACCCTGTTTTCTAAAATAATAAGAAAACAGAAAAGAAAAAAAGATGGTGAATGGGATTCACTTGATGTTTAAATGGCGATTCCTAATGGGAATGTTTCTTCCTGGTCTTTCTGGACATTGCCTGAGATAGCTAAGGTAGTTAGCAACATGGTAACAACTTCTGTGCTCAAAAAGAAACTGAAGGGGAGGTGTCCATATGTATTCAACACTTTTCTTTTTCCTCTCCTGCAAATAATTAGTAGCTACCATTCTGAATTGATGAGAGTTCAGGTGGTATTTATCCCTGAGGAATTTATTTCCAGCATCTCAATGTTCATAATGCTTTTCATATATGGAGGAGGACGGTGCTAGGAAAAGCATTCAGTTGAGAGCATTCATACAGGCAGAAATGCTCCTGAATTACTGATACAGAGGAAGCCAGTGAAGACCAGTGGCGTGATTGGAGAAATGGTCAGCTCATTTATATTAGTAGGATGTCGCCCAGTGAATTACTGCTTCCTGGCATTATGCACAAAGAAAGAAATGAAAAGAGATCTAAACCCTTTTCTGTTTTCAGAAGATTAGGTGCACATGTTCATTGTTTATTTAAAATCAAAAGACTTTTTATCATTGTCTGCAAAAACTTTAAAGTTATGACTATCATAACTGCCTACTCAGACATTAAGGGATTATAAGACATCATAGATAGATAGATAGATAGATAGATAGATAGATAGATAGATAGATAGATAATTTAGATAGATACAATTTTGTATGTATATATACACAAAATTTCCATAAGTACAAGGACTATTTGTAGACTCTATTTTTCTTTGTCAGTTTGTACATTTTAATTCTAATTATATAATTTAAATTTTACAAGCCTTATTATTTTTGTTTTATACACTCAATATTCATTATGATTTAATATTTATTTATCCTTTACATTGCTTCTTCTTTCTTATATTTCCATGTTTCCATCTGGGATCATTCCTTCTGCTGGAAGAAGTTAAATATATGCAACTGTATATATATATTAGTATGGTTCTATTGGAAACAGATTTTCTCAGATTTCCTTTTTTTTTTTTTTTTTTTTGAGATGGAGTTTCGCTCTTTTTGCCCAGGCTGGAGTGCAATGGTGCGATCTCGGCTCACCGCAACCTCCGCCTCCTGGGTTCAAGTGATTCTTCTGCCTCAGCCTCCCAAGTAGCTGGGATTACAGGCATGCGCCACCACGTCCGGCTAATTTTGTGTTTTTTAGTAGAGAAAGGGTTTCTCCATGTTGGCCAGGCTGGTCTTGAACTCCCGACTTCAGGTGATTTGCCCGCCTCGGCCTCCCAAAGTGCTGGGATTACAGGCGTGAGCCACCATGCCCGGCCTCAGATTTCTTTTTGAGGGGATGCATTGCCATGTCTTTGTTTCATTTTTATTTTTGGAGAATACTCTTTCTACAACAGAATTCTAGATTAGCAGTTATATCCTGTCCTCATTATCGTTGTTCATTTTTTCAAAGTAGAACACGGGTCTTTTCTGTCATTTTGGACCAGAAGATTTCCCACTCAGTGGTCTTCAAGCCACTCAGCAGACAAGGGAATTACTTCTTGCTGAGGATACAAAAATCTCCCCATCTGCTTTGCTCTTACCTTGTTGAGCTTATGGAACTGACTTATTCCCAAGACCCCTTCCTTTGAAACTCCTGTTCCTAAACAGCACATATCCCTAGATTTCCCATGTCTCTTCCTCAGTTTTTTTCCCTGGAGCCTCTTTTTACATCCTTCTGGATTCGTCACTGTTCTTGAAATAATCTGTTCCATGTGATAGAATCGAAGGGCAAGTTGGACAAGGAGGCTTTGCATGGGAAAGAAGTCCATGTGGCAGGAATTGAGGACACTGTTGCTCTACCTTACAGAGCCCAGTCAGTACTGGGGCTCTGTCTTCTCTCTATGCTGTGAAAACCAGAATCTCGTTTGCCAGTCCTGACTTGGTGTCCACTTGGGTGAGGGGCTCTGGCCCAGGTGTGGGTCATTTATTTTTGACCGGGGCCCACCACAGACCCTGAGTTTCCTTCCCAGAGATGAAGACTCTGCTTTGGGTCAAGCAGCTATGCAAAGAGGCGGTGTCTACGAGTGGCTCCTTGGGGGCCTTTCCCTAGTTGCTCTGCAGAGCTGTAAGATTTGCATGTGTCTCTCTCAACCACCTCTGCCCTGAGCTTTCACTACGCTACGTAAGACCAACTCCCTGTTGGGCGTTTCCAAGGGCGAGACACACGCACAATCCTGCCTCAGGAACCCAGCCCCCATTGCCCAGTGCAGGAAGCGTGCCTGGCCTATTGCAAAAGTACCCAAGACGGTCAATTAAATAAAAGCTGCTGAAAGCATAGAGCCTGCAAAAGACTGCCTGGGTATGAACCCCAGTCGACCCTGTGGAAGCTTTTAGAAGTGTGGACTTGGGGATATTATATATGTTCTCTGTAGCTCAGTGTTCTCAAATGGAAAATGGGAAAAACATACCAACTTTGTGGTGTCATAAGTATTCACTGAGTTAATATCGGTGAACACCACCGGAAGTGTTAGCTCTTATCACGTCTTTCTAAAATTAGGATATGCTATTATTGTTGCCCTCTTTAAAAATCATGGCTGGATCCCCCCTGCTGATGTGACAGTTGTTTATCATGCAGTAAGAGTTGCTTTATAATGTCTTCCCTCCTCAAAGTTCATCTTTCCCCAGACCCATCAGTGTCAGCCACGCTACGGAAGAACTAAACAGCTGGCGCCTTCACGCTGTCACTCCATGCCCATGCCAGTGGTGGATGTTGCTCTCTCCCCTGAAATGGTCGTCTCTCCTCTTGGCCTGCCAACCCTGGTGCACTGAGAAATGTATTATTGTCCCCACCTTAGGTAACTGTATTGTCCTATGGGCAGCCTTTTCTAACATTCTCAGATGACACCTCCTGAGTATTTTCTTCATGCTGTTCATTTTTATTATGTTCGCCACGCCTTATCAAGTCTTTGTTTACATGTCCATGTCCATCTCCACTTCTTATGGCTGATGGCTATTTCTGATAGGCGCTCAACAAATTATTTGCCTGGAACTGGAAATACTCGACACTCCTCAATTTGCGGCCTCTTTTTTTCTTACAACTTCTTAATTGTTGTATTCAATATGTAATTTTTACTCTAGGTGTTCAGAAGTATGATATAAGAATTTACGAATAGCATAAACGTTATCTGAAATTATGGAGGCCTAAACCCAAAATTCATCAGACCACATTCTCTCTGCTTCCCAGAATGTATTAGTAGTTTGGCTGATTTAATGCTGGCTGTCCTGGTTACACTTGCCAGCAGGGGGCACCAAAGGGCTACCCTGGGAGAAAGCCCCAGAACTTGCTTCCAAAGTCAGAGTTGACACTGGAGCCTGAAGTTCCCTCATAGACAAGACACCTTCGAAGACAAAGCTTAAGATGGCAATAATGAATTATCCTCCAGCAAAGCCTGAAGAGGACCAGCGAAGCAAGGAAGGAAATCCTCAAACCATTACCTGAGAGACAAATCAGGTGTCAGATCAAAGATGAATTTAGTATTAGAGAGATACTTCTTAAGTAAAGCACAAAATGCATTAACTAAAAAAAGATAGAGAGGCCGGGCGCAGTGGCTCACATCTGTAATCTCAGCACTTTGGGAGGCCGAGGCGGGAGGATTGCCTGAGGTCAGGAGTTCGAGACCAGTCTGGCGAACATGGTGAAACCCCGTCTCTACTAAAAATACAAAAAAAAAAAAAAAAAAAAAAAAAAAAAAAAAATTAGCCGGGCATGGTGGCGTGTGCCTGTAATCCCAGCTATCCAGGAAGCTGAGGCAGGGGAATTGCTTGAACCAGGGAGGTGGAGGTTGTAGTGAGCCGAGATCATGCCACTGCACTCCAGCCTGGTGACAGAGCAAGACTCCATCAAAAAAACAAAACAAAACAAAACAAACAAACAAACAAAAAACAGAGAGAGAGAAAATTTCAATCCACTTGGTCATGTTAAAATTAAGGCATATTGTTTACCAAAGACATCTTAAAGAAAGAAAAGAGACTAATTACAATGTGGTAGAAAATGCCTTCACAATACACACCAGACAAAGTGTTGGAATAAAGAATATGGAATTAATTCCTACACATGAAAAGAAAAGAGCACAAACAGAACAAAAAAAAAAAAGAGAAAATCTTATAAACAGGCATGGACAGAGGAAGAAACGTGTTTCTAAAAGACATGTTTAGCATCATTGGTGATTGGAAAAAATATAAAATAAGCCCACACTCTCTGTTATTTTTTACTTTGGCAACAATTTAATAAAAGTCTGACCATGCTAATTCAGCTGCAATTTAGAAGTCTGACCATGCTAACTTCTTTGAAAGTGTATGGCTCTACAGCATCTTTTATTTTTAAGATATTAGAGATGGGGTATTACTATTGCCCGTGCTGGTCTCAAACTCCTGGATTCAAGCGATCTTCCTGTCTCAGCCTTCTGAGTAGCTGGGACTACAGGCATGAACCGCTGCACCTGGCTTCAAAGCATCTTTGATACTTTGCTGGTGCGAGTATCGATTAATGCAATGACTCTGGAAAAGAGTCGGACATCACCACCAAAAAACCAACCACCCGCATAGATGACGATCCCTCATTTTCACTCCTGGTGCAACCCAACTGAAGCTACCGCATATATATTATCAAAGTCTTGACCAAGCAACTTTACAGCAGCACAGCTCACGTTATCAAAATCCTGAAACCAATAAAGTGTCCATCGATAGGACAACAGCTGCATAAACTCTTGCACATTCACATACTGAAATATTGTACAGCTGTTAAAATTAACTACAGAAATGCATATGTTAAACAAAAACCTTAACAGTATGTGAAAAAAATGCCAACAGACTACACATGGTAAGATATACTATCTCTTTATAAAGTTAAAGGTAACTAGAATAAAAAAAATACTTATTAGTAGCAAATATATGCAATAGGGCAGGCGCCATGGCTCATGCCTGTAATCCCAGCACTTTGGGAGGCCAAGGTGGGTGGATCACTTGAGGTCAGGAGTTCGAGACCAGCCTGGCCAACATGGCAAAACCCTGTCTACAAAAATAGAAAAATTAGCCGGGCATGGTGGCATGCACTGTAGTACCAACTACTCAGGAGGCTGAGGCAGGAGAATAGCTTAAACCCAGGAGGCAAAGGTTGCAGTGAGCAGAGATCGTGCCACTGCACCCCAGGCTGGGTGACAGAGGGAGACTCTGTCTCAAAAAAAAAAAAAAAACACAAGTATATGCAATAAATTTATATAAAAGGGGAAGAAGCGATCATCGTAGACATAGATTATAAGATAATAGTGGGTAAAACAGGAGGATTTGTTGATTGTATAAGGCCTAGCTTTTGTTAGTGGCAGTGGGATTTTCTGGTGTCCATTACGCTATTAACAATACCTAATTAAATAGTTAGCTAAATAAGTAAAATGGGCTATACCTGGAACAATGTTGCAAATGTCACGGACCAGGAGTTACAATTTATCTAACTCAGTGTACCTGAAAATTAAAAATATAATGAAGTCAAAATAACAGTGCCAGACACTGCATGGTCACTTAAGCAGCAACACAGGGTCCTAAGCTTCTGTTGCAATATTAAATGCATCATTTGTTAAAAGAATGGGTCAGAAAGCAATGGTTTGTTTGTTTGTTTGTTTTGTATTCTTTCTGGATGGAAAGTCAGAGAAGAATAAGGCTTAGTAATTGAGTGTTTTTCTTAGGAATAATAAGGAACCAAAAGATAGTGTTCAGATGACTGAAAAGTGTTAGCCTTGGGGATAAAATAGCCCTAGACTTTTGTAGAGCTGTCTCAAGTACCTAGTGAAACAATATGTCACTGTCAGAAAAAATGAGAAGGTAAAGAGTCCAAGACAGGGAACTGACACATGAGGAGAAGATGAGAACTCCGTGGTTTAAACAACCCATGCTTGCAATGACACTGGTCTTCTTTTTTTATTATTATTTTTATTTTTCCATAAGTTATTGGGGTACAGGTTGTATTTGGTTACATGAGTAAGTTCTTCAGTGGTGATTAGTGGGATTTTGGTGCACCCATCACCTGAGCAGTGTACACTGCACCATATTTGTAGTTTTTTTGTCTCTCGTCCCCCTCCCGCTCTTCTCCCCAAGTCTCCAATCTTTGGCATGGGTGCGATGAACAGGGAACACTTCTACACTGCTGGTGGGAATGTAAACTAATACAGTCGCTATGGAAAACAGTGTGGAGATTCCTTAAAAAACTAAAAGTAGAACTACCATTTGATCCAGCAATCCTGCTACTGGATATCTACCCAGAGGAAAAGAAGTCATTATTCGAAAAAGATGTTTGCACACACATGTTTATAGCAGCACCATTCACAATTGCAAAATTGTGGAACCAACCCAAATCAATCAACAAGTAGATAAAGAAACTGTGATATATATATGATGGAATACTATGCAGCCATAAAAAGCAATGAATTAACAGCATTTGCAGTGCCCTGGATGAGATTGGAGACTATTATTCTAAGTGAAGTAACTCAGGAATGGAAAACCAAACATTGTGTGTTCTCACTGATATGTGGGAGCTAAGCTATGAGGACGCAAAGGCATAAGAATGAGGCTGGCCTTCTGTGGAGCTCACTGTGCCTGTCTGCAGGGAGGGAATGCCTTTCTTTATAGTTTTTCACTCTCCTGGGAGACACGGATTTCAGGATCAGCATTATATGCATAATGTTCAAAATAAAATGGGCCAAATGAGATCACATAGGAGTAAGTGTGGGTATAAAACAGCTATAAGGAGATTTCAGAGGATTTTAAAAGGCACCACAAGCTAGAAAAATAGTTACTACAATAATATGTCTTTCCTTATATCTACAGGTTGGTGAGCTCTGGAATGTGCAGACGGGTAATTTGGGCAAATTTTAAGTAATGCAATATTGGGAAGTAATATGTGGGAAATCTCTCTGTGTCAGTCATTTGAGGTTTTCTGCTACTTTTATTGAATTGTATTCTTTTATCTCTGTTAAGACTCATTTACTTTCCAATTACTTGGGTGAGTTTCAGGAGAGACTCCTGTTAAATGTGCTTTTTAAATGCTATTGGGAGACTATTCAGTAATATGATAAGTCAACTTCTGTTTATTTCTAACTTCGTAACTAATTCCGGGAAAGTTCTGAGCACATGGTGGGGAGAGACGGAGAGAGACGGAGAGAGACAGAGAGAGAGAGAAAGAGAGAAAGAGACGGGGGTGGAGAGAGAGAGAGAGATAATACTTGCACCACTGTAATTAAAGTGAAGGGAAGTGAATAAGAATCCAAGTAAAAAAGCAGACTGTTTAAGTTCAAACCACAGCTAATTATTCTTCTTTTTTTTTTATTATACTTTAAGTTTTAGGGTACATGTGCACATTGTGCAGGTTAGTTACATATGTATACATGTGCCATGCTGGTGAGCTGCACCCACTAACTCGTCATCTAGCATTAGGTATATCTCCCAATGCTATCCCTCCCCCCTCCCCCCACCGCTAATTATTCTAAAAGCGATTTTAAAATTCTCAATCCACAGGCATTTTTATGTGCTGAGTTTTATTGTTGTTGTTGTTGTTGTTCTTTGTTTGTTTGTTTTTTGAGATGCAGTCTCGCTCTGTCATCCAGGCTGGAGCGCAGTGGCGTGATCTCAGCTCACTGCAGCCTCCGCCTCCTGGGTTCAAGCGATTCTCCTGCCTCAGCCTCCTGAGCAGCTGAGATTACAGGCAGGTGCTACCACATCTGGCTGATTTTTGTATTTTTTGGTAGAGATGGGATTTTTCCATGTTGGCTAGGCTGGTCTTGAACTCCCAGCCTCAAGTGATTCGCCTGCCTCAGCCTCCTAAAGTGCTGAGATTACAAGCACCTTGCTCGGCAAGTGCTGGTTTCTAATTACAGATAAATTATAATGGCTTTGATTTAGACTTGCAATCTCACACACTAACAGCATGAAATACTACATAAGGTGAACTATTATTATTATTATTATTATTAGCTTGCCTCTCTGATGAGTCACTGAAATATTCACTATAAAGAAATGGACTTAGAACTTGAAGGTTGCCACAAAGTTGTCAAAACAAAGAAGGAAATACTTTTATTATATTCCAAAACTTTCTTTTCTGTTTTTTAATGTGGATTTTTCTTTAAGTGAAAGAAAATCTTCTTTTATAAAATATAAACAAGTACATAGGAACTTATGGAGTAATGACAGCTGTTAAATTCTGGTTTAAGTTGGAGAATTGTGTCATTTTATTTGTGGATACTTTTAGTGTGGATAAGATAAATCAACTGTGGGTGGTTTTGAGTTCCTGCATTATTTTATTTATTTATTTATTTTGAGACGAAGTCTTGCTCTGTTGCCCAGGCTGGAGTGCAGTGGTGCGATCTCGGCTCACTGCAAGCTCCGTCTCCCGGGTTCACGCCATTCTCCTGCCTCAGCCTCCCGAGTAGCTGGGACTATAGGTGCCCGCCACACTAATTAGCCCGCCGGGCTAATTTTTTGTATTTTTAGTAGAGACGGGGTTTCACTGTGTTAGCCAGGATGGTCTCGATCTCCTGACCTCGTGATCTGCCCACCTCGGCCTCCCAAAGTGCTAGGATTTCAGGCGCGAGCCACCGCGCCCGGCCTACATTATATCATTTAAATGGGTGCTGCTCAATGCTAAAAACTATTAGGAATTTTAAAATGCAGAGGCCTAGGCCCTACTGCGAGACATCCACATTTAATTGGTCTGGGGTGGCTTTGGTGTCAGTATTGTTTAAAGCACCTTGGTGATTTGAATGCCTCCAGGTTAGAGAATCAACAAGAAGAATACTTTTCCCTAAATTCAAATAGTAGATTTCAGAAAAGTCCTGGTAATTGGATTAAAATAATGGGAAACTCATGGTTTCTCAACATCAACCCCATTGACGTTTTAGACAGGATCCCTCTTCGTCTTGGAGACTGTCTTCTGTGTGGGATTTTTAGCAACAACCCTGGCCTTTCACCACTAGATGGTAGTAGAACCTCTTACCACTTACAACACCAACTGTGTCTCCGACATTGCCAAAGGGACCCCGGTGGGGCAAAATCGCCCCGCTCCCCAATTGAGAAGCACTGACATAACCAATCCCATGTTTTTCAAATCATCCATTAGTTCTAGGAAAACCAACCAAATAAATAAACACATCCTTCAACTAAAACAGCATTATATAACAACACACACACAGAGACACACACACAGACACGAACACGTAACACACACGTATGCACACAGATACACACACACAACACAGGACACAATATTTTAAAAAAGATGTTAAACAACCCACAGCACAGAATGTTTCATTCAAAACATTTTGGGTGATGTTTCGAAGGAAAAATTAACCAATGTGGATGTTTTCCATTTCTTCTACTGTTCCACTACTCCATGCCCCACCCAAACCCTGCCTTCTTGCAGTTCCTATTCAAATAGTCTCAATGGAACTTCTTATAGAGATGAAAACCTTTCTATCTTCCTTTCTCTAACTAGAGAAAGGCTGGAAATAGCACCTGCAAGAGCTCCCTCCCAATAAACTGCAATTTACTGACAGTTTATCGTCTATCAGGTATCAAAGGTGTCCACAGGAAGAACAATGAGAAGCATTTATTTTGCTTCATTTGTTTGCTCTTATTCTCCTTTTTCTCTTGATGGTGGAAGAAAAGTAAGCTTAAATAGCTTTGTTTCTAATTTGATCTCCCCTCTCCCAGTAATTTTGTGTTTCACCTCTCTGGCAGCAAGTTCAACATTATTTATTCACTCAGTAACTCTCTGAGCCTCCTTCTATGTTTCAAGTCCTGGTCTAGACAGGGTGATATAATAGCAGGCTACATAAAGTCTCCACCCTCTTGAAGGTTACTTATTAACAGCCAGAGTTATCTCCATCACTCCACACTTTATTTCTGACTATGCAGTTTGCATTTTCTATTGCATGAGCTCTTGTTTTTAACAAACTTATGAATGTTTGTGACTAAAAATGTTAAGATTGCTTTTCAATGTTGAACTTGCAGTCCTCTTCTTGCTCTGCTGGGATCATATGTAACCAGCATGCCATTTTGAGTGATTTGACAAACATTCCTGGCACTGTGTTGAATAAGTTCTAAAATAATGAATGTTGAACAAGGAGAGGGCACCTCCAGTAGCCCCCAAATGGGACCTCAGGTCCGAGGTCATCATTGGTCCCATCAGCAGTGGGTAATCTGAGGGATGCAGCTTTATTCCAGGTTGCCTCATCAGAATAGAGCCCTTGAATGGGGCTATCTGCAGTGGCATGTCACATGGCTCAGTCAGCTGCTGTGATGTATGAATTTTCCAACTAAGAAGCCCCTGCGAGTCCATAAAATAAAACAAGTTTCATCAACAGAGTCTTGTGCAGAGCTGTGAAAACAGCCTTGAGTTCTCCCCACTCCAGGTTTTGCGTGGACATTGCTGAAGCTGAACATCCATGGCAACACAGTGGATACCATTGGGTTTCATCTTAGGCAAACCATCGGTGAACTAGGCCCTGGCACTTAGGGGAAACTTGGGGAACCAAAGGCCCCATTCAACCAGTGGGAGTGGAGCAAATAAAGTTTCCCAAAAAGAAATTACTGCCAAAATGCAAAGCGGAGATGCCCTGGTGCCAGGTAAGCAGCCTTCTTGATAATTCTATTTCCACTGGACAACTGAGGCTTATTGGGCCCTTTCCTGTCTCGTTAGTCATTGAGTCACCATTGATGCACCCCAAAACAGTAATAGCAGGCTGGAGAACAAGGAGACCTCCACAGCTCAGGTGTTCAGCTTTGACAAGAGCCCTGTAGCAAGCTAAGTGCTGCCTTGCAAAGGGCTGTACTTGACAGGTACATTAGGGGAGGCATGAATCCACGACCCCAGGAGGCCCCTGGGTGGAGGCTGCCTTCTTCTGCCAGAGGCTCCACTTGGCAAATCGTCAGTCATAGAGATTATAGCTCAAAAGGGACGTTAGTGTTGTGGGTCCCTCAAAACACTAACAATTTTGCACCTATGGTTCTCCATGATTGGAAGTCCCTGCCCCTGCCCCAAACAATCACAGGACAAGAAACAGACTACAATGCATCAATTTATAATACTTATTCACAAGTAAAAGCAACATAAACAGTATGCTGAATTGCCTCCGAAAGGCCCCACCCACACAAGGGCATTCAACATGCCATAGGGAACCTTATTCGCCCAAATGAGCTGAACTTGGATGTTCACTCACCACATGGAACCCCGTGGGATGGTGACTTGGAAGCCTGTATTCAACAAAGCCGTAATAATTTGAATCACTTCTCCGCACAAAGTTCCCAGCACAATTGCAGAGATCCACATGGTACTCAATTCAGCCTGGCGGCAGAGAGACCTTAGCCCTAGCCTTCCCCTCTAAAGCAGCTGAGGTTGGCTGGAGGTTGAGGGAGGGAGGGAAATGTGGGGGGAGAGAGTGCATCTGCTCAGCACTTTTATTTCTGCTTTCAAGTGATCTGCAGAGGCTTGCTTGTGTGATTAAACACGTAGTATTTTTTGTTTTGTTTTGTTTTTGTTTTCCTCGTCAATTCAATCAGCTACCCCTGGAAGTTAAGAAATGTGTATTAGAAATCAGCCTGACGTTTCTTACAAATTGTAGTCTGAGGCCTTCACGACAGCTCTGGGAGATGCTTGGGTCAGCTACAATAGCCTCCCATAGTTTGAAACAGATTTCTTTGATTTTCAGAGAGGTGACAATTCCTCCTGCTGTCAATGGCATCTGCTGGGCATATAGAATTCCCACTTGTAGCAACAACAGCTCACAAAACTCATTTGAAGAGACTATGGCCAGGCCCAGCACATGCATGTGCAGGTAGAGATGACCTTCCTGCTTGCTCTCTGGCCAAGAGTGACTATAAGACACTGTTGATTATGCTGTGAGATACACTTCAATTTCAGTGATGTTAATATATGTAAACGGTAGGTGTTTCAGCCAGTCACGGTGGCTCAGGCCTGTAATGCCAGTGTTTTCAGAAGCTGAGGAGGGAGGATCACTTGAGCCCAGGAGTTTGAGACCAGCCTGGGCAACGAAGTCTCTACAAAAAAAAAAAAAAAAAATAGAAAGATTGGCCGGGCATGGTGGCAGGTGCCTGTGGTCTCACATACTCACAAAACTGATGTGAGAAGATCATGTCAGCACAGGAGGTTGAGGCTACAGTGAGCTGTGATCACACCACTGCACTTCAGCCTGAGCAACAGAGACCCTGTCTCACAATAAATAAATAAAAAATAAATAAATAAATAAAAATAGGTCTTGTGAAATAGGCAGCTCTAGCTCACATCTCACAGCTTGGTTATGAGGGTGAAACACCCCAATCCTTATTCTGTGTGCATAAACGAGGGACATGGTAACATGCACTCAGCGTAGGTCTCTTTTAAACTGGTACGTGGTTTGCTTTGTTCTACGGGCCAGCTAATTTGCCTATACTCGTTCTTTCCATGAAGACAAAAGAGAACATTAGAGAAAAGAACCCACATTTTTCTCATGTAATGTTAAAACCGCATTTTGGATGAAGAATGGAACAAATAGCTCTGTAGAGTAAAGCTAAGAAAATGAATTAAATGGTCAAATGCCTTCAAGATCCTTAAACTGAGTCTATGATTTCTACTAAGGTGCTAAAATGCTCCTCAACTCTGCTGTATCCAGTCAAGATCACGACTCCCGCCATACCGAATTACAACCAGGCTGGGTTTTCTTTCTACGTTCTAAATGTGTGTGACCAATATTTATTTCCAGTATTACGGGATTTCTAGGAGATATATTAAAAGCAATTCTAGAGCAATCATCTCAGATTTTAAAATTACATTGACTAACTGTATTGATTTTTATTTTTCATGCTAAATGACTAGTCTAGTAAACATGAAATGTCAGTAAAAAAGAGATTTTTGGTTCCTAATAAAGTCATAAAACCGGTGACATAAAGATGTTGGTAGATTATTACTAGCTGGGTTTCTAAGACTAGCACGCACATTAACATGACCCACTAGGAATGAATAAGATAAAATGCGTGGTGCTTTTTATAAGATTACTATAATGTGCAGCTTATAACTGCAAAATGTGAGATCTGTCTTTATAGTATTTATGAAGTGATGGCTTAGAACATGTTTAGTTTTTTGACCATGACCAATGTTGCTACATTAACAAACTGCTCTTACAACGCTATTCACTATTTTTGCTGCCATAAATTGATAGGATATTTTAACAAACAGGTGTGTGTTTTTTTTTTCTGTATGTTGTATTTTTTAAGAATAACTAAACATTGCATTATCTCTTGTAAATATATGCTCATATTTTATGTGCTTTATTTGTTTTCCATTTGTCCTTTCATCGTCATTTAAGGCACCCTTTCCTTCCACACTTGCCCTCTACACTATTTGCCCATGTTGGCCAGCGGCAGCTTTTTAAATTTTTTATGTTTTATTTTTAGAGATGGGATCTCGCTACATCATCCAGGATGGAGTTGAACTCCTGGGCTCAAGTCATCCTCCCGCCTCAGCCTCCCAAAATACTGGCACTGCAGGTGCAGGCCACCATGCTCTGCTGGGAGTGAGCTTGTAAAGTGCAAAACACACGACGGCCTGCCTTGTCCTCCACCCCCTCGTGATTTCCCTTCCTTCAGAGATGAGAACCAACCTCTTCTGCCTGGCCTGCTCAACCCCTTCTCATCTGCACTGCCCTTCTTGGGTCTTGTCTCACCCACTCCTCTGCCCACTCCAGCCCCAGTGGAATTTCTTACTGCACTGAAGCTTATGCTTTCTTCAGAAGATTAGCAAATGCTCTTCCCTATGCCAAAGACATTTTCACACCAGTCTTCCTAGGTCCTCTAGTCTCTGCTCAAACATCACCGTCTCATTCTTCACCAAGAGGAAAACACTTCTACAACATCTAACAGAAATAGACATAGCCTTTATGAGTATCGATGTGCATGTCAAATGGGATTAAACAATACTTAAAATACAGTATTTAAGTAGATTTTTATTTATAGCCCTATGTAACTAAAACCAAAAATAGATCACGTATAAAAGTTATATAATAGCCATTGTATAGAAATAAAATATATAAGTGGATACATTACATTATCACATATATGTACACCTATTATATATTGATGAAAATAATTTTAAAAATAAAATGGATTATCATAAGCTGAGAAAGGTGTTTATGTGAAGACCCTCTGATTTCTCCATCTACATATACCCTCTACCGCATCACTCACTAAACCCTTATTCCCCTTCATTTTTCTTCCTAACGCTTCCCTCTCCCTCAAGTTGTGTTATTTATTTTTACATTCACTTGCTTATTTTATTTACTTGCGTGTTCTGTATCTCTCCAACTAGAACATAAGCTCCATGGAGGCAGGGCTTTGTCTACCAAATTTGCCACTATTGACACATAACAAACATTCAATAAGTCTTTACTGAATAATGAATGAATTATTCATGTTTACAGATCAAATACTATTTTATAATAAATGCATCTTGTTGTTGCTTTGATGTGATTTGCCCGCTTAGGGCCCGACTGAAGGAAGATTCTACTTTTCAGCTGCCTGCTTCTCTCCTTGGTGGGGAATCCGGGGCATCCTCTCCTTTCTGACTTTAAGTGATTCTGCTCTCAGTTTGCATGCTTTTCTTTCTGTTTTGTTGCAGATTTTGGAACATTTCTAGTCTGCTTCCCTTTAGGATCTGCGTTCTTGTTGTTTCCTCTGCCTGAAAAACACCGGGGGGTAATTTTGCACAACTAACACCTTACAGCTGTTGAAAACTTGCTCCAGTGACACCTTCTAAAGCCTCCCCCGACCTAAATCTTTCAACCTGGAAACTGACCCTCATCCTGGACACACTGGCTCTTCTTGCTCTGGCTTTACTTTTCCTTCCTGCCATGGGACTCAACAACAACAACAACAAATGTAGAATGAAAGTATCATTATGTAAAATACAAAAATAGCGTAAGATATTATTATAAGTAATATTTAATGCTTATTGTTTATTATGTCCCTGTGAGAGCACACATCTCTGTCCATATGCTACTTTCCTTGTATCTGCCCTCACTTTCCCTGGGCTATGCCTTCAAGCTCTGGCCTCAGGCTCTCTTCCAAGCAGGCATCCAGCTGGTTGGGCTAATGGGAGGCAGTGGCAGGTGTCTCCGGGTGTCCGTATCCTTTGTGTATTTCCAGCATCTCTGGATATGCCTGTTTGAGTTTCAGCTTCCACCAGGTGGTGCCACCTTGGGCTTGCTAGTAACTTCCTGCCACCTAGGATCCTACCTCTAGGGGTCTTAGTAGCTTCCGGAGTTTGATCTTTCATCACTTCCTGAATTGCGTTTCCTCTTTTAAATACTCAGAATAGTTTTCCTGGTAGATCTTGAAAGATTTTTATATTTCTTCTGGTTTTTAAGTTGTCTGGAAAGTCAGGTCAGAGATAGCAAATCAACGCAATGGGCATTAAGTTCTTGTCCCACCACATAATAAAACCAAATAATTTTGCAGCTCAATAAGTTCAGCAGAAGTATTCTCATTTTATAGGTTTTCTTCATTATTAGAAGAGAGCTAGCTGCATCATCAATCACCTCGTGTGGACAAGAGCTATAATCTGATGTACAGCATAATAGCAGTTGTATATGGCAAAGTAATTTATCATAAGCTTTTAATGATACAAAGAGGCACATTACATTTATCTCTGTGTCCTTATCATTCAGTTCGATGCCTGGAATTTAACAGTTACCCGATAAATGCTTATTTAATGATGAAAGGAATGGACTGAAAGTATTAAAACATTATACACAGGATGGCTATGTGTTACACATTACAATATAAGATAGTACAAGAATCCTGGCAACCCATGAGCACATGAATGAAGAAAGATATCCCTGGTTTGCAACACAAAAATGCTAAGGATGAAGGTGTGCAGACAGACATGCTGTGAATCATAAGATGGGGGAATTTCCAGGGAGTTCTCAGGATACCTGGGCAGGAAAACCTGCTGTAACCACATCTCTTAGTATTGGCTTCTCAACAGTGTCTTGGAACAGGCAATGGTGATTGATGTTCAAGAGAGACAAAGAAGCACTCAGAACTCAGACCTCTGTGGGGAAGGTCATTCCCATGAGGTTTTGGGCCTACTTCTTAAAGGCCCTGGTGTTTAATGGACAAACAGTGAAACAGATGCAAGACGACAGAGCAGGAACAGAGACAAACTTGGATTATTGTGCCATCTTGCACACAGGACTACAGAACAGAAGACGGAGGACACAGAAGACAAACTTGGATGATTCTATCCTATTGCCCAGGATATAATCAACAGGCTTGAATGAGTAGCCAAGAGAGCCAACATTCAATAATGACCTGTGCTCCATAATTTCATTAGCATACAACTCCATGTGATCTTAAACCTGCCCATTCCAAAGACTGGCATCATAAGTTGCTTGTTGGGCTACCATTGCAAGAGCTTCTGCTGGATCAAAGAGGACCCATGCTGTGTAGCATGGGTTTTTGAGGCACAGATTCCCTCCTCCGGCACTGATCAACTGTTTGTAGGCCAAAAGGCGCCACCATGCCCAGCACCAAATGGGCCACACAGGCAAAGGTTGACCACATTCTGGCCCATGTCATGGTGGGATACCCTGCAATTTCTTCTGGAGCCAGAGGAGATAACCTTTTAAGGAGCAGCTAAAAGACATTTCCCCAACCCCACCTTGGGAAGACAGGCTCTTGGCCACTTCTCTTCCATCTATCTCTCTACTTTGAGGGGAATACAGGCCCTTCTACATCTTGCCCCTTTAGGATACAGCTTCAGGCTTCTGTGTGTCTCTATAAAGCAGCCTGGCTGTAGGTTAGAGGTAGGACCTCAGCAGAGGGGCTACCCCTAGCTCACAGTATCTGTCACCTGGCCCCCCTGGTTTTGTGTTGTCAGGTGGGACTTGAGCCTTGGGGAGCTGGCACCATACTGACTATACTTTTGCTGTCTGTGTAAGTCATACACTCTCAGAATCCATCTTGGCTCATCACCTCCTTATTGACCAAATCCATTAGACAGTGGCAAGCAAAGCTAGCAGGGGCTGCCACACTGCTGCTTAGGGGTTGTATGGCCACTTGGCTTGGTTTCACCTATGCTTCTGCATCCTGCTGTGTTAACTGACCCCAGTGCCTGCAAGGATGCTCTGTTGCCAGGCCAACTTGGGAGGACACGGTTGTACAGAACCTCCTCCCAGTGATGTAGCCACAAGTCCCTTTTGCTGTTCCTAAATGGTTTGTAAACTTTTTCCACATTTCTGTAGGTCAGGGTTCTCCTGTAACCGTAATAAGTCCATTGCCCCATGCATGTGGCAAGTCACTGCCCCGAGACACCAGGTTGCAGCAGAGAAAGAGGTTTAATCATGGGGCTGCCAAATGAGGAGATGAGAGGAAACCTTCAATCCATCTCTCCAAGGAGTTTGGGGCTAGGGGCTTTAAGGATTTTGGAGTGGGCCGAAGCATGGAGATCACTGATTGGTAGAAGAGTGCAGGGTGAAGTCATGGGACAGGGCGATGAAGAAGCTGTGTTCTCACGCTGATTGGGTTCCTCTGTGGGGATCTTCAAACTGGTTGGCCTCAGCTGTTTCACTGGAATTCAGGATCTGCTGAAGCAATTCTTAAACAGAAGCCTCTGATTCTAACATCAGAGATCCTTTCGATAGGAACAACGGAGATGCAAATGGTCAGGATCTAGTGCTATGGGGCTCGTGGTTACAAGGAAGTGGGTGCAAGTGCAGCCTGAGGATTGCTGAATGATGACTCTCTTTCTGTCCGGAATTCTTGGGAACCCTGTGAGGATGGCTTCCTGCCCTGAGTAGCCCCAGAACTCTTGTGGAGCATCCACTAGGAATGTATGAGGTAAAGGGGTTGATTTTATTAGATCCTCATATTGCTCCAGGTTTATGAGTCACTACTTGTCCTCAAATGCAGTCAATACAAAGGTATTTCCTTAAGAAAAAACAGTGGGCTCATCAAGTCAACACCACACTGTATTTCATCAAAGAGAGCCTTCCTTACACATTGACAGCATGTGAACTTCCCCCTGACTCAAAATACCCATAAAGTCCTCTGAGCAAACCCAGAAGCAGGAACACGGTTAAGGAAGGTATTCAGATCTCTCAGTAGAGTATTTTCCTGTGGCCCTGTAAGCCCTTTCCTAGCTATAGCTTTAAAATAAATAAATAAAAGCCCTAGCTTTCTTAGCCAACTGTCACTCTGTCATATGTTTTCAGCTGTGGCTTTTGCCACAATTGAACTCAAATTCATCTTTAATGATAACATTTCTATACTTTTGCAAAGTATAACCCAGATGTGATACATTGAGAATAAAAAGCAGATGTTTTCTTCAGAGCCTGAATATGCTCCTCTCATAAAACATATCTGTTCATAAATGTCTGAGGCTAGATGATGATTTATTGTAGCTGAGCTTTTTGTGCCCCACCAAAAGAAAGCCTAGAAGCAAAGGTGTGGGAGTTTACCAGCTGTCCTGATGGAACAAGAGAGAACCCATTCATGTCTTCATCACTATTTTGCCAAAGGACAGTTTTTCTAATCACGCTATGTTGAGTTTATTGCAAACAAGGTTGTAATTTCCTAGTTCCTCTCTTCAGGATCACAAGTTACTAAGGAAAAAAAGAAATGAAAATTTTAAAACCCTAGGGAGCAACTTTACCCCATCTGTAACTGCAGAATACTTGGAAAGAAAAAAAATGAAGGTTTATTGTACACACGAACGAGGCTGCAATCTGTGAAAGTTGTGAGAATGAAGTGGGGGTGACTAGTGTTAAGAAAATCCTGGCAAACAGAGCCAGGGAAAACCATGGAGACGGTTCACATGCTTGTAGGTCTGATAACAAAAACTATCACAAAAGGCTGCAAAAACCACAACCTTGCACAAATGTCATCGCAACCTTGCAGAAAAAGTACTTCTATAAGGACATCTGCCAAACAACTCCCTGACCAAACTCGGACTGGTGTCACCTTTGTTACTGATTTTTATAGCCAAAGATAATTATTTCAAAACAATTATATCATTCTCATCATTTTTCTGTTTAAAAACCTTTGTCTTCTTTTACCTCCCTGAATAGGCGTATAGTTTACTATGGCATGTGTGTTTCTATTGCAATGCCCTGTTCACAAATAAACATCTTTTCTTTTGGAGAGACTCTCTGTTATTTAGGTTGACAAAGTAAAATGTAGTTTTCACTATTTTGACTTCATGGCATTTCCTTTAAGTCTCAGGCTCACCAGTGCATGTTTATATGGAACGAAAAAAAAAAAAACTATTATTTGAACAGACAGTGCCGCCATAAGAATGTGGGATTTAACGATGGTGCATTCTAACTTCTTGAGGGCCTGAGTTTAACATTGATTCCAGTGTGCTGAGATTCCTTTGTCTTTGGGAATGACCTGCTTGTGTTCGGGTGGGAGAATCCAAGGGCCACTTTATAGAAACAGAGATTCCCCAAGTTCATGGAGACTTTAATATTAACCAGTCCTAAATCCATAGAGACAGAATCCAAAGATTAGTGGTTGCCAGGGGCTGGGAGAAGGGAAGATTGGAGGGTGATTACTAATGGGCTTTCTTTTCGAGGTGATGGAGATGTTCTGGAATTAGATAGTGGTGATGGTGATACTTGTACACCCTTGTGAATATACTAAAAACTAGTGAATAGTTATACTTTAAAGTGGTGAATTTTGGACTACGTGCAATATCTCAATAAAAATGAATTAAAAAGTCAGTACTATGTCAAATTTCTTTTGTGTGCATGTGTGCACACAAACGTGTCACCAGCCAGTCTACGCATTCATATGGTAATGCTCACATCAGCACCCTTGCCATGGGATTGTCCAACTTTTTACAAATACCCCCAGGAGAGAGCAAGGCACCACCTTTCAAAGCAGCCCCTTCCATCTTCGAATGACTCTCGTTGTTAGAAAACAATTCCACTGGCCAGCTGAAATAGGCTTTGCTGTGGCTTTCACTCATTGGCACTGATGTTATAAACTTAGAGCTTGAGAAAATGACTTTATGAATCTTTACGAAAAAGGCTCCTTAGGAACAACATTCCTATTACTCCTGGATCATCTCTTCTCCAGATTAAATAACCTCAGTGTCATCAACCACACACCCTGCAACTTGGTGTTGAATCATATTTCTCATCACTCTCCTCAAAGTGTGTCCAGTTCATCCAGGTTTTTTCAGTAGTGTGGTGTCTTGAGCTGCAAGAAGTACTCCTGAAGTCATCTGATGCAGCTCTTCAAGAAGCAAAACCCAAGTCCCCAACAGCTCCCCTGACATTGTGGTGAACACCAAGAAGCTATAAGATCAGATGTCTTCTCTCAAGTAGGGCTGCCAGATAAAATATAGAACTCTCAGTTTAATGTGAATTTCAGGTAAACAGTGAAACTTTTTTTGTATAATTGTGTCCCAGAGACTGCATGGGACACGCTTATACTAAAGAAGTATTTGTTGTGTATCTGAAATTCACGTTTATTTGAGTACCTCGTACTTTTTGGGTTGACTTTATTTTTTAGTATGGGTTTGGATTCACAGCAAAGTTGAGCAGTAAGTACGTAAGGTTCTCAGGTACCCCCTTCCTCAACAAATCCCCATGCATACTTTCAATATTCCATATCAGACTGGTACATTTCTTACCATTGATGAGCCAATACTGATACACCATTATAACCTGAAGTCCATAGTTTACATTAGGGTTCACAATGACAAATGTATAATGACGAGTATCCACCATCGTAGTATCACACACAGAATTTGGGCTGCCCTGAAAATCGTCTGCATGCCACCAATTAATCCTTTCCTGTCCCCAACCCCTGTAAACATTAATCATCTTACTGTCACCATACTTTTGCCTTTTCCATAATGTCATCTATATAGCAGGAATCATACACCATGCAGCCTTTTCAGATTGGCTTTTTTCTTTTAGCAATATGAATTTCAGGTTCCTTCTGATCATTTCATGGCTTGCTAGATCATTTCTTACAATTGCTGAATGGTATTCCATTGTATGAATGTGCCACAATTTGTTTAGGCACTCGCCCATTGAAGGACATCTTAGTTGCTTCCAAATTTTGGTAATGATAGATAAAGCTGCTTAAACATTTGCATACAAGTTTTTGTGTGGAAATAAATTTTCAAATCATTTGGGTAATTACCAAAGAGTGCAATTGTTAGATCATATGGCACATCTATATTTAGTTTTGTAAGACTATGCTTAGTTTTGCAACATTTGGCAACCCTATTCTCAATGAGTTGCACCTCTTTTGAAGAGGCAAAGAACAAGCATTTCTTCAATGAGAAAAGGCTGTAAAGGACATCTGAAACTCGTGTTCACTCATTCATTCATTCATTCATTTGATATTTATTGAGCACAGTCATGTGCTAGACCCTGGAAATACAGACATATGTAATGGAAAAAATTCATGCTGTGAAACAAACCAAAGCAACATAAGAAGGGCAGTAGGAAAGGCTCCCAATATGCAAGTGACAGAACGAAGAAAAGATGGAGGAATTTTCCCTGCAGTGGCTTCAAGAGAGGCTCAGAGAGGTATGAACTAGCAATGTAACACATTTATCCAATCAACATCTTTTACCTCTCTTCTACACTGGGTCTGAGGACACAGCTATCGTGAAACAGGTGACCCTGCCCAGGATCCTACAGAAAAACAACTAAAGCATGTTTGTGCAACTCAGAACTACAAGCTCTTCCTCATGATTTGGACAATAGAAGCCTTCAAAGAGCGGTTCTTTTTCCTATATTTTCCTTCCCTTCTCTTAATGGAGAATTCCTTCTTCCACCCTAAAAAGGAAACACGACCATCAGTTTCCCAAATATGAAGAGGGAAATGCATGTGTGTGTTAACAGTGGTTACCACCTAGTGGAATTTTAAGCTTTTGTTAAAGGATTTTCCCCCTAACGATTGCAATTTTCTAAGTTGAGTAAACATTTAGTACTTCAGTTACTATTGTAGTATGTGAGATTTTTTGTGTCTTGGGTCCAACGTACTAGTTAGGTATTTCTTTATAGGCTTTTTAAGATTTACAGGTGTACCTGATCAAAAGTAGGTGCAAGGATCTGAGATGTTTTTTACTGCATAATTTATTCCGTGTGTACCCAGAGGCCAAGCACTTGGCAAATGACCAAAAGATAGAATTTAAAAAGTCAGAATAGCTCATGCAGGAAATAAGTAGCTGGCAGATAAAGAAAAATGTCAAATTTATGCTTTAATGGCAATGTCAATTATCTAGAAGGGACATTTATCAGTTCAACAAGAATTGATTTTCTTCACTCTCAGCTCCTATGAACAAGTCTTCACTTTCTGAAAGGTAGGAATGTCTGCTCCAGTAATTAATTTGTTTATGGTAACTAGTACATTGTGAGAATCTCTATAAGGCATCTTTCTCTGGCACTTATTTTATCTTGATCCTGGATGGAAGATAATGATAACCAAGTGACCTGTTTGTTGACTAGGGCACACTTAAAAGCAGGTATGAATATTTGATTTAACGTATATTAGCAGGACATCGATGCAAGTGTTGTGTGAGTACTGAGACAGGTAGGCAAGTGGCGGGGTGAACTTCACTCCTTAAAATAGTGAGCTCAAGAGACGTGAACTACCTAAGCTGTCTGATTTTTTTCCATGTGCTCTTTTAAAATGATATATAGCAAAAGATATTTAACTGCTTAATTAGTGAAAATCTGGCAACAAACGATGTCTGGTTAATTCATGGAAAATGGGAAGTTAGAATATATTTCAAGATACTGTTTGAATTAGGCAAATAAAGTTAATTCTTGTGTTTTCATAAACACAGAGTTTGGAGAATTGCTGTCTATTCAGCATTTATTATTTCTTTTTCTTTTTTCTTTTCTTTTTTTTTTGAGATGGAGTTTCACTCTTGTTGCCCAGGCTGGAGTGCAATGGTGCAATCTCAGCTCACTGCAACCTCCGCCTTCCAGTTTCCAGCGATTCTCCTGCCTCAGCCTCCTGAGTAGCTGGGACTACAGGCACCTGCTACCATGCCTGGCTGATTTTTGTATTTTTAGTAGAGATGGGGTTTCACCATATTGGCCAGGATGGTCTCGAACTCCTGACCTCGTGATGCACCCACCTCGGCCTCCCAAAGTGCAGGGATTACAGGTGTGAGCCACCGTGCCAGGCCAGCATTTATTATTTCAATTATTTAGTACACATGTATTGTGCACCTTCTGTATTGCTGGGAACACACCAGGCTCCAAAAATATAACTAGGACTATGATAAGATTTTTACTCTCAGGGGTAAGAGTTAAGTAAATAACAGCCACAATATGGGGTTTGAAAGGTACAGAACCACTAAAAGAGAGGAAAAGGGACAGAATTTTGTTTGAGAACAAACAGATTCCAGAAGAGGTGAAGAATAAGGTGATCTTTGACACAAAGCTTAAAAGATTAAGTAGGCACTTGCCATACATAGATGAAAGAAAGTGTAGCAGACAAAGAATAGACCAGTCATGATTATTAACTATCAACTAGTCAATTTTTATCACTTAATGGCTATTTATTCCTGGACACAATTGATCTCAGGGAGGTAATGAGTAGAATGGTAGCTACCAGGGGCTGGAAACAGTAGCAGGGATGACCCGGAAAAAGCAATGCTGGACAGTGGGCACAAACATACATTTAAAGAGAAGAAATAAGTTCCAGTATTAAATAGCACAGATGAGTAACTCTAGTTATCCTGTATTTCAAAATACCTAGAAGAGATTTGCAATGTTCTCAACACACACAAAAAAAGATAAAATTTGAGGTGATAATATCCTAACTATCCTGATTTGATCCTTCCATATTCATGTATCAAAATATCACATTTATCCCATACACATTTGCAACTAATACATATCAGTGAAAATCATGAAGGTATTGGTAACTAATAGCTAACATTAATTCAACATGTACCATGTGTCTAACCTTCTCACCATCATTGTTTCCTCTGACACTCACAGTAACCCTCTGACACAGATACCATCATCACTGTCTGTTTTACAAATAAATAAGAATTGATTTCAGTGTGCTTTGGATGAGCAGTGCTGAGCGAGCCTTGATTTGCCTGGATAAGAATGCAATGCACTGTCTGGTTCTGGTTCAATTTCATATCTCAGAGCTTATGTACTGTGAGTGCAATAAATCAGGTGTGTGCACAGAGATCAGGGAAGAGTTAAGTTCCTCCTAAGGAGTGAGTAGAGTATTTTGTGATTTGACTTGATCACCTTAATTTAGATATCTTCACGAAGATATGAACCTATCAATCCAAAATGAAATTTTAACTAACATCAGGCAGATGAGATGGCCATTTCCCTCCGGTGTCAGGAGAACTCCTCTCCAAGAGGCAGAGACAAGAGACTCTGTTTCTCCTGGGTTTCAGTTGCTAAAGGAAAGGACTTGCCACTGGTTTGTAGGCAAACTTCCTTGGGAGACCTCTAAATTTTGTTCAATGCGTTATTGCTCTAAGGATATATTTAGTGCTTTGTGACTGTACATTTCAACATTCAGCTGTCGAGTGAGACAATATTAAGAGACATGATGCTCTTGATATCAGCCATTCTTCGAAGCAGGTGTTTATTATGGAACAAAAGAAAATATATGCTTCAATCTAGAATTTAAAAGCACTAACTACAATTTTTCAAGCATATGTATGTAAATAAAAGTTATTTGTCTTACCATTTTCAGGAGAAAAGTGAATCTTTACACTTGTTTTAGTGTGATTGATTTCTGGTATTCGAACCTAAAATTTAATGGTCACAAAAAAAGAATAAATTAAATGTTCTCTTTATGAAAAGTAAAATAGGGGCTATAGCACAGGTGATGTGAGAAAAATAGTCACTAAAAAAATAGTAACCAAGAGTGCACCCTGAAATAATCTATGGAATTGGGGTGATAATGATCTGTTGATGTAAGTTCATGGAGTGTAAGAAAGGCACCACTCTGGTGGGGGATATGAATAGCAGAGAACGGTATGGCAGGAGAACAGGTGGTAAATGAGAAATCTCTAGACCTTCAGATCAATTTGTTGTGAACTAAAAACAATTCTAAAAACAAAAGTCATATATATGTGTTTGTGCATCTATCTACACATATATGTATATATGTACACGTAGATATACATATATATGTACATGTAGATATACATATATAAGTATGCATACATGTGTATGCATATATACACATATATACACACAGAGACACACACATATATATATACACACATTTATACACACACATGCATATATACACACCCCTAATAACTTTTAAGGGCAAAGACTTTCTTCCCTTCAGAATATCTGCCAAAGGGACTTCAAGTACACAGTTACTTATTCGAGGTAGTAAGGGGTGGCATAAATATCAACTGTTCCACACTAAGTACATTGTGACCTAATTATCGTCCTTCCACTATATAGTTAGATAGGCCAGTATGTGTAATGGAACTCTCACATGGACTGCTGCAGTGCTTATTTTGCCTCTGTAACTACTGAAAGAAGTCTCAAATATGAATCTTCTTAGAAACTTGAAACAGTACTTAGGCTTATATACCAACACATGTGTTGGGTAAAAGGAAAATCCTTTATGAAAATGCAACTTTAGGAATTAAATGCTCCCTATAAGGACCCACTTATTCCTGTATAAGTGATTGCAGGCAGAAAAACAGAATCTGAATGAACTTGTTTTTTTTCTTAAGCTTGGAAAATCTTGAAAAGGTAAGAATGGTATATAGGGACCAATTAAAATGAAAAGCACAAGGAAAAATGAGAGGAAGTCCCTCTTCTACTCCCCCAATGGGAGTATTGTGTTTTGAATGATTCATGAATGGAATTTCAGAAACTCAGCAAAAAAATACATTTAACTGACTTACTCCAAATATATTCTGAATTATATATTTACTAAATAAAGCATTTGGAAATGAATATTTTGTATGCTGTTACATATAAAAACTGCACATTACAAAAGGAAAGGTAGGAGAATTCATCACTTAAGTTTTTAGATGCATGTATACTTAAACTTCCACATACTCCACAAATATTAAACTTGAAAAACAAAGCACTCTACATAATTTACCTTGCTATAGATGTGAAATAATTGTAAGCGTATATAAATGTTAACGAAATACTTTCAATCAGTGCTAAGGGGAGATATCATTGAATGGTGGACCAAAACAAACTACATGGCAATTTGATGTCTTTGTGGAAATAACATACCTACAAGCCAGTGGCTCAACACTGATATTAATATATCTTGCACAGTTGTCTTAATCATTTATTAGTTTAACTTTTTCAAAAACACAGATGTTAAGGTGCTAGTAAAAATTTTGATAAGGCCATAGAGTATACCTATTTTTTGAAGTCATACTTTGCCAAGACCAGATCAGTTGGGGAGACCCTAACCCAGTGGCGCTAGAGGAATTAAAGACACACACACACAGAAATATAGAGGTGTGAAGTGGGAAACCAGGGGTCTCAGAGTCTTCAGACTTGAGAGTCCTGAACAGAGATTTACCCATGTATTTATTAACAGCAAACCAGTCATTAGCATCATTTCTATAGATGTTAAATTAACTAAAAGTATCCCTTATGGGAAACGAAGAGATGGGCCAAATTAAAGGAATAGGTTGGGCTAGTTAACTGCAGCAGGAGCATGTCCTTAAGGCACAGATTGCTCATGCTATTGTTTGTGGCTTAAGAATGCCTTTAAGTGGTTTTCTGCCCTGGGCAGACCAGGTATTCCTTGCCCTCATTCCCGTAAACCCACAACCTTCCAGCTTGGGTGTTAGGGCCATTATGAACATGTTACAGTGCTGCAGAGATTTTGTTTATGGTCAGTTTTGGGGCCAGTTTATGGCCAGATTTTGGGGGTCCTGCTCCCAACAATACTTTCATTGGAATTGCTTCTTAAACCTACTGATAAATAAAGAAGAATGCACAGATAAAATAGGTTTTGTCTTCTTTTATTAGAGACAAATGTACTTTTCCATGCCCATGCTTTCTACAGTTTTGGAACTGATACAGATCCACAGTGGCCAAACCTAAAACTAAATTATTTTTAATGTTGAAATTTAATTGACCATGTATATAACTGTGCAATTGCTGCTTTCTCTTAGAACTGTCTAGGGTTCATTCAACAGATTGCAGAAACAAGGTCTAACGTGTGGTTTTGTGTAACTGAAGTTATGCTTGTATCATATAACATAGGTTAAGGTTTTTTCTTCAATCATCAGAATAACAGAGATTGAAGAGACAACTGCATAAGTGCCAACTCTTGCTGCAGCTGTTTCAAAAAAAAAAAGAAATTTAAGTAATTGTGATAACATTTTTGCAAATAAAATATTCCAGTGCTTACATCAATCCTGAGTTACTAAGATTAAATATGCATTACTTACAGTCTCTGACACAGTTTTACTTTGGAAAACAGTGATTTCTTTTTTAAGTTGACTTCCTTCACCAAAAAGAGTTCTTTCATCATACTTTTCCAAGTTCTTGATACTCTAAAACAAAATGGCTAGGTCACTGACAAACCACCACTTTACATCTCTCATTTTAAACAGAGTAAATTAAATGTCAAAAGGAAACAATTTTTGGTGTTCAAAGGATGCTAGTTATTTATTACAAGTTTAAAAACTGTAATCAATACATGGAGCTCCAAATACCCACCTAAATTTTTTAATGCCAGATTTCAGTGAAATATTATAGCAGGTCCAAAGGTCAAGTACTTTGCTTGGAAAAAAATGGGTTGATGAACATCTTAAGGTCAAAATGGAGCAAAGGCAGAAAAAAGCTAGCAGTCCGATATTATGAAATACCACATTTGTTCATCTGGTAGTCACCCATTTATAATCATAAATAGTCCATTTAACATGGTTTCCATTGAAGGGATAAAATGGCCTGTGATATTCAAGCGACATGGCTCATATGAGGCAATATCCAAGGTTTGTTGCCTCATGCCAAGGAAATCAAGGACATGAACCGACACAAGGAGTGAGTTTAAGAGTGGAAGTTTAATAGGAAAAAGGAAGAGAAAACAGAATAGCCCTCCCTCCTGCAGAAAGAGAGGGGCACCTGAGTGGGTCTTCCAGTTTTGTGGTGGAGTGCATAGGGTTCTATAGACTAACTTGAGGAGGCAATGTCTGATTTACATAGAGCCCAAAGATTGGTTGGACCAGGTGTGATGTTTTCATAGCACACAAAGAACCTTGCCGCCCCACCCTAATCTTTTTTATTGTGCAAATGTGTTTGCTACTTGGTGGCTCCATGTTGTCTGCTCCCTTCTGCACACGCGATTTGCAAGGAAAAGGAAAGATGGGGCCACCATGTTGGATATGCCTAGCCCCCAGATAGCCTTTTCCTATTGGCACAGCTGCCATTATGCAAGCTTTCAGCTTTCTTATCTATGTCTGCAGCTCGATCTTAGAGGCTGGTCTTTATTAGAAAAGAAAGGATTTGGGGACTGCTTTTTATTAAAAGGGAAACCTTACTGAGGACTTCCTTACCCTGACTATCTGCCTAAATAATTTCTTTTTAATTCCTATACTATTTCCCCCTAAGGAGTGGGGACCCTAACTGCTGTTGGGGGTGTTGGACAATGACTCTTTCTGGCTACTTTCTGCTGAAAGGGGGTGCTTTGTGGGCAACAGAAGCTAGGGCTGCTCCTGGGGTTGATCTAAGAGTCCTCAGAAGAAAGGTGTGTCATGGTTTTGTCTGCAGCACCATTTGGAATTTGATTGCTGTCAGCCATTCCAGTGGGTTTTAATACTGGTTTGCATCCACCAGATATTGCTGAAACATTAATATAAAAGTAAAACTCTTTTTAGGATAAATAGCATTAGGTTTGGGTGGCTAGTGTAACTTTAGTGTTAACCTTGGTTAAATCTTTGCTGCAATTATTAATCCTTTAATGACTCCCACAGACCATCTACAGCATGTTTAACTTTCTAACTTGTCCTAAACATCCCTCTTTTTAACAGCCAGTTATTCTCTTTAGGACAAGAATTTACCATACAAGATCCTTTCTTATATAAACCTCCATTTTATTACAACCCACTTTGCATAGCTAGGGTGTGACATATTACCAAACCCGATAAAAAGTCCCAGCAGACTCAGAGATAGTAAAACCTTCATGTTTACTGCTTGTCAGTAGCTATTATTTCTGCTATATGGATAATACTTAAGCGAAATGCAACAGCAATGGAAACTCTCTGTCCAACATTTCAGTTAGAAGGTGCTACTATGTATAGCTCTAATGCAAATAGTAGAGTGAGTATAGCAATTCCCACAAAGGTGCCATAGTAGATTATTTCCATCTAAAATTTAAGTTGTCAAGATATAGAATTTCCCTTTTTGGGGGTCTATGAAGTTCTTTGGTTTTATTTTCCCAAAGAAAACTCCAGGTTATGGGTACCCTATTTATTTTCATTACCTGGCAGGATTTTCAGGATAATTGCCCAGAACTAGCATATTGGTCCAGATTTTTACTTTACCCATCCCTTTTTGTTTCTTCCAAGCTGTAGGAGATCACTACTTGGTTCACAAGAGTAAGCAGGGTTCATCTAAAATGTAGGCAAAAACACTCAGAAACAACCAATGAGACTAAAATTTTACAACAAATGTATGATAAGTTTTGGAGCATAATTTTTCTCTCTCCAATCCTCATTTTTGGTAAAAACAAATTATGATAGAACCGTATTGTTTGTAGAATAAACTTTAGTTTTATACTTCACCTGATTCTGTGCATAAAGTGCAGCAAGAATAATTATCTTTCCCACGGGCTTTTAAATTGACTTTGGCGGAACTCTGTTTCACAAGGAATCTTAGATAAGACCTCTTAAAGCCAAGTCCAGCCATGGGTTTATATCCTCAAATACCTGTGAGTTGGGTGATCCTTTCCTCTTAAAGTCCCAAGATAAACTCAGAGCTCCTAGACCTGTTATAAAGTGACATTCTTTATTGACTGCAGGTCAGGAACCCTGTACAGGGACTGCATAGATGACTGTATGAGGCAAGTCTATTTCTTTTTTTCCCCAAGGGGCTTTTATAAAGAAAATGTATTCTTAATGCACTGATCCAAACCATATTGCCATAAGTTAAGAATACTCACAGTCTCCGAATTTTAGAGAAACCAGGCAGTGAAAAACAAATATGCTTCAAATTTTGTTCAAGAAGCCTACCTTACTTAATTGACAAAAGCAATAGATATCTTAAAGGAAAAGTTTCCTTGACTTTGAAGAAGAAAACAAAGATTAGCAATGTTTCAAGCAAAAAGTTAAAAAAGATTACTTCAGACTTCTATTAGTGTAATTCATGCAGTTCAACTACTGTTTGATATTCAGAAACATTTCAGCTCCTCATGAATCCTGTATATTTTCTCTATTCCAATGTTACAATCTTCAAAGCGATTAGAAACCTGCATTTGAGAACAACTGTTAAAGTCCTATAGCTTGATTATAAACCATCTTTTGAAAGGGAACAAAGCAAGACAGCAATTGTCTGTGAAAGACAAAATTTCCAGGGTAGTTACAGTTAAAAACACGACTGACAGAGATTTGGTTCTTTCTGTTGTTTACAATAACTTCAACCTTAATTATAATTGATAGTATATATTTAAACATTAGAATTTTAGAAATCCCACACAATTTTGAAACATACACTAATATTATTCACTAAAATATAACCTGAAGAAGATTAAACATCATTTTGGCAATCTCACATACGTAACCATGTTAAATAATCCTGTTAACCTTTTTTTTTCTGGACACTTTAAGGGCCCTTCTGAAGTCTCCAAAAAGCCAGGTGTCAGGAAAGACAATTTTAAAACTGAGGTGTGATTTTGAGAAGCCTCTTAAGTATGTTAGAGGTTTAACTTTTTTTTTTTTAATTTTTTATTATACTTTAAGTTTTACGGTACATGTGCACATTGTGCAGGTTAGTTAGAGGTTTAAAATACTTGATGTTATGAAATAGAATTCCAGATTACCATAAATTATTTATTTTGCCAAAATGATGACTCATAAGGCAAAAATCTTTCATTAGCCTTTACTATTACATGAAAATCCTGTTCAAAGCCAAATTTTACCCTTGAATTAGTTTATTATAGTTAATCCCAATTTTTAGTGAAATCTCATAGACAATTACATCTAATCTTAACCAATTTGACCATGGGTGAAATGTTTGCAAACCTTTTATAACCGTTTTGCTAAAAGGCAGACTAGCATCTTAAGACCATCTTGCTGTGCCTTTATTTAAATGCTCAATTTATGAAAAAACCATGTAGTACCATTTTGAATTTAGTTACTGTTTATACATGGGATTTTTTTGCAAGATTAATTTTTGCAATCTTTCATAACTTGCTTAAATCTTCAGCTTTAGTTTATCTAATTTAAAACAATCCTTTATCCCTAGGCAAAATTTACATTTCCATGCCTTCTTATAATCATTTACTAAAAGCATACGTTACTGTCTTTACACACCTTGAAAATAAATCTATTTTTAGTAGTTTAAATTACATGTCATAATGATAACTTCTAGTAATTTGTAACTTTAATGTGAAACCTGGTGAGTTGTTTTCATTATATACTAGACACAGAGAAAGTCTGACTTTTTTCAGTATAATTAGGGGTGTGGTTAATTTTGTATGTCCCCAGGCCTCACCAAGTTGTAAAGCAGGCAGTTTACAACCTTGAAACATTTATCAAACCTAGTATGAGAATTGTATGATTTAGACCACCTATTTGCATTTTGACAACACTTGTATTTTACCAATAATCCTTAGGACTATTTTTATTTATTAAAGATTAACATCACATGAAATAAAAGGCATTACAGATTTTATTTTTCCTTTAAAACATATTTAATTTAAGCACTTATTTCTTAAGACAATTAGAGCTCTTTTTATAGACATTACACACAACACATGTATAGCTACACAGACAGAAGATTCAACACTTTAAAGATTTTTCATTTGCCGTTTTCTTAATTGGATTACTGGCTTCGGGGGATGCCTTGGAAGAACAGGGACAGGAAAGCAGGCATTCCTAGGGTCTGATAATCAGACACATCTGAAGGCAAAGCCAGATCCCCAAAATTAAGAGTGCCATTTTATACTGGATCCTGGATCCCCCAAAGGAGGGAAATGCTATGGGAAAAGATAGCACAGTGTTTCTACCATGCATTTCATTGCAAGGCAACCCAAAGATAAACAGTTCTTTTTGCAATCAGCCCATCATCTGTGGGAGTCTCATTTCTCAGGTCAGATTGGGGATGTTTTTATATCTTCTGGGTGGCTGAGAGAATGCCTCTCTGTTCCAAATGTGCAAATAGTTAAGTAGCCCTCCATAACCAGTATTAGCCATCACATAAAGTATATTTCCTGCCTAGTTATTACACATCAAGTATCTCTCATAATGTGAAGTAGTTTCTGATATCCCCAAAACTCAAAATCATCAGATAACACAATGCAAAACAAAACAGAGTCCTGGATTTTGAGAGAGATCTATCCACTTTTAACTCCTGGGATTTCATAAGGAAAATAGAGGCTTTCTTCTAAAATGGAGTCTGTAGCACCTCCTCTGTTCCCAAGGAGTCCCAGGCTAACAGATGTTATCCTAGGGCCTCTCATGTGTATTAAGAGTGGCAAGAAAATGGAGAAAAATAATTCAGTTGACTGAGAACAAAATAAAACCTTTTTCACCCAATTGCTGGCAAGATGGCCGAATAGGAACAGCTCCAGTCTGTAGCTCCCAGCAAGATCAACGCAGAAGGCAGGCTATTTCTGCATTTCCAACTGAGGGACCCAGTTAATCTCATTGAGACTGGTTGGACAGTGGGTGCAGCCCACAGAGGGCAAGCCAAAGCAAGGTGGGTGTTGCCTCACGTGGGAAGTGCAAGGAGTCTGGGGATTTCCTGTTCCTAGCCACTGGAAGCCATGAGAGACTGCATGGGAGGAAGGAACAGTGCACTCTGGCCCAGATACTGCGCTTTTCCCATGGACTTTGCCACCAGCAAACCAGGAGATTCCCTCTGGTGCCTGACTCAGTGGGTCCCACCTTCATGGAGCCCAGCAAGCTAAGATCCACTGGCTTGAAAGTCTCACTGCTAGCACAGCAGTCTGAGGTCGACCTGAGACTCCTGAGCTTGGTGAGGGGAGGGGCATTGCTGAGGCTTGAGTAGGTGGTTTTACCCTCACAGGGTAAACAAAGCTGCCAGGAAGTTTGAACAGGGTGGAGCCCACCACAGCTCAGCAAGGCCACTGCTGCCCGACCGCCTCTCTAGGCAGGGCATGTCTGAAAAAAAGGCACCAGCCCCCGTCAGGGACTTACAGATAAAACCCCCATCTCCCTGGGACAGAGCACCTGGGGGAAGGGATGGCTATGGGCGCAGCTTCAGCAGACCTAAGTGTCCCTGCCTGACCATTCTTAAGAGAGCAGCAGATCTCCCAGCACTGCATTCGAGCTCTGATAAGGGACAAGCTGCCTCCTCAAATGGGTCCCTGACCCCCATGTATCCTGACTGGGAGACACCTCCCAGTAGGGATCAACAGACACCTCATACAGGAGAGCTCTGGCTGGCATCTGGCGGGTGCCCCTCTGGGACGAAGCTTCCAGAGGAAGGAAGAGGCAGCAATCTTTGCTATTCTGCAGCCTCTGCTGGTGACACCCAGGCAAAGAGGGTCTGGAGTGAACCTCCAGCAAAGTCCAGCAGATCTGCAGCAGAGGGGCCTGACTGTTAGAAGGAAAACTAACAAACAGAAAGAAATAGTAGCAACATCAACAAAAAGGACGTCCACTCACAGACCCCATCCGAAGGTCACCGACTTCAAAGACCAAAGGTAGACAAATCCACGAACATGGGGAGAAACCAGTGCAAAAAAGCTGAAAACTCCAAGAACCAAAACACCTCTTCTCCTACAAAGGATCCCAACTCCTAGCCAACAAGGGAACAAAACTGGGCGGAGGATGTGTTTGATGAATTGACAGCAGTAGGCTTCAGAAGGTGGGTACTAACAAACTTCTCTGAGCTAAAGGAGCACGTTCTAACCCAATGCAAGGTAGCTAAGAACCTTGATAAAAGGTTGCGGGAACTGCTAACTAGAATAACCAGTTTAGAGAAGAACATAAATGACCTGATGGAGCTGACAAACACAGCAAGAGAACTTAGTGATGCATACACAAGTACCAATAGCTGAATCGATCAAGCAGAAGAAAATATATCAGAGATTGAAGATCAACTCAACGAAATAAAGCGAGAAGATAAGATTAGAGAAAAAAAGAGTGAAAAGAAACAAAGCCTGCAAGAAATATAGGACTATGTTAAAAGACCAAATCTATGTTTGATTGGTGTACCTGAAAGTGACGGGGAGAATGGAACCAAGCTGGAAAACACCCTTCAGGATATTACCTAGGAGAACTTTCCTAACCTAGCAAGACAGGCCAACATTCAAATTCAGGAAATACAGAGAAAACCACAAAGATATTCCTGAAGAAGAGCAACCCTAAGACACATAATTGTCAGGTTCACCAAAGTAGAAATGAAGGAAAAAAATGCTAAGGGCAGCCACAGAGAAAGGTCAGATTACTCACAAAGGGAAGCCCATCAGACTAACAGCAGATCTCTCGGCAGAAACCCTACAAGCCAGAAGAGAGTGGGGGCCAATATTCAACATTTTAAAGAAAAGAATTTTCAACCCAGAATTTCATATCCAGCCAAACTAAGCTTCATAAGTGAAGGAGAAATAAAATCCTTTACCGATAAGAAAATGCTGAGAGATTTTGTCACCATCAGACAGACTTGTCCTACAAGAGCTCCTGAAGGAAGCACTAAACATTGCAAGGAACAACCAGTATCAGCCACTGCAAAAACATACCAAACTGTAAAGACCTTTGACGCTATGAAGAAACTGCATCAACTAATGGACAAAATAACCAGCTAGCATCATAATGACAAGATCAAATTCATACATAACAATATTAACCTTAAATGTAAATGGGCTAAATGCCCCAATTAAAAGACACAGACTGGCAAATTGGATAGACAGTCAAGACCCATCAGAGTGCTGTGTTCAGGAGACCCATCTCACGAGCAAAGACACACATAGGCTCAAAATACAGGGATGGAGGAAGATTTACCAAGGAAATGGAAAGCAAAAAAAAAAAAGCAGAGGTTGCAATCTTAGTCTCTGATAAAACAGACTTTAAACCAACAAAGATCAAAAGAGACAAAGAAGGCCATTACATAATGGTAAAGGCATCAATCCAACAAGAAGAGCTAACTATCCTAAATATAAATGCACCCAATACAGGAGCACCGAGATTCATAAAACAAGTTCTTAGAGACCTACAAAGAGACTTAGACTCCCACACAATAATAATGGGAGGCGTTAACACCCCACTGTCAATATTAGGCAGATCAACGAGATAGAAAATTAACAACGATATCCAGGACTTGAACTCGGCTCTGGATCAAGTGGACCTAATAGGCATCTACAGAACTCTCATCCCCCAAATTAACAGAACATACACTCTTCTCAGCACCACATCGCACTTATTTTAAAATTGACCACATAATTGGAAGTAAAACACTGCTCAGCGAATGCAAAAGAATGGAAATTATAACAAACAGTCTCTCAGACCACAGTGCAATCAAGTTAGGACTCAGGATTAACAAACTCACTCAAAACTGCACAACTACATGGAAACTGAACAACCTGCTCCTGAGTGACTACTGGGTAAATCACGAAATGAAGGCAGAAATAAAGATGTCCTTGAAACCAATAAGAAGAAAGACACAACATCCCAGAATCTCTGGGACACATTTAAAGCAGTGTGTAGAGGGAAATTTATAGCACTAAATGCCCACAAGAGAAAGCAGGAAAGATCTAAAATTGACACCCTAACATCACAATGAAAAGAACTAGAGAAGCAAGAGCAAACAAATTCAAAAGCTAGCAGAAGACAAGAAATAACTAAGATCAGAGCAGAATCGAAGGATATAGAGACTCAAAAAAACCCTTCAAAAAATCAATAAATCCAGGAGCTGTTTTTTGAAAAGATCAACCAAATAGATAGACCACTAGCCAGACTAATAAAGAAGAAAAGAGAGAAGAATCAAATAGATGCAATAAAAAATGATAAAGGGATATCACCACCGATCCCACAGAAATGCAAGCTACCATCAGAGAATACTATAAACACCTCTATGCAAATAAACTAGAAAATCTAGAAGAAATAGATAAATTCCTGGACGCATACACCCTCCCAAGACTAAACCAGGAAAAAGTCAAATCCCTGAATAGACCAATAACTAGTTCTGAAATTGAGGCAGCAATTAATAGCCTACCATCCAAAAAATGTCCAGGACCAGACGGATTCACAACCGAATTCTACCAGAGGTACAAAGAGAAGCTGCTACCCTTCCTTCTGAAGCTATTCCAAACAATAGAAAAAGAGAGAATTCTCCTTAACTCATTTTATGAGGACAGCATCATCCTGATACCAAAAACCTGGCAGAGACACAACAAAAAAAGAAAATTTCAGGCCAATATTCCTGATGAACATTGATGTGAAAATCCTCAATAAAATACTGGCAAACCGAATCCAGCAGCACATCAAAAAGCTTATCCACCACAATCAAGTTGGCTTCATCCCTGGGATGCAAGGCTGGTTCAACATACGCAAATCAGTAAATGTAATCCATCACATAAACAGAACCAATGATAAAAACCACATGAATATCTCAATAGATGCAGAAAAGGCCTTCGACAAAATTCAACAGCCCTTCATGCAAAAAACTCTCAATAAGCTAGGCACTGATGTAATATATCTCAAAATAATAAGAGCTATTTATGACAAACCCACAGCCAATATCATACTGAATGGGCAAAAACTGGAAGCATTCCCTTTGAAAACCGGAACGAAGCAAGGATGCCCTCTCTTACCACTCCTATTCAACATAGTATTGGAAGTTCTGGCCAGGGCAATCAGGCAAGAGAAAGAAATAAAGGGTATTCAATTAGGAAAAGAGAAAGTCAAGTTCTCTCTGTTTGCAGATGACATGATTGTATATTTAGAAAACCACATGATCTCAGCCCAAAATCTCCTTAAGCTGATAAGCAACTTCAGCAAAGTCTCAGGATACAAAGTCAATGTGCAAGAATCACAAGCATTCCTATACACCAATAACAGAGAGCCAAATCATGAATGAACTCCCATTCACAATTGCTACAAAGAGAATAAAATACCTAAGAATACAATTTACAAGGGATGTGAAGGTCCTCTTCAGGGAGAACTACAATCAACTGCTCAAGGAAATAAGAGAGGACACAAACAAATGGAAAAATATTCCATGCTCATGGATAGGAAAAATCAATATTGTGAAAATGGCCATACTGCCCAAAGTAACTTATAGATTCAATGCTCTCCCAATCAAGCTACCACTGACTTTCTTCAAAGAAATGGAAAAAACTACTTTAAATTTCATATGGAACCAAAAAAGAGCCCGCATAGCCAAGACAATCCTAAGCAAAAAGAACAAAGCTGGAGGCATCATGCTACCTGACTTCAAACTATACTACAAGGCTACAGTAACCAAAACAGTGTAGAACTGGTATCAAAACAGATATATAGATCAACGGAACAGAACAGAGGCCTCAGAAATAACACAACACATCTATAACCATCTCGTGTCTGACAAACCTGACAAAAACAAGAAATGTGGAAAGGATTCCCTGTTTAATAAATGGTGTTGGGAAAACTGGCTAGCCATAGCCAGAAAACTGAAACTGGACCCTTTCCTTAAGCATTATACAAAACTTGGCTCATGATGGATTAAAGACTGAAACGTAAAACCTAAAACTATAAAAACCCAGAAGAAAACCTAGGTAATACCATTCAGGACATAAACATGGGCAAAGACTTCATGACTAAAACACCAAAAACAATGGCAACAAAAGCCAAAACTGACAAATGGGATCTACCTAAACTAAAGAGCTTCTGCTCAGCAAAAGAAACTATCATCAGAGTGAACAGGCAACCTACAGAATGGGAGAAAAAAGTGGGCAAAGTATATAAACAGACACTTCTCAAATGAAGACATCTATGCTGCCAATAAACATATGAAAAAAAGCTCATAATCACTGGTCATTAGAGGAAGGCAAATAAATCAAAACCACAATGAGATACCATCTCACGCCAGTTAAAATGGCAATCATTAAAAAGTCTGGAAACAATAGATACTGGCAAGGATGCAGAGAAATAGGAACACTTTTACACTGTTGGTGGGAGCGTAAATTAGTTCAACTATTGTGGAAGACAGTGTGGCGATTCCTCAAGGAACCAGAAATACCATTTGATCCAGCCATCCCATTACTGGGTATATACCCAAAGGATTACAAATCATTCTACTATAAAGACACATGCACACGTATGTTTACTGCAGCACTATTTACAATAGCAAAGACTTGGAACTAACCCAAATGCCCATCAATGATAGATTGGATAAAGAAAATGTGGCACATAGACACCATGGAATACTATGCAGCCATAAAAAGGAATGAGTTTATGTCCTTTGCAGGAACGTGGATGAAGCTGGAAACGATCATCCTCAGCAAACTAACACAGGAACAGACAACCAAACACCACATGTTGTCACTTATAAGTGGGAGTTGAACAATGAGAACACATGGACACAGGGAGGGGAACATCACACACCAGGGCCTGTCAGGGGTTGGGGGGAAAGGGAGTGAGAGCATTAGGACAAATAGCTAATACATGCGGGGCTTAAAACCTAGATGATGGGTTGATAGGCGCAGCAAAACACCATGGCACATGTATACCTATGTAACAAACCTTCACGTTCAGCACATGTATCCCAGATCTTAAAGTAAAATAAATAAGTAAATAAAATAAAATAACCAAAAGAGTAAAAAAAAAAAAAAAAAAAGAATTAATGAAATGCTTAGCCGGGCATGGCCAATGGAATTAGAATTAGCCCAGTCTTGCTATAACTTTCTGCTTCCTTATTGTCCTGAGTTTCAGTGGGCAACAGATTCATCTTTGGAGATTACTACAGAAATCTCTGCAACACTGTCTTTTTGCATTCATAACTTAAGGCTTTCATAATTATTGCAGAAGTTTCTCAGTCTCTCCATGTGAAATTTCTCTTAGCTATTGGATTTTAGATATTTCACAGTTCCTTTTGTGCTTTTAAACACACAGGTCCAATTCTGCTACTTAAAGTGGTTCCATGTTCCATTCGCCTGCTCAAAATATGCCTGTTTAATTCCTCTTCTATGGTGATTGATCTGTTTACACTATACTATACTAGACTGGGGAAGTTTTAAAGTTGAATCCAGCTTTTTAGAATGCAGACAGCTGCTAAATTGGTGACAAAAATGAGATGCTACCTTAAAAAGTCTATCCAAATGTACCAAAGGTACTTGCTGTATGAGGCATCATAACTTCCTGTGAAAATGAAAGCTATGCACTTTTTGAATTAAAAACAATGGTGCACAGATATACATACACTCCTGAGCATGCATCAGGTGTGCCGCACACATTCACACACACGCCTCCTCTCCCCCGCACACACATTATCTTAGAGTGTGCCTTGGCATCCTTCTTCACGTAGACATACGACATTGTTGAAGAGACCCAGCTCTGTGTGGTCAGTCTGTGTGCCCAGCATCACCTTTGTCCCTCCACAGCTATGTGCCCACTTTGTGTGGTCTTTATATTTTTCTGAAGAAGAGTCAGGTTACTCATTCACTTTATTTGTGTACACACTTCAAAAAATATATATTATAACATTTCTATAATATCCAATAAAAGGATGAAATTAGAGGATGTGACTTCTGACCCAATAAAGGACAAAATAAAATGGTAATAATCAAGCTAAAATAAAACAAACACAAACAAGGTAGACAGAATAAAAGTGATATGAACAGCAAGTATACTAACAGAAAGTACAATATAAGATGATAGAAATGAGTCCACAAACACAATGGATACAAACAGATTAAACTCTATAATGAAAAGATAAAGACACAAAAGGTTTGAAAAGAAGATGATGGAAAACCAAACACCAAATATATGTTAACCCAAGTAAAAGAGGCTTAACTGTATCAACATCAGATGAATTAAATATTAATGCTAAAGTCATCCTTATGGATAAAACAGTCATCCATTTGAGAAAATCTGTTAAGTTCTCAGATAGCTATAACAATTTAAATCTACATGCATCTAATTAAATGGCATTAATATATATAATGTACATAAAAGAAAAATTAACAGAACAAAAATAGAAATGAACAAATCCACCATTATATTGGAATAATTCAGCATATTCTCACCAGCTGTGAGAATGGTCTATGACTGGCATAGAGACCAAAAGTAATATAAATATAAAAGATTTAATAGTTTAATAAGCTCCTTATAATGGACACATATAGAAAACTACGCCAAATAATTGGAGAACACACAATCTTTTCAAGCATTCCAGAAAATTTTCTAAAACTTGGTTACCCACTTGACATAAAGTATGTCTTCTCAAATTTCAAAGAATCTGAAATTTTCTGACTCTAATACAAAAATTTAAAAATTAATATCAAAAGAAAGCCTTCAATGGCCCTGTATATTTAAAAATGTAAAAAGACACGTAAAGATCTCTGTGAGTTAAAAGTCATAATAAAAATAAAATTGTGTCTAGGAGACTTTGATAATAATAACAAACTTAATTTACTCCATTCATAATTAAGGCTTTCATAATTATTGCACAAGTTTGACAAAGTACATATTTAAAAGAAAAATTTTACCTTTAATTTTTATGCATGGATCTTATTTGGGCCATAAGCCAAGCACATGAATGTGTGTGTGTGTGTGTGTGCATCTGTATATATACAAGATATTCTACTCTGGGGCAGGCAGAAATGTCTAGGAGTTGGGATGAAATGGAATTGGCCATGAGTTGATGACTGCGGAAGCTTGGAGAAGGCCTGTAGCTGTTTCTTGGACCATTATCTCCCTCTCATCCTTCACCCCAACGAGTCCTGTATCTAGTCCCATATAACAACACCACACACTGAGACAAATATTTTTGTCAGCTTCTTACATACACGTTGAGATGACTTTATACATTTATAAGAAACAAGTAAAGGCATATATGTATTTTCCCTTGTTCACATAATATATAGTATATCATACACATCCATTTACAACCCACTTTTTTCACCTAACATCATATCTCAGAAAGCCTTCCTTATCATTTGATTGTAGTGGCATTCCCACCATTTGGACACACAGTGTTTTATTGAATCCTTCCTCTCCTGAGGAACATCTAGGGTGTTTGTAACTCTGTGCGAAGGCTAGGGCTGCCGTGAACAAAACTGTGCATCCGCCACGTCATCCATGGGCAAGTGTCTCTGCAGGAAACATTCTCAAAAATGGAACAGCTGGGAGAGCTGGGTCCCATATCTGATCATTAATACATTTTATTACTGGTGGATATTACCAAATATTTCTCCTCGGGGATTGTACCAATTTGTACTTGTACCAGAAGTGTGCAGGAGTTATTTGCAATACTTTAATAACCCAGTGCATTTGCGTCCTACCTCATCAGATGCCACCCTCTGGGAGATGATTTAAGAGGGATGTCTTCCATGACAATACCTCCTGGGCTGCACTAGGAGACAGACACGTGCCCCTAGGGGTCCCGCAAATGCATGTCTCATAACACTTCTCACACTGCATTATGATTGCCAGGGTTCTTCATTTTCTCAAGCTCCTGAATACCAGTTCTGTCTTATTTGTCTTCTTTCACCTGTACTTCCTACCATGCCAAACCCACAGGAAGCTATTGGAGTGTTTGTAACATGAATCTTTAAAAATGGGCTGAGGTCTCTATGGATTATATATACTTCCTAAATCAATTTCAAAATACAAAAAAATACAAGCAAGAAATAGAAAGCACATATTTTTATTTATTTATTTATTTATTTATTTATTTATTTATTTATTTATTTTTTGTGAGCAACAAGGCTGTTTATTTCACCTGGGTGCAGGCGGGCTGAGTCCGAAAAGACAGTCAGTGAAGGGAGATAGGGGTGGGGCCGTTTTATAGGATTTGGGTAGGTAAAGGAAAATTACAGTCAAAGGGGGTTGTTATCTGGCAGGCAGGGGCGGAGGTCACAAGGTGCTCAGTGGGGGAGCTTTTGAGCCAGGATGAGCCAGGAGAAGGAATTTCATAAAGTAATGTCATCAGTTAAGGCAGGAACAGGCCATTTTCACTTCTTTTGTGGTGGAATGTCATCAGTTAAGGCAGGAACCGGCCATCTGGATGTGTACCTGCAGGTCACAGGGGATATGATGGCTTAACTCGGGCTCAGCGAAAAAGCACATATTTTAAAAAAGCATTACAGTGTGGAGATTCCTTGAAGAACTAAAAGTAGAACTAGCATTTTTTTTTGGTTACTTTTGCATTTTGTTTTGTTTTTAAACATGATACGCCGTTGTCCAGGGAAGGCAGAGAACAGTGAAGTTATTCCAGCCACAGAGAAAGGGAATGCCAGGGTGCAAGCCTCTCTTGCCAAAAGCCTTGGAGAATCTAGAAGAAATTTTTGGTCGTGGAGAGGCAGGAACGTGGATCTTGGGGCTGGACAGCCTTGGCCCAGGTTCGGGTCCTTGCTCTGCCATGTACTTTCCCGGACCTCTCAGTGGGGTCCCTGGGCCAGCAGCATCGCATGCCCTGGGAGTTTGTTAGAGCAGAGCCCACTGAGTCAGATGTGCATTTTCAACTAGACCGCCAGGCGATTCTTAGCATGTTAAGGTTTGAAGAACATTGACCTGGGATTCTGGGCAAGCCAAATCACTCCAGTGTGCCTTAGGGTCCTTATCTGTCGCGTGGTGATAATGCCTACTTGAAAAGGTCGTTGTGATAATTCAATGAGGTAAGGTAGTCCAGCGCTGAGCATAGTGCCTGGTCCATAGGAGGTGTTCCATATTTATCTCCAGCCCGTGGACCTTCTTTCGGGAAGTTTAAATTTCTTTTCCACTCTCAAAATGGCCTCTTGGTTTTGAACTTGAAGCTGTTGTAGTGCTGCAGTCGGACAGTAGAGGGCAATCTCGGTATTGCCATCGCGGAGAGCGCGACACCAGGCTGTGTGGGTCCGGACTGAGAGTGCGCCGGTGCTGCCGGCCAGCACCTGGGTACCCGGCCAGCACCTGGGTACCCACCCAGCTCGCTTACTTAGCAGCACCCCTTCCGGGGTCGAGAGTCCTGGGCCTGAGCCTGCAGCCTCGGCCATCTGGTCCCTCACTTGATCTCCCACTGCTAGTTATAAACAAATCTTGTGCAAACCTCCCGGGCTCATCCGCAGTCCCGCGGAGCGGCTAGACGTTGATGAAGGATCCCTGGTCGCCTTTGGCCGTCTCGGGCTCCAGGCAGCGCCCCTTCCTCTGTGTGACGTGAGGTTCTGGTGGAATTTGGCATAGCAGCGCAACCCTCCAGGAAGTCTTGGTGATGGTCGCACGGTTCCCCTTCTGCTGATGATGTTTCGTTACTGTCACTGGAGAGTTTACCCTGGTTTTTCTTTCTTCTTTGCAGAGGGCCCGCCATCAGGTTTTAAGTCTTCATAATCGGTCCAGTCGAACAAGGCCACGTCCAGTGTGGGTATCACCTCCCCGTCAGGCCTGCGCTGTGCCTGGGGCCGCAGGGGGGCGATGAGCAGGATCAGGGACTCTTCTGTGGCAGGTGCTGCCTCAAAGGTGGTGAGGAAGAGCATGGTGGGGGCCAGACTGGCGGAAGAATCCTCCATGGTCGCATCCAGCGCCTTGGCTTCGGAGAGCTCCGCCTTCATCAGGGAGCTGGGACCTCCGACCAAGGCTCGGCCTCGGTGCAGCCTCAGCCTGTCCCTGCGTCTCTTGTACTCCCTGCTGCGTTTCCTGGCTCTCTACCACCCTGGACACCGATTCTCCTTCTTGGGGTAGGGAAACTCGAGCCCCAGGAGCAGGTCCTTGACCCGCAGCAGGCCTGCAGGACTCTGCTCAGGCAGCGGCCCCTCAGGCCCTGGCAGCCTGTAAGCCTGCCTGGTGGCGGTGAGCACAGCCCTATCCTGGGCCTCCCTGGGCAGGCCTGAGCCCCACTCCTTCTTGCCCGGGCCCCGCTGGCGGTGGTGGCTGGCCTGAGGCGACCACAGCGCTGGGCCTGGGAGGTCGATGTGATTCTCGGGTAGATTCTGAGCAGGGGTCCCAGGTGCAAGGGCGTTTGCCAGGCTCAGCTCCAGGGGCAGCAGGAGGACTAGGACTAGGGTCGGCAGGGAGGAGGCGGAGGGGCGCCGGGCCGAGCACCCGCGGGAGCCTAGCGCAGCAGAGGGTGAGCCGCAGAGCGGGGACTGCGGGGTGGAGAGGTGCGCGGGCGGCGGGAGAATGTCAGAACTACCATTTGATCCAGCAATCCCACTACTGGGTATCTACCCAGAGGAAAAGAAAGGAAAAGAAGTCATTATACGAAAAAGATACTTGCACAAGCATGTTTGCAGCAACACAATTCGCAATTGCAAAAACAGGGAACCAACCCAAATGCCCATCAATCAACGAGTGGATAAACTGATATACATATATATATATGTTTCTTATATATATGTTTCTTTTATATATGTTTCTTATATATATATCAGTTTCTTATATATATATGATAAAAAAACTATGCAGTCATAAAAAGGAATGAATTAATGGCATTCCTAGTGACCTGGATGAGACTGGAGACTATTATTCTAAGTGAAGTAACTCAGGAATTGAAAACCAAATATCGTTATGTTCTCACTCCTAAGTGGGAGCTAAGCTATGAGGATGCAAAGGCATAAGAATGATGCAATGGACTTTGGGGACTCAGGGGGGAAGGGTGAGAAGGGGGTGAGGGATAAAAGACTGCAAATTGGTTCAGTGTATACTGCTCAGGTGATGGGTGCACCAGAATCTCACAAATCACCACTAAAGAACTTACTCATGTGACCAAACACCACCTGCTCCTCAATAACCCATGGAAATAAAATTAAAATAAATAAAAAGAAATTTAAAAAAATAAAAAAGCATTACGAAGTCAAATTCAGTAAAAGAGACACAAACATGGTTTAAAATGACCCAAAAATAACAACTTTCAAATTCTGAACACAGATAGGGATGGGGCTATTTGTTTGTTTTAGTGCCTATAGAAATTGTATTATAACCAGGCTTTTATAGTCATTTGTTGAAAAAAAAGTACAACATAAAGTGAATACACTAATCAAGGAAGCTGTATATATGCTATAAATATATACATTTTTCATATATGTCCATAGGGGAATGCCCATCATTCTGGAGAAGTTGCATGGAGCTGTTTAGTACATTTTAAACTAATTTTCCTAAAAAAAAAAAGAGAATTTCTCCTAAATTCAGACACTGCTTCATTGGTTAATTCATTTTTTAATCCATCCATTCACTCAATATCTCAGCAAATATTTATGGTGGCTTTTTTTTTTTTTCCTTTTAGTAAAGGACTATGCTAGGCCAGGCACAGTGGCTCATTGCTTGTAATCGTAGCACTTTGGGAGGCCGAGGTGGGAGAATCACTTGAGCCAGGAGTTGGAAACCAGCCTAGGCTCTGTCTCTACTAAGAATAATAGCTAAATTTAAAAAATATATTTTAAAAAAGGACTATGCTAGTTCTTTAAGGTATCCAAAGCTTATCTGACAAAAATCCCAGGCTCTGTAAATTTATAGAAGAGTGGGAAATAATTTTATCAGTAAATTATATCATTGTACTTAAAATGTTTTGATTTGGCTTTGATTCTAAGAAATGCAAGGAAATATAAAATGGTTTACATTAATTATATATTGCATATATTCATATGCAAATATTTAAATATGTATTAAAATGTATATGTGGTATATTATTCAACCTTGTTTGTGAATTTAGGAAAAAAGAGATTTGTACATTTTAAAACTTCTTTGTATGAAAAAAAATTCTGGAAACTGTAAGTGCGAGCTATCTACATTAGTGTTTCTGTGTTTGCCAAAACAGTATTACAGCCCAAAGGGGAATGGTTGAGGACAGATAACTTGACCAAATGGCCCTGGCTAAAAAAGGCGAGGAGATTGCATCAAACTCACTCCAAAAGCGAATCAAAGAATAACTTGAAACTGCTGTCACTCATTTAGATTTTGCTTCCTGGTCCTTAGTGGTAGCTGATGAGGTTTAGAAATAAGCACATGTATCTGTCTATACTGAAGGGAAGAAGATAAATCTACTATGGCACCAGTTCCAAACACTGCATGAGCAGTCGAGAGAAACAATTTACCAGATCATGCTTAATGGCAAATCAGAAATGACAGGTATGAAATGACATGTATGAAAACATCGGGCTGCAACTTGAAAATACTGGAAAATGAGTCATCTATGTTTACAGAACCAATCAGATCTTGGACTGATAACACTTTGTAAGTTGCAATTGCTGGATATCATGTATCTATGTGATCAGGACCATCTGTAATGATGAATGGCTCATGTTCACACAGCTTCAAATGCCTGATTTCTGAAATGATCAACTATTTATTAGGTGTAAGGTAAGGGCAATGATGCATATGATCTTCTCCTGTGCTTAGAGATGTTAAAATTCACTTACGGAACTACGAACATTATGACATGCAATAAAACTTCTAAACTATGTAGTAACATCCAAGGCAGGATTTTGTGGATTATGTGTTAGTAATGATATTTAAAGAGAATATTAACATTTTGTTAAGCAAATATATTAATATATTAATTATGTGATAATTTTCATTTTAAATACAATAAATTAATTTTATCGTAAGCATCTTCTTTTCTATTTACACATAAAACTCCTACAAATTCACATAATAAAAACTGATGTTTTTAATCTGTACTCAAGAATAGAGAGTCATATGTTTTATATAAAGAGAGTCTATTTCAACATGGCAAAACCGCTTCTCTACTAAAAATACAAAAATTACCTGGGCATGGTGATGCGTGCCTGTGGTCCTAGCTCCTTGGGAGTCTGAGATGGGAGGATGACTTGAGGCCAGGAGACAGAGGTTGCAGTGATCTATGATTACACCACTGCCCTCCAGCCTGGATGATAGAGCAAGACCCTGTCTCAAAATAAAATAAAATAAAATAAATAAAATAAAATAAAATAAAATAAATAAAATAAAATAAAATAAATAAAATAAAATAAAATAAAATAAAATAAAATAAAATAAAATAAAATAAAATAAAATACAAAGTGTATAGGTCAGCTGGATACAGTGGCTCATGCCTGCAATCCCAGCACTTTGGGAGGCTGAGGCAGGAGGATCACTTGAGGCTAGGAGCTCAAGACCAGCCTGGGCAACACACTGAGACCACGTCTCTACAAAACACACACAAAAAAATTAGCCAGCATGGTGGCACACGCCTGTATTCCCAGGTACTCGGGAGGCCTGAAGTGAGAGGATCCCTTGAGCCATCGCATACAATTTGCAGCCAGGTGGAAGACAGTACAGACCTCAAAGCCTCCATTAACTCAATGAACCCCTTCCCCAGCACACGGACACATACACAAAGACTTACACTCATGGCACTTGCTTATGGGAGCCAGTGTTTCTCCTTGGGGGTAGCAAGGATGAGCTTTTTATTGTCACTGTGCCTTCTCAGTTTATGCAAGTCAATACCTTTGGACAAGGGCTGAGAAGAGGATGGAATCCACCCTACCTCCCTCTTTATAATGGTGCCATTTAAAAAATTATTTTGTAGAGATGAGATCTTGCTATGCTGGCCAGGGTGGTCTCAAACTCCTGGCCTCAAGTGATTCTCCCATCCCTGCCTCCCAAAGCGCTGGGATTACAGGCATGAGCTACTGTGCCCACCTAAAACAATGCCATTTTTAAGATGAGGTGCATTTAAAGAAAGGGTGTATTTGGTAGGCAAAATAAGTACCCTCCAAAGATGTCCAGGAACTCATCCCTGGAACCTGTGAACATGTGAGACGACAAGGCAAGGGAGGAAATGAGTTGGAAGGTGCTAATGACAGGTACCAATCAGCTGACCTGAAACATGGATATTATCTTGGGTTAACTCTGGGGGAGTCCAGTGGAATCCCAAGGGTCTTTCTAAGTGTAAAAGAGGCAGGAGAAAGGAACCAGAAAGACAGCCACATGAGAAGGATCCGACCCCAAAAATGCTGGCTTTTAAGATGGAGAAAGAGGCCATGAGACAAGGAATGGTGGGAGCTTTCAGAGTCTGAAAAACACAAGAAAACAGCTCCTCCCCTACAACCCCCAGAAGGGACACTGCCCCACTGCCATCTTGATTTTTAACACAAAGACACTCATTCTAGACTTTACACTGAAACTATAGAACTGCAGGGCAATAAGTGTATGTTTTTATTTTTAATTCCAAAAATTTCACTAACTTATTTTAATTGACGAACTTAAATGGTATATACTGTCTACACCAGGTTGCTTTGAAATATGTGTACATCGTGAAATAGCTACACCGAGCTAGTTGAAATTTGCATTACTTCATCTAAGTATAATTTTCTTTGTGGTGAGAACTCTTAAAATCTACCCTCTTAGCAATCCTTAAAAATATAATACTATCATTATCTGTTGTCACCATGTTTTACAATAGAGCTCTTGAACTTCTCCTGTCTAACTGAAATTTGTACGCTTTGGCCAACATCTTCCCAGCCTTCCACCTCCCCCAGCTCCTGGTAACCATCATTCTATTCTCTGTTTCTGTGAGTTCAACTGTTCTAGATTCCATATAGAAGTGAGATAATGCAGCCAGGCTCAGTGGCTCATGCCTGTAATCCCAACAATTTGGGAGGCTGAGGTGGAAGTATCACTTGAAGCCAGGAATTTGAGATCGGCCTGGGCAACACAGGGAGACTTCATTTCTAAAAAGAATATATATTTTAGCTGGGCATGGTGTGCACACCTGTGTTATCAGACACTCTGAAGGCTGAGGTGGGAGGATCGCTCGAGCCCAAAAGGTCAAGATTGCGGTGAGCAATGATCACACCACTGCACTCTGGCTGGGCCAGAGCGAGACAATATCTCTAAAGAAAAAAAAAAAATGTGACTTCAAGTACACAGTTGCTCACTTTATAGTAAGGGGTGACATAAATATCAATTGTTCCACCACTAAGTACATTTTGGCCTCTTTCTCATCCTTCCACTATAGAAGAAATAGTCAGGTAGCCCAGTATGTACAACAGAACTTGCACATGGACCTCCGCAGTGCTTCTTTTGCCTCTGTAACTACTGAAAGAGATCTCAAAAAAGGATCTTCTTAGAAACTTGAAGTAGTACTTAGGAGTACTTATTAGTACCAACACACGCTTTGGGTAAAAGGAAAATCCTTTAAGAAAATGCAAACTTTAGGAATGAAATGCTCCCCACAGGGACTCACTTATTCCTGTATAAGTGATTATAGGCAGAAAAACACTATCTGAATGAACTTGCTTTTTTTCTTAAACTTGGAAAACCTAGAAAAAATAAGAGTGGTATATAGGGGCCAATTAAAATAAAAAGCACAAGGAAAAATGAGAGGAAGTCGCTCCTCTCCCTCCAATGGGAGTATTATGTTTTGAACAATTCATGAATGGAATTTCAGAAACTCAGCAAAAGAATACATTTAACTGACTTACTCCAAATATATTCTGAATTTCATATTTACTAAATAGTTTCCAAATGAACATTTTTTTACATGCTGTTACATGTAAAATTCCTTTTACATGTAAAAACGTGTACATCTTTTTAACATGTTTTTACATGCAAAAATATATTTTTAAACATGTTGTTACATGTTGTTATATGTTGTTACATGTGAAAACATTAACATTAAAAAAAGGAAAGGTAGGTGAATTCATCATTCAAGTTTTTAGATGCAGGTATACTTAAACTTCCACATAATCCGTGAATATTAAACTGGAAAAACAAAGCACTCTACATAATTTAACTTGCCACAGATGTGAAATAATTGTAAGCATACATAAATGTTAACAAAATATTTTCAATCAATGCTAAGGGGAGGTATCATTGAATGATGGACCAAAACAAACTAAATGTCATTTTGATGTCTGTGGAAATGACATACCCACAAACCAGTGGCTCAGCACTGATATTAATGTATCTTGCTCAGTTGCCTTAATTATTTATAGTAGTTTAATTTTTTCAAGAACACAGATGTTAAGGTATTTTTAATAATTTTGATATGGCCATAGAGTATATCTATTTTTTGAAGTCCTACTTTCATTGGAATTGCCTCTTTATCCTAATGAGTAAATACAAAAGAATGCATAGATAGGATAGCTTTTGTCATTGTCTTCTTGTTTTCTGAGACAGAGTCTTGCTCTTGTCGCCCAGGCTGGAGTGCAGTGGCACAATCTTGGCTCACTGCAACCTCCGACTCCCGGGTTCAAGTGATTCTCCTGCCTCAGCCCCCTGAGTAGCTGGGACTACAGGTGCGTGCCACCATGCCTGGCTAATTTTTGTATTTTTAGTAAAGATGGGGTTTCACCATGTTGGCCAGGCTGGTCTCAAACTCCTGACCTCAAGTGATCCACCCGCCTCGGCCTCCCAAAGTGCTGGAATTACAGGCATGAGCCACCGCACCGGGCAGGCTTGGTGTCTTCTTTTATTAGAGAAAAATGTACTTTTCTATGCCCGTGCTTTCTACGTTTTTGAAACTGATACAGATCCACAGAGGTGAACTGAAATCTAAATTATCTTTAATGTTAAAATTTAATTGACCATGTACATAACTGTGCAATCCCTGCCTTCTCACAGAAGTGTCTAGGATTCATTCAACAGATCATAGAAACGAGGTCTGGCATTTAACAGACAAGTGACAGAGGAGCTATACCGATTTATACAACAATTATCAAAACACTGTCATGTAGTTTACTGTAGCTCAAGTTGTGCTCGTATCATATAACATAGGTTCAAGTTCTTTCTTCAGTCATCAGAATAACAGAGGTTGAAGAGACAATGAAGTGCCAACTCTTCCAAAAGCTGTTTCAAAAAAAAATTTAAGTAACTGTGATACACATTTCTGCAAATAAAATATTCCAGTGCTTACATCAATCCTGAGTTTTTAAACTTAAATATGCACTACTTACAGTTCTGACACGATTCTTTTTAAAAACACGGCTAGTTATCAAGTTCACTTTCTTCACTGGAAGAAATGATGCAATAATTGTCTTTAGTGTCCTTGGCAGCCTAAAAGAAAAAGTCTAGTTCACTGACAAACCACCACTTTACATCTCACGTTTTAAACAGGGTTAATCAGATGTCAAAAGGAAACAGCTTTTAATATTCAAAGGATGCTGGTTATTTATTTCAATTTGAAAAAAACTGTAACCAATACATGGAGCTCCAAATACCCACTTAAATTTTTTAATGCCAGATTTCAGTGAAATATTATTTTAGCAGGTCCAATTGTCATGTACTTTGCTTGAATAAAATGGGTTGATGAGCATCTTAAGGTCAAGATGGAGCAAAGACAGAAAAAGTCAGGCAGGCTTACCATGAAATATATTTTTTCAGCAGGTAGTGACCCATGTATTATCAGCAATAGTCTACGGAAAGTGGTTTCCATTGAAGGGATAAAATGGTTGGTGATATGACCTCATCAAGTTAGAGAAAAATGTAACTATGTTTGAAATATATACTATTCCCTCAACAAATAGTTCAACAGTTCCTACTCCTGAAAATGGTGTATGTTAATGCTAAGGAAGATGTAAAAAATGTAAGCACAATCTCTTCCATAATCCTGTGACATGAGCAAATGCACAAATAAAAAAAATTAATACAAAAATTGTATAACTGCTATGGAAGGGCAACTCACTCAGACATGTAGCCAAAAATGGAGACGTATGTTGACTTAGTTGGCAAAAGGTTTAAATTGGTCTTAGTCAAAAAAAAATTTTTTTAAAGCATTGTGAGGGAAGAGCATGAGAAAAGCATAAGAGTAACAGTGAATTCCTTCAGGGAAAGCTGTCAACCTGGATAGGCAGGAGCAAAGACAGAGGGCGGCAAGCCTAAGAGGGGGTCATGTAAAGGGGAGAGTCTCTGAATATCTAAGAACTGAGACGGGGCATCACTGACAGGCTGGGAAGAGGGAAGGGCTAGGAAGCATTTTAGGAAGGGGAGGGTTTTAGGAAGATAATATTGCCGATCAATGAAGGATGGCTCAGAAGAGAAGAGAGAACTCAGAAAAGAGTTTAATAGTACAAGCAAGGAAGAATGAGGTCTTGAACTAGGGCAGCTGCGGTGGGAATTTTAAAAAAAGAAATTTAAGGGCCATTACAGAGGTAAAACTTGCCTCATGATAACTGCATGGGAAGGATAAGGGACTTAGAAGAGTCCAAGATGATAGCAAAGTTCCTACCCTAAGTGGTAACATGTAGCATTAACATTGACAGGAAAACTTCTAGTCTCATGTTCATACCAATTAATAAATGGTTTCTGGTGAACATTATAGCAACATTTTCTCTACTTGTGACTTCTATTTAAATAACTGTTTTGTGTATAGATCATTCTCAAGTTGCTTGAAAATTTTATTTTCAAACTCTTTTCTCAGTTTATTTAACACATCTCAGTTAGTGTAGAGGAGTGACATATGAACATGTCTTTTCACAAGGTTATTAAAAAGAATACCTTACCTCCCAGAAGGGAATTCCATTGTTACCTAAATAATGTACATCTACATGAAGAAGAGGTCATTGATGACAATTTGCTAATGTGCTATACGACAGCAGATAATTCACAATTCACAACGTGTTAATAATTTGCTGGCTTTCCCATTCTGTTATACATCTGAACCATCTCTTATGACTACAAATTGTCATGTAAAACCATTACTAGTCGCTGATAATTTTGAAAGTGAATATGCCATAAAACACTCCTGTATTACAGCAGGAAATAAAAGAGACACTCAGTAGTTACACTTGCCTACTTCCTATTTAACTAAAACTCTTGAAACAACACAAGTAAAAAAGACATCCAGAAAGGATTTATGGTCTTCCTGCCTTCCACCATAGATGTGTCATTGATGTCCTGAAAACTGAAAATAAAATCTTCATTAAAACCCATTTATGCCTAGTGTTCCATTATTGGAACGCTAAGCTTGTGGGAATCATGTATCTCCTACCGCTCAAGAACATAGCCAAGGTCTGTTTCTTCACACACAAAAAATGTGCAGCCTCCGGCATAAATGTGTCAATGCGTTAACAATATACACAAGATGTATATTTCCAGGTAAAATTTCCAATTTACCTTTTCCTGTTCTAAATAACTCCCACAAAACTATTCACGAATCCTAAAAATACATTTACCAGTTATGTTAAATTTGGAACAATACATTCAAAGTGAAAATGGTAAGTAATTTAAAATGCATAACCAAAATGTCTTTCCATACATTCGGAAACAAACAGACTTTCTTCTGTTATGCACGTGTTGTATTTTATAATGTATTATGTTACCAAATAGAACAGACCTTTAGTAATTGCTCAAGTAGCGGCTTCATCTCTCTCAGCCTCCAGCTCCTAACACCTGTAGGTTGTTGCCACCTCTTCTGTTTTTCTTGAAATGCTTTCTAGAAGCACAAAAAAATAGTGATGAAAATTGGGTAATTTTTAATACTTACAAAACATAATTCTGCATTAGCTTTATAGGAATACTCTTTAAATCTATACTTCTTAACACTTTCTTTTAAACAATGTTTATGACCAATTTTAAACAACTGTGTTCACCACCCATATGCTAAAATGATATAATAACCTTTTTCATCAGTGATTAAGGAATTTTCTTTCTTCTACATACATAATCAACACATATGTCTTAATTCTTGATTTTGAATGTAGAGTATTTGACGACCCTTCCTATAATTTGTTGACCACAGATGGGTAAGATATATACAGAAATTAACTAAGAAACATTCTTTCTTACTAAGATTTTAAACAGGTAATAAATCTTGGTCATTTCAGTATGCACACGGATGAACCTTCCAATAATGATTGCCTTTCTGCACCTTGACCTAATCTCCAACAACAGTGTTCTCCTCTCCTCTACGTGGCACTCACTTATACAGTCATCCCCTAGATTTTATCATTCCCAATGACTGCAACATCTACATAATATTAATAATAGCAATGATAAAGAGCAATCATGGGTCAGATCACATCCTGAAAAATTTAAATAAACCCATTACACAGGAACCTTTCAATCCTCCAAATAACTCTGACATAAGTTCTCTTACCGTGTCTCCTTTTGCAGATAAGGAAATTTCGGCACAGAGATAAATAATTTGCCCATGGTTCCCGAGCTAGCAATCGTCAAGCTGGAGTTGAATTACAAGCAGTGGGGCTGCAGTGTCCCAGCCCTTGACCACTGCACTCAGCTGTTTCTCCATCTTCCCAACATACAGCCACTACCTTCCTGCCACTGTAGGTCACTCACTTCAGTACTACAGCTCAGGAGTCTGTTGAGACCCGACACCCACTGAATGGAACACTTTTCACTGCCCATTGCCCACCCCCATGTGCTCAGGTAACTCAGTCCCAGCTGAAATTCCACAGCCAGTCATCATATCCCCATCCCTGCATCTATGCCCTGCCCAACTCTCCTTCTATCAACGTGCGCAGCTACACCCCAACCCAGGAAATTCCAACCCTACAGCTGCTTTTGCACAAATATGCCAACCGGGCTCACTTTAACTTCTTTATCGCTATGATGCTGACCTCAGTTGGACCCCTAATGCTGCGTGGCAATTATATTCCCCTAGTACATGAGTCCACTTATGGGCCCCCCTCTCTGGGCTCATGCTCTCTTCCTTCTTTGCTGGATTTCTGCATGAACTATTACTACCTGAGACATTGATACAATAGGTTAATCATAAAGCTAAGCCTGATACCAACAATTTGTTCTTCCTCTTCCTCTTCTTCTTCTTCCTCTTCCTCTTCTTCTGTTTCTTCTCCTTCTCCTCCTCCTCCTCCTTCTTCTCCTTCTTCTCCTCCTCCTTCTTCTTCTCCTTCTTCTTCCTCCTCTTCTTTCTCCTCCTCCTCCTCCTTCTCTTCCTCCTCTTCGTCTTCTACTACTATTACTTCTGCTGCTGCTGCTGCGGCTTCTGCTGCTGCTGCGGCTTCTGCTGCTGCTGCTGCGGCTTCTGCTTCTTCTGCTTCATCATCTTTCTGCTTCTCTGCGATGTATTCTTTAAGGACATTCAGCAACTTCCGAGTATGTCTATAATCACGTTTCTGCCTGTAACACATAATAAGTAATACGGTCATATGTCATAGAGAGATGAAAAATTAATCCTATTCAAACCAAAACTGACTTCACATAATTTATACTATAAAGTAGCAAGGGAGTAATAGCAGCTGAAATCTTCTTTTTGGGAAAAGGTGAAATGAGTTACTGTCATTCTGAAAGGATCCCTTCCTAACTGACTACTAGAGCAGCTATCTTACATTCTTTATGTGCTGAAAACAAAGGAGAGTTTACTGCACTATAAATTTCCCAGAAACAATAATTTTCTCTAACAGCAGTTTACTTTTCATTTCCTCAAACTAAATAACATATGGGTTCTCATAAGTAGGTTCAAGAATATCATAGCCATTCATCCTGTAAGATTTCCCAAAAGAAATACTTCACTTAACTCTTTCTCCACTTTGGCACAACAATGATTTTCTAAAAGGAATAGTGAAAACAATTTAACTAAAATAGATAACATATTTACAACATAAGGTTGTCCCTTTCCACATAACTTAATATTGTTAAGGATCTACAGACTAAACGTTGAAGACATTTATCTTATATGCAGCTGCCATATTTCTAGAAATGGATAAAAATTAATTTTACAGGAAGACTATTTTTATCTGGAAGGCAAAAAGAGGTCATCTTCATTGGCTTTCTAGATAATATGCCTCAATTCTGTTAAACTGAGGTTATAAAACAAAAGAAACTTACCTGCTTAGGGAACAATCAAGTAAAATATGTTGCTCCCTAGAGACGCCAATATGTACAGGACAGTTTTTGAAATTATTTGCACCAACAAATACAAAGAAATGATATAAATATCATTATGCAAAAAAGCCAACAATCATACCTTTTTAGTTGTTTTTTTTTCAAAGCACGTTCAATTGTGTTCTTGGTTTTCCTGTAAGCTGCTTTATCTATTTTTATCATTTCTCTTTTTGCAGCAAGGCCCTTTTTAATGTCAGCTAGATAGTAAATGAAAATGCATTAAAAGTTAATGTTGAAAAGTGGTTTCTTCGCATATATTGAAATCAACGTGAGATATGATGGTTCAGCAATATCGGAAGGACATTTACATTGTAAAATACAAAGATCATTTCAAAAAGCAAGATTTACTCACTTGTTTTCTGTAAAACCTTTTACGTATTAATATTAGTACTCTAATTCCAATTGGTATAACTGCAAATCACTTAATTTATGGATGATGAAAAAAAGCAAGTAATTTTCGATTTTTTAAATGTGCAGAAAGCGTTACAAACACAGACTCTAATTTCTACATTTATAAAATGTCCTGTAATTCAAAGGACATGTTTCCATGAAATACTGTCACAATTCATTATGTAAAACATACAGAAAAGTATCTTATTTAATAAGACCATCAAAAGGGTAGAAATAACTTAGTACACAATAAGAAGAGCATTTTTTAAGCAATCTGGTGATTGATGCTATTAACTGTATTTTAATAAAAGAAGCATCGTCCATGGGTATAAAAATTTAGGCTTAAGTAAAGAAATACATTCAAAAACACTTTTGAAATATTTTCTTGGAGCTTTTTATATGACATTTTTATCCACAGTGCTGTGTTTCAGAAAACTGTCCTACTGCAAGGAATGCTTTCCTAAACATGGTTTCACATCAGAGATCTACCATCAATTGCTAAAAATAGTTTTCAGCAATCATAAAAGATCTGCACCATAATACAAATATTTTTTACATTCTCCATCTATAATGCTCAGTTAGGTAGCTCACAAAACCAGCACTTACTCACCAAGCAGAGCAAAGCTTTCCAAATATACTGCTTGTATGAATTATCGCTAGAGAAGAGCTGAAAACTGAATTGAGCGTTTTAAAAATAAGAGTATTGTCTCCGCCGTCTCTACAGAAATTTTCTCAATTTTTTTTTGAAAATATGGTCCTATAACAGTCAGTGCAACTAACAGTTCACATGGCAATACAAAATTTATGAGTTTTTGGATCCAATTACATGTTTCTCACTGGGTAGAAAACTTGTCTTTCCTTTTCTAGTACACAGTTTATTACTGGAATAATAATAGAATATCATCATTTTAGATAATTCAATTTTCTCTTGTACTTTAAAGAAAACAAAATCAGAAAGCTGTGACAATAGAATAGCTAAATTAGGAACATAAAAACTCATATTAAAAACTCTTGAGTACATACGGACAGGAAGAGGGGAACAAAAGACACCTGGGCCTACTTGAGGTTGGAGGGTAGGAGGAGGGTGAGGATGAAAACCACCCATCAGGTGCTATGCTTATAACCTGGGTGATAAATAATCTGTATACCAAACCCCTGTGACACGCAATTATCTATATAACAAACCTGCACATGTACCCTCAAACCTAAAATAAAAGATAAAAAAACCTGATATATATACTTAATCTGTGTACACTAAAAGGAACCAATAGAGCTGTTTCTCCTCCAGTGTCCTCTAATATCCCCCAAATAATTAAATTTCCATGTGTATGAAAGAAAAGCCATCCCTCTCACTTCACCATTGTTAGAAGCATTCTCACATTCCACATCAACAATCCAAAAGGTAAGTATGAAAATTTATTAAACGCATTACATTAAATACATATGTTAAATGCTATATATGAGAAGAAGGCATGTTAAGACAGTCTCGTCGTCCACTAATTCATATAACCTACTATAACAGTTGTATGGTTGAAAATAATTTTCAAAGACTACGAATAGCTCCTAAAACATACCTGCAATATGTTCTAGCTTCATGGTATGAATCCTGTAAAAAAAGTTACATCAAAATTTTATCATAATGCTACACAAAATGCCATGTTTGTTGGGAAGATATGTCTTATGTGAAATGTTCCGCATAGAATAGAATAGTGATGACATGAACCAAAGCTGACTTTTCCTAAAAGACCCTATCCGACAGGCAAAAGTGACTTAAACACTTTACCCCGTGTGTTCATCTTTTTCAGCAAAAGGTTCTCTTTCCCCATGCTCATCAGTTACATCTTCCTCCCTTGTTTCTGTAAAAGGGTTTCTTTCCTCACATTCATCACGGACTGGATCCTTTCCTGCATTAAAATGTAAAAGACAAACCATTTTTAGAGGAAGACGCTGTTGTGGACATCTTTTGTAGAGAAACTTATTATTTGTGGACTTTTTTGGCTCTCTACCAATTAAAGCTTTAAAGCAGAGCTATGCATGGAATCACTGGGCTCCGGACCGTTTTACCGAGGCATTTTTGGAAGCCCTTCCGGTTCAAGTCCTAGTAAACAACGCTCACAAGTCAGACCCCTTGGATGTCAGGACCGCATCCATGGAGAAGAGCTGCTCTGCGAGCATCTGTAACCCTGCTATGAGGGGGAGCCTCCCACGGGAAGCCTAAGGCCCTCGATCCTGCTTTGAAAACCTGGGGCCTCTTGGCACATGCACAATGGACTCCAAAGCCACGAAGGGGCCAGGGGTCTCGGGCTGCCCATGTGCCTCCCGCGCAAAGAGCAGACAGACCGTCCTCTTGGGCGTGCACCTTCTTTTCTGGCCCCTTGGGCTGTGTTTACCTGTGTGCTTCTTCGCCGGGGCGGCCCTAACTTGAGCTTCCAACTGAGCTTTGGCAGCCTTCCTGCTGCGCTTCCTGCCCACGGGCTCCATGGTTGGCTGTCCTGGGAAGTTAGAGGCGATCCCTGAACCTGGTTGAGTGCAAAGTCAAACTAAGTAAGCTAAGGAAACAGGATATGTGAAAGGAGAGCCAACGGGATCTCGGATTCAAGAAAGGGTGGGGCTGGCCCACCCCGTGTATCCTGTGGGAGCAGGAGGGGATGGAGAAGATGCCAGTGTCCCCTCCTATCCTTCCTGGCCCGTCCAGCCCCTCCCTGGGGCTGGCTGCAGAACTCACAGCTGCCTCGCACACCTGAATGGCCCCTGCAGGATCCTTGCGGTGTCCCTGGGACAGAGCTCAGCCCTGCCCCTGTGTGCCCCAGAGACCTGCGTGGCCCGGAGGACCACGGGTGCCACAGGACCTCCCCAGCCATCTCTGGGAGAATGTCAGGGGCTGCACTGCCACTTGCCTGCCTGGATGCCCAGGTGACCCCTCGTGACCCCAGGTGTCCTGTCCTGACCGGCGGCCGGGCTGGAGGGACCCACTCGAACTGTCCCCCACAACACCCCTGCTTGTCGCCTCCCCACACACTCCGCCCCTCCTCCTCCCCTTCCCCCATCCCCTCACCCCACGAACCCCACACCCCTCCCCTCCCCTGCCCCCATCCCTGGCCCCACACCCGGCCCCTGCCTATCTGCCACTCCCCCGACCCTCCCCCCTCTGCCACCACCCCTCCCTTGCTCCCCTCTCCACCACCTCCATTCCCCCAAGCCCCCCTCCCCTGCCCCACCCCTCCCCACTGCACACATCCACAAGTCCCCGGGACAATCCCGGGCCCTGGGGATCACTCAGGTGTCTCCAGCTCCCTCCCTGCCCTGGCCCATCCCAGCCCACCCTCAGGGCCTCGCCCTGACCCAGGCCCCAGGCAACGATGCCAGGGCCATTTCCTGCTTTGAAAACCTGGGGCCTCTTAGCACGTGCATGGTGGACTCCAAAGCCACAAAGGGGCCAGGGGTCTCGGGCTGCCCATGTGCCCCCCGCGCAGAGAGCAAACAGACCATCTCCTTGGGCGTGCACCTTCTTTCGTGGCCCCCTGGGCGGCCGTAACTTGAGCTTCCAACTGAGCTTTGGCAGCCTTCCTGCTGCGCTTCCTGCCCACGGGCTCCATGGTTGGCTGTCCTGGGAAGTTAGAGGCGATCCCTGAACCTGGTTGAGTGCAAAGTCAAACTAAGTAAGCTAAGGAAACAGGATATGTGAAAGGAGAGCCAACGGGATCTCGGATTCAAGAAAGGGTGGGGCTGGCCCACCCCGTGTATCCTGTGGGAGCAGGAGGGGTCGGAGAAGATGCCAGTGTCCCCTCCTATCCTTCGTGGCCCGTCCAGCCCGTCCCTGGGGCTGGCTGCAGAACTCACAGCTGCCTCGCACACCTGAATGGCCCCTGCAGGATCCTTGCGGTGTCCCTGGGACAGAGTTCAGCCCTGCCCCTGTGTGCCCCAGAGACCTGCGTGGCCCGGAGGACCACGGGTGTCACAGGACCTCCCCAGCCATCTCTGGGGGAATGTCAGGGGCTGCACTGCCACTTGCCTGCCTGGATGCCCAGGTGACCCCTCGTGACCCCAAGTGTCCTGTCCTGACGGGCGGCCGGGCTGGAGGGACCCACTCGAACTGTCCCCCACAACACCCCTGCTTGTCGCCTCCCCACACACTCCGCCCCTCCTCCTCCCCTTCCCCCATCCCCTCACCCCACGAACCCCACACCCCTCCCCTCCCCTGCCCCCATCCCTGGCCCCACACCCGGCCCCTGCCTGTCTGCCACTTCCCCGACCCTCCACCCTCTGCCACCACCCCTCCCTTGCTCCCCTCTCCACCCCCTCCATTCCCCCAAGCCCCCCTCCCCTGCCCCACCCCTACCCACTGCACACATGCACAAGTCCCGGGGACACTCCTGGGCCCTGGGGATCACTCAGGTGTCTCCAGCTCCCTCCCTGCCCTGGCCCATCCCAGCCCACCCTCAGGGCCTCGCCCTGACCCAGGCCCCAGGCAACGATGCCAGGGCCATTTCCTGCTTTGAAAACCTGGGGCCTCTTAGCACGTGCATGGTGGACTCCAAAGCCAAGAAGGGGCCAGGGGTCTCGGGCTGCCCGTGTGCAGGTCAGCCGGCCGCTCAGCGCTTCACACCCTGGTTGCGAGAGGGCAGCATGCTCGACTTCCTGCCTCCCTACCGCGAGCGCTTCACCTGCGCTTCACACCCTGGTTGCGAGAGGGCCGCATGCTCGACTTCCTGCCTCCCCACCGCGAGCGCTTCACCTGAGGGACCCCTGATGCCGCTTCCTCACAGAACCTGCAGGCACTGGCACCACGACGCTCTCTTAGAAAAATGGGTCCTCAGTTCTCGCGAGAGCAGCTGCCCTGGCTATCCACGCTCCTCTCTGATTGGTCAGCTAAGTGCGCATGCGCATGCGGGTGAAGGACCTTGGGGGCCACGACCCCTGCTGACACGCCTTCCCTCTTTCCGTAAGGGACCACCCATATTTGCTGTGGACTGGGGTGGGTGGTGGTTCTTTGGGGCCTCTGTCCCCAGAAGTTTTCAGCGCCTCCTCCTGGGGAGGGATGCAAGGACTCGGGATGGAAGCCAAGTGGACGGGGCCTAGGACCTCGCCCCCGAGCTCCTTCCAGCCACCCCTGCCCCTTTGGCTAGAATGGCCTTCGCCTTGCAGGTGGAGCCCAGGCTCCCTCCCATGCCCTGTGTGTTTCCACCATGTCCAGCTGCACCCTTTTTATCAATGGATTGTGCTTTTATGTTTTTTGCTTGCTTGTTTGTTTGTTTTGGAGACGGAGTCTCTCTCTGTCGCCCAGGCTGGAGTGCAGTGGCAAGATCTTGGCTCACTGCAACCTCCACCTCTCGGGTTCAAGCGATTCTCCCACCTCAGCCTCCCAAGGAGCTGGGATTACAGGTGCGTGCCACCATTCTCGGCTAATTTTTGTATTTTTAGTAGAGACGGGGTTTCGTCATGTTGGCCAGGCTGGTCTCGAAGTCCTGACATCAAAGTGATCCACCTGCCTCAGCCTCCCAAAGTGCTGGGATTACAGGCATGAGCCACTGAGCCCATACCCAAAGTCGTGTCTTTAAAGGCATCAACTGTATGATGTATAGTTGTTTCCAAGAAATGATGACTAAAAGGTACTGATTGAGAAACTTTTGTCATTTCTTTCTTCAAAAAAAGTCAACTAGTTTCCTGCTAGTTCTTGCCACTTAAGTTAGCCATAGAAATCCCAGGAGTGACCATCAGGTTGTCAAAGGCCTTTCTTCTTGTTGCTGTAAGGTTGACCTGCTGATAGTAACAGATACACCCCACTCTCGGTTATTTCAGGATCAAGTAGATCCATTGGCCATGGAGTGATGGTCTTTTCAAGTCAGGCTATTTTGAGAGGTAATAAAATATTCGTGTACTTTAATTTATTTCCTTTTGTACTTGCTTGTTTTAAAATACAGTTCTGCACATAAATATTTTTGACAAGATGAACAATATAGATCTATTTTGTCACATTACAAAACAAACAAATTATTAAGATAAGTCAACAATGACTGTAAGTAGAACATTGTATTTCGTTATTAATTTTCATTAGATTTCCAAAACATTTTTCTGTATAACATATTCAGATATTTTGAATTCAGCAATGCAGTCAGATGTTTCATGTAAGTGGCTGGGTGCAGTGGCTCATGCCTGTAATCTCAGCACCTTGGGAGGCTGAGACGGGCAGATCACTGGAGGCCAGGAGTTCGAGACCACCCTGGCCAACATGGTGAAACCCCGTCTCTACCAAAATTACAAAAAAAACTGGGTGGCACCACGCCTGTAATCCCAGATACTTGGGTGGCTGAGGCGCGAGAATCGTTTGAACCCAGGAGGCGGAGGTTGCAGTGAGCCAAGATCGCACCATGGCCCTCCAGCCTGGGTGACACAAGGAGACTCTGTCTCAAAATAAAATAAAATAAATAAAATAAGATAAAATAAAACATATAAGTGTTCTTATGTGATGATTATCTGAATTGTTTCTTTTTTCTTTGCTTTTATTCTACATGGGTATTACTTCACTTGTTTTAAAGAGTTGTGTGTTCATAATAAAGGCTCCCTTTTCTACATAGTTGGTCTTCCCTTCTTCCCTCAACATTTTAAAAAAAATTCTACAAAATCTACACAATCAACATTCTTCCTTTGGATTTAAGCTGAATTATTAATTTCTTCCCAACATTACAGTTTTTCAGCAGCTGGGAAATGGAACCAAATGATGTTTAATTCTCCCAGCAGTGATGTGAGGAAACCTGCACAGAACATTGCTGCCCAGGGAGCTCCCCCAAGCCTGACATCCAGTGTGGTTTTGGGAGCATGTAGGCATGGCCGACTGTCTGCATGACCGAAATTAGTCACCAGCCCCTCCAGAGGTCAAGACTGATACAGGTGGCCCAAAGCCCCCACTATAAATCATCAGCATTAACTGTCTAGCATGACTCAAAGCTCCAGGTAAACAAACACGTTATGATCAGGCAGGATATTCCAAGGGTTTAGAGGTTATCCCCTGGAAGGCTGTCAAAGAACAGACCTTTCTTTGGAAAGTGCAGGGTTTGGACAACACAGACCTGCTGAGCTAACCTACTACTGCACTCTCAAAGAGTGGCTCATTCAGCTGTTATTCTGAGTTCTCTCTCTCTCTCTCTCTCTCTCTCTTCCTAAAAAGTTCAGATCCTTGTGGATGGAAAATCTGGGAAACACAGCACTCACTGTAAACACACCATGCCTAGAATTCGGCTCCTCTTCAACAACGCGGGCTTTTGAACTGGGTCGAAGTCACTATGCCAGGATGACATTTTTTTACCTTAGAATGAATTCCCCCCAGGTGGCTCCTCATCCTCCAGGTATACAAGGCTCCTGGATGACCCATGGCCTCCACGGGGCACACCGGAGTCTGAATCACAGCTGATTTTCTGGATTGTCCTTGGACTCATCAGGATGATTCCACATCTTCCAAATTCTAGATATCCTGATATCGCAATATTTTTTATCCCTGTTTCTTAATGAAAGGGTAAATGGAGGTAGAGGTGTTTCTCAACAACCTGCAACAACACATTTTTCTTTCAATTATTCAGTACTTAATTGGAAATCAGAGCCCCTTTCTAATGTATCGATAACATTGGGAATTGATGACTATTGTGTAGTTGTACTTAATCTACACCATGCTAATTGCTAACATGGGCTATGGAGGCAGCAGAGCGTCAGATGACAACATATGCACTTCTCTCCCCGTCTGCCCAAAGCTCCTGGTAACTGTCAAATGAGCAGAGGACAGGGGAAACAATAGGAATATTTTAAAACTGTGGTTTTCAGGATGGGAATGTATTACTATCATACAACCTAATTATTTCCTTACTTTGTCTATATTGTTGTATATTACCCAAGCTTCAGAGCTGTCAGGGCAAACCTCAAAGATGAGGAACCAGCTGGCAGGTAAAAAGCAAAACAAAAACAGCCCGTTGCTCAATGACTAGGATTTTTGGTTCAATTACATTTCCTTGCCATCTAAATAGCCAGATGCAATGACCCATAGATAGAGCCAGTGTAGAAAATAGTTCAGCCTAACATAATAATGTCTAAAGGAGTTAGTAATTGTTCTACTCAATTTGTTTCAGCCATTCTATTGGAATTCCTATTAATTGGAATTGATGGTAAGTATATGGAATGTCATGTAGTGAAACAAACAACCTATTTAGAGCACACCAAGTTTCATGGACAACAAGTAACAAATCACTTTTTAAAAATCAATACCAACCAGGCCAGGTGTGGTGACTCACACCTGTAATCCTAACACTTTGGAGGCTGAGGTGGGAGGATTGCTTGAGGCCAGGAGTTCAAGACCAACCTGGCCAACATAGTGAGACCGCCATATCTAAAAAAAAAGAAAAGAAAAGAAGAAGAAAAAAATGAATAACAATGTGTACAGTGAGATCAAAGAACACTAGCTACCATCTAACCTTGGTTTAATACTCTTAAATCCTTGAGAAGGCTGGCATACATGGAGTCTCTCCAGGAAGACATTTGAGGCAGAAAACTGGAATAGGAGCAGGCAATGTGTCATTTCGTCATCTGAAATGGGGACTTTATTAACTTGTCTGAGTATAAAGTCAAGAAAGAAAGTATTTTTCAGGACTGTTTAATTAAATGTCATTCTGTTTATCAACACAGGGAAATCTGGCAGCAATTTCTAACCATATGGGATTTTTGAAAGTATATGAGAAACATGTGATTATGTGTTTAGCTGAGTATTATTTAAAATGTATGCAAAATCCTGAGAGGGCTTTTAACTAAGTTCCTAAAATCATCCTCTGGTGCATTCTATTTGATGTGCTGTTGCGTGCATAAAATTGTTCCAATAGAAGTAAAGCAGAGCCTCGATAAAACCAACCTGGCCCGCTTTAATGACCTCCTTCCTGTAATTGTAAATTCCATAATCGTTTCTTTTGACTGTAGGCAACATAACAAGACAAAACCTATAATTTTCTAAAGGAATAGAATCAATACAAAAACAAAGGTGTTTCATACTGCTTACAGAAGATAAATGTATCCTGCAAGCTGAATGATGGCAGATCAGCTTGTGCTCTTCTAAATCATCTAAATATCATCAGTGCCTTTGATTACAGCCTCAGGCCCAGTGCTTAAAAAATCAAAGTTCGCTTTCAAGGAATGTCATTTAAAAACTGCTGATCATCTAAGCCTTGGGAGGTCAAGGACACTCTGATTTCCTTTATACTTACAAGTTTAATTTGATGTTTGCCAAAATAGACTTAGGTATAAATTTTACATCAAGATGCTAAGCAGAGCCCCACGCAAAATATTTATAACTGGGATTTGTTAAATATAAGATTATTTTTATGACTGGGACATTAGAGATGCATCCATCAATGAATTAAAAAAATAAATTTTAACAACTTTCTCTAGCATCAAGTTGAAACTCAAGTCTCAATAGAGCAAGTTTCAGGAACAGGTGGGATTTCAGGAAGTTTCAGGAACAGCAGCTCAGATTCTCTTCTTAAAGGGGGATTCCCTCTTGACATGAAGCCGGCAACTCACTCTGCATGCAGAACATGCAACATATTTCCATGCCGGGGAGAGAAGGATGTGACGTCATTCATTCATTCACTCATTCAGTCATTCCCTTATTCGTCTATCTAATAGCTGTCAAGACTCCTAGTATGTGTTGGGCATTGTACTACATGCTAAGTATATAGAATCTCTTTTCTAAACTCAAAAAGTTGTAAGTAGGTGGTAGTAGTGGTCAGGTTAAAACATTTGTGAAAAGAAGAAATTACAGTGACAAGTGCTACAATAGATAGTAAGTGATGTAGGATCCATAAGGAAGAAGGACAAATTATCTTTAGTGTTGACAGGGAAGATTTTACAACAGGAGAAATTATCTGAGATTAGTTTGGAAGGATAAGGACAAAAAGGTATTCCAGTAGAAAATGGGGACAAAAAGTAGAAAAATGGGGCACTTTAGTCTGGGAGTCATCAAAGGTGGGGTATACTTGGAAAGAGTAAATCTTTTGTAGAACTATAAGAGATTCCAGAGTCTGTGTGAGTTATAGTTTTAGGAGATAAAGTTGAAGATATTTGGGCACAATATCTTGGGGTATAAGCCAAGAGATAATATAGGTTTTATTTTTGCACGTCAGTGGTTCTCAATCAGGGGCAACTTTGTGCCCCCTCCCTGGGATATTTGGCCAGGTCTAGTTTTTGCTGTTACAACTGGGGAGGGGGGCAGGCTACTGGCATCTGGCAGGTGGAGACCAGGGATCCACTAAGCACCCTACACTGTACAAAGTCCCTACAGCAAAGACTCTGTCCCAAATGTCGACAGTGCTAGGGTGAGCAACCTTGCTCTAGATAATGGAGATTAACTGAAAGATTTTACACATGGAGAGAAGTAAAGGGGTACTTTCTAGGAAGGTGATGCGACATCTTCTAGGAGGTTTGCCACATCACGATGGTCATCACAACGCTGGGAGGCAATAAGACAAACAATATTCGTCTGCAGGGAGAAAGATCAACTAACTTCTTGAGCATCTACTCTGTGCTGGATATTCGATGTGTTGTATCAATCCCCCCATGATATTGGCAACTGCTACTTTCTGCAGCAGTGGGGACCGTCAGATGAAACAGGATGAGACTAGAGGCTGGGAGACTAGAGGCTGGGATACCATATAGATCAAAATTCACTCTCACATGGAAATAGTGGAGGTCTGGACTGTAGCAGTGTCTGTGGAGGTGGAGATCTGAGAGCAAAGAGGAAGGTCAAATCAAAAGGAATTTTTTACCAATTACATGTGAGAAGGGTTTAGCCACCAAATGGAAGGTTTACAGAATGACTTCGAGGTGGCTGGTTTGGAAGAGTGGGTAGCTGGAGAGACTGTAAAAGGAAGTCTCAGAGGACAGGTACAGGGCCACCCGCACTTGTGACCTTTGGGGTGCCCATGGGAGGTTCAGATGTAGATGCCTGGTAAGCAAAGGGAAAAATAAGTCTCCAGTTGTAAAGAGACCTCAAACAGATATGTGTTTAAGAGTTTGCAACATCACAATGGTCATCAAAACACTGGGTGTCATTAAGAGAAACAATATTTGCCTGCAGGGAGAAAGATCAACTAATTTATTGAGCATCTACTCTGTGCTGGACAGTCAATATGTTATCATCTCAGTCTCCCCATGATATTGGCAAGGAGACTGAATGCAGACAGGCCCAGGAAGGCGCTCAAAGTCAGGCAGCCAGTCAGAGGCAGAGCCAAGCTTGGAACCGTGTCTCACCAAAACCAATCCCCATCCATTCATTCTTTAAATAATATTTATAAAGTGAATTGCTGCGTGGAGAGGAGAAGCCACAGAACAGGTTGAGAAAGAAGACCCTGAGTTAGGAAAAGAAAAAGTGAAGAATGATGTCATCAAGTCCAAAGGAAGGAAGAACTTCAAGTAATAGTTTCAGTTATCCATTGTAAAAAGACTCAGAGTCAGACCAGAGGATGTTTCTGCCATAAATTGCTATCCAAATGATATCAAGTCATGCACACACACACAGAGTTTATATCAGAGTTAGAATGTGTACACTGCATTAGACACTGAGCATCATCAGGGTCTTGCTGGAGTGCCAGGGGCAAAAAACAGACCATAATTTGTAGAAAAGTACTTAGAGTTTGAGGAAGTAGAGCCAGGAAGAACAGAAGGAAGGTAGGGTGGTTGCTAAAGGGAAAATATTTTACAGATGAAGATTCAGACTTGAGCATAGATGTAGGCTGAAGGACTTGAGTGGAAACACCAAAGTTTGAGTATGTAGGAGAGAGGGTCTAAATGAGAGAATGAAGGAGTTGGCCTTGGAGTGGAGAAGGGTCCACTGTTCCTCTAAAATAGTGGTCTTCAATCTTCTTGGGCCCATAGACTCTCTTGAGAATCTCGTGAACGTTTTAGATGTCTCTCCAGAAAAACAACTGTAAACATTCTCAAAACTGGGTATGATCTTAGGGAGTGCTTGCTAAAATCTCCTAAGCTTAAAATTTAACAGGCTGTCCTTGAGAGTGAAGAGGTGCTATTAATGTTATTATAAAGGACAACAGGCTCCATTGAAGCTTCAAGCAATCCCAGACTGGTGAATTGGAAGTGGCTGGAGAATGTGATGAGCTGGATTTCCTCTGTGCTGGCATTGATTATCAAGTTATTTTTATTGATTATTATTACTAATCAATTTATAATTGATTTGATATTAATTTGGTATTAATAATTATCAATAATAAATAATATTATAATCAATAATCTATAATTATTGTGATTAATAATCAATAATTATTATTGATTATTATTGACTGAATCACAGTAAGAGTTCCCCTGAAGTTCCCCTGAAAAGAACAGTTTGCATTTGTTAGGAAAGAGGTGCTCTGGAAATTGATTTCTTTCAAACAATTGGCTCCTGTGAAATCCTTGCAATATCCTTGTGTAAAGCCAGGGTTATGTGGATGACCTCTGAAAGCCATTGATGTGGAAATTCCTAATGTAGAAAAGGTATCAGAGATGTTTCTGGAAATGTTTACACCTGGAATAGCAATTTGGTATATCCCGGGGGAAGTATCCAGAGCGAGGAAATCAACAGGAGCCCAAAGTTTTGCATTCTATTTATTGAGTAAAAATGTATAGATTGCTAGCCACATGACAAGACCTGCTCCAAGTGCTTTATGAACGAATTTATTAAATCCTCATCTTAAGTCTACTAGGTAGGTACTGCCATTATCCCCATTTTACAGAGAGGGCTATAGAGGCACAGTGAGATAGCAGGGTTGATCTTAGTTTGGGTCAGAGGGTAGATTTGGAACCAGGCTGTCTGTTTCCAGAGTCTGGCCTCCCACTTCTACTCTATATTGAGAAAGTTTACATATTATAATATGTTCACATATTCACTCAGTCAACTCTTCTTATAAGCTTTTAAATATCATACTTGTTTAATCACATGTATTCTTTAGTATTGTAAAGGTAACTATCTATCCTCTGACAAGGACTGTAGATGGGAAGAAATGCATCCAGGAATCTAATTAATCACACCAGGGCCCTATGGATACATTTAGGGGTATGGGAACAGTACCTCATCACTACTTATAGGTTTTGAGAGCCTTCAATGAGCCACCTCCGAAGCCTTTTTAAAGATGGCTGGACGTGCTTAGGCAGAGGGTCCCTGATTTGTGTGCTAAAGCGCCTTCAAATGAAGGAGTTTCAGGTGAACAGAAATTCTCAGGTGTTAAATGCTGCTACAACTCTGGAAACACTGCCTACTCCTGCCAGGTGACCAGAAATTCAATCACCTTCTCCGCTAACTGACCTCAAAGCAACTTTACCCATAATAGCTAAGAATACCAGCCAATACTTGCTGCTGAGTATTTCTTGTGGGCCAGGCTACACACACACACACACACACACACACACACACACACACACACACACACGCAGATGCAGATGCAGGTACTCAGTTTGCACAGTGGTACAGTAATGCAGGGTCACAAAAATAAGCATGCAAGTTGAAGCCATCTGAAGCAAGCTTAATAATCAATGGGAAAATTATAATTTATCTGTGGGCCTTTAAAATTTTTGCCAAAATATTGTAAATTCTCATATTCTAAGTTATAAATACATAAGGACATAAATGCGTAAGTATGATCAAGTATTTTGATGGGTGCAAGGTTTCCTTGGGGAGTGATGAAAATGTTCTGCTTGACGTCTTTTTATTATATAACTTTTGCTACAGAGAGAGCATCTTTTCTATGCCTTACCAGATTGTCACATTCTTTTCTGCTTGATTCGCCTTCGAAATTTTACCCTTTGTGCTGAAATATCAGGATATATTTGAGAGTTTCTTTAGCTTGAGAGTTTTTGCCAGCATTGCTTCCTCTGGGACATCTCGATCCTTTTCCCCACAGCCACCTCATTTCTGTTGACAGGTTTGGCCTCACCACTTTTCTGTGGCTGCATACCTAGAGTCTCTCAAATGATGGCAATACTCCCACAGTCAGCTATTTCTTCAACGACTCCTTTATGTTTGATTCTAGCTTTACCACTCTTCATTTCTTTGCTTTGTTAGCCAAATCCCTCTGTTGAAAACCTGCTTTGTTAAATGTTGTGTGTGTGTTTTTCATGGGAGATAAGGAGGCAACACAACCACACTCTTTGCTGTCTTTGCACAAACGGATATGTGATCATGATGCACATCGTTTTTAATGCAGTGATGTGTGGATGGAAGAGCTAGCAGCAAAGTTTGTATTGTATGCAATTCCTCACAGTTAACATAACATGGTAACTGAAGCTTGAACTGTGCTGTAAGGAGACTGATGTTATTTGACTAAACTGGGGTAACTGAAATTCAGGAGTATTAGAATCTTACTAATTAAGGACTGCTTCTGTGTGTTTATGTGTGTATGCAAAATCATTGATTTATCTTGCACATTGCAAGCTCTATTATTAAAACTAATTTACATAAGGGAAACGGAGGCACAGGTTGATAAAGGACCCACAGCTAACAAGGAATGGGGCTGGGATTTGTGTCCAGGTGGTCAGCTCTGGAATCCAAGTACTTAACCTCTCCAACACACTGCATTTTTTTTTTTGAGACAGATTCTCCCTTTGTCACCCAGGCTGGAGTGCGGTGGTGCAATCTCAGCTCACTGCAACCTCCGCCTCCCGGTTTCAAGAGATTCTCGTGCCTCAGCCTCCGGAGTAGCTGGGATTACAGGCGCCCACTACCACGCCCGGCTAATTTTTGTATTTTTAGTAGAGACAAGATTTCAGCGTGTTGTTCAGGCTGGTCTCGAACTCCTGACCTCAAGTGATCCACCTGCGTTGGCCTCCCAAAGTGCTGGGATTACAGGCTTGAACCACTGTGCCTGGCCCACACTGCATTCCTCAGTTGGCCCAGTATAATTTACATTTTTTAATGTAAAAAATCTATTTTCTTAAATACTTGGATAATAAAATCTGTTTCCCCCCCCCCTTAATATTTCTTGGAGAATGGCCTGGTAAGAAACTGTGTTGGACACTCAGGGTTAGGAACACTAAAGATTAGAAAGGGGAGAACAAAAGCTAGATGAGGCTAGTTATACAGCAAAAGTGTGCATGAACTAGTGTAGCTGCAACATAGCTCTTCGTTTTACTTTGTGGCAATTTCAGCACACACCTATATCTATTGTTTTTCCTTCCATGGGTATCTGCTGTTCAGACACCTTCAACAAATATTTATTCAGCTCTTACTCGATGCCAGGTTCTATGTTAATCTCCTGCCTTTAGACCATGGGTCCTTTCCTTGTTTTGCCTCAGTGTGTGTAATATTTAATCAATCTAGGTTACAGCATAATTCTTTTCCAATAAGGAGCCAACTACTTTAAAGAAAGAGGAAAGAAACACGAAATGAGACTTAGTAATCAAGGACAGGTTTATTTTAGAGAAATAAACTTGAGAGGGTCTTCTGGCCAATTTTGGTCAGGAGCCTTCTCTCTTACAGACTGAGGATATTTAAGGGCTTTGGAAGGAGGGGCTTATCGTAGGTCTAGAATGTTTCTATGTGAGGGAAACTTAATTGCGGGGTTGGAATGTCTCTGGTTGGAGGGGAGGCTGTCTCGGGGTTGGCATGTTTCTGGTTGGAGAGGGGTTTATCTTAGGGTTGGAATGTTTCTGGTTATGCTGACATTAGCTATTAGGCTGATGTTTTAGGGCTGGATTTAGGTGGTTTTTTAATCAAGGGGAACTTAGAATGGTGGTGTTTGTTCAAGATGGAGATGCTCCCGCTCTGTCAACTACTGTCTGCACAAATCTGTTGCTTCGAAGGTTGGTATTAGTAAACACAATGGCCTGCATTTATAAAAGTGGGTTTTCAGTTCTTCATTTCAAGTTTACCTGTCATCTTTGGCATATGTCCCTAGAGCTCTGCTACCCTAGAAAATATACACATTACAAATGTAAATCATAAATAGTTTTGGCAGATGAAACACAAGACATCCCATTAAATTTGAATTTTTTTCCATTAGACATACTTGTACTAAAAATTTATCTGTTGTTTATCTGAAATTCAGCTGTAACGATAGGCATCCTGTATTTTTATTTGCTAAAAGTTTGGCAGTGCTAACCATATATGAACATTGTACATGTCCATAAAAGAGCAAGCATTTGATGAGAATGCATTAATATTTGTTTACATTCGTGAATAATATAACAAAATACAAATGGGATGCAAGTCAATAATGCAACTCATTTTCACTCAAGAAACACGTAGGTGGAAAATTCCCTTAATCAAAGCAAACCTTTGATCAGCTGCAAAATAAAAGACTTACTCTCACATGCCAGACATGTGTTAATGTGCGTAGCTAAAATAAAGCATGGGAGGCATATTAGACTCAGAAACGTCCTCTAAAACCATAACTGTAGTATCTGAAATCTCCCACAAATAATGAATGCAAGTCGGCACAGACTAACCCAACAGCAGCAAGTTGGGTAACATACATTATATGATAATCTAAGGCACTGTTCAGCAAACGTTTTCTGTAAAGACAAAGATAGCAAATATTTTCACCTGTGCAGACATACAGCCTATCACATCTACCCAACTCAGCCACTGTAGCTCGAGAGCAGGCATAGACACAGACACTCACAGTGGAATGTGTGTGCCAGTGTCCCAATAAAACTTTATTTACAGAAACAGGAAGTGGGCCAGAATTGTCCCACAAGCTCTAGTTTGCAAGCCCTACCTAAAAGGAGTTTGTTGGTACCTTCTTACTCTGTTGATAAGCTTTTTTTTTTCTCTCAAAGGAAGAAACAATTGTAAGAATTATTAAATGCTGTCAATCTTCTGTCATAGAATAACTAGGAAACTGAAAAGGCTTAGGTGGGTGAGATTATAAAAATTCAAACTATTCTAAGAGCAGTTAAGGGCAGATAGTTATGAATGAAATCAACTAGATTTTTAAATAACATCTAAATTGTGAGGGTCAAAAAGATGAAGAGGTCTGCTTATGTGGTGGACTAACCACATATATGATTTCCTCTCCTTTTCGAAGTTCACGATAATGACGTTAAATCAATGTATTAATGCATAGGAACAAACAGAATGGGGAAGACAGGAGTAGAGGAAATTTCAGCAAATTTTGGAAACTGGAAAGTGTATATAAAAGCACTACCTGGTTTGGAAACTAAGTATAATTAAAATGTGGGCTCTGTACACAGGCTCTGTCCTGTTTTGGGGGAGGGGTACAGTCAGAAATGAGGAATTTGGGCCCTGACTGAGAGTTTTTGAATTGAGATACACTACAGAATATGAGCAGTGAGCCTGATGGTGAGTTTGCTTCACCAATCTCAACCTCAGCTTTTCCGTCATCCTCAATCATCTCACCAGAGTCCAGTAATAAAGCAAAAAGAGCTATATGAAGAAATGTTGAACTAGAAAAGTCATTTTCCTTAAGGATTGCAATGTAAATAATTCTTTTCAGGTCTCAACATACAGTCCAATGGTGTCATTTATTGGGAAGAAGAATACCTTTAGCCATATAATAATAAAAACAAAGCACCTTCAAGGCCTGAACTAGTATGGGTTAATAATCCTGATTTGATCAAATGCAACTGATGATGTATGGATCTACCAGATCTTCATGTTACTTTGGATTAAAACATGCAGAATAAAAATATTCTACATGATTTCTTTTAGATTTCATGTGTTGTTCAATACCAATGGAAACCTAATTTACCAAAACACATAATACTATATATACTTAAATTATAGTCGATCCCATGTTATTTCATCTTATAAAATGTTTAATATTCTCCCATTAATAGCACATAAAATTATATGGGCTACTGGGCTGATTAACTTTTAGTTTTGTATTCTTTATTTTTTTTATGCAACAAACAGGAAAAGTAAGATCATAATGCCTAACAGAATTAGTAGATTTAAGTCTGAATTATTATAGATGGTCCTTAATTAATTATTCCCAAAAGCCTAACACCAACACCCATATTTACCAAAAGAATATTATGCCATTTATCATATTCCCTGCTTAATAAGAACTTGTAGTTTTTTACATCACACTACAATACTGCAAATTTTAAAATGCGGAACAACATACAGATTTATTCTTGTTTATGTAGTCTATAATAAAAAGTGGATAGGCTCATTTAATTAGCTGTTGATTGCTTTTGTTAATCAGTCTTATAAAAATGTCTATTGTAATCTATTTCTCAGTAGGTCTTATCATGTTTTATGAAAGGCATAGTAGCTCATTTATTTGAATTGAACTATTTAGCCTGACTGTTTTGACAAAAGGAGGTCTGATATGGTTAAGTACTTTGTTTTGTTTTTGTTTTTGTTTTGTCACTCTATCATCCAGGTTGGAGTGCAGTGGTGCTATCATAGCTCACTGCAGCCTTGACCTCCCAGGCTCAGTCAATTCTCCCACCTCAGCCTCCTGAGAAGCTGGGACTACAGCACCACCAAGTCTGGCTCACTTCTTAATTTAAAATTTTTTGTGTGTGTGGAGACAGAATCTCACTGTGTTGCTCAGGCTGATCTCGAACTCCTGGCAGCAAGGATTCCTCTCCCCTTGGCCTCCCAAAGTACAAAGATTAAAGGCGTGAGCCATGCCTGGCCTGAGTACTTCGAAAAGAGGACTGATTTGCTAACTGAAAAGAGGACTAATTTGAAATTTCCCATATATTGGAAAGCCTTGCACATAGATCTAAGATTTTGACAAAAACATGCATAAAGTAGATTTTTATTTTAAAAAATATCACCTTGGGAAAGGCTTATTATAATTCAACAATATTACAATTGTTCTCAACCCTGTGTTTATTGGAATAAAAAAATCCCTCTATAGGAAAGATTAACATGTAAAATTAATACTCATAGTAATGAGTAATAAATCCCTTTGAAATTCAGTGTTTCCAAATCTTTGTGTTCTCCAAATTGAAGGAATGGTCAATAGTGGTTCTCATGAGGAGGGGGATTGTTCAGGGAAGATTTGGCAGTGTGGAGGTACTTTTGGTCACCACAACTAGGAATATACTACTGACATCTAGTGGTAGAAGCCAGGAATGCAGCAAAACATCCTACAATGAATACACAGGACAGTCCTCCCTCCCCTCCAGGAATTATCCAGCCCCCAATGTCAATAGTGCCAAAGGTGAGAGACCATTATATATGAATATGTAAATAAATAATAACAGAAAAATGGAGGAAACCTCCACTGATCCCATTAAGAGATTCATGTCAATGAATTTTATTGAAAAATGATCAATGTTTATGTTTTAATCATATATACTTATATTTTAAATGCTGTATCTTATGTTGTTTTGATTAACTATGTGATAATAATAAATGTATTAATAACACAAGCTACAGGAAAGTTTTTAAACTCTTAGAGTCTTGTGGTTGCAAGAATTTTTGAAAAGTAAATATTTACAATTTGATGCAGTTTTGTTTTAGGTAAGTAAAATAAGTTATCAATAAAAGATTTTCAAATATCAAATAATATAACTTTAAGATAAAATTGTCTGAGGAGAGCAGAATAGAAATTAAACCCCAAGGAAAAAAACAAATGATTGAAAATTCTCCCCTGTTAAAGAAGAGCATTTTTAGGGATTTTAATTAACTATAACAGGTGTCAAACTGTTATGATAATTAGCTTACATCGGAAAAGTTTAAAAGCGTGATGTTGCAGCTCTGTCTTTAAATATTTACATTTGGAATATGCCAGAAATTTCATTCTTTCCATCTAGTTAAAATTATGATGTCAAATTGTAGATGTAACTAAAATGTGCCGGGAGATGCACAGGTTGGCAAGATTCTTTTAGAGAGTATTCAGGTAAAAATGTTTGAATACCACTGTTGTACAGAGCTGATCCAATTCCCTAAAATCGAGCTCTCAGGAAGTTAATTAAGGTTCCCCCTTTAGCCATAGGGGCCTGCAGACAAGTGGGTGATAAATCCCTTCCCTTTTGAAGGTCATAAGCCCCTTTCTGTCTCTTGTAGCCTAAAAGCATTTTGAACATCAACTTTACAAATCCAAATAGTCATCATGATATTAAAAGCTTTTAAATAATAATTACAAAATTATTGGGTTAACTGAATAACATTTTCATGCAATGATATCAAAGCAAAAAGATTTTTGCATTGTCAGACTCAAAGAAGGATCCTTTTGTACGAAGAGAAATGATCCTATAACTGCTTTGTTGGATTCTTAATTTAAATATTCATTAAGTGAATTTAACATATACAGTTCATAATCCTCTTCCTTTGAGAAAGAAAAGAGGTCATTTATCTGAGACTAAGAGCTTTCCCTACTTAACAAAACCCAAGGGCTAGAAATCTGAAGATTTATTTCAAATTTTCTTAAGGGCAGTTGAATAATGTATAAGATATACAACACCAGATGGCAGTATTTCCATGTTCTAGGGCATACACACACACATACACACACACACACACACACACACACACACACACACGCACGCACACATACAGAGACATATATATATCTATATACAAGTAGACAAAAAACGGTGTTTCTATAGTGACCAATATCGGGCAGGCAGACTTTAAAATCAGTATGACAATAGGCACAGATATTTACATCAGAAATTTCTCTTTACACTTGAGATATGTGACTCATTTTTCCCATATAGTTCACTTAAAAACAGTTTATAATTATTATTTTTTTTCTTATTTACTAAGGCAGCAACACATAGGTAGGTAATCCATATAAATATTGACAAACAATGAAAAGAAAAATGAGGGAAAAAATTACCGAAATTGCCAAGCTAGCATATAATATCAGCAAATTATGGCTTAATTTAAAGGTTTTCTTTCTTTAAACAACAAACTGTGTAGCTTTACCTGAGCCTAATATACTTACATGAAAGACTAATATATAGATAAGGAGATGTAGTCATATACAAATTACATGAAAAATGTACATACACGTTAAAGAGAGGAAAACAATTTTTCTTTTCACGTATATTCCATAGTTGGTTGCAAAAATACAATTAGTTAACTTTTCAGAATTAACCTGAAAAAGTTTGTATCTGTGAAGCCAGTGAGATCTGTTACTTTGAAGTTGCATAAACTTTATAGGCTCTTAAAAAAAAAAAACAAAAAACCTCAATATCTTATTCAATTGCTTCCTTTCTAAGAAAAGGAATTATTCACCCACCTGGTTCTCAGTACTAAAAGAGGAAACCAGCATGAAATTGCCTAATCTAGCACATATTAAGCATAATAGGTGTTTATTAAAACAATAATCATTGATTAGTTATTATTGCTTGTTAATTAGGATTATCTTTAAAATGAGGATGTGGTGTATGAATCACTCAAGAAGAAGACCAACCCTAAGGAAATTAGGAATTTTCTAGCTCCCAAGTCCCCTCTTCCTATGCTTTGCTGCTCCGTCAGGTGGAATATCAAGCCAATTACACCGTGGGGTTTTTTTTTTTTTTTTGCCAATTTTGTACCCACTATTACTCTCATCAAGATTAGATTTTATACATTACTATTAACTTAAAAGAAAAATACATTACTATTAACTTAAAAGAAAGTTTTCTTTTAACACATATATATTGATGCCTGTTGTATCCCATTTAGTTTACAAGGCAAACATATACATTTTATTCCACTGTGCTCATCTGACAATCCAAAAACAGAGGATTCGACTAGGAAGTTTTGTGACTTAGGTCCCAGAGCAAATAAAGTGTAGATTCTGGGGGTTTCAGCAAAGGTCTGTCTCTTCCCTTGGTCCATGCACTCAGTAATGCTCCAGGCTACCCTGGACAAATCTTTCCTTGTTAGAAGAAACACAAACACCAGCAGAGCAGAGAAGTTTTGTAGAAGGCACACACCATGACAGCAGTCAGGGGCCCTGAAAAAAAGCGACCATAATCCAATACACTCCCGCTCCTCTTCTGGGTTTCTCCATCCTACTCAGGCTTCAAACATGCATCTTTTCACTGTCCCTGGAGCATATTTTCAAATCATTTGGACAGATGGGTTGCTTAGGCTTTGAGTTCCCTATTTATGTGGGGTGTTCAGAATGGAGTATTGGCGTGGAATTTACAGGCACTGATTTCTTCTAGCCCTTGTCATCACCATCATCGTCATCATCATCATCATCACCATCATCATCATCATCATCAAGATCTCAGATTAAGCGTTTCCTCCCTGTAAGTTTCTTCTCAATTTCTGACACTAACTCCAAAGACCATGCATGTGCCAGACTGCCCTGATGATGGTTGTACAGGGTTGATCCAATTCCCTTAAAATGGACTCTCAGGCAATTCAGGTTCCTGCTTTAGCCATAGGGGCCTGCAGACACATGGGTGATAAATCCCTTCCCTTTTGAAGGCCATAAGCCCTTTTCTGTCTCTTGTAGCTGAAAAGCATTTTGAACACCAACTTTACAAATGCAAATAGTCATTCATGATATTAAAAGCTTTTAAATAATAATTTCAAAATTGTTGGGCTAACTGAATAACATTTTCGTGCAATGAGATCAAAGCAAAAAAAATTTTGCAGTGTCAGACTTAAAGAAGGATCCTTTTGTATGAAGAGAAATGATCTTGTAACTGCTTTGTTGGATTCTTAATTCAAATATTCATTAATTGAATGTAACATATACGGTATTTAGAATCCTCTTCCTTTGAGAAACAAAAGAACACATTTATCTGAGACTAAGAGCTTTCCCTGCTTAGCAAAACCCGAGGGCTAGAAATCTGAAGATTTATTTCAAATTTTCTCAAGGGCAGTTGAATAATGTTTAAGATATAACACCAGATGGCAGTATTTCCATGTTCTAGATCACACACACACACACACACACACACACACACACACACACACGTGTGTGTGTGTGTATATATATATATACATATATATAATATATTTGTATATATATATGTATATACACAAGTAGACAAAAAACAGTGTTTCTATAGTGACCAATGTCGGGCAGGGAGACTTTAAAATCAGTATTGACAATAGACACAGATATTTACATCAGAAATTTATCTTTATACTTGAGATATGTGACTCATTTTTCCCATATAGTTCACTTAAAAAACAGTTCACAATTATTATTATTTTTCTTATTTACTGAAGCAGCAACACATAGGTAGGTAACCCATATAAATATTGACAAACAATGAAAAGAAAAAATGAGCAAAATTTGGCGAAATTGCCAAACTAGCATATAATATCAGCAAATTATGGCTCAATTTAAAGGCTTTCTTTATTTAAATAAAAAACTATGTAGCTTTACCTGAGCCTAATATACTTACATGAATGACTAATATATACATAAGGACATGTAGTCATATACATATTACATGAAAAATGTACATACACGTTTAAGAAAGGAAAACAAATTTTCTTTTCATATATACTCCATAATTCGTTGCAAAAATACACTTAGTTAACTTTTCAGAATTAATCTGAAAAAGTTTGTATCTGTGAAGCCAGTGAGGTCTGTTACTTTGAAGTTGTAGAAACTTTATAGGCTCTTTAAAAAACCCTCAGTGCCTCATTCAATTGCTTCTTTTCTAAGAAAAGGTATAATTTCACCCACTTGGTTCTCAGTAGTAAAAGAGGAAGCCAGCATGAAATTGCCTAATCTTGCACATATGAAGCATAGTAGGTGCTTATTAAAAAATCATTGATTAGTTATTATTGCTTGTTAATTAAGATTATCTTAAAATGAGGATGTGGTGTATGAATCATTCAAGAAGAAGCCCAACCCTAAGGAAATTAGGAACTTTCTAGCTCCCAAGTCCCCTCTTCCTATGCTTTGCTGCTCCGTCAGATGGAATATCAAGCCAATTATACCTTATTTTTTTGCCAATTTTGTACTGACTATTAGTCTCATCAAGATTAGATTTTATACATTACTATTAAATAAAAGAAAAAAGTATTCTTTTAGCACACATATATTGATGCCTGTTGTATCCCATTTCGTGTACAAAGCAAACATACACATTTTATTCCATTGTGCTTATCTGACAATCCAAAAACAGAGGATTTGACTACGAAGTTTTGTGATTTAGGTCCCAGAACAAGCAAAGTGTAGATTCTGGGGGTTTCAGCAAAGGTCTGTCTCTTCCCTTGGTCCATGCACTCGGTAATGCTCCAGGCTACCCTGGACAAATCTTTCCTTGTTAGAAGAAACACAAATACCAGCTGAGCAGAGAAGTTTTGTAGAAGGCACACCCCACTGCAGCAGTCAGGGGCCCTGAAAAGATGAGACCATAATCCAATACATTCACTCTCCTTTTCTGGGCTTCTCCATCCTACTCAGGCTTCAAACCTGCATCCTTTCACTGTCCCTGGAGCACATTCTCAATTCATTTGGACAGATGGGTTGGTTAGGCTTTGAGTTCCCTATTTATTTGGGGTGTTCAGAATGGAGTATTGGCGTGGAATTTACAGGCACTGATTTCTTCTAGTCTTTGTCATCACCATCATCACCATCACCATCACCATCATCATCATCATCATCATCATCATCACCATCACCATTGTCATCATCCCATCATTACCATCATTACCACCATCATCATCATCATCACCATCACCATTATCATCGTCATCAGGATCTCAGATTAAGTGTTCCCTCCATGTAAGTCTCTTCCCAATTCTTGACACTAACTCCAAAGATCATGTATGTCTCAGAATGCCCTGGTGATGGCGCTGCAGATATTTAAACCCCAAAACTGGCCTTCAGCAGGCAGAGCCGACTCCTCCAGCCTTTGGAACACATGGTATGTTCCTTTAAATGCAGACTTGTTTGCTGAGCTCCCACAAGGCAGATCTCAGCGGCACTCACCCAAATGCCATCCTAGACAAAGGGTCATATTTTATCCCTTTTATCAGACTCTCAAGGAGTCTAGAGTCAGTCAAATAAAGCCAAGCTGGCTGCTTCCAATCAATGACCCAGAATCCCAGCACTTTCTCACCCACGGCACTGTTAGGAGCTTCAGATAAAAAGCCCACATCACTCCCCTCTGCTGCTACTTGGTTCTTAGGTGATGTTTTGTGGTTTCCTGCACCTGAGATAGTTTTGGTGTCCTAGTTAGTGTGTGGATTTTTGGATGAGCACATATAGAGCACATGCTCGTGAGTACACACAGCCTATAATGACTGAGTTATGAGATTGTTCTGCAGAGACCAGAGGGCCCAGCCAGTCCTTTCTGCTTCTGCTATTGAGAACTTCAGGAACTGCTTGCAGGACTGAGTGGAGAACTGATGGCCTCTCTGAGACCCTAATTCTGGACAAGGCATCATGTACTTACCGCAAGGAAACTCTGGCCCTGGGCTGCAGGCAATGGATGTCTCCTCCAGACTTCCCTCTCCTTCCTATTTGACTTCTGTAGCTTTCAGGTACCTTTGCTATTTTCCCTTGGCCGCTTCCCATTCTCTTTATTTAAGTACATCTTAAAGGATTTATCGAAATCAATACAGTGTCAATGTATATACAATAAGAGAGTAAAAATATTTGGGGCGGACTGTAACTCCTGACACCATTTTATTTGACTTCGTTAGCATGATACTGGCAACCTGGCATTTGACAGCCTCCTTTAGAATGAATCACCTAAACACTTGTCAAACATTGACCTGAAAGTTGCCCAAACATTTGTCTAAACATTGCCAAATATTAGATTACGTGACAGGGGTCTCTGTTTCCCTTCCGAATTGTGCCATTAAACTGCCATTTGAACTGGAAAGTTCCAGTTCAGTGTCTCAGAAAATGTCTGTTTGCTGCCTACTTCAGGTTTAGCAGCACAGAATTAATTTGCTGTTGATAGTATTCCTTGGAAAAAGATGCTGTATAAGCGTATCGGCCATGTAATTCCAACGTGAGCCTATACCAAGTCTCAGATTCAAATAATGTTCTCTGTAAATAAGCTCTTTCTTGAGTTTGCCATTGTCTAGCCTTTAAATAAATTACTGGCATCATGTCTCCAGTTTGAAAACATACAGTGCAACTAGAAGGATGTTTCTTCACTTTCATGCATCTTTGCAAGAAGTTCTCACCATAACAAACTGTGTGGTCTGCGTCATTCCCAAAAATTCCTGGAGATTCCTTCTTATTTTGTCTCACATTTGATTCCCACTCTTCCCTTCATCACCAGAGGATGATAAAATGGAGAAAACATGATCTTAGAATTCAGAAACAAGTGCAAGCCATTATTAAAAGTGGAAACATATTTTTTAAAGAAACTGTATTGTTACGGAAATTCTCAAACCTAGCCCCACATAGAAAGGACAGGGTAACAAACCTCCTGGTACTCTGCCCAGTGCATTCAGCATCAACATTTTTCATATGTCCTACCCATCTAGTTTTCCTTTAGTGGAGCATTTTATTTATTTATTTATTTATTTATTTTTGTGACAGAGTCTTGCTCTGTCGCCCAGGCTGGCATGCAGTGGCACAATCTCTGTTTCATGCAACCTCTGCTTCCCAGGTTCAAGCGATTCTCCCACTTCAGCCTCCCAAGTAGCTGGGATTACAGGCACACAGCGCCATGCCCTGCTAATTTTTGGATTTTTAGCAGAGACAGGGTTTCACCATGTGGACCAGGCTGGTCTCGAACTCCTGACCTCAGGTGATCTGCCTGCCTCGGCCTCCCAAAGTACTGGGACTACAGGTGTGAGCCACTGCGCCCAGGCCTAGTGGAGTATTTTAAAACAAATCTCAGAAATCAAGTGATCCACTGTCCCAATTTGTCCAGGACTATTCTGATCTTAGCACTGAAACTCCCACATCTCAGGAATCCCTTGGTTCTGGGATGGCAGCCACCCATATCATTATTCATCTTTAATTTTTTTCACTGTCTATAATTAATAAAGGATTAAAAAAACTCAATACCAATATCACATCAAACAAAATTAACAATTGTTTCTTAACATCACCTAATGCCAATCGTGTTCATTTTTTCTTGACTTTCAGCAAAAAATACAGTTTTTACAGTTAATTTGTTTTAATAAAAATTCATTTGGTGAAAACATCACCTAAATTTATTTTCATCGATAGCAGTTCCCCCTGCCTTTTTCTTTCTGTGTCATTTATTTCTGTAAGAATCTGAGTCATCTTTTTCTATAAAAATGTTCCGCATTTTAAATTTTGCAGGTTATATTTTTGTGGTGATGTTTTACATACTTTTTTATAGAATAAATTGTCTATATATTCCCAATTACCTCTAGAAACTTGATTAGATACCAGGACAATTTGTTTTGGCATTCATACTTACTGGTAGTGCTAGGTACTTCTCATTGTATCCCAACAGGAAGAAGATTAATAATTACCAAGAAGACCTGTGGTTCTGCAGGGGTCACCCTGATGGAACTATTTCAAAGTTCTTTATCAACCTATCACCTAAAGATTTTAGCAGATTTTGATGATCATTGCCTTGATCTAAATAAATATATCATGACACCATAATATGTAATCATCAATATATCAATGACACCATAAAATAACATGGCAAGTACCCAAGTGCAATTTTCTCTTTCAAATATTCATTCTTCACTTATTAGTATGATTCTTCTAAAACAAATACACTTCCACCATTGACCATCAGGTTATCTTGGAGAAAAATCCAAACAAAAAAGTCAGGATACATGTGTATTTTTTTAAAAAAAATATTCATTTTCAGAGTAAATGGCTGGTACCCAAATAACTTCCAAAGATGACAAAGTTTTTTGGGGAGGCATACGGGTAGATAGCGGGAGAAGTAGCATTTTGAACTCTCTGGTGCCTGTTCTTTGATGCATTTCCATCATTCCCTTGGCTGCTGTACACAAGCAAATGTATTTGATGCTCTACCATAATTTCCTTAACAGATGTGCATATGGAAATTTGCAAGACAAATTTGCATTTGGCACAGTATCTTTCTATTCTCCTCACCAGGTAACCTTTACCCATTTCAGGAGCAATCATGATGACCATGACAAGCAAGAGGCAAAATTATTAAACAGGTAAGAGATACCTGCATACTTTTGTCTCAGCATTGTTATTATTCTTCCCAACCCTGGCCCCTTGACTTCCTGGAGGGTGACATTTATGTCCATCGCAATCATCTAGCCTTGCAATCACCAAACCACACATTATACTTCAAAAGCCCTCCTTCCTGATGCATCCCACCACTCTTTTCCTTTAAATTCTCCTTCTCCCATTTGCCTGAGATCTCGGCCCACAGGAGAAGAGCAGTATCATAAACTAATGTACAGTGAGCTAAGTGCTCTTAACCACATAGCTCCAATATGTTCCATCTCTTCTTAATCCACTTAGCTAGTCCCAGAATTTACATTTTAAAATAAATTAATCCTTGGATCCAAGGAAACATTGGTTTAATTGCACTTTTCTAGAATGTCTTGAGTTTTTCTCCTTTGAGATTTTGTTCATGCTTTTCAAAACTCCTAGAATACCTCTCCCACTTTCAGCAATTCAATCCTTTCCCTCCCTTCAAATCTGTTCAAATTCTATCTCCTTTGTTATAACAGTCATATATCTTTGGAACTCATGGGATTACTGTTATCAAATCCCTTGTAAAAATGCTTTTACTCTTGTCATGAATGCTTATTTCCTATAATGTTGTTTAACCATTTTATGGACTTAAAGTAAGATTTTCCTACTAAATTGCACACTTTGAGTGAAGGGATGGTGTGTTATATTTTAAACATAGTACCTAGAAAGGTGTAAGAACAGCATCAATATTTGTATCAATAGTAAATTACTGGTAAGTGCTTTAGATGAGAATGGGGTCATCGGGGACAATTCCAAAACATTCTATTTACTACTAGGCTGATAAGTATTTACAATGCCTGTAGCTCAGCATGATATTTCCTTCAAATCATTCTACTATTGTTTAAAGTTTCTATTTTTCATCTCTACCACTAGAAAATCATGTATTTCTGTATAGATAATGTGGCTGGTGTATTTTAGAATACATGTAATTCCCAGTATAACCTATGCTACCCGACTTGACAGAGAACTTTTTCTAGACCACCAGCATGAGTCAAGTTTCAGTGAAATATTGATTCATTACATTTCATACACTTTTAATATGAGACATAAACTGATATCTCCTTCTAGGAGCAATGTGGAAATATATGCCAAAAACCTCAAGACTGATGCTAACCTTAGTCCCAGCTATTCCACCTTTATGAAGTAATTCTAAGAAAACAATCAAAGGTATATACTACGAAGATAGATGCACATTAATTCGCCTCACTGATATCTAAAACAGTAGAAAATTGGAAATGACCTGAATGTCTAAAAATAGGAAAATAAACCATGGTAGATATGTATAATGGAATAATTACTGAACCATTAAAATATTTTCTAAAGGAAAAGCTATAAAACAAAATTCACTATTAAGTAAAGGCAAAATGGTTTAGATGCAGTGACTAAAATGTGTATGTAAAAAATTGGCTAGAATATCCTGAAACCTTAATAGTGGCTCTCTCTGAATGTGAGCATTATGGGCAATTTTTATTCTTTATGGTTTTCTACCTTATGTTTTTATATGCTTTCCAAATTGGCTAAAATGAATAAATATTATTTTTAAACCCAAAAGGTGTTATCCTATAAAATATCTAAGCTACATGGCAGTTTTATGATAGCTATTTAAAAATATACCCATAATTATGACCCAGCAATTGCATTGCCAAGTACATACACAACAGAAATGCATACATACATCCACCAAAAACATGCACAAGGATATTCAGAACCTTTTGGGGTGGCGAAAATATTTTGGACCTGGATAAAGGTGACAGGTGAACAGTTTTGAATGTACTAAATGCCACTAAATTGTACACTTTACAATAAATACTTTCATGTTAAGTGAATTTCACTTCCAAAACAAAGTTTTTAAGGCATATTCAGAGTAGCACTATTTGTAATAGAGAAAAAAGGGGCAATAATCCAAATATCTTACAATAGCAGAATGGGCCAATAAATGGTGGTATAATGAAAACAACCGACTGCTGCAACAACAGTGAAAATCAAGGAACTACTTCTGCATCCAGGTTCATGAAAGAACCTCCACATTTACCACCAAGTGAAAGAAGGCACGAAAAGAACACACTATGATTTCATGCACATAAAATTCGGAAGAGATTCAAGTCACTTATAGTGTCAGAAGTCAGTTTCGTGGTTACCTGCAGGGAGGGAGGTAGTGACAAGGAGTAAGCATGGGGTGGGGGTCCCGTGTGGATGAGCATATTCTGCGGGCTTATCTCAATAGTGGTTGCATACATACATTACCCATAGTGAGAATTCATCAAATTGCACCATTACATTTGCATTATTTAAACATCTTCTTGCTTTCATTTTTACCTGGCTGCCTGCAAATTCTCCAGCCCCTAGTGACCACCTTGCTGCTAAATTTCTTCTTCAGTTAATGAGATAATTCTCTCTCTTCATTTATAAACTTGGATTCTATTTTCATCATTTCCAAGTTTTGACATTCCACCCATTCACTCCACATGCATTGAATTCTAGTATGTTCTAGGTGCAAGGTGGGGTGATGGGGAGACAGAGGTGGTCTCAGCACTGGCAACCCAGAAAGATGACACATATTAGATAAAGTTTTTAACATCCATCTAGGTGTGGAACTTTTTCTAGAACATGCATGTTAAAATTTGCATATATTTTAAAGGGCTCAAAATCCCCCTGGAGACTCTTCCCCAGTTCAGATCAAGAGCCTGGCTTTATAGACAATGCTTCATAAGAATTCATCGACATTTGTCTCCTGTTTTTATTAGGTAATAAATGAATGTTTGCTTTTCTAAATAATTAAATTTACACGTTCTTATAAATTGGTATTTTAAGATCACTTTATTTGGCTATGGTGTTATATGATTATTCTCCCCTAAATTGGTAGCACATCTTCACACTTTCTGAAATTCAAGAATTCTTCTGAAAAGAAGTCCTATCAAGTGTCCTAATCTCTTTAAGTGCATTAGTTAAGAAGCTATTTTTAAAGACCCACACATTACACTGTACTGAATCAACACAGTGATTTTTATCTGCTCAAGATAAAACTGATACCATTGTAATTAACTGTTTCCAAAATATTTTGACATGTATATTTTTCATTAGACTAAGATAACTAATAATAAGGCTGCTTGTTCATAGCTAAATTACACAGGCTAACAAAATTTAAAAATCAATTTCTAAATTCTTAATACTATGCAGCCAAATATTTCGCTACATGGAAAATAGTTCCTGGCACTTGGATTTCGGTAACCAGTAAGGCTGATAAGAATGAAACTGGGCTGGGAGCGGTGGCTCACGCCTGTAATCTCAGTATTTTGGGACGCTGAGGAGGGCGGATCATCTGAAGTCAGGAGTTCAAGACCAGCCTGGCCAACATGGTGAAACCCCGTCTGTACTAAAAATACAAAAATTAGCCGGGCATGGTGGTGGGCGCCTGTAATCCCAGCTACTGGGGAGGCTGAGGCAGGAGAATTGCTTGAACCCGGGAGGGGGAGGCTGCAGTGAGCCAAGATTGCGCCATTGCACTCTAGCCTGGGCGACAAGAGTGAAACTCCATCTCAAAATTAATTAATTAATTGATTAATTAAACGGATGATTAATGCTGCAAAAGAACAAAGCCATATTTTAATTTGTAGTGCTAATTAAACCAAAGAAGTTTATACCAATTTCCCCAACCATGCAAAGAAAAAAGAAATATGAAGGAACTGTCTCATGGGAATAGGCAAAAAGGTGGCATGCTCTCACTTAATGTCATTCAAAATTGCAAAATAAAAACAAATAAAGAAACTGCAATTTAGGAGGTGCATTCACAAATTATATATATATCACGTGTGTGTGTGTATGTATATATATGTGTGTGTGTGTGTGTGTCTGTGTATGTATCTCTCTTTTTCCAAGAAATCTGATGTGCTCCCTTAGAAGACGTCAACCATCCTCCATTCCAGGATGAGAAATACCTTCATAATCTTGTCATAAATCAATCATTTTCCAGATTTTGTCCAGTTAAATGTTTTGTTTTTCATTTTCTTAAGAGTTTTCACATATCTTATAAGCATGGCCTTTGTGTTCCTGTCTTGTGCTAAGCATGTATCACAAATTGCATCTGACTGTGCATCTTCTAGCTTTCTTAGCAAGAAGTGCATTTAATCCTGTGCTTTTTAGGAAAATGGACACCTCATTCCTTTTCAGAGTTAAATAAATTGTATGCTCTAAGCTGCATCAAGAGTATATCTATCTTCTAGGTGAAAAGATGCCCTGGCTGTGAGGAATTATCTAAGGCTTCTGGAATTTCAAAAGGTGAACTCTTTATTGCCCCATTTTATGCAAGATCCCTTCTCTACTTCCTTCAAAAAAGTACTATTCATTCATGGAACATTATTGCATTGGGCTAAGACTTTGGCATAATTATAAACAGTACTTTCTCAGCAAACTTTGAGCAGAAATACGAACAATTGGCTGTTGGTGACAAAATCTCTTGGGCTATTCTTACTTAACCTGAGTTTCAGAGGTCGGGGATAGTATAGATACAGAGGCAAGACAGGGGCAACAATATTCTGGAGTAAGAGAGAAACTTCTGTCACCTTCAACCTCTCCCTCTATTTCACACCATCAATCATAGGTTACAAGGTCCACTCAATTCTATTTCTACTGTGTTTATCCATGCAATTTGTCCCCAAAATTATTGCCAGACTCTATATAAATACAAGTTGTGTCTTGCCTGAATTATGTCCATAATCTCTCTTTGGCTTGCTAAATCTGGGCTCTTCTCACTTAGTATATAATGGCTTCCCACTACATAAAACTAAAAGCACAGCCTCAAGAACATTTAAACTCAGATCATATCCTTTCATTTCATTTAATGTAGAGCCACCCCATTTTCAAATCTTGGGTTTAAGCTATGACAGACACTTCATTGTTACCTGATGAAGCCATTCACACTCAGGTTTCCATGCATTTGCTCTGTGGAAAGCTGCCTCCTTTCCTCCCTTCTCTCACTGATGAACTTACATCCACCCTTCAAACTCAGTTCTAATTTGGCATCATGGACCACCTCAAGCCCCAAGGTAGAATTCATGGCTTTCTCTTCTCTATTTCTGTTTGTAATTTGTAAACTATAATTTATAAAGCACAGGTATGATGCTAAGCTGTTTATGAGGCTGGTTATGCCTCACAGTGTGAATTCCTTGAGATTAGCATCCATTCATTTGTTTTAGTGTCCAATATATAACAAGAACAGCAGCCCCATAATGAACCAGTTATGGTGCCCTGATGCAAGATATTTGGGATGTAAAGGTGAACAAGCACAGTCCTTGCTTTTAAGGAACTTCCAGTCCAGTGACTCAGTGGTCAATAAATGCGTATTGAGTTTAATTAGCATTTACTTATGTCATGTTTGCACAATGACTTATGGGGTAGCTTAAATGATGACAGACAGCGTATCTCAACTCAATCTTCATTTGTGAGTACAGATGGATTCTGATCTTGTGAACTGGCTAGTCACTTTGTTCTACTGATTACAGCCTAATTGGTTCTCTAATGGTGATTGAAAACTTCTACATCATATGCAGTTGGGATGAGGGAACCCCGTCTTTAGGGTTCTCTAGGAAGCTGAAGTGTCCCGCCCAGTGCCCCCTTCTTAATTCCCATCAGGCCTTAAAATCATTATCAGTCCATTGGAAAAGCATAAAGAAAAGTCTCATCCATGTGGGTGCCTATGACATCACTGAGCTCTGAAGTCTGAGGTTGTCAAAGAAGGTGCCCTTTGGGAAGCTCTTTCCTTCATGAAAGTGTCATAGTTTCATTGTTTCACAAACCCTATTTGAGAATGACTGTAACCATCCCTTTTAGCTGTCCTTGCTGAATTGGCAAATAGGATTTTCATTACAGGGGATACTATTTTTCCCACACCAGGTCAATTCCAGCTGTTAGTGCTAATAAGAGACATCTTCACTTGAGAGTTGGTGCTCAAAACAATGCTTCATTATTGGAGAACAGTACTGTACAGGCAACATCCAGTGCCCACAGAAACTAATTCTCTCCTCCCCAAGAACACCTCTCTTTATGGTACAGCTGCATTCCTGAAAATTTTAAGGCATGTTTAAAAATCAACACATACCCTGAAAGCATAAAGAGTACAGACCCCATAAGATACTCATTTTCAAGACCCATAAAACAGCCACATATTTACTTCTCTAATTTAAAGTTTTCCACTTGGGGATTATATATCCCTACACTCACATTCTACTTATTTCTACAAATAGTAACCCTGCACGCTGTATCAGAAAGGACAAGAAGTACTGAATATGTCTTTTGTCCTTAAAAGGAAAGGCTGTTGTTTGGCAAAGGATGAATAAACCCTTCCCTTTAGAGGCCTGAATTAAGTTCACATTCAATTGCTTTGATTAGATACTAAACCTAGCAAATTAAGTTCCCCATTCCAGGTGACCTCCGGAAGCATTATTAGGAAAAAGCGTGGGGGAGGAAAAAGAATGACACTTAAATTCAGTTAATCATTAGGATTTGTTTCAATAACTAGTCACATTCAATTGCAATAATATAAAGTTTTAAATTAGCCAAGGGTACAAGAGTGTGAAAAGAGCCTTTGAATATTAGAAAGACATTTTTCTATTCAAATGAACAGATTATAAGATGTCAACAGCTTGCCTACTGTAGCCAAAAGAATGCTTGTGAAAAGGGCATGTTGATAAAAAAATTAAAATGATGGTGATAGCAATGAGAGGAAGAAATCACAGGGAGAAAATTTCTGAGAACTTGGGGGAGTCAATTCTTCCTCCCTGTCTTTTTTATAGATTAATATCCTTGCTCCCTGGTGCAAGTCAGCATAGCCCAATTTTACCATTGCAAAATATACAATAAAAATATGGAGTCAGGGCCGAGTGTGGTGGCTCACGCCTGTAATCCCAGCACTTTGGGAAGCTGAGGTGGGCAGATCACCTGAGGTCAGGAGTTCGAGACCAGCCTGGACAACATGGTGAAACTCCGTCTCTACTAAAAATAAAAAATTAGCTGGGTGTGGTGGCACACGCCTGTAGTCCCACCTACTCGGGAGGCTGAGGCAGGAGAATCGCTTGGACCCAGGAGGCGGAGGTTGCAGTGAGCTGAGATTGTGCCACTGCACTCCAGCCTGGGCGACAGAGTGAGACTCTGTCTCAAAAAAAATAAAAAGAAAAAAATATATATAGTCAGTTACTAGAGGAAAACAGGAAATACAAAATGACATTATTAATATGCAACACAAACTGTCCGAAGGATGAAATCTTGAAAGCAGAGCAAGATTTGCTTTGATGAAGCCATTCTCCCTTGTCACGAGATTATTACCTTTAGCTTTTGCATCTGACAGCAGGACTCCATCTCAGGTACAAACAGTTAAACTGCTGCACCTTTATATGCTGGAAATGGATTATGGGCTTCCAAGAAGTGAATATTAAAAAAGAATCTTATCTCCGCTTCTCTGAGAGATGTCATACAGTTTGTTAAGACAGGAGAAGCTGAAGGTAACAGGGTGATGCCTGCCTCTCTTGCTGTGCCAAATGGGGATAATTAGGTCTCCCAGCTGCAGGCTTGCTCTGGAATGGAGAACATTGCTTATATATAGCTTAGTACTGATGGTTTGGTGGGTGTCTCATTGTCCATAATTATCTTTAAAGTTAGATGTTGGCAAAGAAGTGATTTTGCTGTTAATGTATTTTTATATACCAAAGACTCTGATAGAAGATAGTTCATTCTACCATGTATACCTCACACACACACACACACACACTCACACACACTCACATACACATACATACACACACTCACACAAACTCACATGCACACATATATTAATTGACAGAGCAATGTACTGGGAAAATAAATACAACCCCTTAAGATGAGAAAATATGTTATTTTCTCTCCTGGAAATGTTAGTGTTTCATGACAAAGTAATTCAGTTATTTGTCAAAATGTCTATGGTGACAGAGTGGGGAACAAAAAGACCTTAATTTGGGCATCTTCAACCAAGGGCACTGAAGTGAACCTTGACTTCTAAGAAATTGATATCTCCTATAAACCCCATCAAAAATGACTGTTGCTATTTGCAGAGACAGAAAGGAGATGAGAGGCTATCAGGGGCTGGGGCAAGTGGGGGATGGGAGTTATTGCTTAATGGGTACAGAGTTTTCCTTTTGGGATGATGAAAGAGCTTTAGAAACAGTGGTGATGTTTGCACAACAGTGTGAATGTCATTAATGTCACTGAATTGTACACTTAAAAGGTTAAATAAATGACATGTTGTCTGTTGCAATGATTTTATGATAATATTTTTTAAAATGTTGCTACAACCAGTCATAATGGAAGTAGACTTCCATCCACATAAGAATAATGATGGTTGAGCTGTGGATGCATCCACTATTGGATGTTTCCTTTCATTGGACCCATTTGGATGTAAATATTTTACTACCAAAATGGGACAAAGAAAACCTCACAGAAACAGCTTTGTGACTATGTGTGCTCTAGACCATAGGGTAAAGTAACTCACCTTTATCACAGACACTCCACTCTCAGGCTGCATCGTCAGGGCAGCATCTTTCCTGCAAACTGTTTCATAGAACGGTATGTCCTTACTGGTGAACTCTGACTTTATCTGGTATAGGTATTCTTTTCCTTCTGCTAGGTGATCCAGGACAACGGTTTGCTTGGGGTGTGACCATTGAGAAAATAGAGCTGATCACACAATGTTCAGGGATGTTCTGAACACGAGAGTTTCTGTATTTAAACCACTTGGCACATGATATCAAAATATGTTCTACTTTCCAGATGACATTCTGAGGCTTCAGAAGGCATAGTGGCTCCACTGGGCTAGGAAGACCCCAAAGAAATAATTCTAACATCACTACCCTGAGTTTTCCCCGTGAGGGAGGCTTCAGAAAGAAGCATCCATGGCTGGGATTTCTCTCTGATGAGCTCAGCTGGCAAAAGAAGCTGGTCTAAGCTGATTTTTGCACATGGGGAGATGGAACCTATGTGCCAGCCCTTCCATTTTTTTCCCCATTGTGTTTTATATATCGAAGAAGAATTTATAAGCACTCAAGTACAACCTTCACTGTTTAGTGCATCATGTCTTTTTACATTTGTAAATAGCCACATAACACCACCAAGATACACAAATAGAAACATTTTGCTGCCCCAGTTCCTGCTCCTCTCCCCTTCCCTGATCTGATCTCTACTGTGACATCCCTCAACATGGCTGCGTTTGGCTATTCTTGAATTCTGCATCAATGGAATCATGCAGTACGTAACTCTTGCGTCCGTCTTCTTGTCCTCCACGTAATGATTTTGAGATTCAGCCATGTTGAATCTCTCTTCAGTTTGTTTTTTGTATGACTGACTAGTATTTCATTGCATGAAGAGACCAAAATGTGTTTATAAATTATCTTGTTAATGAACATTTGGGTCTTTTCCAGTTTCAGTTATTATGAATAAAGTGATCGTGAACTTTTTGCATACGTTTCTTTGTAGATGTGAACATTCTTTTCTTTTGAATGTGTACCTATAAGTAGGATTTCTGGATCACATGGAAATTTTATTAGACACTAACACTTCTCCAAAATGATTGTATCACTGCACATTCCAAGCAGCAATTAATGAGGGTAGACTTAATCTATATTGCCTATTACCTATAATACCATATCTTAAAGTAATTTTATTTTTAATATTACAATAATAAAGTATGGAAAATAAAACATCACAGAATAGTCTCAGGAATTCCTTCTTTCCTTAAAAATATCTCAAGTTCTTAGGAACCACACACAGTTTTAGGTGCTAAGGTTAAGTGAAGAAAGAAAGAAAACAGAACAAGTTTCCAGATGTTGCAGGGGTTACATTGCAGAGGGAGAATCAGGTCAATAAAGAAGAAAATTAATAACAATATAATTTCTACTAAGTGTTATAAAAATAAAGCACATTACAAAGACAAAAATAATTGCTGAGATTGCAGAATAAAGGCTACTTAGTGTGTGTGATGAATGCTCTTGTAGGAGGTAATATTGAAGCTGCCCTACTGGCTGGGAGAAATAGTATCAAATACTTCCAGCCCCGTGAACCTGAAGATGCAGGCATTTTTCTTATTCTCTTGAATGGGAGGCAGAGACTTGTGAAGGACTTGGTTGGATTTATACACCATTCCTGAACTACTGGCTGTGGCCGGTGTGATGGGCTCCAGGAATGGCTAGCTCGTGCAGTGAAATGGGACTTTAGGACATTTCAGCCTGTGAAGGACATAAACTTCAGCTGTTGTATGTGAATATTTGAATAATTGCTTAGGACAGAGTTTAGAACAACCAGCCAAGTGGATAGTTCTGATTCCCTATGCATTTACTGATTATCCCAAAAACTAATGTTGTGTAGCTGTCTTTAAAAAATGAACATAGAATCAATGCAATTAATCCCACTGACAATGATTATAGCTCACTCTGTGAAAACCATTTCTGGTAACGTTACAGGTAATAATTCAATTAATTTGATCCATTATGTATAATGGTTTTACCTTGTGAGTCTGGGGAATAGAAAACGATCTTTTGATTTAAGATACATCTCTATTATTCATGAAACGTATGGTCCTGAAAAGGGACGATCAATTCATGTAATTGATTTGATATCCTTGTTGTGAGTAGAAGTGTTGAACGTTATTTGACAGGAGGATATGAGAATTAAGTGATTCTATGCAGGATAGATTTAGCTTCTAGTTTCTCTGTTGCTTGTTTCTGTTTTTGTCATCATAATGGACTCAGGATCATTCATTTCCAATAAGAAAATGTCATGCAGGAATGATGACTTATAGCAGTTTTCTTAGATGACTTTCTTTATTGGTTTCTGTTTTCCTTAGAATCAGCATCCTCTTGCCATCTCTAATCTCATTTGCCCCATGATAAAAGGTTGGGCCGGAAAGTACAGAGGATGCTTTATTGGGATTCAACACACCAAGTGCTTCATGGGAGAAGAAAGACACATAAAGGTTTGGGTTAGGCTTCTTGAGATGGATACAACTTTTAACTCATCGAGGGGCATGAGGAACAGGGTATATCTGGGAATGTCTGCCCACTTCTGGCTGGGTGTGCAGGGTGTGCGTGTAAAGTGTCAAAGACTTCCATCCTCCCCCATGTTCGCCTGCCTCTCTGGGCAAAACTCTGGCTTATCTTTTACTACAGGTGTGACAACGCTCTTCTTTCATGACACGTCTCCCTGAGAGCAAGGGTGGCATTCAGTTGGTCTTTGCATCCTCAACTTGTGGTAGCCAGGCACACAATGAGCACGCCGCGCATATTTTTATACTGAATGAATGAAAGCGAAAACCACCCAGGAGAGGATAATAAAAGGCTCATCCGAGGAATTAGACTTGAGTCTGGGGGTGGAGCCCTGCCCGCAAACCCTCCTCTTTCCATCTTGCTTTATTCTCCCACTGTCTACAGCAGAACCTCTTCATTCTCTTTGGGGCCACCAGCCCAGGACCCACCCCACTTACCCTCAGCAGATGAAAAGAAGCCCTGCTTATGGGAACAATAGAAGTCATCAGTTGGAATGACTTTATCTTCTTACCTCTAAATTTACCAGCATCTGCACACTTTACTTTTATTCTCTTTTTATAAGTATGCTTTTTCCCATGAAAGCCAAACTGTGACCTTATCAGCATCCCTTCTGTCTCTCCTGCATTGCTCAAGTCTCCTCTCTACTGACTTTTTAAAAAAAATTTTTTGAAACAGTCTCACTCTGTCACCCAGGCTGCATGGCAGTAGAGCAATCATGACTCACCACAGCCTCAATCTCCTGGACTCAAGCAATCCTCCCACTTCAGCCTCTTCTGTACCTGGGAGTATAGGAGTGAGACATGAGACCTGGCTAATTAATAAAAAAAAATTGTAGAGGCAAGGTCTTGGTGTGTTTCCCAGGCTGGTCTCGAATCCTTGGCCTCATGCAATCCTCCCGCCTCAGCTTCCCAAAACACTGGGATTACAGGTGTGCACCACCACACCCAGCCTCTACTCGCTTCTGGTCATGAGCGCTTAAATATGGCAGTGTCTCTCCTACGTTAAACAAAAATTCCTGGCTCTCCTATTCCAATTAAAAACCATGTTTCCTCTCCCCTTATTTAAAAGCTGTTTATAGTCACTATTTTCCATCTCCATTTCCCCTGTGCTCCATAACCCACTGTAGGCCTATTTCTGCACCCACTGCTTAATCGAAGCTTTCTTCTTGCTATAGCCAGTGGGCATGGTGTCATCCATATCATACTTGGCAGCTTAAGGGTGCTGGATACAGCTGAACCCCTTCAACCTGGCTTCCAGGAAGGCCCCTCTCCAATTTTCCTTTCTGCTCATGTTCTCTGTCCGTCACCTAAATTCAAGCTGGTCTGTGTGTTCTCCTACACTGAAGCAGATGTAGGGGTTGGAAATCTCTGAATATGAAATAAGTTCCCAGAAGATTCTTATACTCTGACCTCTCAGAAGCATATTTGCAAGGACTCATATTCCTCAGAGATCTGCCCATGTCTTCAATGTATCGTTTATGAAAGACATTGGCAATCCACAACCCATTGGCCAGATCTAGATCACCACCTGTTTCTGTAAGGCAACTTGTATTGGAACACCACCACCCTCTCCCCACACACTGAAGTATTTCTGTGGCTGCTTTCAGGCCACCACGGCAGAGCTGAGTAGTAGCTGCAACACAGACCATACAGCCCACAAACCCTAAAAGATTTTCTATCAGACCTTTTGGAGGAAAAGTTTCCTGGCCCTGGTTTAGAATCTCCCAGTTGCTTCTGGACATCAATAGCCTTCTACATGTGTGTCTCTTGTGCTTCAGACCCGGAGAACCAACAGCTCATTGGAACCTCATGTGAACATGACACAGACCCTTCAAACCAAACATGCTCAGTTGAATTTTCCATCTTCTTCCCAATTTGCCCCTCCTCTGGGTGTTATAACCCAGGAGAAACTATCCCCACCTACTCCAGGGTTGATTCCCAAACACCCTTTCTCTCAGTCCCCCGTCCTAAAAGCACAGAAGCCTGATCATTCTGAACCACCTGCTCTGCAGAGCTCTGATCCAGGCCATTCCTCTGGCATTCCTGGAAATACTCCTCACTTGTCGCCCCCATTTTTAACCACTCTCCTCAGAGCAGCACGAGCCTTCTCTTTAAATGGTGATCTTAACCATGTTTTCTCTTCTGCCTGAAACTGAAACCTTTCGGTAGCTTCCCTTTGCCTTAAGGATAAAGCCCTAGTTCTTAGACGTGACCTACAGTGTCCTTCAGGATCCACCCTCCAGCTTTCTCTTTGTGATGTTCTGCTCCACATCCACTCCACAATCATTAAGCCCCAGAATTAAAAGTGTGGCTTCCATTCACTAAAAACTCTGTGTGTATGCTTGCCTCTGGGTTTTTGCAGGTGCTGTTCCTTCTGCCTGGAGCACCTTTCCAGCCTGCCCCCTTCCACAATGTAACTCTCCTTGCTTCTCACCCTCAGGCCAGATATCACAGCTAGATGGGGTTCCATGCCATCATGGGGCTCTCTTAACATCATGCATACTCCAAGGCATCCATCATGCATTGTTGGGTGTTGCCTATGTCTATTCTTAAAAGGAAGGTTCCTTAAAAATCTGAATTCAAGGTTCTTTGCTGATCATAGAACTGGCTGGACATATGGAAAGGATATGCTAAATATGCCTTAAAAATATAGATCATTTCATGAATACGTAATGCAGACCTTTTGATATTTTAAAATTTATTTTCCTTAGAAAGAGAGCTTGGAGGAAACATGAAATCAATTAGGCAGCTGTGACAGTAGCCCAGAGCAGAGCTCAAAGCCTGATTTTATGGAAAATAGAAAGGAGGGGTGAATCAGTGTAAAGGCTGTATCAGCCCACTCAATGGAACATTATTTTAAGATATATTTAAGACAACATATGGTATTAAACAGTTATACTTTACTTAAATAATTGCTTACATATGCTTCAAAAAATCACCTGATTGTAGACCAAATTGTAGAAGGAAATTTTAAAAACACACTAATTTTCTATTTAAAAAATTTTATTAAAAATTGCAAAATGCAGAAATTTGACAACTTCAGTTTTTATGATAATGTGAAATTGAAATCATAGAAGAACATGTATAACTAGTAACTAAACTATGTAATCTTTTATGTTACATATAATACTTACTGGGTATACCATGTAAAAACAAAAAATATATATATATAATAAAGGCATTCTCTAAATTCTAAATGTTTGTTCAGTGCCATAGAGTAATAATATAGTTCTTCAGTTGTCTTGCACTGTAATGTAAAAGAACAGAGGCCAATTTAATACATAAGTAATGGCTATGCACCAACAGAAGGCTAATGATGTCATTATGTAATGTACAAATGAAGACTTTGCAGCAACTTTAATAGGACAAGCCAGACTAGGCTTCAGTCATCTCAGCAGATGGAGTGATATGGGCATGCCGACCTGGCAGCACCCTGCACCTGTCTCCCTGCAGCAAGCAGAAGTCCTGCCGGATCTGATCCTTACTCATGCAAGCCTTCATTGGCAGAAAGTGTAGTCATTTCAAAAGCACATGGAAAAACACTTCCTTAAATTAAGATTTTTAATTTGTTAATTTATCTCACGGTGACCTCTTACATTGATTATGCCTTCAAATACTACATTGATGATTGAGTTCATTCACCGTTCAGAAAGAAAATGTAATCATGGCAGAGACTACCGTTCAAATGATGGTTCATGATGCTCAAAGTCAAAGCCAAGTCAATGGCAGTACAACTGTAATCACGAAAAATCATCTTCTTACTCCCCAACCCAATTGTGGCAACTTCATCACTTGAAATTAATGTTGTCAGCTTTATTTAATTTTATGGGTTATGCACCCTCTAAATACACAAAATTGTTTTAAATTTAAGCCTAACACACTATTATAAACTCGTTAATAAAATTTTAAAAAATTTACGCACTTTAGAATTTGGTTTATGCTTAATTTGGATGTTTACTTTTATGGCTTATATAGGTTAGAAACATATGGCACACACATAAAATATACCTACCTACTTATATATTTATACACATTTAAATATAGTGCTGTTAAAAGATAATTTTCGGAAAGGGTAAAATCATGACTGCGTACATATATAAAAGTTAACATGTGTTCATGACTTTATTTGAGTCATTAATGAATGAGGGAACCAGACAGATGTTAGAACCCTTTCACCAGAAAAGTCAAAACAGCACAAACGTACCTGGAACAAAATAATTGAATCACAAAATGGCAGCAAAGCTGGCTTTTCCAAAGGTGGAGAGGGAAGTCAATAGAACCTGTCTGGCCAAGGCAGAGTTTGCACACCTACTTGTACTTGCAATTTATAAGAGATGCAAAGATTCAGGGCTGCATCCCACTGCTTGGAAAGGGACGCTTAGTGGCAATGCTTAGGTGTTCACCTAATTTTTCTCTACAATAAAAGTAATTGAATGCTGGACTGAAGTTCAATGAGGAAATTCTTTTTTAAACTTCAAATGAGATCCATACATTATTCAAGTATGAATAATTTAATCCCAAGCACCTAAAGAAGACTGCTTAAATATGAATATTTCTCAGATGAGTTCTTTCTGATAAGACATTATATGTATTTGTTGTACCATTACTTTTTTCTGAGATGGGGGTCTGGCTCTGTCACCCAGGCTGTAGTTCAGTGACATGATCATAGCTCACTGCAGCCTCCAACTCCTGGTCTCAAGTGATTCTGCCACTGTAGCCTCCCAAGTAGCTGGGACCAGGCATGCGCCACCATGCCCAGCTATTTTAAAAATATATATTGAATTTATACATTCATATATGTAGATATGTATACATATGCACATGTACATGATTATAAGGGACAGTCCTGCCTGTAGGGAAAATGAGAGAAAACAATCAGCCTGAGAAGTCAGGGGTTGAAAGGAAAATGCATTTCTAACCATAAGCAGAGAGGAAACCCACACAGAACTGAGAGGTTTAAATTTCATGGCAGCCTGGCCAGCACGTGATCAGAGAGATTTGCATCACATATGCAAATGCAATAAAAATAGGTGTCAGTATTGATTATCTTTCATCTGAAGAATTCAGTAGTCACATTTCTCAATAGCAGGTGCTGAGAACTTTTATGCCTGCACTCTGTTGGGTGAACAATTTAGTCACTTGACCAAGTCATGGTACCTATAGAAATGCAATAATCCCCGCTTAAATTTTCTTATAATGAGGTGGGATGGATAGTCTATTGTTACATTTTTTAAGCTGCATAATGTAAATAATATTATTTTTGGTCCTGTAAAATTTTTTGAAGGATTTTCAATGAAAATGAAAATGACTCTCTGAAGACTGGGGAAATTGTTGAAAGGCAGGATTTTCTTACTTTTGGCCTCTTGCTCAATTCAGCTGAAAATCACAGCTTGTCTTCTGAAATAGCCAGTGCCATTTGAAATACTCAGTTGAAATGGTGTTCGATTGTAATGTGCTTAAATGATTGAAAAAGTGAATTTAAGCAGGTTTAAGTAGATGGAGGCTTTCAATAAGTGTTGTAGTCATTTATTCAAAGTATTTCACTTAAGGAGGTAATAGCTGACTCATTCATATAACTAATATACCTCGTGTAAAATAATGTATGCTATTTGCGAATTTGAGTTATAAAAAATGCTTTCATGTTTCTAGTGCATAGCCCGTAAAGCCAGGTATGTGGAAATTTACAGTCCAGTTTTCCTCATAGGAATCAGCTCCTGCCGCTATCAAACAGATATTTCTTCTTCCATTTTCTTTGGTTCTTATGGAGTCATAGTAAATAGCCTTTAAACTAAATATGCTACCCCATGGAGCCCCATCCACCACACCAATATTGAAGAAAAAATGATACAGCTCATTAAAACAGTGGTATTTTCTGTAAAATGGGAATAACGGTAGTATTTCCAAAAGATTATTAGATTCTAGAACTTCATTACACTCCACTGACCCAACAAGGAGCTACATTTTTATGCCAATTATTTAATGAAAGGGTCATAAAAGAATGTTCAATTGTCTGGAAATATGTCCCAATCTCCCTCCAGAAAATTAGTATTTTGTTGTTGTTCAATGAAGTGAAAGTTAGGGAATAACTTGCTGAGGGGCTTCACTAGAAAGCCAGTAAGGCATTTTCACTACAGACTAGAGCCAATTCCATCAACTGTTAACAGGCGCCCATAAAATGCCAGATGTAGAGCAGTCCAAATTTGTTTATTTGTAGCATTAGCATGCATTCTTTCAATATGCAGAAATCCTCTTTATGGCCATATGCACAGGTGTGTCTACCGTGTGTTTAAAAGAGTGACAGTATTTCTCCCTATCACAAGGTCAAAAACCTCTTTCCAAAGCCAACCCGCACAAACACTGGCTGTTTCACTGTTGTGTATAGTGGCTTTCACCGCCTGCTGTTCTGGCTCCACACTGGGGCTTTGGAGGCCTTTAGTTCATACAAGACGCATTGTGGTTTGTGGTCAGCAGAATAATAGCTCCAAATATGTCCAGGTCCTAATTCCTGGAACCTAGGAATACACTAGGTTACATGACCAAAGGGACTTTGCAGACGTGGTTAAATTAAGGATCTTGAGATGGGGGGATTATCCTGGATTATTGGATGGGCCCAAATTAATCACGTGAGCCCTTAAAAAGCAGAGAACCTTTCCTAGCTGGGGTCACAAAGATGCAGCAGAAGAGAGTCAGAGAGATGAAAGATGAAAAGGACACACCTTACCGTTGCTGGCTTTGAAGATGGAAGGGACCATGAGCCAGGGAATGAGTGTGGCCTCTAGAAGCTGAGAATGACCGGGTCTGATAGTCAATAAGGAGACGGAGGCCTCAGACCTCATCAAAGAACTGAATTCTGCTACCCACTTGCACAAGCCTGAAAATGAATTCTTCTCTAGAGTCTTTAGAAAAGAGCTTAGCTCAGCCAATACATTGATTTTACTGAGATCCACATCAAACTCCTCTCTTACAGAACTGTGAGACAATATATGTGAGATAATACATGTGTTATGTACAAGTGCTACATTTGTAGTAATTATTTATAACAGCAATAGGCCACTGATTCTCAGCATAGCTCTCAACATCCCCTGCACCCCGTTAATTCTGAGACATTATTCTTCATAAATCATAGCAAAAACCTAGTAATGAAGATTTTTAGGAAGAAGAAATACCACTCCCTTAAATTGAAGGTAACATGCATTCTGGTTTTTAAAATAATAAAATGTAGACAGAAAATAAGATAAATTAAAGTCTTTATCTTTGATTTAAGGACATATGGTATTTATTGGTGGCTAAACATAGGGAGTTTCCAATGGTGGCCAAATATAGGGAGTATCCAAGTTTATATCAAAACATCTGTGTTCCTAGTTCTTTTAAAAATATGTCTCACATCTATTCATATTCTGTTCCCCGAAATTTCCCCCTTTCTGAAATGCCGACATAATTAGAAGACAGTTAATATTGGCTCCCTTCCCTCTGTGTGCACTAGCGTTAAATGTTCAGAGCCCAACAAGGTTTACTACTGTGCATTTCATTCCATAATACATTCCTTACACACAGGAAGAACACTGGTGACTTAAAACAGAGTTAACACATTCTAAAGAATTTCCAGATTATTAAAAGGAATGGCCCTCTTGTGATTAGCAGTAATTCTCAAAATTATAGCTTGTAACCATGTCAGACTAGCACGAGAGCTGTTATTGGACAAATGCATTGGTTGTGGTTCTAGCATAGAAATGAAATAGACAATTCATCTAGTCATTTTAGCAAGAGTTGCCAGAACAACTTCTTCTTCAAAGTCAAACCTTCTACAATTGGAGTTTGAAGTGTCAACTCTTACCATAAGCTGGTAATGAATGATTTTAATCCGGTGTGTGTGAGTGTGTGTGTGTGTGCGTGTGCACGCATGCACGCTTGCATCTGTGTGTTTACTGTGTATGCCTTGTATGCCTGGCAAGAATCTGCAAAAGTTGCATGGTGGAAAATGCGAAGAAAATGGAGGAAGGGCTTTATCTTCTCTTGCCAGCAAAATTGTAACTGAGTTAGGTTTAAGATTTTGCAATATGGTTTCAAGAAGACATTCTCAAGGGCCCCTGCTGAATAATGTAAGTTCAGATGCTGCTTCAATATGACCTTTTTTGCTTCAATAAATGAGAAAAAGAGGAATAGATATTCTTTTCTGTTGGTTTCAGAAGTCAGCTTGATCTGAAGCCACCTCATTTACATTAAATAGTGGAATCTGGGTTGTTTAATAGAGTGTGGAACAGTACAGATGGTAGAACTCCAGAAAGTTTTTGCTCCCACTGCTGATGGGTCTAGTTAGACTTCCTAGAGAAACATCAGGTGGTTTATTTTTGACATACTGCCTTTTAAGAATCTCTCTTTTTTTCACTCTGTGCTGTCCTAGCTCTAACAGACCAGCCTCATTACAATATGTGCTCTCTAACCTGTCTTCTGTCTTTAAGATTAAGATACCTGAAGAAATAAATCTCTAAAAGTCTTAGCTCAGTGCTGCCATGGCTTCAGATTTTGTTTAACATAGAGCAATCTGTGTGGCCCACCCATAATGCCAGCTCTGAGTTAATGGGAGAGTTACAAAGGGTAGATTAGACTCTTCAGGGGGACTGTGGTAGTTCACACATTGGACATCCAGAATTTCAACTATTTGTAGAAAGCTTGTTTTTTTCTGTCATGCCTGATGAGCAAGATGCCCAGTGTTTACACAAGCATTTCAAGCACCTATAAAAATGTTTACATCCTGGAACAAAGTATTGCCTCCAAAATACAAAAAGGGAACTATAAAATTTAAATGAATAATAATCTTAAAATCAAGACGTACATAATCTTTGTGAAAGTGGATTTTATTTCTTAAAAATTAATCTGCTAATCCCAGCTACTCAGGAGGCTGAGGCGGGAGAATCGCTTGAACCCGGGAGGTGGAGGTTGCGGTGAGCCAAGATGGCCCCACTGCACTCCAGCCTGGGTGACAGAGCAAAACTCTATCTCAAAAAAAAAAAAAAAAAGATAATAATAATAAGAATGAGCTATGTGGGTATGTCCAAAGTTCAGATTTCCAGAAGCTAGCCTTGAGATGAGAACTGGTGTGCAAGTTACTTAACAAAGAAGTATGCTGGCTGGGCGTGGTGGCTCACTCCTGTAATGCCAGCACTTTGAGAGGCCGAGGGGGGCGGATGACTTGAGGTCAGAAGTCCAAGACCAGCCTGGCCAACATGGTGAAACCCCATCTCTACTAAAAATACAAAAATTAGCCGGGCGTGTTGGCACACGCATGTAATCCCAGCTACGGGAGGCTGAGACAGAGGAATCGCTTGAACCCAGGAGGCAGAGGTTGCAGTGAGCCGAGATTGCGCCCCTGCACTCCAGCCCGGGCGACAGAGCGAGACCCCGTCTCAAAAACAAAAAACAAAAACAAAAAGACACCAAAGAAGTATGCGGATAACTCCGTAAGGCAGTGGGTGAAGCAGGTGAGGGAAACCAAGCAAGGGTGTAGTTTCAGATACAGTCCTGCAGAGGCTGACTCTGGAGTGTGAGTTGGGCTTCAGAGTTGGCCCCACCCAAAGCAAAAGAGCTGGATTCCATCCATCCCTCTCAACTTCGTGCAGCTGTGAATCATCGGTCAAGGGTCCTCCCTGGGGGTGGAGAGGAACTAAGTTCCAAGGCACGGCAGTGTTTCTGAGCTACAAGCATCGGGTTTTTAGCAGCCACATTGGCAAGAGGAGAATCTTCGGGGCTCCTGTGAGAGGACCTAGCATTGTCCTCTAAAGACTGCTCCCGGGAGGCTGAGGCAGGAGAATTGCTTGAACCCAGGAGACGAAGGTTGCAGTGAGCTGATATCGCGACGTTGCACTCCAGCCTGGGTAACAAGAGCGAAACTCCGTCTTTAAAAACAAAAAGTCTGTTCCTGATGGTCATTCCTTGCAACGGGTTAGGGCACGCTCCTAATCCATGACTCCAGCCACTGGATAGAGACACAGCAGCACAGCTAATGCCTCAACTCCAGTCACTCCTGATTGGTTCCGTAGCCATTCCTTTGGAGTTCTGCTGTCTGTGTCTTCCCTGCCTCAAAGCTTGGCTCTGTCCATTGGTAAAAGGATGACTTTACCTCCTATGAATGCAAATTGTTTTCATCCATAAGATGTAAATAAGAATAGTTGCCTTACAAGATTATAAGAGGATTAAATTAGATGCTTCAGTAAAGTCATCTGCATATAGTAAATCTTCAAGGTGTATTAAATACCTTCTGTCTTACCAAAGATTTTAAGGGAACTAAAAAGTGCATACCTGCCTTAAGGAGTTCTTTTTTATTATCGCTCGAAATACGATACTGTTTCTTGGTTTTAGTTGGCTCTCTCTTGCCATAAGTTAATGTTACTTATCCTCTTCCTCCTCCTCCTCCTCTTCCTCTTCCTTCTTCCTCTTCCTTCTCCTTCTTTCTCCCTTTCCTCTTTCTCTACTCATTCCAATTTTTCTCCTTCTACTCCTTTTCTTTCTTTTTTTCTAATTCTTCTTCATCATCTTTGTCTTCTTGTAATTCTAATTTTTTTCTAATTCCAATTTTTCTTCTTCAATTTCTCTGCCTCCTCCTATTCCTGCTCCTTCTCCCCTTTTTTTCTGTAGATACATGCAAACGTTTTCCATAGCCTTTAAGAGAAACTTAGCTGCGTTGCAGCCTGTCTGGAAATTCCTTAAGTGTAGCCAGACGGATCTCCCACATGACTGCATTCGTCACACATAGCAGGCAACTGGGAAGTGTTGAGTCTGGAGGTGGAGGAAAGTGGTTGGATTGAGATCCCTCTTTGCCAAGTGCCAGCCTGTTTGACTCTCATGAACATTTCTGAATGTCAACCTCTCCATCTGTAACATTTTAACAATGATGCCAACCAACATTGTAGAGCTGTTTCAACGTAAGGGAGATATATGGAAAACTGGCTGGCTTACCATGTGACATTGATTAATAAATAATGAATCATGGAAGGAATTACACTTGTGCCACCAGTGTATAGGGAACACCTGCTATATGCCAGGCAATTTGCCAAGTACTGGCTGTATCAAGAAAGCCATCTTCGCCTGTAATCCCAGCACTTTGGGAGGCGAAGATGGGCGGATCACCTGAGGTCGGGAGTTCGAGACCAGCCTGACCAACATGGAAAAACCCCGTCTCTACTAAAAATACAAAAATTAGCCAGGTGTGGTGGTGCATGCCTGTAATCCCAGCTAGTTGGGAGGCTGAGGAAGGAGAATCGCTTGAACCCAGGAAGCAGAGGTTGTGGTGAGCCGAGATTGCGCCATTGCACTCCAGCCTGGGCAACAAGAGTGAAACTCAGTTTCAAAAAACAAACAAAAAAAAAAGCCATCTTCTCTGATGAGCCTTTTACATCTTTTATGAAGAAAATGTTTTCAGTGTAGCCTCAGAATTATCTGGTAGATTTGTTTTCTACCAGAGAGTGATGAGATAACCTGAAAGCTTTTGGATCCTAAACCACAGCCACCAAAATACATATTCTCTTTCCTTTTGGGGGACCTGAAATAGATTTGTGTCATTATGTCATTCTCATTCTTGTCATGTTATGCACAAAATCAGCCTCTTGACGCACTCACTCTTTTCTTATGGTTTTAGAACACATCTAGATATCTTTGATCCATAGACACCATCCTTGTCATAATTTTTTCCTGCTTATGTTTTCAGAACAACTGTTCTAGACAACTTATTTTCTTTTGCCATATTTTTGAACATTCAGAACGAGTATACTCACATTTCTTCTCTTGCTTCTGGTGACCCAGATCTTGCCCTCAGCTGGAAAGCTGTCATGCCCTGTGTTTCTATTTTGAAATATGTACCTTGTTTACTGGATCATATTTGTCAGAGAAAGTGTATCAGCACAAACATTTCAAAATCTGCACTCATTATTCTGTAGAACTGAGATAACTTTTGTCTGCTTCATTCATTTGTTGATGACTCAAACTCATTTATTGGCAAACATTATTTGAATGAGTTTCCTATTAGTCTCTCTTAAAGAATATTAACAATAATGATATGCAAAAGTCAATATTCTTTACTACACAGACAAACTGAATTTCTCAACCCACTTGACAGTTTAAAATTGCCATTAGGAAGAATTTGACTTTCAAGGAGAATTAAATGGCATTTATTGTGGTGACTGATTATCAGCATAAGAACCATGCATTTTTCTGCTACAGTAGAGGAAATAATTTAATTAGTCTGTTATTGTAAATGTTCTGATTTTAATACATTAACTTGTGGCCTGCAGCTGATAGAAAAGAAATTAACACTGACTCTTTTTGACTGTGGAATGAATTGGATTTTCCAGGGCAAGAAAATTAATTATAAATGCTCTCTATTTAAGATTGCCAGATTTTTTATGATAAATGATGTAATTATGAGATGTCAAGTATACAAATAGTCATGCATCGACATTTCAGCTTATTAATTCCAACATTCACCATTGCGTATGACATATTCTTCACATTTAATTGCTCAGTAGAGGGGAGGCAAAATCATTGTTCTCCTCATTTTCCTTGTGATTTTCAGGCAGTACATTTCAGAAGACGTTGAATGCTAATGCATTAAATTTCTGATGACAGCCTCATGTTGCATTTTGAGCTAAGACCAAAATAAATAAAATTCAGGATAAAGTAGGATAAGGCAACAGAAGGAGGAACAAAGCTTTACAAAATGGCAAGTTGGGTGAAGTTTGTCTTCAGCTCCCTCTCATCTCTCTGTTTCCCTTCCTCTCTTCTACCCATTCTGGGGTGTGTGAATGAGTCCTTGGTGCCTTGATGGCGAATTCTAGGGTCTCAGGAGCTTCCACCTTTCCCGGAAATGCTCTCCTTCTCTCATTGATCAGTGTCCCTGTTCATTCTGTTACAGCATGAATACAATTGAACAGCATCGGAAGAATTCAGGGCCACTCCCCTGTGGCCACAGTTATGAGTCACAGTTGATAAGGTACATAATCTTAAAAATCCTGCAGTACCTTTAAAAATAAGTTTGTATTTTGTTCATCCCACCTGTGATGTTCAGTTTTACAAGTCAATGCAGTTAGGCTACAGTTCCCAGTTATCCAATCAAACACCAATCTAGGTGTTGCTATTTTGGTATAGCAAAAGGTGTTTTGTAGTTGTGGTTAAAGTCTGTAATCAGCTGACTTTAAGTAAGGGAGGTGATCCTGGACTATTTGCATGGACCAGTATAATCACAGGGGTCCTCATTAGAGGGAGGCAAGTGGGTCAGAGTCAGAAAAAGAAGACATAATGATGGGGGCGGAGATTGAAGTGATGCCCTTTGTGAAAATAAATTCATCAAATTGAAGCTGTTGGAATGTTAAATTATTTTGAGGCTTGAAGGAATGTGATTGTGAGATCTGAGTCATGCAGCCAGCAGCTGTAACCTTTGCTTCACCGATGATAAATTAACCCTCTTCCTAAGTTTTCCTTGTTTTGTAAAATGTTGTGAAAGAGTAAATGGCACCAGAGAGAAGACCCCTTCACTCTTAATTACTAACCTTTTATTATAGATTAACTGCCTTCTTTCTTTTCTTGCACACAACTCAGACCAGATGGTGCAAAATATCCCGTGGCTATCAAATTGCTTAAGACAGAATTTTTTTAAATTAAAAAATTATTTTTTTTAGAGACAGAGTCTCATTCTGTAGCTCAGTGCAGGGGTGTGATCACAGCTCACTGCAACCTTGAACTCCTAGGCTCAAGTAATCCTACTTCAGCCTCTCGAGTAGCTGGGACTACAGGCACAAGCCACCATGTCTGGCTTAATGTGGACTATTAAATATGCCTTTCCTTAAAAGGAATAAGCTGTAACAAATCAAAATTACTGCAACTCATAACCCAGTCTTATGTGAAAGTGTTGTAATCATGGTAAACTTCTTTGTATTTATCTAAATGAGTGTGAAACCCTGACCTCTCCACCTCTGAGCACTGACTCCACTCCTTTGGAGTTTGTATTTCCCAAGAGGACAAATTCGAACTTTGCTCTTGAATAAACTCTTTAAATTTGGATTCTGATCCCTTTGTTTATTTCAGGTTAACACCTTTGATGGTGGAGGAAGGAGCTGCCGGGCAAGGAACATGGGTAGTCCCTAGTGGTTGGAAAGACATGGAAAAGCAGATTCTTACCTGGAGCCTCCAGGAAGAACCAGCCCTGCCAAAGTTAGGTTTCAACTCATTGAGACCCATTTCAGACTTCTTACCCCCAGAATTGTAGAGTGAGAAATTTGAGTTGTTTTGAGCCACTAAGTGTGTGGTAATTTGTTACTGCAGCAATAGAAAACTCATATACCATAAGATACCTCTGAAAATTATGCAAGTGTGTAAAATCTACTATTTATTCAATCTACAAAAACTGCTTTGATGCCTATATGCATGCAAATCCTTCTTGCAATAACTCTGCTACACCTCTAGAGGCACAGTCCGTAGGTTGATACCATTGACCAAAACAGACAAGTGTGGGCCAGGCAACACCTCCCATCAGTCCCTGCTGCACTTTCCCTTCTAGCCCTTGGTAGAGTCTCACGATCCTTCTCCAGGCAGCCATGTCCAGGCTTTCAAGATGAAACCTATCAGCTTTCCCCATCAGACCTGTATCTCATTTTCCCCCTTTTTGTTACCTGAGGCAGGCAGAATTCTAAGATGCACCCTAAGATTCCCAGCCCCTGGCATATATACCCTATGTAATCCCCTCTCTTTGAGGATAGGCAGTACCAGTAAATATGATGGATGCCACTCCAGTGATTCCATCCCTAATCAGCTCGCACTGAATTAATCAAAAGGAAGATCATCTGGGTGGGACTGATCAAGCCAGCTGAGCCCTTAAAAGTGACAAGAAGTAGCAGCAGAAGCTGTTCTACTTAACAAAGAAAGCAAACAGCCATGTTGTAAACTGCTTATGGGGACCATGTGGCAAGAAGCGTCAGGCAGCTACTAGCTGAATAAGGCCTTGGGAGATGACCAGCAGGAAAGGAGAAACCTCAAACACACAGCTAGAGGGAAATGCGTTCTGCCAACAACGCTGTGAGCTGAGAATGAAACTGTGAGCATGATTACGAGAAAGGGACACAGTCCAGCTGACATCTTGGTTTCAACCTGGTGAGAAGTGAACAGAGAGCCCAGGTAACCCATTCCCAGATGCCTGACTCGTGGAAACTGTGAGACAGCAATTGGTGTTGCTGTAAGCCACTAAGTTGGTGGTCATTTGTCATGCAGCAATAGCAAATAATACACCATCTTGCAAAAAGCATATACTTCAGTTTGCAACCACCAAATGCACAAAATTAATGTAAACTATGTTATTAATTTTTTATAACCATACATGTGCTACAGAATAAGAGAAATGCTTTTCTAAAATGAAAAGAAGTTGTAGTCTGAGCAGAATGGGTGGTTGGAAGAGATGCTTCCCTTTAAAGTAACCTTCCCTTCCAATCCCTTCCCATAATTCCTACTTGCTCACTTGGAATGCTAGATCAGCTCAGGTAGCAAGGAGATATTCCAGGCTTTCTAGATTACTGCTATTCATGCTGGCTTCCAAATCCTGTCGTTTCCACGACCTTGGGGGTCTTTGTCACTCACTGGACCTTCTACGCAACGGCAAATGGAACTTTTGCTTTATCCTCCTAAATCGTAATCCTATTGCATATTTCCACACTGTTTTTTTTTCCTCCTCATTCCAAAGCATATACCAGATGGTAAATCCCAGGAAACATTTAGCAAGTTTGGCAAAAATTCTGTGAGCAAAACTATTTTGAAAGCTATATTCGAAGCAGAAAAAGTGGAGCAAAGGAGATAGAGATAGATTCAGTGCTTGGGGCTGATGAAATAGTGTTAAATGAAGCACAAAGAAAGCTTTACAGTTCTTTATTATTGTATCTTGAATGTGTAGGTGAATAATCCTCAGAGTGGATATAGAGGAAAACATGAGTCAGAGGAAACTAAAGTCCACTAGAAGTGAACGTAAAGGAGTATTAGATTGCTTCAAAGAAATTACGCCTATGCTCAGACTGAGTCTATCACAGCTTATCAGGAAGATTTGAAGACATGAACATAGACACACCCTCAGGAAACCAGAGGGAGGCCGGGCATGGCGGCTCACACTTGTAATCCCAACACTTTGGGAGGACGAGGCAGGAGAATTGCTTGAGCCCAAGAGTTCAATACCAGCCTGGGCAACATGGCAAGACTGTCACTACAGAAAATACAAAAGAAAAAAAAAGAAAGAAAAACTGAGAGAGATAGATAGGGGTGAAACTGTAGACTCAGGCAAACACCCCAGTTTTCCAAAAGGGGATGAAGAAGGTTATGTTCAAGAAACTACCCACTTTTTTACATCACACTAATTCCTGGTTACATTTTAAATAAATAATGGAAATGTACTATCATGTCCTTAATTACTATGCTACCAGAAAGAAAGATCCTAGTAGAACCATCCACGTAGCCAAATATGCATCCATTCATTCAGAAATTACCTAGATAGCATATAAGTACTGTAAGTACTCATATAGCAATTACTACCAAAGACAGGGACTATGATAGGCACCTATTAGATCATGGTAAATAAAAGAGGATGCTTTGATATTTATCTCTCTCACAGAGCCTTCTAGTTAGGGTATGTGTGCAAAAGTTGTGATCATTACTATTACAGAAAAGCAAACAGGATAATTAGAAGATCTCACATAGGAGATAAATTTCCTTGTCTGAGAACATTGTAGAAGGCTTCCTCAAGTGTTAGAAGGTCCTCCTTCTCTTTAGGATTCCTTAAAAGAACTGGTTTCCAAATGAGAATAAAAAATATATATATTTTTTGGTGGCCAAGCCAGTGCTTAATAATCTATTGAATTCATGCTTCTCTGGTGAAAGCTAGATTGGAGACATGGCCTAGGATGGTTGCCCAAGTGTGACCCCCAAGCCCTCTCTGCTGAATTGAATATGAGTTGGACCATCCAGCACCACTAACCTGCAGAGCCCAGTCAAGCAGGCTGGATATGCTGGAAGAGGGAGCTCTGGGGCTGACGGGGATGCTCCTCCAAGCCCAGCTCTGGGCACTTCTCTAGGAGGCCCTTCTGCTCCTCTTTCTAGGAACAAGGAATAGAGGAAAGCCTGGCCCTTATACAGAACCATGAAGAAAGAAAAAGGGAATGCGAAGAAAAGATAAAACAGAACAAGCCCGCCCTTGGCACATATGGTCCCATGCTGCAGAAGGGCTCCCCTCCTCTCCCTTGCCCCATCTGTTGCTCATTGCTCTATGTCTACATTCATTGGAGACTGCAGCTTTGGGAAGGCAATGAATGGGGCAGGAAGAATCCTGACAGATCATGCACATCTAGTATGGACCTGCATCTGGTGTGGGCCTCATTGATGGAAGTAAGGAGAGGGGTGTCAGAGACAAAAGCAGGCCCTTCACAGTGCAGGCTGGGGACACGCTATTTCATGTATTCCATCAATATATGTATAAAAGTTATCTGTAGAAACAGAACCAATAATAGATAGATAGGTAGGTAGGTAGGTAGGTAGGTAGGTAGGTAGGTGGACAGATGATAGGTAGATAGATAGGATACATGGATAGATAGATAAATGATAGATAGATAGATGACAGATACATAGATGGTAGATATAGATATACTGATTGATTTTAAAGAATTGGTTCATCCAGTTTGAGGCGATGATAAGTTGGAAATCTTCAGGGCAAGTTGGCAGTCTGGAGATTCAGGTAAGATTGGATGTTGCAGTCATGAGTTTGAAAATTAGAAACTGTGCAGAATTTCCCTGTTGCAGCAGAATTCCTTTTTCTTTGGGAGACCTCAGTCATTGCTCTTAAGGCCTTCAAGCAAATGAATAAGGTTGGAGGGTTACATATTGGAGGGTAATCTGATTCACTTAAACTCAAATGCTTCAAATGTAATCATGTCTAAAAAACACCTTCACAGCAACATCTAGACTTGTGTTTGGCCAAACAGCTGGTCAAGCCCAGCTGACACATGCAACTGGCCATTGCAATAAAACCAAAGTCAGCCACAAGGGGAAAGACAGACCCTACCCTGAGATATTTCAGCAGATCCACACAAGATGATGGAGGAAATAGGGCCAGGGGAAGTGCACATTCCCTCTTCCAGCTACTCATCATAAAATAATAATTCAGCTGCTCAATCAGTATTTACTGAGATCTAAGATGAGCTAGGAACTGTCCTGGGTGCTTCAGACACAGAAGTGAACGAAACAGAAAAGCTCCTTGCCTTCAAGGAGTTCACAGTCAAGACCAGGGGTCAGTGAACTATAACCGACAGCAGGTCTGGCCTGCTGCTTGTTTTTGCAAATAAAGTTTTATCTGGATAGAGCCATGCCCACTCGTTTACATGTTTTGATTGCTTTTATGCTACATCAGCAGAGTTGAATAACCGCAACAGCAAAGCCTAAAATATTTCCTCTCTGGCCCTTTACAGATAAAGTTTGCCAATCCCTGGTGCAGGTCTTTGCATAGCAGGTCAGTGAAGCCTAAGGGACTCCCTTTTTTCATTCTGTTGACAAATTCCAAAGATAGATTGATTGCTTCTTCAGAAATAAGAAAAGAGAAAATGAACATGGAGCTTTTAAAATCTCAAGAAAGGAAACTTCTAGTAGCAAAAGTGCTTACTATAGAAATAGAACAAAATGTTTAAGAATTACATCTCCTACTAGAATCAAGAGGCTCCTGGGACAAACAGGCAGAAAGTCCCCAAGAAGAGAACAAGTGAAAATGGAAAACATAACAGAGTGAGATGCAAATACCAGTGGAAGTGAAAACATAAACTCAAAGATAGAGGCCATATCGCTTTCAAGGAAACCAAAATTACAAAAGCAGAATTAAAACCTGCACTGGATAGCAAAAGATCCAAACTGGCATAGAGAAAAAGCTAAATCAATGAAATAGATAACGAGATACTCTAAGGATTCAGAGAAAAAGAACAAAACACATGAAAAATACAGGATAGGAACAGAGATTGGGTATAAAGAAATTGATTTTCTCTGGAAGCTACCAGAATAATTGAAAAAGAAGCAATTACAGCTTTTATTATGTAACTATTATGCCCTAGGTATTGCAGTAAGCACTTTACATTCATTATCAATTTTCTTGATTGCAACAATCCTTTGAGACACAAACTAATTTATCCATTTTTTAAGTAAAAAATGTAAAGAGTATGGGAAGCCTGTAAATTACCCATAGTTAGCTACTCAACAGATAAACCAGAAATCAAATCCCGGGCTGACTAAACTTAACACCTGACATTCCATACCCCTAATGAAAGAAACAAACAGTGAAAATTTTACCGAAGGAAAAAAAAATGACCCAACTTTGTAGATCAGTATGATTGACCCTCATCGTGTACCAAGCAAAGTAATGATGAGTGATTTAGGTGCACAAACATGTCACTGTTTTGCAAAACAAGGAAAGGTCCTCTACATTTAGGGATGATTACAGACACCCTAGAAGACAATAATATGGTGAGCAAAACCCACGAATGCATTTTCAGGCTACACCAACAAGAATGAATTGTTTGGTTGAAAGAAAGGCAATGATATTCTACACCTGTCAAGCCACATCTAGAATAAGGTCCAGTCTAGGAGCCATTTTTAAGGACTTTCATAAGCCTTCAAACTTAGAAAGCAACCAGCTGGACTCATCTTTGGGAAGTGTTCAAGGGAAGCGTGCAGGCAGATGTTGATCACACCTCAAGAGGAGAAAACCATCCAGGCAGTGGTGGGGGATACGTGAGCGGGTGAGGGCTCAGGTACCTTTCACTGAAGACATTCCAGGAACTTACTGCTCCAACTGATGTTTGACTTGGGCTATACATGCACAAAGCAGGATTCAATCGTCTTTTATTGTTGCATAAACAAGGTTCAAATGACTTCCTGGGCAGTGAAAGCAAGCTCATGCTTGACATATTGGAGGAAGTACTATTTCATTGTTTTTGTTTTATCACAGTTCTGTGGCTTAAAGAATAGCTGGGCTATTGCATTCATTATTGTCATTTGGGAATTATTATTTTACAAACTCGGCAGAAAAACATGATCATAGTCTAAAGATAGCTGTCTAAAGCCACTCTGAATTGTCCCTTGAAGGGTTTTTGGATGCTTATGACAGCTGAGTAAAAGCTTAGTCCCAATAAAAATGAGCTTTTAAGAGGACAAGAGTAGCCAAAAGAAACAAATAAATATGCAGGACACAGTTTCATAATTTGTGCTGCTCTTGAATTAGTAATACAGAATAATCGAATGGAATACATTATAAGTTTTATTCAGAACATGCTAAAATAATAACTATTTTATGAGTACCCATTAATGTCAATTATTATTCATTATTAATACTTCACCACCAAATTAAAAAGATATGTCTGTGCTGCATTCTCCTACACTTGTTTCTTTCCCGGGTATTATGATAAGACTCAATTGCTTTATAACTAATTAATGATCTAATGCAACTTGGAAATAAAAATTGAAATCTAAATACCAGATATTAAAGTTGATATGGGATGACATTCTTTTGTGCTCTCACGTTGTTTATCAAATTTTGATTAGTGGTAAATATTTGATATTCTTCCTAAGATCTTCTTTCAAGTTCCAAGTAGTTTTTTTTTTTTTGCGGGGGGGTGTGGAAGTTGGGGGGAAATCACTCCTTTGTCTTTATTAAAGAAACTTAGAAAGAGACCAGACCTGGCAACCAAGGGGTGAGGTACTGGCCAGGAAGGTGGAGTGGGCTCAGGCTCTGTGGATTTCAAGTGCAGACTGACGGCCTGGGAGAGGCCAAGGAGACCAGATCCTGGCAGCAGCTGAGGAGGTGCCCAAGGGCACTTTCAGGCACTGGGGCCTTCAGTTTGTTCTGTGGGCAAGGGTTGGGGGTTGGGATGCAGGGTAGGTTGGGCTGGCCTGGAATCTCCCTGAGGGCACCCTGCCTTATCTACCTAGATCATTCACTGGTCCACATCCTGTTCGTTTCCTTCATGTCCACCTCATTGACCTCTCCGTCATCAGGTGACCCATTGTAGTCATTCATCTTGTCCATGTCCTGCATGTCCTCATCATCCTCTAAGTCCTCTTCACTATCCTCATTGTCTTCATCATCCTCCTCTTCCTCATCATCATAGTGCTCTGAGGCTGGCTTGCCAATAGGAACCAGATTGTTGTCTTTCTCTGTGATGCTTTCGAGCCAGGTCTGATGCTGCTGTTCCTGCTGCTGCAGCTCTGTCTCTCCCATACAAGGTCGATCCAGATTAAACCACAGTGTCTCAGTCCCACAAAGGAAGAGTGAGGGAAACAAAGTGGACATGGTTCCTAGACTGGGTTTGAGTCCTGGCTCCACTACTTACTAGCTGTTTGACCTTGGCCGAGTCACTTAACCTCTCTGGGCCTCAGTGTCCTCCTCGCACCAGGGTCTGCAGCCAGTGGAGACCCGGAAGCGCTTCACCAAGCCTGAGTGGAAGAACCCACCAGAATCCGGGACTCACCCCCAAGCAGTTTTATGTGATCATCTAATCCTGTTATTCTGATTTTGAAAAAGAGAGACAACTCAGCAGAGCCGTTAATGTCAAAGCTTTTGCTTATTTCAATATATTAATCTAATGGGAAATGCTCTAGAAAGTTGTAGATATTCATGTCCCTGCAAACAGTTGCATCACATCTAAGATCTTTCTCAGGGGACGAACGTGAATTTCTTATTAAAGTATTTCCTCTTGAAACCCAGAGGGTAAAAGTTCTATATATTTGGATACATAGATTTTAAAAAGTGTTGGTATTCTCCCTTAAACCTCACAAAAGTCCTACAGAGTAGCTACCTTTCATTACCTTATTAGAGATAAGAAAATTGAGACTTGAACATTTAGTGAGTTTTCCAAAGGCTAACAGTTCAAATTGCAGATCCAGGCCCGAAAACACTGGCAAGATTCACTTCACTCTACCCTGCTGAAGCTGTTACCCAACAGAAGGATTAGAAGATCTAACCCCACCCAAATGATTTCTTAGCTTCCTTCTCAGAGGTAAGTATGGAGAGTAACACTCAAGTTGATTAGGAAATTTAAGATGCGCTTTATGTAATTTTCCTTTGGAAGGCTACCTTTTCCCAGCCTCACAAACATGAGAAGATTATTTGATAGGTTATGCTGGGTGAATATGGGACTTGTGTCTGAAATGGCTTTGTTCCTTTCTCAGAAGGTAACATAGTGCATTGCATGAAATAGACATTTGATAATACAGGTTATGTGGACAAATTTTTGTAGCTGAACCTCTATTTACAGGATGTGTTGACGATTGTTGAGTGTCCTTCTATGGACTCCTAGCTGTACAGTGCTAACAAATAAAATTTGTCCATCTAATCCATTTAGTTTAGCAAGTGATCAATGGAATGAAAAAAGTCAAACTGATTGACTAATTTTACTAAGTAACCAAACTACTTCTCTTTTCAGTTCAGCAACCTGTCAGTTCACTTTAACCCTTTGGCTCCTGAGTGATGCAGACATGAGTCTCTGCTCTACAGACAAGGACTTAGTCTAATAGCCCACTCCGCTTTAGGGCCCAGGCTTGCGATGGAAAAACAGCAATTTGCCCTCCTTCGGACATTTTGATAAATCATAAACATATTCATCCCCAAACCTCGAAATTATTGCTGGAATTTTTTTTAAGCTAGCAACACAAAATTCGAGTTCTACATTCATCAAATTCAAGGCACAAAACCTCATAGAATTATAAAGTCCACCCAATCAATGGAATTCAGAGCTAAGAATTCAGCCACTAAATGGCATGATTGCTGTAATTAGTCGAATGGTATAATTATAGTAAACACATGATAAGTTGCCACTGAAGCACATAATTGCACAGTATAATGGTATTATTATGATTTCTGATGATATAATATGATTTGGATGTATAACAAATTCCCATAACAATATTAAAACATTTTTCATTTGTGCATTTTCTTAGTACCTGATTTGGATTTTTTACATTATGGGAGTTTAAGTCAAAGACAGGAAATCAGACCACGTTTTCAACGAAAGAAAAAGAAGTTATTATTCAACATAATACCTTGTTGAGAATGTGGTTAGAAAGAGATAAAGGACTTAAAGTATGAAGTCAGTCATTAGGATAACCCTAAACAGGTATTATGGTTATAATTCAAGAAAACACCTTTACAAACATGAATGTTATTTCATATCTATTCTATGTTCCAGGAATTAATCATTTTACTTTGAGGTTACCATGAAAATAAGCTTTCCCAGGTCACAACACTGTCCACACTATCTTTGTTTTTTGTTTGTTTGTTTTGAGATGGAGTTTCGCTCTTGTTGCCCAGTCTGGAGTGCAATGGTGCTATCGTGGCTCACTGCAACCTCCGCCTCCCTGGTTCAAGCGATTCTCCTGCCTCCGCCTCCCGAGTAGCTAGGATTACAGGCACCCACCATCACACCCAGCTAATATTTTTTATTTTTAGTAGAGATGGGGTTTCACCATGTTGGCCAGGCTGGTCTTGAGCTCCAGACCTCAGATGAGCCACCTGCCTCGGCCTCCCAAAGTGCTGGGATTACAGATGTGAGCCACTGTGCCCAGCCTATCTTTGGTTTTAACTTCCCTAGGAGAAGACAATGTTTTCAAGCCATGTGCACATTGGTTATATATGTATTGTTGTCCCAAATTCTTTTTAGATGTAGATTTTGTATGATCAAAAACATTTTTATTTCATAGAATTTGGGAATTGGAAGAATTCTTAGAGAGTTGAGATGCATAGTTCAGGAATTCATGGACTTATTTCATTGAAGGTGCTAGGTGTATAAGTGGAAGTACATTCTTCTTGGAAAGGGATTTTTATCATGGTCATTAGTGGAGCTGTGAAGCCAGAAAGGTCTACCTGGGAGATTCTACCATCCGTCTCTACTGGGGCTGAAATCTTCTCCACAAATGCCCATCAGGTCTTTATTCCACTTCAGCTTCAACCTTCATAGTAAGGAGGCTCTAACTAATCTGTACAGTAGAAACCATGAGTTCTCTGCCTACCAACCTGCTAATACAGTTTAACTTTCTTTTTTAAACAATGAAGCATAATGTTTCTTTCTATTAAGGCTACAGTTCACAAAACCTCCTAGCCACACATTGTTTAACAGAACTTCCCATGATAATGGAAAATTCTCTACCTGCACTGTTCAGTGAAGTAGCCACTAGCCATATGTGGCTGTGGAGCACTTGAAATGTGGATGATGCATCTTAGGGACTGAATCTTTTATTTAACTTAATGGTAATTAATTTATATTTAAATTTAAATAACCATAAGGGTGGTTACCATATTGAACAGCACAGCCCTGCACATTGTTTTTCTAGGCAGGTTCCTCTTCAACACTATTTTACTCACTTATGGCACTGTACATTACATTTTATCAATTTACACATGCAGTATTATATTATCACCTAAGCAAATATACAGCATTAAGCATCATAAAAGTTCAATAAATATTAATGGTTATCAATAAATGGAATCATTACAGACAATGAAATAGCACGACAAAATATAAGAGGTAATTAGAATCAGTCTTGCTTTTATTGACAAAGACAGTCCATGGAACTGGGAGCCATGATCACATCATGGTATAGGTTTTCACGATTTCCAATTATTTTGATGAATTTCACACTTGATATTTATCTAAAGTTAATTCAAGATTTTCTTATTTGAACTTTCCCTGCCATGAATATTGATGGGTTTTACTGTAGTGTGAATTTCCAAGTGTCTTTCTTTTCTTGTACCCTGAAGATTCAGATTTTAGGATGCATTGTTTATTGCTTAATTTCATTGCACCTCTAGAGAAAGGAGGAGAGATCATTTCATCCTAAAGCTTGCTATGAGAAAGATAAGACACAGAATACAGAATCACAAAGGAATTAAGAATTCCATCCTGCTAGAAAGTAAAGTCCATGAACTGGGAACTCAATTATTATTTTGAATAACAGTTCAAAATTTGCATAAGAAATGTATATTTTGAATGCATTTTTTCCCATAAAAACTGCTCTTGACTTAGAGATACAAGAATTAACTAAAACGCAGATCCTGCCCCACGTAAGACCAGGCAGGAGAGGTGCTCAGAGCTGGAGCTTAGAGTTAATGACAGGGAGCTAATCTCTGTCCCAAGAGCAATAGGAACCAACAGTAAGACTATCAAGGACAGGGTGGGGAAGTGGAGGTAGAACATGACTCACTTGGCATGTTGAAAATGATCTTTCTAGCTATATGGGGACAGGGACTGGAGGGCCAAACGTTTTCATGCTTTCTGCTCATTGTCCAGGCGGGAAGGAACTGCACATTGCCCCAGAGAGATCAGAGCGCAGATGAAAGACTTGGTTGTACTTGAGGAATATTCAGAAGTTGGCAGGGCTTGGAGAAGGAATGTGAGTAACGAGGAAGATGCTCACCACGGATGCCGCCAGGTTTCTGGTGTGAACTGTGCTGTGGAGCTGCCACTCGCTGTGAGCAGAGCCGTTGGCATTCTCAACAGGGCAGAGATGAGTGTTCAAGGGAGCTGGAAGTTGCAGAACCAAGCCAGCGCTGGAGAACCAAGTGTTCATTGTTGTGGAGTAAAGCAATCTTTCCAGAATCACAAAGGTGTCAAAAATACAGGAAGAGCTTCGTTTAGTTTTGGGGTGTGTGTGTGTGTGTGTGTGTGTGTGTGTGTGTGTGTGTATTAAACACAAGATACACGATAAATCCTAATCATTCATTTTCTGCTTTTTGGGGGTTTGTTCAGTTTGCTGATGGCACTTAGCCTGTGCCTCTCTCTGAGAAACTACGTTGTCCATGGCTTACACAATTATCAAGTTCACGATAGAAGCTGCCTGGCGGACATGCCTCCAACTGTGTCCCATGGCATACAGCGAGTGCTTCGCAAATGCTCCCAGCTGAACATAAGCAATGCCCCCACAGACTCTACAATCTCTGTTGCCTTGTAATGAAAACAGCACACAACTGCATTCCCTGGGTTCCAAGTGTTTTGCTTTTTCATAGAGGATGTCCTCAATCCCTCACCCTGAGCCAGGTCAATGTGACTTGACCATGTGGATGAGCTTCTTAGGACTGCCGTAACAAAGAGCCACAAATTGGGTGGCTTCAAACAACAGAAATGTATTGTCTTGTAGTTCTGGAGGCTAGGAGTCCAAAATTAAGGTGTCAGTGGGACCACATTGCCTCTGAAAGCCTTGAGGAAGCCTCCTTCCTTGCCTCTTTCAACTCCTGGAAGTGACCATCAATATTTGGCATCCCTTGGCTTGAAACTGCTTTGATTCACACTCTACCTCCACTGTCCATGGCATTCTCCCTTTGTGTCTCTGTGGCTAAATGACCCTCATCAATTACATACACCAGTCATTGGATTACAGCCCATTTTAATTACCTCATCTTAGCATGACGGTGTCTGCAAAGAGGCTCATTCTAAATAAGACACATGCACCAGGGGTTAGGACCTGAACATTGCTTTTTGGGAGACACAATTCCATACCGTGCATTAAAATTTTCTAACTGGAGTATTTGTGGATATTTCCCATCTACTGTCTTCCCTATAAGTCTTGGTATGAAAGAAAGAAAAATAGGGAGACATATTCAGCCTAATTCTGGCCACCTCTAGTGCTTTGTCCATGATTTCATCAGCACTTACCTGATTATAACAATTATTTGATTATGTGTCTGCCCCCACCCCTGTCTTGGAAATGAGATCTTTCAGGACACGGGTCAGTAAATAAGACCTGTGTGTCATTTATTACATAAGACATGTAAGACATAGGTCTTATTCTAGCTTAGTGCCTAATACCTGTCACACTGAGGGACCTCAGTAAGCATTTGTCAAATGAGAGAAGGAGAGAGAAGAGGAGAGAAGAAGGGAAAGGAACTTGAGTGATTTTCTGGTTTCATGTCGAGTCTTCAGTCTTAACCAGATTAACTCACCTTCCTCATCAGCCCTTTCTAATTGCCTCCATTAATTTCCCTCACTAGCCTTGCAAAGATTGAAACTCATTATCAGACATTACTGAGAAGCCATGAAGGGAGTGATAAAGAGTAATGGTTTAGATATTAATCTGGCTCAAATCTGCAGATAAGACAGATTAACTTTGGGGGACTCTTTCAGGACCCATGATGCTGTGGACTGCTAATAAAGATTTCTGCGGTGGGAGTTTCTGTGCTGTTACCATGGTCAGGAGCTTTGCTTTATGTAGAACTGCCAGTGTTAGGTGTCACTCAAAAGTATTGTAATTTAGATTCAATTACCTAAATATTGTATCCCAAAAATGTCCTCACTTGCAGTAAAGGATTCTGTTTGGACACTCTCCATAACCCATTCACTTCCTGTATTAGTTATCTACATAGCACAAATTTAGCACCTTAAAACGACACACACTCATTACTTCCCAGTTTCTGTAAGTGATAAGCCTGGGCACAGTTAGCTGGGTCCTCTTTTCCAGCTTTCTCAGAAGGCTGCAATTAAGGAGTCAGCCAGAGCTAGGGTCTCAACTAATGTTCAACTGGGGAAGGATCTGCTTCCAAGATCACATGGTGGTTGGAAGAATTCAGTTCCTTGTGGGTATAGTACTGAGGGCTTCCTTTTCTTGTCAGCTGTTGGCCAGAAACCACTCTCAACTCCTATGGGCTGCCCCTAGCTTCTGGCCACCCAAGCCCCCCAGCATGGCTACTCACTTTATCAAAGCCAGCAGGTGGGAGAATCTCTTCCCAAGGTGGAGGTCAGAGTCCAGTGTAATGCAACCATGGCAATGACAAACACCAACCTTGCCATATTCTATTGGTTAGACACAAGTCACAGGTTCCATCCACACTCCTGGGAGAGGGGATTCCACAGGGTGTGAGCACCAGGAGCAGAGATCACTAGGGCCATCCTAAGAGTCTCCACTATACCTACTGACCTAGACGAGGCTTCCTCATTAAAACCGGAGTCAGGCAGGCTTTTATGGATATCATGTTGCCAGGATATATACATGGCTAATGTCATGTAAGTATCCAGACATCTTTATTGGTTGTTACAGACTGAATGTCTGTGTCCCCCTTGTTCTGCAGTGAGCAGAACATGAAAACCTACCTACAAGTCTGAGGGAGCTGAGAGGCGGAAGAAAGAGGCTGACATATCCATTTTCTCTGAAAGGAACATTTAATAGGGGCTTAGGAACAGAAGCCATGTCTCAGGTGGCCACAAGAGGAGATGGTGAATCCCAGGCCATTACCGCTGAGACCCAGGGCTTCTATATCATAGAGAAGGAATGTGTAGGACAATTGGAGTCAACTCCTCAGGGAAAGGCAAGAAGGCTATGTGAGTCTGCCTATCAGTCTGTCATTCCAGCCTGGTGACAGAGTGAGACCCTGTCTTAAAAAAAAAAAAAAAAAAAGACATTTTCAATTGTCAAATAAAGAAAGCAAATTTGTATAACTTAAACCAAAATAAGGGACTTCCTTTTCTAGAGACCACTTTTGGTAAAAATCATCTACGTATTCTGGATAAATGTATTTTTAAATATCATTAGAATAAATTCTGCATGAGAATAAACTAAGGGGGGCCACTGGAGGCCAGGAACAACAAGAGAGCGTCACCAGGGAAACGTAAGCCAGGCTGGAGCCAGAGTCACTGAGAACCGCTGCTGCATCCTGCTGGCCTTAAGCCAGTGTTCTCAGTACCCAGAATATGATGGCAAAGCTGTGACCAAGCTGGGAGGAAAATCGGTTTTGAGACTTCTGCATAAAACTTGAGCCTCTAAGGACAGGAACCTGAGGGAGGAAAACATGCAGAGGAGGGTGATAAGTGTGTTTGTCTGACCTGGCTTTAGTGGAGTGAGGGAAAGCAGGAAATAGTCTCCCAAAATTCCTGAACCTTAAATTCTCATTTGTACACTTTCAGATTTGAAGACACATTATTGGTGAAGCCTATAAAACCTTAAGCCAACATTTTAATTAATAGTGTCCTGTGTTTTTAATTCTTTACTTGCCTTACAAAAGTATGTGCAGAAAATTATTGCATGTCATTTTTTGATAATTATTATGTGCTATGTATATGTGGTTAAATAGCCTTTATTGCTGGTGCATAGAAATGAAATTTCTACATATTGTTCTTCTTTTTTGACACTCTGCTGAAGTGTCTTATTCATTTTAATATTTTCTTGGACTCTCTAGTTTTTCCTGTATAGATAATTTATCATTTACGAATACAGTCATGCACCACATAATGACGTTTCAGTCAACAATGGACCACATATACAGCGGTGGTTCCATAAGATTTAAAAATTATATATTTACTATACCTTCTCTATGTTTTAGACACGTTTAGATACATAATACTTATCACTGTGTTACAATTGCCAACAGTATTCAATATAGTCACATGCTGTCCAGGTTTGCAGCCTAGGAGTAATAGGCTCTACTATCCAGCATAGGTGCATAGTAGGGTATACTGTCTAGATTTGCGTCAGTCACTCTGTGATGTTCCCACAATGATGAAATCACCACCTAGCAATGTATTTCTTAGAACATATCCCTATCATTAAGTGACAGTTGTTTGTTTCTTTCCATCTTTTAGATTTTATTTTTTTCTCTTTATTTTTCTGCTGGCTATGACAGATACCAGATACTATAGTGTGGTAGACATGGTAGCAGGCTTCTTTTTTACCCCTCGTGATTTGAAAGGAAGATTCTTCGAGTTTGACTTTTGCTACAAACCTTTTAAAGCTATTTATCAACTTAAGGATAGTCTACTCTATTCCTAGCTTTTTCAGAGGATGTTTTTTAAGATCATAGATTAACATTATTAATTTTTTCTGCATTTGTTGATAGATGTATATAGGGTTTCCTCCATAAGTCTATTAATGAAGCCAATTAAATGGATAGATATTCTTACCTTGAATAAAAGAATTATCCCATAACCATTAATGGTTAAAAATCTTCCCACAAAGAAACGGTAGTCACAACAATTAATAGATGACTTTCTCTAACTATTTAAAGAACAAATATTTCAATCTTATAAAATACCTTTTAGGGAAAAATAAGGACAACACACTAACAAACTACATCAGGCTAAGATAACCTTGGTACCTAAAGCAAACAAAAATATTGAAAAAATTAGCATCTATGAGCCCATTTATATGAAATATCAAGAATAGATAAATCCACAGAGATAGCAAAATAATGGTTGCCAGGCATTGAGAAGATAGTGACTGCTAATGGGTATAAGACTTCTTTTGGGGGTGATGAAAATGCTCTAAAATTGATTAGAGTAAGGCCTGAATAACTGTGAATACACTAACAACTATTGCATTGTATACTTTATTTTTACAAGTTATTATTTTTTATCATTACTTTTTAGGGACAGGGTCTCATTCTGTCCCCCAGGTTGGAGTGTGGTGATGGAATGATAACTTACTGTGACATTGAACTCCTGGCCTTAAGCAAATCTCCTGCCATGGGCTCCCAAAGCACTAGGATTACAGATGCAAGCCACTGTGCTTGGCTACCTTGTACACTTTAAATGGACGACTAATGTTGTATATGGGTAATATCTCAATAAAACTGCTTTAAAAGTGTTATCCAAAATCGCTCATGAACATAGGTGCAAAAATCTTAAATACAATATTTTAAAAACTTATCAGCAATATATAATGAAAGGTAACACATCAATATCAAAGGTGCTTCAAAGTTAGAATGTCAGTTACTCTAATCTACTCCATTAACAGATTTATGGAGGAAACCCTATATATTCTTTATCTAGAAAATTACAGACAGATGGTGAAAAACACTGAAGAACAGAATTTAGGGACAAAACAACATGTTCTTCATTAGAAAACTTAATATCATAGATCTGTCAATTCTCACCCAGTTGGTCTACAGATTCAATGTAATTCCAATAAAAATTTTGACAGATTTTCTGAGTCATGCATGCCATACTTATTAAAAACTTACATGGATGTTTTCTTCTTTTCTTATTTTTCCTTTCCTTTCCCTTCTTTCCTCACAGAGGTAGCATGGCCAGTGCCCAAAGTATGATGATGACAATAAATACAGGCAAATATTTGCATATACACATGGAGATCAAGTAACAAATCCTAATTGTGGAGTAGGTGACAAGGTAGTTCATGAAATAGAAGACACAAATGGCCAATAAGCCAAAGAAAAAGTGCCAAGTTTCATTAGTAAACAGAAAAACAAAATGCAAAATGCAGTTTAAATTTATAATGAGCCATCTTTTTATATCCAGTAGAGCATGAAAAGTTAAGAAGTCTATTAACATCATCTATGGGTGAGGATGTGAAGTCATAGAAACTCCCATAGCCTGTTGGTAGGGGTAAAAATGACTTTGAAAGTGATTCGATATTACCCAGCAAATTGAGTTTGTGTATACTCTACAATGTAGCCATCCCAGCTATTCCACTTCACCTCCCGCCCCTCCATGGGGTATCATACCCCAGAAAAGGAACTTTGGTATTTCTGCACCAAGACACTAATTGCAAATGTTTGTGAGAGTAAAATTGTTAATAGCAATGTTCTTAAGATTCTTAGAAATTCTTTTGTCTAGCTGAAAGAATCTATTTATTCTACAGCACATTAAATCTTTCAGTGATTTTAACAAAGTTTCCTAGAAACACAGTCTTGATTTTATTTTTATTGCCAGGCCACTTTTTTTTTTTTTTGAAAATCTGTTACTAGTCGAAGAAGCTGGATGTCTTAGTTTGTTTTGTGTTGCTATACAAGAATGCCTGAAATAGGGTAATTTATAAAGAAAAGAGATTTACTTGGCTCACAATTCTGCTGGCTGGATCACTGGGCATCTGGTGAGGGATTCAGGATGCTTCTACTCATGTGCAGAGATCACACAAAAACAGAGGAAGCGAGAGAGAGAGAGAGAGAGAGAGAGAGAGAGAGAGGAGAGAAGTGCCAGGCTGTTTGTAACAATCAGTTCCCATGGGAACTAATAGAATGAGAAGTCATCCACCCCCAACCACTGAGGGCACTAATCTATTCATGAGGGATCTATCCTATGACCCAAACAACTCCCAATAGGCTTCAACAGCAACATTGGATCAAATCTCAACATATGGTTTGGGGGACAAATATCTAAACTATAGTACTGGAGATGAAAAACAGATTTATTTTCCAAGTGAAGCCTGGCCCCTATACTGTCTTTTAAAATTCTACTTGGAAAGTATCTGGTTCCTTCTCTACCTTGACTCTTCTATCATACTCAGTTAAAATGAACCAACAGACACTTTCAACAATCTTTTTGCTTTGCAGGAAAGGAGGTATTTCAATGACTTGGGGCTATCACATCATTAGTATTTTTAATGAGCAGACACATAAGTAGAGTATTTCAGTAAAGTGTTAAAAAATAAACAATGTATGCTCCTGTGAAGGGGATGGCTACTGTACCTCCAGTGCTGATCACACAGGCTTTTCTGAAGCATAGTCTGAGCAAAGACCATAATGGTGACTTGAGTGCAGCCATATGAAACCAGCAGGGCCAGCACCCCATGTGATGGGAGCAGTAAGTGCAAAGGCCTTGTGATGGGAACACACTGCTGTGCTGAGCAGCAGAATAAGGGCTGGCGGGTCAGAGTGCAGAGGCCAGAGAGGAGAGCTGTGAAAAAAATGGACTGTTGCCCATTAACTTTGTAAACTCTGGAAAACAGGATATTAGGTTGCATTTGCAAGGCTGCATGTAAGTTAGGTACTTCTTAAATGGTTTTGGTGTGTTATGTTCACCAAAATAATACTAATACTGGGGATGACTCATACTAAACAAGGCTGAGTTATGCTGACCCTAGATCAAAATTATGAGGTGAGTAAAGTTTGTGTTGACAATGCCTCTCCTGCACTTTCTGCTCCCCATTTCCCCGTGCGTCATACCTTGCAAGATACTCCTGCATTTCCTGTTGTGCTTCTCACGTCCGCCAGCCCTATACAGATAGTGGCATCCCCCAAAGATTAATCCACTCCTATCCAACACACTCAGCTGTGAATCACTACTGTCTGTGGTGGTCAGAAACACCATAGACATGTGAGTTCATGCAACAATCTTCCCTTTCTGTTCCCCATCAGACATTTGTTCTTTGAAAGAGAACTCCAGGATGGAAAATGTCTCAGCTATATGATAGATTTAAACTTTATAGCATCAATGGAGATTGTCCCCGCTGCCCCCATTTTCCACCTCCAACCCCTGCTATGGTTAGATATCCTAACTGAGCATATATCCATGAGGTTGTTCATTAGTGCTAATTAAGGAAAGGAAGAGAATGGTCGTTCAGCAAAAGGAGAGTTGTTTCTCAGTATTATTCATTATGTTCTTTTGGAAATTGCATGAGATGGTGACTAACCTATGTGTTGTCTCTAATTTTTCTCTGCTTCCTACACTAGATGTCACTGTGCAGCTCATTATTAATATAAGTAGCCTAAGGAAACTCTTCATAGAGAAATGGAAACTTTTTAAAATTTTTTAAATCACAAAGGATCCCTAACATGGTAGCACCTGAAATGCAAGCGATCTGCTCAGCTGGCTGCCATTCGGCATGGAGACAGCTCATTTCCTCTACATGAATTACCATTAGTCTACCCCAGTGTAACGCTAAGAAGACTTATCAACAACTTGAAATATGTTTTTATGTCTTTTTCCCATTTGCATACCTGTCAACCTGATACAAAGTGAGAATTTGGGAAATGCAAATAGCCTACTCATGAAATTTAATGATGTGCACATATGCTCTATTTTGATACATTGTAAAAATACACCATTCCCTGGATGCTTAAAAAATAATGTCCTCCCCTGAAGATAATGAAGCTTGGAATAGAGTAAGGACCCCCACCTCACCTACTTTGCCTTTTCTTGCCTCCTGTTTTAGTTGCATCATAAACCTTGAAGTCAGAAATGTGTTTAGTGTGTTTTCAATAGGTAGGATGGCCAACAACTCCAGTTTGCACCAGACTGAGAAGGTTTTAAAACCAGGAGGAGTTGGTCAACCTGCTAACGATGGACACCACAGAGATTGGCTTGCTTGTATTATTACAACCCATTACCCCCATTTGAGAACACCTCTGCACACACAGTCTGAACCCTGAGTTATTTTTGCTTAAGAACCAAGCACAAGACAAGGAGTGTTATTCAGCCTATAAGGATTTTTAAATTCTACCAGAACTACAGGTTTGAGTCACTAGTAGGCACCCAGAAGAAAAAAATATTTTCCAGGATGCTCTCCAGAAGCAGAACAATTTGGCTATGTCTAAAGTTTTAACAAAAGTGACTACAAAAATGGAATGACTTGCATAATTTCTAAAGGGCATACTGTAAAAATTTTTCAGAGACTCTGATAAGATAAATATGGTGCCATCCTGGCAAGGTAGATGTTCCTGTATTAGATAAGAGGGTTAAGTTTTCTGGAAAAAAAAAGCAAAGGAATAATGAGATGCATTGATCTAAGATAACAACTCTATAGTATATAATGCAAGCAATTACACTGATTCCAAAGGTATTGTTTTGATGTGGATCTAAAAACAGATTCAAAATAAGGTTATATTATTTTTCTCAAATGAAGAGCAAATCAGCAAACTGCTTTATTAGAGTATCAGGAGAGGATGAGGAGGAGGAAAAGGAGAATAAGGAGGAGAGGAGGAAGAAGAAGAGGTGGAGGAGGATGTGGAGGAGGAGCAGGAAAGGAAGAGAAGAGGGGAGAAGGGAGGGGGAGAAAGAGAAGAGGAAGAAAATCATGACATCTCTAATCTTCTTTAATCTTCACAACTGCCCTATGAGGAATGAATTTTTGTCTCCATTTTATAGACAAGCAATTCTGTTCTTATAATTGCTCAACTTTGCACAGGCAAGGAAGCCAGAAAAGTTTTGAAAGCAACTCTCTCTGCCACAGGAAATGCGACATTTCACCCCCGCTCCTTACTGTATCTAGAGTAGCAGTCAGGCGGTTCTCACTCAGGAATTAGGTCCTGCTCCAGGACCATTATCCTTGGGAGTCATTTACCTGACTACTGATTATGAGTACCTGGAGGATCACTCTGCTTCAGTAACACAGCTGTCATCTTTCATCTGAAGAGTTTGTTAAAAAAAATAGTAAGTTGAAAAGAATAGAATTCACACTATAGAGTAGTTTCTGCAGATTTTATAAAGCAGATAAGAGAAGAAAATAAAATAATGTAGAAAAGTCCCACCAGAAGAAATCAATGCCAAGGAGAATCTAATGCACTGACTATGTGCAAAGATACTGGAGAGGGATGTTGAAGTTCCCTGGGGCTAGGATCTCTGGTAAACAGTTCCTATGTCCAGAGGTGAAGTGGCCATGGATAGAAGTGGTTACCAGATCCATGCAGCACCTGTGTCCCAAAGGCAGTCTCCTGCCTCCTGCCAATCTCCTCCTAGAAGCCAACAGGAAGTCAGCTAGCCAAGGCCCACAGATGTAGTCCACTGGAGTCACTTCCTGAGGGTACAGAGAGGATGGAGAAGGGTGGAGGCACATCTGGCAGGCTATGGAAATACAACCATGACCAGCTTGGCCTAACCTCCTTTACTGATTCTGTTGGGTTCTCTGATTTGCTCATATTCCATCTGGCTCTAAATGACTTTTGTCACTGGGGCTGCTACGCTCCTTGAAAGACCTAGTTGCTCATTCTGCTTACAGAGTCTCATAGTTCTACCTCACATACACAAGTTTCACCAGCACAACACCAAACACCTCCATCCTAATTACAGCAGATTCAGGAACTGAAGAAAGTCTGACAATTCTGAAAAACATATTTTAAAATATTCTATTTTGGCCTGTGAACTCAGCTACATAATTACTTCTGAAAATGCTGTGTTGGCACCGTGGTGGAAGGGAGTTTATATAATCCATTGGCTCTAGGCTGGAAAAGATATCTTTGAGGTTAGCGTTTTCTGAAAGACGCTCCCAAGATACTCAAAAGCAATTTCCTCTAGAGCTGTTCCCAGTCTCCCACTTTTCAATGTTCATATGGTTAGAGGAGATGAGTTAAAAGTCATCTGCCCACCAGTCTGCAGCATCACAGTTTAACTCTTCCATTCCCACACACCAGTGGGAGATCCAAGAGTTGCAGAGTGGGCTGAGCTGTCCAGTGGCGTCAGGCAGGTGCATTTGGAATGAGATCCCTTACCAAGCATCACACCTCCATAACAAAAGGTAACTTAGCAGTCTGGTCTTCCCTGTCACTTAGAAAGAAATATCTTTTGTCAATAGCTGGTGTTTTAAGAAACATTGGTGAAGAACTAATGTGGATTAATGATGGCTGCATAGTTTTGTATTATCATTATAGTTTTGAGTGACACTGTGCTCTAGGTGTGCTTTCTTCACAAACTGAAAAATTAAGAAGCAATGGAGAGGAGTGCATTACAAACATGCAGAGACTGCTATACTACAGCTATGCCATGCTTAATAAAGCAGGAAACTATCAGATAGGCATAGTCCTTTCTCTGTAAAATAAGCAGCATATCTGAGGACATGCTACTCTAACTCAAGGATTACATATGACCGAGGGCCCAGGCACTTTGTGCTCTACAGTCACGTCTGCACCAGACCTCTTGCAGCTGAATGCAGCAGGGGTGCTGGGTAAGCTGAATAATGCCTCCCTGCCAAGATATTCATATCCTAATCCCCAAAACCTAAGACTATGTTACCTTACACAACAAAGGGGCTTTGCAGATGTGATTAAGCAAAGGCTCTTATAATGGGAAGATGACCCTGGGTTGTCCGGGTGAGCCCAATGTCATCACAAGGGTCTTTGTGAAGAGAGGCAGAAGGGCGAGAATGAGAGATGAAGATGTGAGGATGAAAGCAGAGGCCAGAGAGAGACAGAGAAATGGGAAGACGCCATGCTACTGGCCTTGAAAATGGAACAAGGGAGCCAAGAAGTAAGGCATGCAGGCAGCCCCTAGAAATTAGAAAAGACAAGGGAATGGATTGTCCTCTAAATGTCTAGAAAGAACATAGCCCTTGATTGTAGCCCAGTGAGACCCATTCCAGACATCTGACCTCCAGAACGGTCAGATAATAAGTTTGTCTTGTTTTAAGCCACCAAGTGAGAGAATTCGTTATAGCAGCAGCAGGAGGCCAAGACAGATGTTTTTCTCAATCTCCCTTATTTTGCCCCTGTCTAAAATACCATGAGCCCCCTCCTCCTTTCCCTCTTCCTTAGATATTTCTTCCTGGCATAAAGCTCTATGAGCTGGCTCATCAAGCACAGTTCTTGAAATACTAAATATGTAAATAAGGAATTCAGAGTTTTTATTGTCTGGGTCACAAGGCTACTTTCTAGTTGCGAACCCCTAAAACCTAACATTACCCTGATACCACCCCTTTCCTTTCTTCTATAAGAGAATGAACCTTCACTCACACCATCATCCCTACCCAAACAGAGGATGCCCCTGAGAGAGCTACAGGAAAGACTGCTCAAAAATGAAAAAGAGAACCAAAGAGGAAAAAATGGAATATTTTTACAGTATAGTCCCTGTTACAAAACTACCACCTGCCATATATTATTGCTGTGTCAGTAGTAAATTAAAGTTTTTGTCCTTAAGGAGCTTATAGCTGAGGTCAGCACTTTGAAAACTTGAGTTCAGCAACAGAATCACAGGGAGAGCTTGTTAAATGGACAGATTATCAGGCGCCACTCCCAGAGTTTGTGATTCAATAGGCGATATGGCTTGGCTGTGTTCCCACCCAAATCTCATCTTGAATTGAAGCTTCCCTAATTCCCACATGTTGTGAGAGGAACCTGGTGGGAGATAATTAAATCATGGGGGCAGTTTCCCCCATACTGTTCTCATGGTAATGAGTAAGTCTCATGAGATCTTGTGGTTTTATAAGGGGAAACCTCTTTTGTTTGGTTCTCATTCTATCTTGCCTGCTGCCATGTAAGACATGCCTTTCAATTTCTGCCATGATTGTGAGACCTCCCCAGCCACGTGGAACTGTGAGTCCGTTAAACCTCTTTTTCTTTATGAATTACCCAGTCTCTGGCATGTCTTTATCAGCAGTGTGAAAATGGACTAATACAGTAGGTCTGAGGTGGGGCTAACAATCTGCATTTGCAAGATGCTCCCTGGAGATATTGGTGCTGTCTAGTGGGAGAGGCAAAAGGCAAGCCCGACGATCAAAATCACAACATGATGCATGGAAGCTCTATCGGAGAGGTACAAGCAGGCAGTTCCAGGCAGGGAGAACAGGGAGAATCCCTCACAGCTGGAGACTGTGAGACAGTGGGGAGTGAGACAGGGCATTGTGGCATCATGACGTTGCAGATGACCCTTAAGAGATTCTAAGAAAGGAGACACTTCCAGCTCCAGCAAAGGGCACACCTGGCAAAGCAAAGGCAGGCCGTGTGCAGAATCTGGCTAGGAAACAGCCCACAGACCTGCCAGCTGGCCACAAGGTGTGTGAAAGAGGTTCCAAGTCTGGGAACCCTGAGGAGTTGAGGCCTGGTTAATTCACTTGAGCTCCAATTCCTTGTAATTTCATCCAACAATCCCTTATAACAGGCTGTGTGCAAGATGCTAAGAGGACTGGGAGCAAGAACTGGTCCCGTGAGAGTTTGGAATCTGCTTGTGAAGAAGAGGAATGGCTTGGAAGATTTCATTCAGGAAAAGATAGGATGGAGACATTGCTTTTGGCAGCAGTCAGAATTGGGGCCAGGACCGAAGGTGAGGTCACACACACAGGGATGAGAGACTGGCACAGAGCAGCGGCAAGAAAAGACATCAAAAGTTTGATGACAGATGGTTCAGCCCAGGTCAGAAAGACAGTGTTTGAGTAGGTGGAGGGGCTGGGAGGGCCAGGGTTGAGGATAGGCCGCTGGGTCCAGCAGGGCCAGTGAGTCAGCTCATCGACTCTATGCATGCAGCCTGAGGGAGCTGTGGGTAGGGCTGTAGCAGGTGCTTTGTCTTTTCCAATTGATCCTGGCTCCATTATTTCATTTTATTTTTAAGTGGCAGGGTCTTGTTCTGTTGCTGGAGTGCAGTGGTGTGATCCTACCTCACTGCAGCCTTGGAATCCTGGGCTCAAGCAATCCTCTGGCATCAGCCTCCCAAAGTGCTGAGAATACAGGCATACACCACCACATCTAGCTAATTTTTGTAGAGATGAGCGTTTCACTATGTTGTCCAGGCTGGTCTCAAACTCCTGATCTCAAGAGATCCACCTATCTTGGCCTCCCGAAGTGCTGGAATTACAGGCATGAGCCACTGCACCCAGCCCATGATTCCATTTCTGAAAGCCCTGACTGACAGCATCCAGGATGCACCCCAAGAGTGGATTTAAATTAGAGAACATTTTGATGATGTTTTACTAGGAGCAATGGAAAATATTATATATTTATTTCTAGGGCCAGACTCCAATATTCCTGGAAGCTCAATCATTAGAAGTAGATAAACAGCTGTTGGCATTTTTCTTTATTCTATCAGGAGAGGCAAACCTCATTTTTGGAGGATAGAGTTTCCATATCAGGGAAACAAAATATCTGAATGGACCATTTGGATATGTAAAGGGAAAGCCTAAATGCTATTCTCAAACGGAGAAATGCAGAATAACAAGGAGTTGAGCAACTTTGCTTATTGACATGAGTAATTTTAGCCGCTGTGGACCAACGTGTGGCTCCAGAGAGACTATTAAGAGGCTGAGAGTGGAGAGGGGAGGACTCTTTGCTCTCTTTAAGGAAGACTGAAAAGGGATCCTGAATTCCTACTGGTGGCATGAGATGAGGCTCTGGAAAATGGTGGCAGGTCAGGGAGTAGGAGGGAGAAGGGTGGAGTAGATGGGCTTGGGAAGCCTTGGTTCATGACACATGACATATACACTGTTTGTAATTCCCTTAGGCCAGCCTCACAGCTCAGGGAAGTTCATCTAGAACATGGATGAGTATACCAAAATATAGACTTAGATGTACACAATATAGGTGCAAGTGCAGGTGCAGGTATAGTTATAGATAGGTTAGTAGATGGAGATGTATGAATAGTTACAATTGTAGCTGTGGGCATTGACATAGCCATAGGTTTAGGTGCATGTATAGAGGTAGGTGTAAACATACATGTATTTAAAAATATAATGTTAAGTGTAGGTATAGGTGTATGCTACGACCTGAAGGTTTGTGAACCTCCCCAAAATTTAAATGTTGAAATCCTAACCCATAAGGCTATGGTATTAGGAGAGGGGGCGCCTTTGGAGGGCGATGAGATCATGAGAGTACAGCCCCATGAATGGAATGAGTGCCCTTATAAAAGGGACCCTAGAGAGCTCCCTCACCCCTTCCACCATGTGAGGACACAGGGAGAAGGTGCTGTCTGTGAGCCAATAAGTGGGGCCTCACCAGACACCAAATCTGCTGGGGCCTTGATCTTGGACTCATGGCCTCCAGAATTGTAAGCAATAAATGTCTGTTGCTTATAAGCCACCTAGTCTATGGCATTTTGTTATAACAGCCTGGACAAACTAAGACAGTATAGGTGCAGGAGTAAATGTAGGTATAGTTGAAGTTATAGTCATAGTCACAGACAAGGAAAAATAAAGTTTTAGAAATAGATCTAGAAGTGGGTATAGACATAGACAGATATAGATAGAAATAAAGACACCAAGTGTTTCCCGTGTTCCTTTTTCTCCCTGAGCAGGCTCACCCTGGGACACATGCTGAGCACTGTTACAGGGTTCCTCTGACCCACATAATGTAATGGTGAAGAAGGACAAGATGAGTGTTGTGGCCTACCTGGCGTCTATACACCTATACGCTTCGTTAGCAAACAGCCTTGTTTCCACAGACATGAAACAAAAACAAATATTTATTTTAAAGCACAACATATGCCCCAAATTCGTTTTGGTCCCAATTCTACTGGCCAGCTCTAATTAGTCATGATGTTCATTAAAGGTGAAAATTGTCTCTTGTCTAACTTTCCAAGAATATTGAACTATAAGTTATTTAAAGGCATATTAAAAATCAGGTAGCCATGGCAACCAGCTGTCATGACACAATGCCTTTGTTTACACAGTACCTCAACAAAGAGTTGTAGAGTGATCTTGGCTTATTAAACGATTTCACAATGAGCCATTTTGGTCATTGTCTGTTCAGTTCAAAAGCAAAAAGCAAATTTTGAATTTTCTGAGTGTGTATATATATATATATATATATATATATATATATATATATATAAAATAATTAATGTTACCACCACTTTAGGAAATAAAATCTGCAGCTACATGATTACTCTATACCTTCTACTGTAAGAGTAAATAGACTTAGAATAATACTCAAGTTAATGTCAATTTTAAATTCTAAAAAAATATAAATAATTCATATTTCTAAGACCTGGTAAAAATTATTTCTCTACGCTTATTTTGCTTACATAAATATAATTGATCATGTGGACTCTCAGATATCATATATACTATATACACTGACTATTTTATTAACCTATGTTCCCCAATTCATTCCAATAAAATTAAATGGGACACTTAATTTACGTTTTAAACACTGGGTACCTACTATGGCCTGAATGTGCCCTATAAAATTTACGGTCAATGTCATATCGTTAAGAAGTGGGCCTTTAGGATGTGATTGAGCCACGAGGGTGGATCCTCATAAGACAACCTTATAAAAGGGCTGGAGGGAATTAGCATTCATTTCTTTTTCCCTTCCACCTCCCACCATATAAAAACACAGCATTTGTGCCCTCTGCAGGAGGCAGTGACAAGGCACCATCTTGGAAGCACAGAGTCGCCCTCATCAGAAAACTGAATCTGTCAGTGCCTTGATCTTTGACTTCCCAGCCTCCAGAACTGTGAGGAAATGCACATTTCTTCTTTATAAATTATCCAGTTTCAGGTATTTTGTTCCAGCAGCACCAACAGACTAAGGCAGCACTCGATTTTAAAAAAATTGAAATTCACCTACAAAAAGTTTATTTTCTGTTTTTATTTATTTTTATTATTGTTTTGAATTTTTATTTTTATTTCAATAGCTTTTGGGATACAGGTGGTTCGTGGTTACATGGATAAGTCCTTAGCGGTGATTTCTGAGATTTTAGTGCACATGTCACCCAAGCAGTGTACACTGTACCCAATATACAGTCTTTTATCCCTCACACCCTCCCAACCTTCTCCCCTGGGTCTCCAAAGTCCATTATATTATTCTCAGGCATTTGCATCCTCATAGTTTAGCTCCCACTTATAAGTGAGAACACACAGCATTTGGTTTTTCATCCCTGAGTTACTTCACTTAGAATAATGACCTCCAGTTCCATCCAAGTTGCTGCAAAATACATTATTTCATTCCTATTTATGGTTGAGTAGTATTCCATGGTATGTGTATATATATATACTGCATTTTCTTTATCCACTCATTTGTTGATGGGCACTTAGGTTGGTTCCACATCTTTGCAACTGTGAATTGTGCTGCTATAAACATGCGTGTGCAAGTGTCTTTTTCATATGACGACTTCTTTTCCTTTGGGTAGACACCCAGTAGTGGCATTGCTAGATAGAATGGTAGTTCTACTTTTAGTTCTCTAAGGAATCTCCATACTGTTTTCCATAGTGGTTGTACTAATTTACATTTCCCACCAGCAGTGTAAAAGTGTTCCCTCAAAAATTTATTTTCTTAGGTGCTTTGCAAACAAGTCTTCCTTCTCTTGAGGACACATGTATAACCTCAGATTTGGGCCTTCGAGGAAAGGAAGGGGTCATGGTGCTGGATCTGAGTCCAGTATCCAGGTATAGAGCTCAGCTGTCAATATGGAGATGCAACTGCAATAAGAACACTATAAGGACACCAGAGGAGGTCAGGCTGAAGGCTTGGTTCAAAAACCTAAACCTTGTACATGAGCTAAAATCAAGACAAAATGTAGACAAGAGTTGGAATCTGGGTCCATTTACTGAATGCAAAATGGAATGAAGGCATGGATTTGAAAGCATAGATACATCCTAGGTGAAGATCCCCAAGGCCTTGACCAGCCCCGCAAGCTGGGAAACAGCACAGAGCATGCTAGTTGAAGAAATCTTCACCTAAGTATTACCCAAGTGCAATGGGGTTTCTCTAGAAGATCATGGCTTTGGAAGGTCAGACTGGGTCTTGAAGTTTAGAGAAGAACTAGAGTAAAAGTTGTGTTAATAGGGAGCAAATATTTTTTAGTATCTTTCCTTAAGAAAATAATCCAAAAACAAAAAATATTAAGCACAGAGACTCATCTCAGAATATTACTAATGATGGCAAAGAATTAGAAATAATCTAAACATAGAAAATAAAGGTATCACCGAACAAATTGTGGTTAATCCACTTGACAGGCAAGTATATAGAAAATAAATTCGAGTTTTAATAGTAATAATATTAGCAATAATAAAAGTTAGCTAAGAAAACAGCCACCGATAAAGGAAGCTAGTTAAAATCTCTCAAACATTGAATAAAATGTTTGTCTATTAAGATAATTTTTTAGACTTAATCCTATCTTTTGTTTTCAGGGGCTAGGTATCTTTAATAAGAAGGGATCCCAGTCTCTGGATTTTTCCTGAAGTTTTCCTAGAAGGATCCTAAGTCTCCTAAAAGCAATGACACCGGGGTTTTAAGCTGGCCATGTGAGCCACCACTGCAGCACTTTTTCTAGCTGTGGGTTTACTTTGGGTTTCAGCGCATTCCCCTTAGATTCATGGGCAAATCTTCAGGTGAGAGTCAGGAAAAAGAATGCAATAATGCGACTCAGAAGCAAGGAGCCTGATGGTTCTCATTTATTCTTTCCTCCTGAAGCCTTCATTCTAAAGACTTTCTTTTGTGATTTTCTCCCTCCCCCAAGAATGGGAAATATTAATACCTTGGTTTGCCACCTTCTGTTTCTGATTTGCTTTCTCAGGACTCATTTAGTCTTTGAGCTTATAGGTTGTGCCCACTGGGATTTAGTGAACACAGCTTTCACTAAATTCATTGATGAATCTTTAAAATAAATATTTATTGTGCATCTATATTTGCCAAGCCTTATGTGAACTAGAAGGACACAAGTTCCTTCATCCAGGGCACCTACCACATAGCAAAGGAGACAGATGTGAAATACACAAATAACTACACCATCACAATTGAGCTAGGTGCTACTAGAGAAATAAACAGACTGCCCGAAGGGATCAGAGATGGACCTATTTAAAGTGGGGCCCTCACAGAAAGAGATCCTGAACCTCAGTGGTGTATTTGGAGGTGCAGGCCCCCTGGTGGGGAAGAGGGGAAGTGAAACCGGGAAGGGGCCCTATTAAGCCAGCTACCATGGGAAGCAACTGGTGCTGAACCCCACAGGCAAAATGTAGAGAATAATGCAAGGTGCAAATTCTGGAATTATCTCACTGAAGTAACAAGGAAGTTGGGGTATTGTATACCAACTTGCAGCACTCATCCACGGAAAACTGCACAGGCGGGTGTCAGTTACCCGAGGGCACACAGGCAGATAAGCTTTCCATGGTTCTGGAAGTTATTGGCAAAATGAAATGGTTAAGGTTCCAGTGATATGAACGGTGCACTGACAGCATTGGCTACAGGGCATAATCTTATTGCACAAGCACTGTATTGACTAAAGATGGCTTGGATGGAATGGAATGTCTCAACAGAAATAAATTCAAGAGAATACAACTGGGGTTACTCTTTTAAAAGAACAGAGAGATGTCAGTGCAGCCAGAATACAGCAGAGCGATCAGCACAGGTAATGTGCTTCTAAATCCACAGGGAAGGGAGGGATAGGCAAGGAACGGGTAGTCTGCCCAGGGCATAGCTGTGCATGATGGTACTGAGTGAGTGAGAGTCCCCTGAGCCCCCCCATGTACATGAAGCTCAAGAAATTCTGCATGTCGGCCAGTCTGAGTACATATTTTGTAGCATCTCACCCAGCTAACAACACTTCATTAGTCCTGGGATTAAGTGACATACAACCCGATCCCAGGGTAGGGTATAGGAGTACCTACTTCTCCAGCAAGCACAAAGCCTGTATTTATCATCCTCTGATTCTCTCGGCAAGCACAGCCTGGTCCACATACATTCCTGAATTCAATGCTGGGAAATTAAATCAGACGCATGCTTGTAAGATGTCTCTGTAATTCAAGACGTCTTGTGATTCCAGCTATAGTGTCTATTTTGTATTCATTAAGGATCCAAGACTGTGGTTCATTTCCAGGCATATCTTAAATTTATTTTAAATATTTGTATCATTTTGTTAATAATATCTTAAATGTATTTTATATGTAAATTAATAGTATGTTAAATTTATTTAAAATATTTGTATTCAGATGCGCCAAAATTGCATTTACGGGAATAGTAAAAGGAACCTTAAAACCATACCAACTTTTAAAATAATTACTGTTAAAACAGAGATAACAGTTATTTGGAAAATAGTGTGAAGTACATATTCTTTGACATATGTTACAAAATTGCATTCCTTATACATACATAATAGAACTGTGACTTTGAACAAGTTATGTGCCCAAGTCTCACATTCTTGATCTCTAAAGGTTCTCATAATAGGATTATAAAAGATTAAATGAGTTAATTGCTTAGCAACAGTACTTGGCAAAAAGAAAGTAGTTAATAAATGTTAGCGAGTGTTGTTGTTAATTTCTGAAGGATAACCATAAATTTATTGCTCAGACCTGGCCTTTTGTATTATTAAAAGGGAAAATTTAGACATAAACCTGCACTATCTCAGGTAAGAAGAAACGTACAGTCTCTGTGTATAAAACTAACATGTTGTAGGTCTAAGTAGTTAACACATCATGTCAGCTGAAACTGACTATGCTTTATACTCACAAAGTTTGCTCTTTTGATTTACATAGTTGTATCAGTTACATATGGAGGTGGGTAGCTAGAAAACAACTTTGGAGAGAGGACAATTGAGAACTTTATTCCACAAATACTTTACTGAAGATTCAGTGGTGAGTAAAACAGGCTGTTTTGCAGTTAACCTTCAAATTATTTTCTACATAATACCTTGCTTCCCCATAGACACACATTGGAAGATTATTAGTTGGCTAGCCACCAATTATGGCAACATTTTTTAATTGCATGAATTTGTACAACAGCAATAACACAAGCATGGAGACTGGAAGGTTGTCCTACAGTAAAGAAAGGCCCATAGCTACTGATAAAGTCATCTCTTTGAGTGAGGAAGTCCTTTTACTTTAAAGGTTTTATTTTAAATACAGTAAGACAAAAACAAAGCATTTTTTAAAAAACATTTCTAACCATAAAACTTTCATATGTCACCTTTTTATTAAAGAAGGATTTCAAAATCTTTGCATGAGTTCATCATCTACTTTGAAAATGTGCCCTTGGGTTTCACCCCTGACTTGGGTGTCTGACATCCGTCCTCTGTGAGTTTTGACCCAAACTTCGAAATGGCCCTCTTGTTATATCTATCAGCAAATAATTGCAGAACATGATAAATTCTTTATTGGATGCATAAGCCAGACATGATGAGGGCAAAGATTATGGACTCCATCTACTTTGAAATGCAATGTACTTCTCAGATATTTCCTCCTCAGATGAATCTTTGTATACGTCAGTTTCTCTAGGGCATATCCTAGGCATGAAACTGCCGGGACATAGAGAAGGTACATTTGCCACTTTACCAAATATTTGCAAACTACTCACACATACTGTCCTTGCCAATACGATATGGTCAGATTCAGAAATTTTGCCAAGCAGGATGAATACAAAAGTGTATCTTATTTTTATTTCAATTTGCATTTTCCCAAATACATGCATGTCCCAAATTCAAACTGTTGTTGCTATTCCATATAATTGTTAGTACTAATTTACATATGTTGGTGAATTTTTCATCCAAAACCTCTATTCATTTTTCTTTTGATCTCTTTGCCTTTTTTTCCAATTGGCTTATTAGATTTTTATATTTTAAACAATACTATATTGGTCTGATATAGATAGATAGATGATTATGACAGATGATATATAGATTAGATAGATAGATAGATAGATAGATAGATAGATAGATAGATAGATCTTCATCTGTTCTGATATGTACCTTTAACTTTTAAATGTGTGGTGACTCATATCATGAAGACATTTTAGATTTTGATACAAACATATTTATCAATCTTTTGTTTATGACTTTCATTTTTACATATGACTTTTAAAATTTACTTCTTACCCTGAAAATATAAAATATTAGCCATTTTTATCCAAATGTTTTCAAAGGTCTGTTTTTCGTCTTTAGGTCTTAATCTATCCCTGTCTATGCTATGAGATAGGAATTTATTTTTTACTGAATTCAAATATATGAAAGGGCATATATTTGTGGATCAGCTTCTGGACTCCTCATTCTATGATTTTATTATAGCACTTTGTAGTACATCCTGATTTTAAGTTATGAAAGAACCCCTCCTTTATGTTCTTTTTTCAGAATTTTCAAGATTATTCTTGTATTTGGGGAAAATTATTATTATTCATAAATTTAAATGTTTTCCAAATACCAACAAAGCAAAACTTGTTAGGACTTTTACTGGATGCCCTTTGCATATATTCATTGTTTTCTGGATAATCAATATCATTATTAGCAAGTCTACCTATCAAACAATTTATGTCATTTCTTTTATTGGGTCTTTCTACATCATTTAATATTATTTTGTAGCTTTTCTCTATACAGAATTTAAACCTCCCTTATTAGGTGTATCCCTAGGTACTTGAGATACTTTGTTGTTACAGTAAATGAGACCATTTTCCTTTTACATTTACAAATTTGTCTAATGATGATGTAACAGACCACTAGAGCTTTCTATGTGTTGATCTTTATCCAGAGACATTGCTGAATTTCTTAATAATGTAGACACTTGATCTGAGTATCCACTGGATCTACTGTGGAAGATATTATACAGCTACAAATAATGACAAGTTTTCCTCATCATTTTTCATTTTTTTTCCTTGTCTTACTGCTTTAGCTAGAGCTCCCAGTACAATGTTTGAATAATATTGGTGACAATGAATGCCTTTGCATTGTTTTTTACTTTCAAATTACCGCTTCTAAAATATTTTCATAAATTACAATGCTTGATGAGTATTTGTGGTAGGTAGTCTTTATTGGATTTTTAAAATCCTTTTTATCACGAGTTGCTAAATAGTGTTACCCTACCTCTGACTTGAATATTATCAAATCTCCTTTTCCCCACCTATTGACTATCACTATCTTGCTTTAATTTGTGTATGTACCACTCATTTTTTAACCCTTTGAAAGTGGCATCTGTTTCTATGGATTCCCGAAAATATGCCTTTAAATGTCATCAGTGATTGATATTCCCAATCAAATGGTCACTCTCCTTAGCCCATGCTGCTGAAACTCTCTGCAGCATCTCACACAGCTGATTATTTCTCTCTCTCTCTCTTTTTTTTTTTTTTTTTGAAATGTTTTCTTCTCTTGGCTGCTGATATCCTACAACCTCCCGGTGCTCCTCTGGCTGCACAGGTGGTTTCTTCACTTTATTTTTTTTTACTATTTTTCTGTACCAAACTTAAATGCTGATTGATTGAGGACTCAGTTTTCAGCCCTCTTCTCAATTTAGCCTTATATTCATGTTCAATCCATATAAAATTCTTATACATCCAGTCTCTAAAATACATCACAAGAATATTCACTTTCTCTGCAAACTATAACTGCCGTAATCCTAGTCCAAGACACTCTCGTTCTCACTTGGGATGATTTCAACGAATTCCTTCACTACTTCTCCTCTCCCTCTTCCCCACCCAAATACTCTCTCCATACAGCATTCAAAGCAATGTAATAAGACACTCCAGATTGTGCCACGTATCTGTTTAAAATGCCCAAAGGTTTCCCATTGACCTGCTTATTATTTTGCTCTCTAGTTCAGTAAACATTGAATTACTGAATAAAATAATAAATTAGTGAATAGAAATAAATGAGTGAATACATTTTGACATTTGAGACATCTTTTAAAAGATGAATTGCATGAATTATGGCCTCAGAGTAAAAAAATCCATGCCAACACAGAAAACAGCTGTGACAGAGATGCAGAGTCAAGGAAGAGTGAGATGTTTAAGGAAGCCAAGGAACCACCATGTCTAGACACAAGGAAAGGTGAGCATGATTTGAGCCTGCTGGTAGGAGGCGGTTAGAGGCTAAACACGAAAAGAGTTTACACCTTCCACTAGGGAATGTAGTTTTTTTCTTAGATGTCTCTCTCACATATACACATACATTAACATGCAGTATTTAATGTATACAGTATTTGGTATTTGTATGATTTCATATGTAGATGTGTGTTCATGTGTCTGCATGCATTATGTGTACCTGTGTTAGTCATCCGTTACATAACATATACCATGAAACTTAGTTACCAAGGCAACAAACATTATCTCACAATTTCTGTATGTCACATGGTGGAAGGGCAAACATGCTCCCTTGTGCCCCTTTTATAGGGGCACTAATCCCATTCAGGAGGACTCTGCCCTCATGTCTTAATCACCTCCCAAGAGACCCCACCTCTTAATAATATTGCATTGGAGATTCATCTTCAACATGGATTTTGGCAGGGACACAAATATTCAGACCATCATAACTCCTTGCCCTTCCTTTCTCAGGACACTTACTTTAGGAAATCATAAATGCAAATTCTTTCTCTACCCCTTTGAGATTTAAATCTTGTTCCAGCCCCTTGCTGATTTTACAACCAAGGAATGTCTTTCTCAAGAACTTAGGAGCCACACCTTTGAAATATAACCATCAAAGGAGGAAGAGTAACTATCTCTCAGTTTCTGTGGGAGAGTCCTACCAGTTAGCAAACACGGATGTCCCATCACATTGGGCAACCACCCCTCTAATATCCTCCAATACTTTTTCCTAGCACTTAAAGTCTCTCCCACTTTTTTTTCTTTTTTTTTTTAGAAGCAGGGTCTTACTCTGTTGCCCAGACTGGACTGCAGTGGTGTGATCATAGCTCACTGCAGCCTCACACTCCTGGATCGTCCTGACACTCCTGGATCATCCTGCCTCAACCTCCCAAGTAGCTGGGCCTACAGGTGCACCACCAAAAGAGACAAGGTCTCACTGTTGCCCAGGCTGATCTTGAACTCCTGGCCTCAAATGATCTTCCCACCTCAGCCTCCCGTGTTGCTGGGATTACAGAAATGAGCCATCTCACCTGGCCAAGGAGTCCACTTCCTGTTTCTGCAGAGTTGAGTTCAGTTTATCTCCCCTATTACAATTGTCTTGACTCATATTGCAAAAGTCTTATATAAGGCCTTCCTTGCTGTTTCTAGCAAGTGTCTGGGGCAATATTTTTTTTTTTGCAATACCAACAGATGAGGATCCCTGGAGGACATCTTAGAAGCGGCCTGCCACAGTGTGTGTGTGTGTGTGTGTGTGTGTGTGTGTGTGTGTCTCCAAGGTAACTATATAGTAAGCCTGCATGTAGAGCATTCAAAATGTGAATTCTCTTTAACTGATAACTGTTGGTCTAGCTACATATTAAGGAAACATATTTAGTATTTCAAAGATGTAAATTCAGTGTTTATACCCTTCAAAGGATGAGTGCTGATCAAAAGACCTACAGAATTGTCCAGAAAAATCCCCATTTTGTCCAACCAGGGCATCATCTCTCAGTGGAACCCTCTCCAAAAGGAAAAAATAAATGAATTTCCCACTGGTAACCAGTAATCTGTGCCCATTAGACCTAGAATTATTCCTGGTCTCAATTATTAATACTCACCAAATGAAAACAAACACAGTTTAGGCGGGGGAACAAAAACCCTTCGATTGCCTTCATTGAGTACTTTACTGCGGCCAGACTTGACATTAACATCTTAATGGCTCTGATAGAATCACTTAGGAGCTTCACTTCATGTAAATAGAGAAAATGTTAATGAGGAGAAAATGTGGGTGATTAATAAATGTGATTGAAATGAAATGACCTTTACTTATCCACTGCGTAATTAAAGTAATCAAGGGAGACCCAGCTGTGATGAGAAATGTCATAGAATAGACCAAAATGCAATTAGCTATCATCTTTGTAAAAAAAAAAAATCAACATTCATTGTGTTTTATAGAAGAAGGGGTACTTTTAAAAATTGCTTTTAGAGTCAATCGAGTTTTTCCTGACTGCCTGGAAAAATATTCCTACTTCAGGGCAGCTGCAGCATTATAAATACACCACACTGAAAAATACAATCCCTATGGAATAAAAAAAGTAGCATGCAAAGATTTATCTTATCTGCCTTCTGATATCCTCTGAATTCCAATTAGAAGTTCCCCACAGCACACAATATCAATCAGGAAACAGTAGCTCAGAGGCACCAGATCACTTTAAGTCTTCTGATGTTACTCTTGGGGAAGGAGAGAATGAGGATACATTGTCCCTAAAAAGCCTTGTCCTCTTTCTTTTGGCAGCAAAACAAGCAACTCTGTCCAAAAAGCTGAGAAAGAAATCAATTGGCATTCAAGGGTCAGCGATAAAGTTTTCCGGAATTAAACTGCCTAAGGACATTTTGGACATTTGCACACTCCTGCCTTTATTCCAGCTGATTAATAAGTGCAGTACAACCCACTGTCATCACCAAACTTTCTTTTTCCACTTCTTTCCTCAAAAACACCAACCCTGAACTCGGTCAAAACCCTGAACACCATCCCCTATTTTAGATCAGGAAACTTCAATAGCCTATTGGAGGCAGAGTCCTTGGAGCCAAATGCAAGCCCCACTCTCTGTGGCTTTGTGAGCTTAGTCAACTTACTTAGCCCCTCTGTGCCTCAGTTCCCTAATTCCATTACTAATGTGCTGGGTGGGGGTGGGTCTATTTCCAGGAAGTTTGAGGATAATTGCTATGTAGAAACTCTGAACATATGAGAATGGTTGCTAAGATTTTACACAGCTAATTCCTTGGCATGTCCTAAATGCCTAGGAAAAGTAACTTTACACTTTCTCATTATCAGTTTCCCCATCTCTATAATGGGGTTAATAATAATAATCGTAACACTTCCTAATTGGTTGCTGTAGAAATTAAATAGGTTAATAAATGCAAAACATTTAGTGCCTACCAAGTAATGAACTCCGTATAAATGTAGCTACTATTCTGACATATTTGTTGTAAACTCTGGATCATTGAAACTAGGCCAAAAGAACAAAAGCTACACAATGATGTTATTGTTGCCATCATTGATCAGAGAAGTTACCTTTGGGCTTCCTAGTAGCCATGTCAAAACAAAATACAGAACAAAGCTCTCTCTTATTTTATAATACAAGAAAAATTGTCCTTCAATTTCCTTGGGACTAAATCTAGTGGAATTCCTTGCATGGAACTTTCTGTAAGGGATGTTAAAATGTATAATTGGCAGAGACTTCAACAAGCTAGCAAAAGAAGAAAGCTAAAATAATTCGTCTGTATCCTATTGATGTGGCAGTTGGACTCATCTCATAGCTATGTCAGTTCTGCATTTTACTTCGACTCATGGTAAGGTAAGGTACAAACCTAGGGGAGCTGCATGGCTCAAGGATGGCAGTCTACAAACCTAAACCAACTAGAAATGTAGAGACAGCCACATTGCAGAATGAAGAAAAGAAGAATGAAAACTGAACAGAAAGAATTAGCTCTCTGCTTTCCTAGAGATAGCCTTCTGACAAGATGGAGGTAACTTCCTGTATGCAGTGAAGGTAAAGAATTACATGCAATTAAACAGTCTAAAAACTCACATACTTCAGTGATATATTTTGTTGTTAGTAAATTTAACAAGTATTTACTGAGTGCACAGGTGCATAATTCTTGAGGAGTTGTGAAGATGAAAGCTCAATTTTTGCCCTCAGGTAACATACAGCTTAGAGGGAGAAAAATAGGTATGAGAAAATGAATGTAAACTTTTGGGAAGAACTGAGGATGTGGTTTGAAATAGCTTAACTCGTACATGAATTGGGGCCATCAGTAGGCAGACTTCTGTTTTAACTTTGGTTTTTGGCCTATTTTTGAATGAAATATGCATGGTAATTTTAATGTAAAACTAAAAATCAATTTTTTTTTCAAATCATCAAGCATAAGTGGATTTGGTATGGTTAAGTCACAGCTTCTCATTTCCAGAAACACCTAGGCTTCTTGGGCTATGATGTCCCTGGGAAAATAGTACACAGGAGTAACATTCTTGGAGTTAGACAAACTCATGTGGCACTCTGGCTTTTTTGCCTAGCTGCTTTGTCTTGGATATGATACTAATGTCCTAATCTCAGTTCTCTCATCTGTGATATTAGATCCATTCACCTCTTCTCTTTAGGGCCCTTGACCTCCCAAGAGCCTTGAAAATGCTAGATTCACTCTTCTCTCACTTGAGGATTTTCTCTGAACTCACTTTTTGAAGGTGAAGAAATGGGGAAGTTTTGTTTGTTCTGACCAAAATTAAGACGTTTTATCATGCATCTATTTCCTACCTCTAAAAAAAAAACCCAAAAAACAAACAAACAAAAAACACATTTAATTCTACATTCACAGGCAACTGTGTTGCCTGAGGTGACTCAGCCTGTCTCTGACATTTCTGAAGTTTTGGGTGTCCACTTGCAAGTGATCTGGAGACATTGTTGCATGGCATTCCAAGTACTTGTCCTTCTGTTAGATTGGCAAACTGCAGTACAATTAGATCTAGGAATCTCCAGGTCTCCACTTGTAAGATGAATCTTTGGAAGAAAATAGACTTTAAGAAGACTCTTAAATAGGTTTTCCTACTTTGAGAAAAAATCTGACTGACAAGAAGAAACAAAGACTAAAAGTCACATCATACACTTCCAATTGAATTTCTAGGTTTTTGTTGGTGGTGGTGGTGGTGTCTGCTTGTTGTGTGTGTGTGTTTGTGTGTATGTGTGTTCTTACTGTCCTTACCTACACCAGAAGGTGAATAAAAAGCTTGTGAAAGGCTTTTTTTTTTTTTTAGTTGGTTGATCATTTTGGAAATGTTTACATATGGACCCATAAATCTGAAAAACAAAATTATTTTAGCATACTTGATTGAGGTCATCATGTTTATCAAATACACATTAATGTAGCTGATAATGTTGAAATCTCTCTGTATTTTCTCTGTTGTTTTGAAATAATTGGAAATGTGTTAACCTCAGAGCTACAGATCCACACATGAGTTGTTTCAGAATCTTCTGTGTCCCCCAAATCCTCTTCATCATATTTAACTGTAGAAAGGGTGGTCAGGCCAGCAGAAACATTGCACAGAGCACTGTCAGGCTGGAAAGTTAGAAGAAGGGGTTGTTTTCCTAGACTCCCTAGACTATCTTCTAAAAGGCAATGATCATTCTATTTTTAACCATCTCATTTTGGCTTATCTTCTTATCTTCCCTTTCTGTTCCTTTTTAAATTTTTTTTTATACTTTTCCACTTTTATCTGCCTGCTTGCATTTTATTTCTCCCTTCTACTGAGATGTTAGATGCTTTCTCTTCCCCATCTTCTGCAATTTGGTAGCTGCTTTTCTTGTATTTTTATTCCTCTGTCTTTTTATAGTTCTTCCTCCCCCTGCTTCATTCTTTTCTTTCAAGTCCTCTTTTCCTTTCTATTTTTGATGTGTTGACTTGAATTTATCACAGTTACTGAAATACTTGTGTGACATGCACAGAGTGAGCCAAAGAGGCCAGAAGCAAATTGGGATTCCATGAGCAGTTGACTAAATCATGAGGAATAGCCCAGTTGCAGCAAACACAGAGAAAGGCTGTGCCTGTTTCAATGAAGAGAGATTGAGCAGCTGCATAAAAAGATAGATAGTTAGGGCAAATTAGGCACAGGCCAGGATGGAAGTGGATAGAAAAAAATACCACCCCTGCCAATTCCTACAATGATCTAATTTTATGCATTCAGTATTCAAGCAATAAGTGGTATGATATTCAAATTGGATTGGAGCCTCTAATTTTAAGTCCTAAGAATTCTCCTTCCTTGGTATGAATTTCCATGCCATCAATGGTTAATTCTGAACATCATGTCAGTATTTTCCATGTAAATTCTTGTGCAAACCAAAGACCCATTACTATGGAGATATAGCCAGTAGGCTTATGGATGGGTCACCAGCGTGACTGGATTGAGTTCAAGGGCTATTCTAAAACTTCAGTTTAAAATTGTAATGGTTAATTTTATGTGTCAACTTGACTGTGCCATGAGGTGCCCAGATATTTGGTCAAAGATTATTCTTTGTGAGATGGGTTTTGGATGAGATTAACATTTAAATTGGTAGACTGAGTAAAACATATTTCCCTACATAATGTGGGTGGGCCTCATTTAATCAGTTGAAGGCCTGAATAGAACAAAAAGGGCTGACCCTCTCCTGAGTAGGAGGAAATTCCTCCTACTTGAGTGCCTTCAAACTGAGACATTGGCTTTTTTCCCCGTCTTAGGGTTCATGTTGAAGCACTGGCTCTTCCTGGGTCTCAAGCCTGCTAGCTTTCAGACTGGAACCACACCATTGACTCTCCTTCTTCTTAGGCTTTCAGACCCAGAGTGGAACTAAACCATCAGCTCTCCTGGGTCTCCAGCTTGCGGACTCGCCCTGCAAATCTTGGGTTTTGTAAGCCTTCATAATGGCATGAGCCAATTTCTTATACTAAATCTCTCTATATATACATACACAGGCTGTTGGTTCTGTTGCTCTGGAGAACCATGACTAACACAAAAATCTTACCATGGTAAGAAACCTTAGTCACTTATCACAGCATCACATTTTTACACAAAAGGCAAATAAGGTCCAGAAAGACTAAGGAATCTGATGAAACTTAAACAGCAAATTAGTGTTACTACTAACTTTGTCCTTTCTCAGTCCTCATTAAGATTTTGGGGCAGTAGGGGGATTATTTGTGACATTGGGCAGATTTGAATCCAAATATTTAGCCTTCTGATGTCAGAGTAGCTGAAACAGTGAAACAGGTACAAGAAGAGACAATGATTATTTCAATATTAGCAAGTTCACTTCCCTCCAGCAAAGACTTTTCTAGACAATTTCTGTAATTATTCTCATTATTAACTTAACTTTTTCAAAATGTCTGTAGCACTGTCCAACTGCCAAGGGAAAAAAACCTATCTCTGGTTTCCACTGTTAGTTTAGTGATGCTGGAATTGTAGCACTGCAAAGAACTCAAGAGAAACAGCATGCCTACTTCCTAATGCTATGAACTTGTGACCTTACATGGCAAAAGGGACTTTGCAGATGTGATTCAGTTAAAGATCTTGAGATGGGGGATGACTCTGGGCTATCTAGGTGAGCCCAGTGTCATCACAGGGGTCCCTATAAGAGAGAGGCAGGAAAGTCAGAGTCAGAGAAGGAGATAGAAAGATGGAAACAGGGGTCAGAGAGAGAGAAAGAGAAGTTTGACAATGTCACACTGCAAGCTTTAAATATGGAGGAAGGGGCCACAAGCCAAGGAATGCAGGTGGTGTTTCAAATCTGGAAAAGGCAAAAACACAGATTCTCCTCTGGAGCATCCAGAAGGAATGCAGCCCCTCAACTCTACCATGGCCCATTTTGTGCCCTGACCTCTAGAACTCTGAGATAATATACTGAGTTGTTCTAAGACACAAAGTTTATGAAAATTTATTACAGCAGCATTAAGAAACTAATATTCTGAGACTTGTAAAAATCAGTATCTGGGACCAACCTTCAGTAATTCCAATTCACAACTTCTTCCACCAATCAAATTTTATATTTCACAAATTTGTCAATTACCAGGGGTACAACAAAAACTGAGTCACAGCTCCTCTCCAAGGACCTTACAGTCTGAAGGAAAAGAGAGTTTTCTCAAAATAAAACATACCTCTTTCCTGATTAAGAAGCTTAACAACCACCCACAAATAGTGTCTATTCATAGACTCATGGTGTGATCTGTAACCCTTTGCTAAACAAAGAAATTGCATTCATTTTGCTTTATGTAAGTCAGCTTGCCTAAGGAGATAAGTTGTCAGTGGACCTCAAATTTTTTTTTTGCCATCTTTCACATTTCTTCTGAACAGTTGCCCCTGAGAACCCAGATGGTATTTTATCTTCATGTCCACCCAAATCTAAAAGTTGTGGGGTTAGGATGATAATCACTTTTGCAATGTTGGGTGGTTAGCCACATTCTGGAACACCATCCTGTCAGGCTGAAAGCTCACTAGGATTTGGAGTCGATGAGTACATGCTCAAGAAGGTGGTAGTTCTCTCTGCGGGGCAGCTGAATCTCTAGGTACAATTGCATGTTGAGACCTACAGACTGGTCCATAATGGGACACTGAGTTGGAATCCTTTTCTATCCACCAGTCTTCTCCAAAGAACAAGACAGCCAGATTCTCCCTACATTTCTTTAAAACTCTGACCCTCCCACATTGATCTACAATGCGTTAACTGAGGAATACAATTCAATAACTGCCATGTTGATTACATTTTGTTCTTGATCTTTCAACCCCCCTAGCAGCCCCATCCTTTTTCATGTGACTTTTCCCATTACCAGTGAGTCAATTTCCCTGCTGCATTGATGCTGGGCTTGGCAACTGTATTAGTTTCCTCATTGCTGCTGTAACAAACTATCACAACTTAGTGATTTTAAATAACACTAACTTATTATTTTATAGTTCTGGAGGTTAGAAGTCCACGAATGGTTCTTTCAGGGCTAAAGTCAGGATGTTTTGTTCCTCCTGGAGTGTCTAGGGAAGAATCAGTTCCTTGCTGTTCAGATTTTAGTGGCTGCCCTCATTACTTGGTTCATGCCCCAGCCCCAACACTGGCATTACTCTGACCTCTGCTTCCACGATTATATCTCCTTCTCACTCTGATCCTCCTGCCCATTTAGGTAATCCAGAATAATCTCCCATCTCAAGTCCTTAACCTAATCACATCTGCAAAGTCCCTTTTGCCATGTAAGGTAACATATTAATTAACAGCTGCTGGGAATTGAAACAGATCTATCACTGGGGGACCATTATTCTGCCCACACAGCAAAGTTACTTGCTTTGGTCAGAGAAGCAAAGGCAGAGGTTATGGTTTGCTAGTCAAGTCCAGGCCTGAAAAGACAACACATGTTTCCACTCATCTCTCCTATGGTTTTGTCATTACCATGAGAAGAACCCATTCTAGATAGCTTGCTGTACTAAGGAAGATGAGAGGCACATAAAGTAGACCTGATTCCAACCTACAGCTCCAGCCAGGCCAAACCCAATCAGCCATGCCCAGGTGACCTTGAGTCAACCAATACACAGATGCCTGATAGAGAAGAAAAAAAGGGTTTGTTGATTTATTAAAATAAACTTTTGGACATTTTGTTATGTGGCAATATCGTGGTAATGACTAGCTGATACAGCTGTACTTGGTTTAAAGCTTGAAGTAAAAAGTATCAGGCTGTGTGAGGCTTCCAGGACATGTGTGTCTATTGCCCTGACACAGTGAAGAATTACAATTATGCTTGAAGTTTTGCTCTGACATCTGTTAAATCTACACATAACACTTACTGCACATCCTACTCTCTTGGACATTGGTGGACCCAGTTATATGTTAAGAATTTCCAAAGATTTTGAAAGAACATATTCTAATCTGAGCTTCTTCCAGGAACTTAGATATTTCCTCAAACATGACTCCAAAGAAAATTTAATTCAACTCCATTACACAGACTTTACTCATCTTGTTACAGATATGAAATGGTCAATAATACAGGTCCGATTAAAATGACAGTGACATGTCTGTCCAATTTTCTTCTTGGACTGGGTTGTAATAATAACTGATGAAAATTCCCAATATGCTCATTGACAACATGTTTTCCTGTGCCATATGTATCTCAGTGACGTTAATTGATGATGGTGGTATGAATTTGATATCACTAGATATTGCAGATATGAGTAAAATACCTGTTTTACAAAACTGCCTGCATTTGGAAGATGTGGTTGAGGAAGGAGTTTGAAGACTTAAGATTAAGATGACACTCGCTCTTGACATACAGGGACAGTCCCAGTTTCAAATATTCCATTCAGCATTTCAGATCACTTGACAGCCAACAAGATCTGATTTGAGGATCAAAATATAAAGGGAAGGTGCTTTGATGGCTCTTAGCAGATTTTTAACCATTTATTATCCACTCCAGGAGGCAAACAACTGACTTTATTTCCCCTCAAAAAAATCCGTAAAATGTTTTAAGGTGTTTTCCATACAGAGACAATCCAGAAAGGGACTAACTCTAAAATATGCACATTTTTCTGAAAGTTGGATATAATTTTTACTTGCAAAAGAACATTCAACACATAAATGGAAAATATTCAATATAAAAATATCAGCTTCTTTAGAATTGTAATTTTAATTGCTAAGATGAATGTTGAAGCTGATTTAGCACCAGAATCATAATTGACCATAAATTTTCTCTTGCTTTTATAACCATTCCTGCAAGATTGAATTTTTTTCAGAGCTGAAGTGAAGCATCCCCGTAAAATGTTATAGATTGAATTGTGTCCCCCCAAAAGATGTTGAAGTCCTAATGCCCAGTATCATGATTATGAACTTATTTGGAAATGGGGTCTTTGCAGCAAGTCCAGTTAAGATGAGGTCATTAGGTGGGGAATAATCCAATATGATTAATATCCTTATAAAAAGGGGAAATTTCAACAAAGACTCAGACGTCCAGAGAAGGAAAATGATGTGAAGACATAAGAAGCCATCATCCTCAGCAAACTAACACAGGAACAGAAAACCAAACACCACATGTTCTCACTCATAAGTGGGAGTTGAACATTGAGAACACATGGACACAGAGAGGGGAGCAACACACACCACGGACTGTTGGGGGGTGGGGTTGAGGGGAGGGAACTTAGAGGACGGGTCAATAGGTGCAGCAAACCACCATGACACACATATACCTATGTAACTAACCTGCACTTTCCGCACATGTGTCCCATTTTTTAGAAGAAATAAAGAAAAAAATAAACAATAAAATAAAAAAGAACGTCATCTACAAACCAAAGCATGCCTGAGGATATCAGAACCTAAGAGAGAGGCATAGAATAGATTCCTTCTTACAGCTCTCAGAAGAAATCAACCCTGCTGACAACACCTTGATCTTGGGCTTCTTAGCCTCCAGAGCTATGAGACAATCAATTTCTGTGGTATACGCCACACCACCTCACAGTTTGTGGTGCTTTGTTATGGCAGACCTAAGAAACTAATATGATTGTCAAACTTGCTCTGGTTCCTTTGACATATTACAGATTAGAAGCTATTCATTACAGTATTCCAAGAATAACCCACAAAAGATGCATTATTCTATTCTCTGGTGTACATGTGTTAGTAAACAAATAGCCATTGCTCAAGCCCCAGGCTGAAATTCTTGACCCATTCAAACCTACTGAAGTAAATATAGTAATGCATCACTTAAGGATGGGGACACGTTCTGAAAAGTGCATCATTAGGCAATTTTGTCATTGTGCAAACATCACAGAATGTGCGTACACAATTTTAGATGGTATAGCCCACTCCATTATATAGCCCAATTATAATCTCATGGGATCATCCTGCTATAGGGAGTCATTCACTCATGAAAACATCATTATGAGGAGTGTGACTGTAGTCTCCTTGTTTTTCTTAAATTAAAATTCCTCATGAAATATGCAATGAGCTCCAAATAGTTCCAGATTCAAAGTCTAGAAAAATAATCAGTATTTAAAAAATAAGACAGCATTTAGTGCAAGTTTATTTATATTTTTTCATGGCTCTTTAAGATATTTAAATATCTGTCACACATTCAAGACAATCTAAAGCAAACTAATGGTTACTTTTAGTGTTACTGGAATATTGGTTTAGAATAGCTGCAATGTGCTTAGGTTTTCAGTGATGGTGTAAATAATGTCAAATCAGTGGGCTAACCCTCTTAGAGAGCCAACATTTCTACCCCCACTTCCTGCATTTATTTGGCAACTTCAGGACGCCTCCCTCACTTATATTTTACCTCCCTCTCTTGTCAACTCTTGCCTTCAGGAATGCCTCTGTAGTCTTTCACACCACAATGCTAATAAATTTAAGTAAATGTGTTAACTCTACCAGGACCAGCCTGCACCTGTTTTTATAAATAAAGTTTTATTGTCAGGCAGCCAATTTACATATTATCTATAGCTGCTTTCCAGCCATGTTGGCCATGCTAAGTAGCTACAACAGAGTCTGGTGGCCTGCAAAGCCAAAAATATTTACTCTCTGGTCCTTTACAGAAAAAAAAAAAAAAATCTGCCAACTTCTATTTTATGGCTTCTTTCTCAGTAAAAGCAAAAACAAACAAAATATCCCCCACATAATGTTTAAGTTACATTTGAAATCTGCAGGACATAGGAGAGTAAATAACATGGTTATGGGAGATGTCAATAGACATAGGTTTCACATCAAATATGCCACAAACCCACTTTAAATTTTAGTCCAACACAAGTAACATAAAAAGGATAGGGAGGCCACATTTCCATAGCTATATTGTATATGGGCAGCAACTACCTATGTACATTATATGTATACATTTAATAGCTATGTGGTCTATAAACATTTGTGTTGTCTATCTTGGTCTCATTCATTTCTGTTCTTATAATCCGAGCTGTTGATTTGTTTCTGGACATACAAAATATCAGCATATTCCCAAGCTTTCAAGTAGAGGAGATATGTTTTAGTAAATATTAATGAAAGTTTCAATTTCAAAGTTAGTGCTTGCTGATTTGGTTGTCTACCATGCGTCAGCTTCCTGAGTCATACCCCCAGATTGCTATTGTTTGCTAAGGAACAATCTGGACTCTGGTGTCACTGAATCCAAACCTACAAGTTGGAGTGTTATCAACAGAGGGATCTGTTCCACGGTCTCCAATTAATCTTTCTCTGTTCCAACTCCAGCAGCTGTTCCTGCTTTTAGGATGATTGAAATAAAACGCCTATTACATAACCAAAACAATATGCTATTATTGCTTTTAATACATGTATTATTACTTTTGATAATTCACCATCTGATTATCCCGTCTGAATTATGCACTTGCCACTCCATCTATGTACAACACCTTTTTGTTGGTTATTAGCATCACAGTGACAAAGGGAAACAAATGATGAAGAAAGCCAACTGAAAGTGTCTCCATTATATTTCTGAAGAAGTTTTGGAGTCTGGGTACTCGAGAGATCATTTCCAAGCACTTTCTTACAATGTGAGCTTCGGGGCCTGGAGCATTCTCCTTGGAAAGTGTAAAATTCCTAATGAGCGAATAGGAAACATCTTGAGTCTGATGCTGAGGACTCCTGGGTTGGCCTATTTCCAGTAGGTTAACTTTTCTAAACATAATGTGCCAAACAAATAATTTGTATTAGTACACGTGATGTCGAGGATTGAGGTTCAGCCAATTGCAATTTGCTCATTCATTTAACCAATATGTATTGCATGCCTACTATGTGCTGGGCACTGTTTTAAGTTCTCAGAATATAGTTGCCACCAACGTAGCAAAACATCCCTGCAGAAGTGGAACTTCAATTCTAATGAACTTGTCTCTCTAATGTGGGTCACCATGATACAGGGAAAGTCTTAATGGAAAATTAGGAATATCACATTACTGTTTGCTAAAGCTCTTTTTATACGTATCACAGAACTGCTGGCCTTTTAACAGTGTTATTAATATATATTTTTCTTGTCATTCTTTCCTTCCTTTTTTTTTTTAGATTTTTACCATTATTTCTTCATTGTCTAAGTGTTTTTCCAAGTGCTGCAAATAATTCAAAGCCTTCTTGCTATCCTAATTATAGACCTTTAACAATATTGATTTCCCAGGTCACTCACTCAAGAGATGTTTACTGAGCAGTGTTCTATTATTTTGTTGCTGCACAACAACCACCCCCAAACATCAAGTGTCTCAAAACATTATACTCTTGTATTGGGACAGGGCTTGGTAGGGATGCCTCATCTTCCTTCCCTGTAGTATTAGGTGGAGAAGTTCAACAGGGGGCTGCAGTATCCACTCACCGGCAGACAAGTGGGTGCTGCCTGTTGACTGGGAGCTTAGCTGGGGCTGTTGACTTGGGGCCTCAGTTCATCTACACGTTGACCTTTCCATGGGGTTGCTTAGGCTTCCTCTACCCATGGCAGAGGAATGGATAGACATTCCCCAGCATGAAGACTGAAAGAACATTGCACTCATGGACATGCCTTTGAAACATTCCTGGATGACCGATTCCAGGAAATAAAAGAAAAATCAAAGCAAATAACTCAGGAATGAAGAAAGAATGGAGAAAGAGAAAAAGACTGAGGTTAAGAACCAAATCCTTTTAGATCCAGGAATGCAATTATGATTGAAAACAAAGAAAAAATATTAAAATAATAATTGAGGGTCACTGGGAAAGGTGCAAAGAGGATTATACTGTAATAAGTAGCCTCATTTTTATAACAGATAGAGAATAGATAATGGCTAACACTGAAACATGTAGCTAAAAACAGCATGACTCCAACTTTTAATGTTTTATGCTCCTTCAACATAACTTATGAGTTGTGTATAACTCTTATGACATGATATAACTTATAAAAAGAAGCGTTCATGTAACATTTAACAATTTCTTCACTTTTATTTTAATTTACTTTTTTGATCAAAGTGAAGCTCAACATGATCCTTGTTATTAAAAATAACATGTAAATTTGATCTATTTTAATGTATTTTTTTTTTTTTTAGCTACCATCATTATAGATGGTTCTCGACTTCGAATGATTGGACTTTGGATTTTCAGGGTTACGATGGTGCAAAAATGATAGGCATTCAGTAGAAACCGTACTTCCGTACTTGAGTACCCACACAACCATTCTGTTTTCCATCTTCAGTGCAGTATTCAATATAGTGCTCAAGAGATATTTAGCACTTAGGCTTTTTTTTTCTTTTTCTCTTTCTTTCTTTCTTTCTTTTTTTCAGGGTCTTGCTGTGCTCACCCAGGCTAGAGTGTAATGGTACAGTCATAGCTCACTGCAGCCTCCAACTCCTAGGCTCAAGCAATCCTCTCACTTCAGCCTCCACAATAGTTGGGACTATGGCATGTGCCACTATGCCTGGCTCAGCACTTAAGCTTTAAAATAGGCTTTGTGTTAGATAACTGTGCCCAATGGTAGGCTAAATGTTTGATAGGTTAGCTGTATTAAATGTTTAAGTTTGGCTAGGCTACGCTATGATGTTCAATAGGTTAGCTGTATTAAATGTGCTTTCAACTTACAATATTTTCAACTCACAATAGGTTTATCGGGACACAACCCCAACGTAAGTCAAGGAGCGTCTTTCAATCTGAAGAGAGATGTCTACCACAATCATCAGGTGTTGGCCAGAATGATTCCTGGGTGGTAGGCTTTGCTGTGATTTTCTTTTATTTGTACTTTTAAATATTGCATTATTGTTTTTATACTAAAAGTCTATCTTTTTAAAGCAAAAAAAAAGTCAGTATCATTTACAAAAAAAGTCAGCATTGAGTAGATGCGACAGAGACTGCCTGAGCCACAAAGCCTGAAATAGTACTGGGCCTTTAGAAAATTTTCGCCAGCCCTGCTCTAACGCTTTACCTACTAAAAGGCACCACCAGTCCATCCAAAGCCCAACCAGGCAGATTGGAAGTGTGGAGCTGCCTGTTCTCATGCAACGTGCCTGTCTCTTTCCGACTTGCCTACCATGATCAGTAAGCAACGTTTCCTCACAAATTTGGTGTTTTTATAATTAGGGAAGAAAGGGCTTGTGTACACCAGAGCTAGGATACAACGTCAGCCTCTTCTCAAATGTCACCAAGCCAATAGTCACTGTTATAATGGAGCTGTCAAGACAAACTACAACTCTCTTAAACCACCTGATGGGAAGGCTAAAAAGACAAATAGAGAAAGGATGGCAATTTGACCTAAAAAGAATTTGATATGGACTCACTAAGATAGAAAATGCTAACAATTCTGTGTAAAGAACAATTTAAAAGGCTCTCTTTTCTAGGATGCCTGATTATAGGGAGGTATCAGTCTCATTTCTTTTCAGAAACAAGACCAGACAAGAAGGTGTTTTGGGTGGTGTGGACACGACACTGTCCTCTGAGGATTTTTTTCATCTCTTTGTGAAATAACTGAGAGTTACTCTAAAGTACGGGGAAGAAAGAAAATGAGATAGCAAGATGTATTAAAGACTTCAGAATTTAAAAGAAAAGAAAGCATATTTATTTTAGAAAGCCAAATAATGTGGAATAGTGGAGTGATTCTAAAGATAATTCAGTAGCAATGTGGCCCAACAAGAAAGCAGAGAATAAGAATTGTTTTTACTATTGCTCTTCCAAATCAAAGCTCATGTTATTCAAGGATTTAGTTTCTCAATCAGTGCCTCTCCCCACACCTTTTGTCATTGCATAAAGCAAGCTCTGGCCACAGAGGTTTCCTTGTGCTGCTAAGTGGAAAAGTCTCAATGTCTCTGAGGTCCATCAGAAGCTGGAGCACCTTCCAAACAGCTCTGTCCTTTCGGTCCTCATAGGAAATTGTCTGCAGCCAAGTTCATCTCTCCATCCTTCCATGAAAGAAGCAAACACCTCCATCATGATAAGTTGTTCCTCCCCCCTCTGTTGTTGCTTTAAGAATTAAAAGCAATTTATGCTTCAGTTCTTTATTCTCTAAGGTGGGGAATCTCTCCTATTACTGATTACTAGCTTCCTTTTGATTCTGTCACGTGCCCACTCCAACCTTATAAAGCTGGTTTTTTAAATAAAATGAGACTTTGGACGACACTCAGCAATGGCATGGAAATCCACAGAACAGCAGGAGATAAGAACAGAACACTCAGTAACTCTGCAGGCAGCCCCACTGAGAGGAAAATCTGCAATCTAGCAATACACAGGATTTAAATATCATTAGTAATAGTTGAATATAAAAATCTTATATAATACATCAAAGTCAATGATTGCAAATATCTATCTATCATAGTGGGTCTTTCAGAAACGGTTCTTCAGGGCATAAGTGTTTGTCCTAAGAGTGAAAATGAATGCATGGAAACTAATTAAATATAGCATCTAAATTTACATGGAATGGATTTACATTTTAACTTTTAATGTTAGCCATTCTTCCTACTCTCTGTATTGAAAGGACAATCGTGAGAGCAGTCATTGACTGAGTAGATAACAAGAGAAGCAATAATCCATCATACAATCAATTGAAAATTGGAGCTATTTTTCTTCTTTACTTGGAAAACAATTATCTCTTTCCTTCTATGAAACCACTTTGCTAAAGAAATGTTTTTACAGGCAACCATATGTATATCGTTATATGACATATATCTTCAGAGTTTACTCGTCTTGTCATGGTATTCTTCAGTTTTGTGAAAAGCTAACCAGGGAATATTTTCACCAAGAAACTGACACCAAGTGGTAAAGAAGGTAGCAGGTAAAATATGGATTATTAGGAAACGACTGTAGTGGGAAAACCAAAAGGGGTGACATGTGGATTTAGATTTCTTTTTATTATGCTACACATTTGGTTACCTAGAATTATTTCCATAATGTAAATTTGGGCATAAGAGAGATGAAGGCCACACTATTGCCCTATAGTTTTTATTACTTAATCATGAAACTATGTAACCCTTTAGGGTAAAAACATTCTCATTGGTTCAAGGACGGCAATGGATGGAACCACTGATAGAGGCTAGATACTACCTAATTACTCCTATTAGTACCTAATTACTCCTGAAATTTACCCAATAAACTATCTTCTATAAAGGACCAAAAACTCAGTTGATATGTTAACAAACTGGCCACAGAAATGTTCAGAAGCCCAAAAACATATTGGTCGAGGACACAGGTTTGTGAGTCAGACATGCCTAGATTTCAGTCCCAGATGCTCTTCTTACAACTCAGAGGTTAACGTCTTTGGACTTCAGTATTCTCCTCTGTGATTTGGAAATAGTAACAGTCTACCACAAAGGGTCAATGTTCAAGAACACACACATACACAAACTAATCAAGATCTAAAACATACTAAGGATCCCTGCTATGGTAGCTATAATTATTATTGACATTACTGGACTGATTCGTACTTGGGACCATACTCCAAGTAAATGCATCTCAGTTCCTGTCAATCTGTAAAGTGGAGTTTTGAAAGGAAGAGATAGACAGTGGGAAATAGCTATGTAGGAAGTGGAACCATAAACTGGCATAGGTAATTATAATATGGTGTCTTGGCAACATTAAGGGTGATTCTTTGAGGTCATGGTTTTCAACAGAGACCAGGCTGTAGTATTTCTCCAGGCAGCCATATTTCACAGGGCTGCAGTATGTTCAGCTCTCTGTTAATCTAGAGGAGGCAGAGGCTTTAATTTAACCAGCACTGTCATTTGGCCAAGCACATAGAAAAAAGTTGAGGATAAATGCAAAGGTGAAGATTCATATGGATTTTAAACCAGGTATGGAGGGGAAAGAAGTCATTAGAGAGTTGAGCGCCAAAGAAAGGAGATAAGATTAATGGGATGGAACTCCCACTGAGGTCAAATAAATACTGGCTAGTGTTACTAGAAGGCATATGTTGGCAAGATGGAAGGTGGTGATAAGGGAGTAAGACTCATGAAAGTGTGACTCTGAAAGTGAATAGTTACTAACAATAAGAAGGAGAGGAGTAAGTGGCTTAGAGTAGAGGACTTAGCAGTTGAAGATGTATTTAAGGAAAAGTAATTATATACATGAAAATTCAATGATATAGCTAATTAAATGACCAAGGATTAAGACAGAAGTGATGTTAAAGAAAAGGACAGAAAGCCAGGAGCTAAAATCATCCAGAAATGAGCACAAATGACCCAAGAGTTGTGAAATGAAAGCAATGGTGATGGGATACTGCTAATATAACATGAAGATGCGACCTTCAAATCTGGGGATTTAGACAAGCGAGAGGAAAAGATCTGGAAACTGAAATGGCAACAAAATTTGAAACTCGAATGAAGACCACTAATCCTAGGATTATGGGAGCCAATCAAAGAGATTTATACAGAAGAAATTAATAACTTCCTCATGTTTCTCTCCCATTTCAACCACTTGAACAAATATGATAGTTTGACATGAATTTTTCAGCATTCACTGAGTCTTTTGACATTTAATTTTTCAAAAATTATTCTGTTAGTAGTAAGAAGTAATCATCCTCTGCTCTCTATTGAAAAGGGCTTTGAAGAGTATATCTCTGAAGAAAAGGGAGTAACTAGTTGACCCTTTGGGCATATGGCGCAAATGACTTGATTTCTCAGCAAATACCCTCAACGAAAACTTCTCCAATGTGACCTAAAAGTGTTGCACAGTCTGCTTCAGAATTTTTGAAAATTTATACTGCTTTCCTCAGAGAGTATCCTGACAAGTGGTAAAGCATGAATTAATATTTTTATTTGTATATGATATTTATGTGACTTTTCTTTTTGCTGTAACACTGAGACAAAGAGGAGAAATTGCTCTGTTGTAACAGCTGATATGCAGTGTTACCACTCGCCACTCCTCACATCAGCCCAATTTTCCAAAACTGATGGACTGCATTATATAGTATTTCTAACAATAACCAAGAGCTAGGCAAGACATTTTCTGGTGAAAAATAACTTGAAATATCATTTCATAGTTAAAATATTATGATGCAGAAGAGAAAATATGCAATAATTTTCAAGATTAGGAACAGACTTGAAGAATCTTGACAGTTTGAACACGTGACTGATGATATTAGGTTGTTTTCATCAGTGGGCCCTGCCACCCACACCTCTGCTCCCAATCTTGGAGGTCTACTTTCCTTTGCTGTAGGGTACATTATGGGAAAGATGGAGAAGCAATGTTTTAAATCAACTCATCATTGGCCTGAAAATTGCTCCAACCTCCTCCTCTTTTCCTTCTATTTTTCCTTCCTATTCTTCCCTTCTCTGTTTCTGGAAAAAGAGTGACTCTACAGGTGAGGATTAAACTAAGGATCCTAACAATAGACCAGGTGAAAGGTGGGGATGAAGCTGTGGGTTCAGCTGACAGGAAAAGGAGGAGGATCCTATGCAGAGTGGCTCCAGAAAATTCCAACCAGCTGTCTGCTGACTATGGATACCTTATAAGTATAATTGATTGAGAGCTGCAGGCATACATTACTGCCAGTCATTTTGACACAGGTCACCTCTCTATATAAACAAGGATACATTTCAGAATGACCTACTTTAAACAGCAACTATACAGCTACTAATAATAATTTACATCTTGATACTTCTTTACAGCTTTCAAGCCCTCATCACATACAGAGGCAATGTGCAATGATCCAAAGTCTATTTACAAATCTGTGGGCTTTGCAGACTATTTGCATTTCCCCATCTTTCTGCATCTCACTGCTTTTCAGCGCTGTGGAGAAAGAGGAGATCCCCCAGGGTCAAGTTTACTATATATTAGCAGCCACCACAATGACGACAGTTGGAGGAGGTTTAACCAATAACCTCAGTGGCGATTGCGGGTTTGTGGACCCTCTTTGTGCATCCCTCTTATCATTTAACCATAAGAGGAGAAATAATTTCTAATATGTTTCTCCTTTATACCAGAGTCATATTAAAAGTGAGTCATTTCAAAAATCACCATGTTTCTAACTGTTCCAATCCCAGTCTCTGCTAGAACAGCAGATGTCCTAAGGAACAGTACATGTCTCAAAATTTCTGCTGTGTCGACCTCCAAATAGTGCCTCCGTTCTCTCTTGTTTTCACCTTCCATAATAGCTTTGTCACCCAAGCCTCTCCTACAGAGAAGTTCTAGAATTTTCACTCAGGTGTTGGCAGATACATCCACCCAAGAGAGGAATGAAGAAGAGACATGAAAGAAAGAAGAAACATGAAACCAGGTCAACTTGTGATGAGGATTGCATGTTCAATGTGAGAAGTAGTTTTTTATTTTGTCCATTATCCTTAGCAGGCAAGCATTTGTTTTTTCATTTTTTTTCCTGTTAATATTTTTTTAGGTTGAAGCAGGAGGAGGACTTGTAAGAACAGAATAAGGCTGTTTAGAAATCTCAATTCTGTTGGCTGCTTCAAATGCACATCAACCTCAGGGTGGTTTGAACTCCTAATTCCATATGCTTTATAAAGATTACAAAGGTGAGCACTCTGTGAGACTTCAGAAACAGGGCCCAATTTTTATACATTTATGAAGTACAAAGAGGTTATAAATTAGCACTAGATGCCTTCCTATTATCACAATCACTCTTGAAGTCAGTATTTTTTTGATCCCCAATTTGAAGACAAGAAAATCGTGGCTCAGAGAAGTACAGTAACTTGCTCTAAGTTCACAGCTGGCAAGTGCGGGATTCTGAAACAGATCTGTGACACTCCAAAGCCCAGATTTTACTTAGCAATTTTAGGAACCTGGCTTTCCATATGAGTGAAACAGCATTCCTAAATGTAGGATGTTGTCCACAAGTCTAAGATTAGACAGACATCTGGACGTCCTATCTCCCAGAACCACTGTGTAGAGCGGCATTGCAAAGTGGCCGATACCCTCTGCTTCCAAGGCCGGTAGACATAATTATTCACCCTACCTCGAGGCTCAGTCCTCACATGTCCTCCACAGGTACTGTGAAGAATCTGCTCAGGGATGGGTTCCTCTTTTGTGTTTCTCTCTTCTGGTCCTGCTTCTTGTGCTGCTTTAATTTAACACCTGATCCCCACTCCACCTTTGGCCCCTGCAGAATGCTCCATCTCACTCCTGCATCTAGATCTCAGCCTCCCAGCTCTTCAGAATCAACCTCTTGCCCGGCAATTGTCCAGCTTCAGTATTGGAGCACTCACTCCAGCTCAGTCTTGGACTCTGTTTAGGGATTGCCTAATCACACTCTATTTCACGTACCACATTCCCACACGTGTTACGTATTCTGTTTCATGTCTAATGCTTGAATTCAGAGCCACAGCCCCAGAACAATGGACCATATGTAGTCTTCACATTTTACATGTGAGTCTTCCACGCAGCCCTTCAGGCTTGCCTGGATTCCCTCCTCCAGTCTTGTCCTCTATGCTTTCCCAGCCAAACATGCAGTTCCGGATGCAGCTGCATCTAAAAGTGTAACCAGAGCAGCAAAACCGATCAGGCATGCGCATGCCAACTATGACATTCAAGCTTATGTGGGTGGTGGAGAAGGCTAGAGAGAGAGTTCTTGTTTCGACCCTTGTATACTCAAGATGGGAGATGCTGACTGGCCTTCCAAGTAGTTGGAGCACATAGTGCTTCTTCAGCCTCACACAAGAGGCTTCATTCTCAAGAAACTCATTTGGAGTGCAGTGAGAGTTATCGCACACAGACATCTTCTAAGGACACAGAGTGAGGTAGGCTGGCGAGAGGTGATTTGGAAGGTAGCCTCTTGCAGTGAGTTTAAATTGTTCTCTAGACCAGCTGCATCTCTCTTCTTTTGAGGCTTCACAGAAAATTGTCCCATGAAACCAGGAAGTAGGCCAATCCCAAACTATAATCGCAAAGAAGACAACCAGAGGAGACCTCTAACCCTGGAAGTCTTGGGCAGAGGATAGAGTTCTCTAAGAATGGGCAAAAACTGGCGGGACAAAGCAGCAAGGCCAAGCATAGAGGTGGGGTATGGGATGGCTTTTGTTCATTTATTGAGTGATTGATTGACAACAAAGAGCGTCAAGCAATGTAAAAATGAACAAGAAAATATGCAAGCACCCCATATGTGCAGGAAGTAGGCTGCCACGGTAGGGCAGAGGAGAAGGGTGTCCAGCAGTTCTGCAGCTGTAGCCCTTGGTCAGCTGAAGACAAATGCATATGAAATGGTCATGCAATTGTCCTGTGACATAGGAGTTCCCAAGCTGGAAATACTTTCTGCTTTCTCTGGGTACAAAGCTATGCTTCTGGGAAGAGTGCTGGTGAGGGATGTTCTTAGGAACCTACGTTAAAGGTGAGCTGCCCCATTGCCACTCTTTTTTTCCCCACATAGTATTTCTCCAAAGAGGCAGCATAAAATAATGAACTTTTCCACAAATATGAATGATAAGAGGAAGTCATTTACATTCACATGAATCCACACATATCTATGGCAAAAAAAAAAAGTAGAGGGAACATTAACAAACACACACACACACACACACACACACACCATCCCCACCCCATGCCAACAAATCTCCTAGGCTCTGAAGTTATTTCTCATTCAAATCCAGCTACACTGGATGCCTTTTTATTCCTCAAACTCATGCTGCGTATCCCTGCCTTAGGGCATTGCCCAAATGACTATTCCTTCTTTCTGACATCCTGCAGGTCTCTGGGCAGCCTCCTTCAAGTGTTTGCTTAAATATCAACAAGATCAATCAAGATGGACTTTATGAGGTTTGTCTGAACAACTGAGGGAAAGGAGCTATCGTTAACTGCAGTGTTGTTAAAAAAAAGAGGATGAATTTGGAGATGCATTATGATGACTATGTATTTATAATGGGAAGGAGAACTGGAGAAGTGGAGCATTTCAAAGTCAAAATCGCAAAAATGAGGACTCCGATGTGCCCTTTGCACATTCATGCTACATAAGGTACACCCATCTTTATTGTGCATAAATCAAGGGTGACAGATTTAAATGCTTACCTGCAGGAGCAAATCTAAGAAAACACCTAGGCATAAAGTGAATGATCACTGTACTGGGTATTTCACTCAGTGTCCACAAGATGATTTGGAGTCTATATATATGCAAGACCAGTATTACCAAATTCTTCCAGTTTCTCAGGAGAAGCTGAAAATTCATATTTTTAATGTAAAATATTCTTATTTTTAAAGGTTGGCAGGCAATTCAAGAATTTTTTAATATTGCAATCCAAACAAAAGATTATGTGTTAAAGTTATATTTTTATATTCCAGTGCAGAAATAATTTAAGGTTTAGTTATATCATAGATAATATGATTTGCTGGAATTTAATAAACACTATTCCAAAACTTTATTTCATAAAGTTGAAATAGAATTCTCACTGTCCAGAAACTTGTGGTCTTGTCAGTTGAAATTATTTTTGTTTTGTTTTTAATGCTCCTTGAGCTAGGTTGATTGGAATAATTTGTTGTTGCTAAGAAAATCTTATTTAATTTAATTTTGACTGACAAGGCTTTATTAAAAGTACCAGCATGTAGTCTTTTGACTTGTTTTCATTGGGGAGTGTGTCTTTGTGTATGTATTTGTGTGTATGTGTGCATGGTGGGTGCAGGGATGGACAGGATGGAAGGGAAGGAAACACCTGTGTCTCAGTCCTTTCAGGCTGCTCTAACAGAATACTATAGACTGGGTGACTTATAAACAACAGACATTTATTTCTTACAGCTCTGGAGGCTGAGAGTCCAAGATCAAGGTGTGGCAGATTCAGCATCTGGTGAGAACCTGCTTCCTGGTTCATAGACAGCACCTTCCTGCTGTGTCTTCACATGATGGAAGGGACGAGGGTGCTCTCTCTCTGTGGTCTTTTATACGGAAACTAATCCCATTCATGGGGCTCCACCCTCGTGACCTCATCACCTCCCAAAGGCTCCACCTAACATCATCTGCATGGGGAGGTTAGAACTTCAACATACGAATGTTGAGGGGACCCAAACATTCAGCCCAACTTACTCAGTTCTCTCTCTCTCAGGTTATTACTAAGGAGACACTACACATCACCTCATTATACAGCCAGAATATTCACACAAGGGGGTTGTTCCCAGAAGAGTGCATATAACATGCCCCATTTACATGAGCAATGCATGATACACATACACATATGTCTCCTTGAATATACATTTATATTTCCAGAAAGCACTCGTAAGCTGCTAACAATTTCTGAGGAGGGTGGATCTAGATTACTTTTGATTGTCTTGTTTTACTATTAGTTTTATTTGTTTATTTATTTATTTTAGAGACAGGCTCTCACTGCACCAGGCCGGAGTGCAGTGGTGTGATAATAGGGGCAGCTTCGAACTCTTGGGCCCAGGCAATCGTCCCGCCTCAGCCTCCTGAGTAGCTGGGACTATGAGGTCTTTATATGTTGCCCAGGCTGATCTCAAATTCCTGGTCTCAAGCAGTCCTCCCACCTCAGCCTCCCAAAGTGCTGGGTTACAGATGTGAGCCACCATGCCCAGCCCCACTATTTTTTTTTAAGTATGTACATGTAAGGTTTTTTCCAATAAATCATAACTAATAAAAAAATTTAAAAACCAGAATAAAATAAATAAATGGGAGGAGGGAAGGAAGCTGGGAGGCATCATTAGAGTTGTGTTTTCTCTTGTGTTGATCCCCAGCTGTGCTGGTCCCTTATACTTCAATCATCAAAAGTCAGAAAGCATGAAAGCTCCCAAGAGGGTTATTTATGTCCACAGCACTTTCACAGCGTGTGAGTGAGGAGGCGTCTGCCAGGTAAGCACACTGCTGGGTAATAAGTATCGCTGAGCAACAACAGTCTTGCAGAAATTGTCCAGGGAATAGATTTACATGGAAATAGAATTAGATGTGTCCATGGGAGACTGCTGGGGAAAGGCACATGTATGCAATAATATGCAAATGTGGCTCTAAAACTCTCAATTTGGGCAGATTTTCATTGGACTGACAAGCTCTTCTATGTTGTCTGAGGTTGTTTCAATTGTGGGTTAAGGCCATCTTCCCCTGAACTGTTCAGAAGCACCTCCTCAGTGGTCACCTCTAGGGTCCCTAAGCAATGATCACCTGTAGAGTCCCTGAATGATGATCACTTGTAGGGTCCCTGAACAATGCCCACCTAGGAGAAACGTCATCTGCCATTGGGTGGATCCCCAATCACACAACCATAAATTACCAGGGATGGCTAATTTAAGCACACACATCTTTCCCTTCTCCAAGGATTATCTTTTCAAGCTACCTAAGAAGCCTTTTTCTGCAGTCTGATTGCCCCTGGCTGGGCGCTACTCAATGCTTTATGAGGTGGACCTCTGGACACATGAGGCACCTAGAGATCATTTAAGAACCTGATTGCATTGGGAAATGCATTTGCTGCTTACAGCAGCACATTACAAATACTCTTGGTCAAAACAGAACAAATCGTGAATAGAAAACTCAGGCAAATACTCGAGGAGATCATGAGCTCTCCAGGAATGTTTGTGTTTTCCTTCTTTGCTCATAGCTCAGGGGAATGAGACTGGATCCTGGGTGCCACTGCCTTGAAAATGGAAATGGTTGAAGCATCTCTATCCACAGCCAACCCATCATTCTTCCAGCCGGCCTGTCCAATTGGGAACTCGGACATCCCTGTCAGTTGAAAGCAGTGCTTTAAATCAGCCCTCCCTTCTCAAAGAGTGCAATGTAAACATTCTCAGGCGAAAAGCTAGTCCTAGAGATGAAGTGCTGATCAACAGCCCACGACAAGCCTGGCACAGTGGCTGATGCCTGTAATTCCAGCACTTTAGGGGGCCAAGGAAGGAGGATTGCTTGAGCCTAGGAGTTCAAGGCCAGCCTGGGCAACATAGTAAGACCCCATGTCCACAAAAAAAGAAAGAAAGAAAGAGGGAGAGAGAGAGAAAAGAAGGAAGGAAGGAGGGAAGGAAGGAAGGAGAAAAGAAAAGAAAGAAAGAAAGAAAGAAAGAAAGAAAGAAAGAAAGAAAGAAAGAAAGAAAGAGAAAGAGAGAAAGGATGGCATCCATCAGGATAGCGGGGTATCCAGGCCACTGCTCTTGGGTTCTAAATGACTTCAGCATGAGTGACTGGGGCAATTTAGGATCCTTGAATTCTATCTCCTACCATTTGACTTAAAGATAATGACACTTAACTACTTAATCTTTCCTTTCAAGTCACTCTGAAAGCAACTACAGCACTTAGTGTATCTTTCCTCTACCAAATTATTCTCCATTATGTAACCCATGTCTGTTCTCCTCCTAAACTTGGGATAGCGCGTGTTATCAAAATCCACTGGACCTTGCAGGGTGAGCTCTCCCAGCTGAGCAACTGCCAGTGTCATAGCGGTGATGGTGGTGTGTCTACAGAATAATTCTTCTCATTGCAATGGAGCAGAAAGAGGAGTCTGTCAGGATTTTCCACTGTGTTGTACTCTGCTCACATTTAGACAAAACCCACGGTAGAATCTGCATAGCCAGAGTCTCAATGATTTTGGATCCTTTTGACATATATTTAAGACAGAATACACACACACACACACACACACACACACACACATATATATATATATATTTTTTTTTTTTTTTTTTTTTGAGACAGAGTCTCATTCTGTCACCCACGCTGGAGTGCAGTGGCACGATCTCAGCTCACTGCAACCTCCGCCTCCCGGTTTCAAGCCATTCTCCTGCCTCAGCATCCCGAGTAGAGTAGCTGGGATTACAGGCGCACACCACCATGCCCGGCTAATTTTTGTATTTTTTAGTAGAGACGGGGTTTCACCATGCTGCCCAGGCTGGTCTCGAACTCCTGACCTCAGGTGATTCACCTGCCTCTTCCTCCCAAAGTGCTGGGATTACAGATGTGAGCCACCACACCCGGCCAGAATATAGCTTTTGAAAACACACAACGACATTGGCTACCATAGGCAATGATGTCCACATGCAAAATTGACCTCTAAAAAGATCTTTGGTTGTGGATATCAGTGCTTAATAAACAAGGTTTTTATAACCCAAAACTCCTCAGTCCTCTCATCCAAAGAAAGTATTTGAATATACCCAAAACAATGTGCCTATAATATGACCGCAATCTGTTTCCTGCTACAAGTAAATGCACCTTTAAATGTATAACTATGTCTTTCATTGGTTAACATTTCCCTACATTGATAAATACTACATTTCAAATTATATGCATTTTTAGGACTTTGTTGTCCATTCCTCAATTGAAAATATTTCATTTCCTCACTAAGGATGCAATGCTAATAAAAATGGCCAAGAGCTAAAATATATAAACATCAGTAATTAGTTTTTTCAAGGAAAAATCAATGTGCAAACCCATGTTACAAAGCAATGATTTGATTTTAATAAAGTTAATGGCTATGTAAGCAACCATACCATATTGTTTAGGATGAAATACTTCGTGTGGACAAAGAATTGGAGTACTTTAAAGAGCAACCGGTGACTGCTGTTTGGCCATCACTTTTGAGGACTGGAGTGAGCTGACCTTACATAGAATGTGGAGATCTCAGAAACTCCCCACCAGGTCTCCTATTCATCACTCCACTGGGTTAACCACTTTCTTCAAAAGTCCCTGATAATGGGGAACCCTCTTTTGCATTGAACTTTAGCAGTACGAGTATTCCAAATCCCAGTGTTAATTTCAGATAAAACCAAAGTCCCTCTGCTTGTCTGCTGTATAAGCCAGGAGGTGCACAGTGGAGCCACCTGTTTAAGCTGTAAACTCATTTTCCAGGACAGAAAGGTAGGCTGCTCTCAGCTGTGCACGAAGGGACCAGGAGGAGGGTTGGGGAAATAGCATGGAAGCTGTCCACTCTTGAGAGTTGGAATATTATATCACTGCCATTGTACAGAATTGCCAGTGCATGATGATAATATAAAGAAGATGGACTTTGAGTCTGTTTCGTCATTGTGTTTAGTTCTCCAGAGCTCCTTCTCATGGCGCTCCAGCCTGATTATGATCTTCCCTCCTACGGGCACTACTTTAGTGCCTGCGCCCTGGGGGCTCACTCCCACTACCGCCCAGCCCTACACATCGGCAGCTCCCACCCAGGCATGCCACATCATTGCTACATGATGGGTATCACTGCACATGGTGGGAATCACTGCTGGCATTTTAAAGTGAAGACATTGAGTCTCACAGCAGCTAGACGACTTACTTGAGAGTTCTAGGAACTGGAGGTCAAGTGTTTTAAGTCAATCACACTCAGTTCACCACACCAGATTTTTCTGTATTCTGATAAAGTATTCTGGTAATCTATGTTCTTGACTGTTTCAACAGCAGAGTATTTTTGTCATGTAAAATAGTATCCAGAATCCCAATGTTCATTTCAATTCAAAACCAAAGTCCCTCTGTTGTATGACTTGGAGGACCCCACAGAAGCCTTGAGAAAAGGATTTTGGTTGGACACTGGGGAATGGGGCTCCAGAGATCATCCAGGGCATGCTGAGAAACCACAGACCAGGATTCTGGGCAGTCAAAAACTCCAAGAAGGGATTAAGATATTTGGCAACAAAACAGAGGCTGAGTCTGGCAGGCAAGCATACTAGCCTTGGCTTTATTTGCAACTTTGACTCATTTCAGGCCTATATTGGGAAATGATTCTATTTCCAAAGAGAGCTGGACTTTATTCTCTCAGTTGAGTACTCCCTTCGGGCCAATTCCAAACTTTCTTCATAAAATGTGCTTACATTTCCCTGCCTTTGAATTTCTATGGCCAGAGTTGGCCTTTCTATGAAACTAGGAAGGGAAAAATAATTTTCAAGCCCAAGTTAAATTCTCGTGTGTTTGACCCTATAACTATTGTCCCTGGAAATTTTAGCTTAACCTTAGGACATTGGCAAGCCCCTATGTTACTAATATACGGGTTTCTCCCTGGGATTGTGAGGGAGTTCTCGGAAGCCAGAGAGAGCTTGAACTCTCTCCAAGTCTTCCCTGTTGCCTCACACTGTGGCCTTTTTTAATCTCTCCATCTTTGTTCCTACAGTACAGACAGAATTGCTTTTGCTGCCCAGCTGTCGGTTTCTGTGGTTCTCTGTTGCAGCTGTCCACTGCATAAGTTAGGAGGTGCTTTGGCTTGCGCAGTGGAGCCAGCTGTCCAAGCTGTAAACTCATTTCCCAGGACAGAAAGGTAGACTACTCTCTTCTTCAACAAGTAGGATGCGTTTACCAGATCCAGAGATTTGTGCAAGTCGTTCTGTCCACCCAGGAAGGGCATAGACGGTGAAAATAAATGAAATTGCCAATCTTTTCAAATCCTCTGAAATTGCAACTCCTCTGGGAAATTAGAAATCTCTTCCCAGTCATTCTTCTTGTATTATATAAATCTACGGATGCTCTTGCAGGAAGGACTTCCCTGGGAAACATTGGTGGAATGTTACCTTTGCTGTAGCTTTCTGGCTTTGTCAAAATAGGTACCTTGGAGTTTTTTTTCCAGTTTTTATCGTCACAAGATTTTTTAAATGAACTAAATGTTGGACAATTGAGATAATCCCTTTTTTGGAATTTCTTTCATTTTGGAATCCACAGATACTGGCACGTTATCATTACTCATCAGCATAAGGCAACTCACAGTTGTGTGTGTTGGGCTTCTTACTCTTTTTCCACTCAACACTGTGCTTTCTGGATCTATCCATGATGCATACATAGTGTGTGGCTGCTGACTGCAGGATACTGCTTCCAAGCGTGCATGTATGTGTGTTCTCTTTTGTTTACATTCTGCCTCCTGTTAGCCTTTAAAGCAGACATCCTAACGTATACTTGTTGAACATGTTCATTTAAAATGTATATCATGGTTTTCAGCTCTAGATGCACGTCTACATAATATATTTTTGTTGTATGTGTTCTTGTATAATGGGTAAAGTTGTTCTGTGTAATAGATTACATTCTGCTTCTCACTCCTTTTTCAGTCAACCCTACACTTTCTGGATCTATCCATGATGCACACACAGTGCACACACATAGCAAGTGGCTTCTGACTGCAGGATAATGTTTCCAAGCATTCTGCACATCCCCACTCCCAATGATGTCTCCAGTTCCCAGCCAGAGCACACACCACCGCGGTGAATCCTCTTGTATGTGTGTCTCCTAGTGGACCTGTTGTAAGAATTTATTTGGTTATATGCCCAGAGTAAAAATTTGGGTCATTGGCTATTTTTATACTTAATTGGATTGAACACTATGCATTTTTGCATTGCTCTCATATGGGTCTTTCTGTGGTGTCCCATGCAAATACAAATACATAGATATCTGTGCTTATATCAAAACTATGTTGTCTTGATTACTATGGCTTCTGTGTGTCTTAATATCTATTGGAGCAAGTCTTCTCTCTTTTTTTTTTTTTTTTTTTTTTTTTGAGACAGAGCCTCACTCTGCGGCCCAGGCTGGAGTGCAGTGGTGCGATCTCCGCTCACTGCAACCTCCGCCTCCTGGGTTCACGCCATTCTCCTGCCTCAGCCGCCTGAGCAGCTGGGACTACAGGCGCCCGCCACCACGCCCAGCGAATTTTGTTTTTGTACGGAGTTTCACCGTGTTAGTCAGGATGGTCTCGATCTCCTGACCTCGTGATCCACCCGCCTTGGCCTCCTAAAGTGCTGGGATTACAGGCATGAGCCACCGCGCCCGGCCGCAAGTCTTCTCTTTTTTGCTATTTCAATCATATTTTTGTCATTTTCATAGAAATTTATTCTTAAATACAAATTTTAGATTAGGTCCATCAAGTTTCTAAAAGAAATCCAACTGAAATACTGAATTTACAGATTAGAAGAATTAACATCTCTGTATTAAAATTGCCCCACCTCAGGAAAAAAAAAAATATCTACCTTGTATGTCCTTAATAAGATCTTTATGTGTTTCTCCATAGACATTATACATAAAGATACTTGAAAGATTTTGTTGCTTCTGTGAATGGTACCATGTTTCGCTATATAGCCAAATTCCTGGTGTACAGAATTGTTTCTGTTTTTTGTAAGCATACATTGCTTCCAGTAACCTTGTTGAACTCTTTCTCATTATAATATTTTGCCTATTGATTTAGTTGGGTTTTGTGGGTAAAAGATTGTTTCATCTGAAATTAGGTAGTACAAGAAGTCCTATACCTTACTATAAAGAAAGTAAAAGAAATCAGAAGTGTAAAGATCAAGCTACTTTGGCATATGCTGTGAGTTTGCAACGCATATTGTTAGCTGGTTATAGAGGTCTATCTAACTATAATGTCTCAAGCTTAATCATTATATCATTCAGAACTTTTACAATGTTGCTTTTTTATCAGTTTGATATAACCATTTCCTAGAGGAATGTTACCTTCTCAAACAACTATTGTTCATAAATCTATTTCTCCTTGAATATATGCTCACAATGATTGAGTCTTCTTATAGTATTTTCCCTTCTATAATATCATATTTTTGTGCCTTTTAATACTTATGTCTTGAATTCTATTGTGTCAGAGTTTAATTTTGTGACTCCTGCATTCATTGGTTCATAATTGACACTCTCCTATTTTCATGCTTTCTCTATCTTTTGATAAACATACTTCTTACCAGAACAGCAAACATTGTTGAATCTTATTTTGTGATTCAGTCACTTAACCTCCATCTTTTAATTGATGACTATAGCATATTTAAATTTTCATATTGATTTGTTTCTTCCATCTTATTTCATGTTTGCCATTTGCTATACTTTACGTTTGTTTTTATTTTTCTTTCCTGCTTTCTATTAGACAGATGAAGGGGTTTTTCCCTCCTCCTGCTGATTTAAATATAATACATTTTTCTTCTGTTCATGGCCATCCTTTATTAAGATCTATATTTACTTTGATTTCTTAAATTATTTAGAATCTAGATCTTTCTTCTATCAAGACACACATTTGAGTAAGTTATCATATCTTTTTGATCTCCCCACTGTGTTGCCCACTGTTTGGTATTGCCTAGAATTTGAGTTCTGATTTGTTGAGATACACTGTGCCTGTTTCTTTCTTTTCTTACCCTGGTTTTTGTTAGACAATAATTAATGTACCTAACATAGATTACTACCTTTCTTCTATATTTGGTACAACCTTCTCTTGAAGTTGAGCTCTTCTTCCCAGCCTATTTTGAAAGTGGATTTTTGTCTGGAAAACCTTTTGAAGACTGTCAAGCCTGAAAATATTTTTATTACACTCTCCCATTTAAGTGACGATTTGGCTGGATACACAGTCTTTAGGTTCAAAGTGATTTTAAAATATTACCCTGGCTTAGCATTCATGTTGAGAATTATGTTACCCATTTGATTCTTGTTTTTTGGAAGTCTGCTGCTTTCTCCCTAGACCTTCTGAAATTCCCTTTGTTTTGGCATTTTTGATTTTCACTCTTTCTATGGTTTGAATGTCCCCTTCAAAGCTCATGTTGAAACTTAATTCCCAATATGGCAGTATTGAGAGGTGGGGCGTTTAGGAGATGATTGGGTCATGAGGGCTCTGCCTTCACGAATGCGTTAATCCGTTCACGGATTATCAGATTAATAGGCTGATGGATTAATGGGTTATCATGGGGACTGGTGGCTCCATAAGAATAGAAAGAGAGACCTGAGCTAGCAAGTGCACATACTCAGCCCCATCTCCATGCAATGCCCTGTGCCAGCTCAGGACTTTGCAGAGAGTCCCCACCAGGAAGAAGGCTCTCACCAGATGTGGCCTCTTGACCTTGGACTTCTCAGCCTCCATAACTATAAGAGAGAAATCTCTTTTCTTTATAAATTACCCAGTTTCAGATATTCTGTTATAAGCAACAGAAAATGCACTAAGACAGCTATAATATGCCTAGGTGTGAAGTTTTTATTTATTTATCATGTTGGGAGCTCTGAATCATTTCCATCTAAGACCTAAGATCCCTTTCTTTTCTTTCTTTTTTTAAAATAATGGAGACTTTTCTTCATTATTTTTTTTCAAACAATGTCTCCCTTCCAATTTTTCTCAGACTTTCTGGGTCTCCTCTATTTGTTGCTAGTTACATTTGTATTCCCCACATCCTTGACATTTCTATTATAATTCTTTTCTTTTTAGTTTTTCGTGGCATTTTATAGGTAGTACAAGAAGTCCTATACCTTACTATAAAGAAAGTAAAAGAAATGAGAAGTGTAAGGATCAAGCTACTTTGGCACCTACCTCGCAGCCCACCCATTCGTTCTTCAGCAGGATTCATTCTGCAGCTCAGCCAAACACTTGTGTGCATTATTTGAAGTATTATGAATTCATAACTACATATTTCTACTTGGCTCATTTGCATGACTTACAATTTTGTGTTTATATTGCCACACTCATTGAGCTTATTCATTATGTTTACATTTTTGGGCCATCTCTTTCTGTCATTATGCTTCTATGGGTATATGTTTTTCAGTTTGCTTTCTTAGCGCTTCTGCGTTTTGGGTGTCTAGTTATTTTAGTCAGTGCGTGTATGCTATGTAAGGACAGGGTTCTCACCTGGGGGTAATGCTTCCCTGCAGGGGACATTTGGCAATCTTGGAGTTACTTTTGGTTGTCACAACTGGGTGAAGGGAGATGCTACTGGCATCTAGTGTGCGGAGGCCAAGGATGCTGCTCAACACCTAGTGACACAAAGGACAGTCCCCACCACACACACACACACACACACACCAAAGAATTATCTGGCCCCAAATGTCACTACTGCTGAGGCTGAGAAACCCTGAGCTAGCAGCCTCAGCTGCTCCCTGTGACGAGAGGCTGAGTCCCAAGGGAGAAAGCCCCTAGCAGCACAGAACCACCTTGAACACTTCCTTTCCCTCAGCAACACAGGGCAACCCTCTGGTCAGAGTTTTCCCTAATGCTCCTGTCTACATTTTGTCTCCCTGAGTCTGAGGTTCATCAGGGCTGAGTTTTGGAAGGGGTGCTGGCAGGAGGAAATGTCTAAGGAGGGCAGGTCAGCCCCTGGGAACAACCTTTTCGTAAATTCCTCACTTCAGTGAGGATCCTGTGCTGCCCTGATCTGATAAGCCCCCACAAAGAACAGTGTCCTGGGCTCTTGCAATCAATTCCTTATAGTAGAGGGGCAGACAATGACTCCCCCAGAGCAAACCAGGGGAGAGGTAAGAGGAGAAATTCATTCTTTCTGCCCATTCTCTCACTGCATCTTCAACTGCCTGGCCCTAGCTTCATGAAGCATCTTGCCCTCTTCCATCATTTGCAGTCCATGGTTGTTGTTGAAGGCAGGAAGCAGCAGCCCAGGCTGCTTGGCCAGTTTCACAGGAATCCCATCAACTTAAAAAATATATATGGGTGCCTTATGAAAACTAAGATATTCTGAATGTTTCTATAACTTCTAGTCTTCATAAATGGATGAGATCATCAATTCTTGGAAATAAGTTTCAATCAATGATATGAAATATATTTATGAGTTGTTATTTTCCCCCATTGGGACAGAAAAATATTTTTCTCTTGACTCTGACACTTACCATATATAAATATCTAAATGATAAGAAAAACTAAATGCTCTTTTTCCTGGAGACTGTTTAACATCATGGCCTCCACTTTTTTTTTTTATCTTGGTAAACAGAATCTTATTCTTAGCTACTAATAACATTAATCAATTTATTAATCATTTATTTAAATGTCTTTTGTGACATTTAAATAAATGCATTTCTTCACAGACGCAAGGACAATATACATGATCTTTAGCGACGGGCTATTTCCCACAGGATATTCCTATTATTGTACTGCTATTACGTAATCATTGATTCAGTGAAGCAAACTGCTCAGGATATCAAATTATCTTGATGGCAGAATAAAAAGAGAAAAGCTTATGAAATTCAAAGATTGCTTTCAAGGACCACTTCCTACTTTATTTTGAGAGATTACTTATATGGCTTATACTCATACTTGGAGTTCAGATTTAACATTAATAACATTTTCATATGAGAAAGCAATTTTTTACATGTATGTATGATACACAATTCAAATAACACATTACAGAAAAAATAAAAATAGGATTAAATTTACTTTCTTAAAACTAGGTGCGTTGGTTGAAACTAAATGTCAACTGGACTGGATTGAAAGATGCAAAGTATTGATCCCGGGTGTGTCTGTGAGAGTGTTGCCAAAGGAGATTAACATTTGAGTCAGTGGGCTGGGGAAAGCAGACCCACCATTAATTTGGTGGGCATAATCTAATCAGCTGTCAGCACGGCTAGAATATAAAGCAGGCAGAAAAACGTGAAAAGACTAGACTAGCCTAGCCTCCCCAGCCTACCCTGCGCTGGATGCTTCCTGTCCTGGAACATCGGACCCCAAGCTTTTCAGTTTTGGGACTTGGACTGGCTCTCCTTGCTCCTCAGCTTGCAGATGGCCTATTGTGGGACCTTGTGATCATGTGAGTTAAACTTAATACATTCATATATATAATATATATATATAAAATATATATATACATATAAAATATATATATACATATATATAATATATATACACACACACACACACACACATATATATATATATCTCCTATTAGTTCTGTCCCTCTAGAGAACCCTGACTAATACACTAGGTTTGTGTATATTCAAATGTCTAAAATTAAAAAATGACTGTTTTTATTTACCTCCATATCTGTTTATTGTATATTTTGGTGGTTTGATACATAATCATTTTTATCTTATCGAGATCAAATGGCCAATTCATTATCAAAATCTAAGAATAGTAACTGAATGCAAATTTTTTATGAATTCTACTATATCATAAGCACTGCTGAGCAGGAAAAATACAAATATGATACAGCACAAAAATAATCTCATAATAAACTCAAGAGTAACCTGAATGTCTTAAGATTTTATGCAGATAAATGTAATGTACAGTCAGCCCTCCATATGAGCAGATTCTACATCCAAGGATTCAATCAACCATGGATCAAAAATATTCAGAAAAAATTGCTTCTGTACTGAACATGTACAGCCTCTTTTTTCCTTGTTATTATTCCCTAAACAATGCAGTATAACAATTATGTACATGGCATTTGCATTGTGTTAGGTATTCTAAGTAGTCTAGAGATGATTTAAAGTATACAGGAGGATGTGCATAAATTATATGGGAATACTACACCATTTTATTTCAGGAACTTAAGCATCCACAGACTTTGGTATCCACAAGAGGTCCTGGAACCAATCCTGCATGGATACTGGACCGTATTTTCACAAAGTATATTTTATAATGAAAATAAGTATGCAAGAATGCAAAGCTTTTGCAATCTTTAGATAACACAAAAATGAGTCAAGATAAAACAGTTGCTTCCCAATTTAGGTTTTCCATTCTTGCCTTTTGTTTTAGATCAAGGGGTCAGCACAGGACTACTAACCTTGAGCTAAATCTGCCCCACCACTTGTTTTGTAAATAAAGTTTTATTGGAACACAACCATGCCCATTAGTTCATGAATTGAGACCATCTGACTCATAACGCCTAAAACATTTGCTACCTGGCCCTTTACAAAAAAGCTTTTTGTATCTCTGTTATAGCCCATGAATAAACAAACACATAGTAAAGTTACTGCCATGTTTGCCATTGCTACATTATCAAGTGGTATTTGGAATAGTCTCCTATCCTAGCTGGGCTATCTTGGGGATTTTCCCCATATCCCTTAAAGGATGAACCTTGTCATAAAGCCATGGTTTTTCTCTTGCTGGGGTCTGGAAGGTGCGGTTTTCCCTGCCAAGGAGCTGGTTACAACAGCTTCCAAATGATATTATAATTTCAGTACTCACTTTTTGTAAAATGATCTGCACAAATATTCCCTTTGTTCCAAGTTTGGATAAACAGTGATTCACACTTTTGTTGACAAAATGAGAACTTTGATTAGAATCAATAATATCAAATAGCTGCCATCAAGTAAAAATGCTTCCAACAAACCCTTTGTAGCAGGGTTGTGTAAATGGATATGGTCTTGATTTCTTAGGGAATGGATGGGTGCATAATAAAAAGCATTGATTTTTCAGGGTTTTTTTTCCCCAGATACTGGTAGCCTGCAATTGATTTAGAGTACCATTAGTGTTGTTACGGTTCTAAGCATTTTTTAATTGCCATTGTTATTTCTCCTATAACCCATGAGCTGTTGAGGAGTACATTTTTAAATTCCCAGACACATGGGGTTTTATTAAGTTTTTTTTTATTGTTTGTTTCCAGTTTATTGCCTTGTGATCATTCTCTATATCAGGGGTATAAATTTATGTATGCATAATGTATCACTCTTCATAATATCATTGCTTAAGTCTTCTGTCTACTTTCTAATACTCTATTATCTTGATCTACTGATTTCTGATTAAAGGATGTTAAAATCTTGAAACTGATGATGAACGTGTCCATTTCTCTTAGTAATTCTGTTCATTTTCCTTTCTGGAGTTCAAGGTGTGTACAATTTCATATTGTTTTATTTTCTTGGTAAACTTGCCGTTTTGTGTATATTAGATACCCTTTGTTTTACTAAAAATAATTTGTGCATTAAATTCTATATTGTGGGATATTAGTATTACTAACCTCTCTTTTTATTAGTATTCTGCTTGACTTTCTTTTAGCTGTGTCATTTTATGTGGATTTTTAGTAGCTAAATCCATTCACACTGATGGTAGTTACTAATATATTGGGACTTTTTTCACCATTTTATTTTGTGTGGTCTATATTACCATTGTTTTTCTTCCTTTTATTTTTTTCTCTCTTTATTTGTAATTTTTAAATTTTTTTCATTTCCTCTGGATTTTGGCTATGTATCATGTTTCTATACTTGTAATGGTTACTTTAATTGTTATATATACTAATATTAATTTGCCTAATAAAATCTGAAGTTATCTGGAAATTGTATTCTTGATAAAAACACTGCATTCCTGTCTTGTTATTGTTGCCTAAATTTTTTTATTTAAAATTTTTAATACAAAAATGCTATTGTTACGTTCACTATTTAGATAAATTGATTGGTATTATTTCATCCCCTTCTGTGTACACTAATGTTTCTTGAATTCCACTCAACTCTTCTCTCTTTCCTTGTCCCTTATCTTCTTGATGAAGAACACCTTTGAATATTTATTTAAGTAGTAGTTTTATAGTCTGTTTATATGAACTCTGTGTCTGAAAAAATGTCCTTATTTTATGTTATCTGTTGCATGTTAGGTTGGCAATTGCTTTCCTTCTAACCTGGATTGCTATAAATGAGAAGCCCACCATTAGTTGAATTGTCATCCCCCGGTAGGTAATCCAGTGTTTCTCTGTGGTATCTTAAGAATTTATCTTCATTCTCAATGGTTTGCAGCCAACTATTATACGCCATGGAGTGGATTTATATTTATCTTTTCAAATCATAGAGTGTACTTTTGATACAAAGATTTCAATTCTGAATCATGTTGAATATTATTTTTCTGAAAAAATACATTGGCCATGATCTTTTCAAATGTTGTTTATTTACAACTCCATCCATTCTCTAGCCACTTATCTTTTATGAAACTCCTATTAAAGTAATGTGATAGTGTCTCACTCTGGCCCCCAAATCTCACAGTTCCTCTTTTATATTTTTATATTTCTTTTTAAATCACTTTTAAAAAAGAATTATTCTGTTTGTTTGAATGTTGTACCAATGTATTCAAAGAACATTCTTTAAAAAGTTTTCTACAGAAGAACTTTTATAATAATAAAATCATAGTTTCAACAAAAGCAATCTGCCATGTGAGTTGATATTAAAAGATGATGTGATGAACTACACAGAGCTGGCATGGATATAAAGAAAGAACTGGAGAAAAATAAGGAAAATCTCTGGCTTGATAGAATTTCAAGGGTAGAATTTCCAGCCCTCAGTGGAGGAAGTCAGATAGTTCCATTTTCCTGAGAAATTGACACTGTGGAAGATCAAGTTGGTGACATGAAGAAAAATGGTTCTCTCCCATGATGTGAAGCAAAGAACAGGGGGTAAACCTCAATGGGTGAATATGAGTAAGAGGACAGAGTCCCAACATGAGAATTACAAACGCTTCCTTCACCAGAGTCAAGTCAAGGGCAAGAATAATTGGAGCAAATGCAGTCATTAACTGGAGACTGATTGATGAATGGCAAACTAGAATGTACAACTTGAATTCAGAGGTCAAAAAGCCTGTCATTGTCGAGATAAAATTAAGGAAGTGCGGGAGTGCTAACAACATGTCTGAATTATAGGAATAAAAAATATCTACTGGCATCCAAGCAAATACATGCGTTTGTGTACTAAGAAATAAATACCAAGCTAATTACAGACTTTTCCACCAAAAAGTAAATTCCCAAGGATAAAGAGTAAACATATTCAAATTTTGGAGGGAAAAAATGTTAATATTATAAACCTTGAATTTTATAATCAAGGTTTCATTCAAATGTAGTGGCAAAATAAACTTGTTCTCATGCATGTGTGCATTCAAACACCATCCAGAAGAAGCTCTTTGTAAACATTTCTTGAAGATGGACTCCAACTGCTGGAAGTGAGAATCGAAATTAAAGCACTCAATAATGCAAGAGTCCTTGTCTAACTTAGCCACGTAATAACCAAGAAACCACACACTAGATTTTTTAATGTTTTGCAAGCAATATAAGGAAAATATGAGGAAAAAATAATAGCAAAATGTCTTTATACATGGAGGCAAAGTTGGCAATGCAGATGTTAATTGTCACAGAAATATAACAGCAAGGCACCTCAGAGTCCTTGGAGATATTCTTTTTCATATATATTCACTTCTTAAGTGACCTCCTCCATTATCCACAACTTTATATACAATAAACAGTTAACCCTTGAATAACACAAGGGTTAGGAACACCGACTCCTTGGGTAGTCGAAAAATCCAAATATAACTTGACTCCCCCAAAACTTGACTACTGATAGCCTACTGTTGAGTGGAAGCCTTACCAATAACAAAAACAGCCAATTAACACACATTTTGTATGTTTTACATATTATATATGTTGTGTTCTTATAACAAAGTAAGCTAGAGAAAAGAAAATGTCATAAAGAAAAAATCATAAGGAAGAAAAGACATACTTACTATTCATTAAGTGGAAGTGGATTATCACAAAACTCTTCATCCTCCTTGTCTTCATGTTGAGTAGGCTGAAGAGGAAGAGGAAGGGTTGGTTTTGCTGTCTCAGGAGTCGCAGAGGCAGAAGAAAATCCACGTATAAGTGGACTCACACAGTTCCAATTCTTATTGTTCAAGGGTCAACTGTGTAGTATGATGATATGTCCTCAGCCTCAAGTTCTCGCCTAATCATCAGACATCTCTTATTTTCTCTGGATGCCTACAAAGCTCAAACTTGAAATGAACAAACAGACCCTTGATTCTAAGAGCCTCCAAACCGGCTCCCCTCCCTGGTCCCCCCAGAATGAAGGAACAGCACTACTATTCACCTGATTGCCTGAGACCCTATTCCAGGTGTCATCTTCAATTTTTCACTTTCCATCATCTCCATGTATAAGGTGAAGTCCCGTGTGCTCAAAAACATTCCAAAATTTTCAGGAATTTTGGCTGCATAAGCAAGAAGAGAGATTACGTAGGAGCTGGAAGGCGACGTGGCATCAACAAATGGATTTTTGCTGGTTTGGTTTTTGGTGGTGGTGATGGTGGGATTTTTTGTTTGTTTGTTTTTAGTTTTTAGAGACAAGGCCTCTCACTGACAGCCAGGCTGGAGTGCAGTAGTGTAATCATAAGTCACTGCAGCCTCGAACTCCTGGACTCAAGCAGTCCTCCCACCTCAGCTTCCCAAGTAGCTGGAACCACAGGCATGAGCCACCATGCCCAGCTAGGTTTGTTTTTAAAGAGAGGGAAAACTTGACCTCGTTTCAAAGGAGCAAGTAGATTAGAAAAAGCAGAAAGTACAGGAGAAGTTGGAGAAATCACTTAAGCATGAATCCACAGAAGACAAGGAAGAGGAAATGAAGTCCAGTGCGTCGAGGTCAGGGTTAGTCTTGCAAGTGAAAGGGAGCTGGTGGGTGGAAGAATTTATTCTGTTAGAAGGTATGATAGGAAGGAAACAACAGGTGTAGATCCTTATATCTATAGTTTTGCAGCAGGAAGTTGATTGCATTTCCTTCCATTTTGAAGATTGTGGGATGACCTGCTTCAAACTGGTAGAAATTGGATGGTGGGCCAGGTAGGGAGAGGGGAGAGATATGAGAAACAGGAAGAAGGCAGAAGCCCATAGAGATTAGGAGAAAGTGATCATGGAAACAGGAACGGTGTATATGGAACTCTGCATGCCCTCCAGAGAGTGGAAATCAATAATCTATAATGGAATCCAAATGCATGATTTTATAACATTCTACAGAAGGCTCCTCTCCCCAAGACACAGGCTTGTATTAAATGGGGGCATCCAGGACTGAAGTACTGTTGCCAAGCAGGTTGGACAGAAGAACAAATGTGAAAAATATTGATAAAATATTTGAAGAGATGGAACATATAATCTAAGCCCAATAGGGAAGGATGTAGAACCATAAATAAATTGATAAATAAGAAAAAAAAACAGTGTCCCCAAGACATCAGTAACCATTCCTTCTCAGTAAATGGCAACTACATCAGAAATTTCCAAAGTCTATCTATATTAGCTCCCTAGGGTTGCTATAACAACCACACTCACCTTTTCTCTGGCAAGCTTGCATCTTGTTACACTTGGAAAACTGCAAATGTCTTGGACATCATCCACACTCCTAACTCCACATTTTGACCAGGAGGATCTTTGAAAATGCAAACTCGATGTTATCTATGCCCAGCTGATACTGCTCAATGGCTTTTCATTGTTGTAAGAGTGAGAACAGAGAGATTTTAGATGGAAAATTGATTCTAAGCAAGGCTACAGCCATGTCAAAGCACTATCAGCCTCTCAGAAGGTGCCATGTTTCCTTTAGACTTGGTGGCTTCCCATGTACTGTCTCCTCTCTATGAAACGCCCCTCTCCCTGTTTCAGTTGGGCCTCCCTTTGGGATCTCAGATTAGACATTTCTTCTCCTTTGTCTTTCTCAGACTCCTCCCTCCTCCTCCCTCCATCACCCTTAACTGGGTTAATTTCTCTTCTACTTGCTCCTATAACCCCTGGGATTTACCCAAGTGGTACGCTCCATTAGGGTATTGTGTCATCATTTCTTGTTTATGATCAGGGTCTCCCATAACGAAACGCAAATCTTTTAAGGACTGTAACTTTGTCTCTCTTATGGATATATGAGTGTTGGCCATGCCCAGACTGTGCTTAGCACATCATTAAACCCCACTAAATATTTGTTGAATGGTTTACTGGCTTCTGTTCATTCGGAATAGCCTTGCTACTCCCTGGGCATTTATCACCTACATACAAAACTATACCTGTGAGACTTTGTAGCTCCATAGTATGTTTCACAATAAACATTTGATTGACTGAAACATTCCTCCTTCTTTTCTTTCTTCCTTTCTCCCTCTCTCTCTCCTCCCGCCACTGCTGTCTCCCTCTCTCTCTCTCCCTCTTTCTTTTATTTATTTAAATTTTTTTTGGCTGCATGTAAAGTCTGTATATAGAGCAACAACTGTTGTCTCCCGCTGCAGACCCCGCAGCGCTCTCCCTGGTGGCGGAGACTCCACACAGCCTTCTGTGCCAGCCGTCAGAGGTCTAATGTTAGTGATTTATTTTCTCCTTTCCTTTTCTACAGAGAGTGGCACAAATCCAGGGAGAATTCCAGCTTTAAAAAAAGAAAAGTCTCAGCCTTTTTGAATCTTACTTGGCTCTGAAACAAATTATAAATGTTACCAGCATTTAAGAAAAACATCACTTCATCTCACTAGACATTTGAACACGATTATAGGAAAGCAAATTTAAAATATAAGCACTATTTGAAAACTTTTCTCCTACTTGCTCAAATCAGAAAGTCAGTAGATCTGGGAGGAATGAGTAGTCTGCTGCGATTGAAGAAAGTTTTGAACCGATGACAGCATTCAGGCACCAGCATCCTCCAACTGCCGTTGTAGGAAGCAGGACCTCCAGGGGGCATGGTCACCGCTCTCAGGTCAGTCGCATGAGGAGGCCATTATACAAAAATTGAGAGGAGTCCTGGAAGAAAGATACCCCACTCTCTCACGTCTTCACAAATTAACCACTGAAAAACTCTTCAAAACCCACCCATCACTTCAAAAAGCATTAGGGAGGAGGGACGCCATGCAAGACAGAGCTTACATAACCAGCATCTGATTAGATGTGTGGAATAAGAAATGAAGAAACAGGGAATCAACTCCAAGCAAACATTTCTTCTTCCTCTGATTCAAACGTATTGATGTTTAGTTTTTCAGATGTGTGCAGTATAAAGTCGTGGTGATATACACATCTGTACATCTCAAGGAAAACAATAAATTCTCAAAATAAATTGCAAGAGATACTTTTCTCTCTTAAATTTTCAATAATTTATCAAATAATTCACAAGACTATGAATTTGTGTTAAAGTGAGTATAAATGTTCTAAGCCCTAAGCAGTAGAGGTAAAAGAAGTTGCTTTCAAATATCTTTATTTTATTTTATTTTTAATTTCAATAGGTTTTTAGGGAGCAGGTGATGTTTGGTTACATGAAGAAGTTCTTTAGTGGTGATTTCTGAGATTTGGGTGCACCCATCACTCACTAGTGTACACTGTACCCGATGTGTAGCCTTTAATCCCTTGCCACCACCCCACCATTTACCCCGAGTCCCCAAAGTCCAATGTGTCACTCTTATGCCTTTGCGTTCTCATAGCTCCCACTTATGAGAGAAAACGTGCAATGTTTGGTTTTCCATTTCTGGGTTACTTCACTTAGAGTAATAGCCTCTCATTCCATCCAGGTTGCTGCAAATGTCATTATTTCATTCCTTTTTATGGCTGAGTAGTATTCCATGGTATATATGTACACCACATTTTCTTTATCCACTTGTTGATTGATGGGCATTTGGGCCCAGCAATCCCACTACTAGTTATCTACCCAGAGGAAAAGAAGTCATTATATGAAAAAGATACTTGCGGCAACAGAGCGAGACTCCATCTCAAAAAAAAAAAGAAGAAAGAAAAAGATACTTGCACATGGATGTTTATAGCAGCACACTTTGCAATTGCAAAAATATGGAACCAGGTCAAATATCTTATTACATGTTTTTAATGTAAAAGAGAAAAGGCTAACTGAAACAATGGTAACATCAACAGAGAAGGGAGATTAGGGGATTGGCTGATAAGAAAATGCTAAAAAGCTTTAATGCCATGTTAAGTAACACTTTCTCTAATTGTAATTTCTCCTACACAGAAATTGCAAACCTGTGTTCTACCATGTCCAACTTGAGTCACCCCTTCTGTTTTTTTGTTTTGTTTTGTTTCTGTTTTTTAGAAGGAGTCTCACTCTGTCACAAGGCCAGAGTGCAGTGGTGCGATCTGGGCGCACTGCAATCTCCGCCTCCCAGGTTCAAGTGATTCTCCTGACTCAGTCTCCTGAGCAGCTGGGACTACAGGAGCATGCCACCACGCTCAGCTAATTTTCTTTTCTTTCCTTTCTTTTTTTTTTTTTTTTTTTTTTGAGACAGAGTCTCGCCTTGTTGCCCAGGCTGGAGTGCAATGGTGCAATCTCAGCTCACTGCAACCTCTGCCTCCCAAGTTCAAGCGATTCTCCTGCCTCAGCCTCCCGAGTAGCTGAGATTACAGGTGAGCACCACCACACCCAGCTAATTTTTTGTATCTTTGGTGGAGACGGTGTTTCACCATGTTGGCCAGGTTAGTCTCGAACTCCTGACCTCATGATCCACCCGCCTCGGCCTCCAAAACTGCTGGGATTACAGACGTGAGCCACCGCACCCTGCCAATTTTTGTATTTTTAGTAGAGACAGGGTTTCACTATGTTGGCCAGGATGGTCTCCATCTCTTGACCTCGAGATCTGCCTGCCTGCCTTGGCCTCCCAAAGTGCTGGGACTACAGACGTTAGCCACCGCGCCTGGCCGAGTCACCCCTTCTAACTTAGCAAACTGAACCCAGGGCCCTGGAGAAGGAGATACAGAACTTCTCTCTTCCCCCACTCAGGCCTTTGACAAACACCAGCCCTTCCACTTACCCCTGGTATCAGAGCCATTGGCCAATTTACACAGAAATTATTAATAGCCCCAAATATCAGAAAGGTAACCACAAAAAGTCCTTTTCTAAGTGAAACGCATTTGGAACCTCCCATCAAATGAGGATGGCTTGTTGGCAGATGACAACACCAAGAGCCCCTTTGAGGGGACGGTTCATCCAGGCTGGTGTTCTGTACTCATTATAGGACGTAAAGAGTGATAGGGAAGAGCTGGATTTGACAAAGCCAGTGGCCAAGCACAGGGGTTCCCCTGAGCAGCCACCTTGGGGACAATGATTGGGCAAGTGGGGATGAGGTAAAAGGCTATAAGTTGGAGACCTAAAACTGTGGATTGGAACCTCTTCCCTGAGCCCAGACAGTGATCCGTCTTCCTGCAGAGACACTGAGGAAAGGTCACCTGCGTTAACCAGCAAAAGCGCATCAGGTGCACTGGTGCCAGGTCTCGGCAGCAACCCCATGAGGAAGCAACAGCAGCCCAAAGGTTTCTACAGCCTTGGGTCTGTGAAGCATTCAGAAAAATGACTGAAATCTATGGCTTCTCCCTGAAACCTAGCATGTCATTATCTACTCGGAAGGATATGCTGTAAGCATCCTCTGTGCACATGTGAATGCCATCAGTCCAGGGAATTTACAGCCTCACCTGTTCAGTTTTCCTTTTTTGGCTATCTGGTCACTCTCAACAAAAATAATAGCAAAAATGGTTGAGATGCCATTACCAAATGGCACCTATTTTCATTAATAGACAAAATCCTTTGGAAGCCACTTAATGTTTGTCTGCAAATATTAGCTCTGCCACCCTGGCTTAAGATGCTTGAGAAGGCTGAGCTGTGCTAACACAATTAATTTGCTGAGTATATACATCCTCATCAGCAGGAGAAAGGTAAGTCCCAGGCCAGCCAGAGATTGCATTAAAAATTTCCAATGAGTGGGTTTTACAGCAATGAGTATTGAACATGGTCAATTGCTTTTTTCTCTTCCAATGCCACTGATGTTAACTAATTCATAGTCAATGTGCTATTCCCTGTGCCCCTGTTGACAATACAACCCTTGTGTAATCCCTTAACATAATGAGATTACTGCCTTGTTAGGAAATGGAGCAGTTTGCAGTTGAGTTTCTGGGTCTGGCCACAGTTAGGAGGCTGGGAAAGTTGTAGGACACAGTCATGTATGAATGCTTTCTCTCCTGCTCAAGGCTCTGTCCATGATATCATGTAAAGTTGGGGTCTCCCTACCTCTGGTTCCTCCCATCCTCTTTAATGTCTCCCCTAAATGTTTGTTATCTCTACTATCAAATTTGCACTTCGAGTCTTTGTCTTTGTGCAGAGGTCTATGTGCTGTTCTGTGGCCTAGAACATAACAATTTCTACATGTTGAGAGTTTACTCCTCCCATAATTCCATCTCTAAAGCCACGACCTCCATGCAAGCTTTTCTGATACCCTGAATCCCAGGATTCTTTACATGGCCTTCTAATGATATTTATAAACTTCTCTTTTGCTATGTATTTGTTTTTTGTATTGAAATTCCATTTCTCCAATTCCATTTAAGAGCAGAGAATGAATCTTCTTTGTGATTCTAAATTCACTTTTTTTTAGTTCTGATTCATATGGTTTTTAATTACAATGTAATTTTTAAACTATTTGGGCTGTTGAGCCCTACAAGGAAGTCTTTTGAATTATTATCTTTAGAAAATGGACATACTATTTAGAAGTTTTTCTGTTTTCTGTCCAAATGATAACTAGTTCTAAGTAATGGCAGTTCTTAATGCTGTATATATACATATATTTTTGGTGGGGGTGTTGAAAATTTTTTTTTTAATTCTTATACTTTAAGTTCTGGGATACATGTGCAAAACATGCAGGTTTGTCACATAGGTATACACGTGCCATGGTGGTTTGCTGCACCCACCAACCCATCATCTACATTAGGTATTTCTCCTAATGCTATCCCTCCCCTAACCCCCAACCCCCCTACAGGCCCCAGTGTGTGATGTTCCCCTCCCTGTGTCCATGTGTTCTCACTGTTCACCTCCTACTTACGAGTGACAACATGCGGTGTTTGGCTTTCTGTTCCTGTGTAGTTTGCTGAGAATGATTGTTTCCAGCTTCATCCATGTCCCTGCAAAGGATATGAACCCATCCTTTTTTATGGCTGCATAATATTCTGTGGCATATCTGTGCCACATTTTCTTTATCCAGTCTATCATTGATGGGCATTTGGGTTAGTTCCAAGTCTTTGCTGTTGCAAATAGTGCTGCAATAAACATATGTGTGCTTGCGTCCTTATAGTAGAACGATTTATAATCCTTTGGGTATATATCCAGTAATGGGATTGCTGGATCAAATGGTATTTCTGGTTCTAGACTTTGAGGAATCACCAGACTGTCTTCCACAATGGTTGAACTAATTTACACTCCCACCAACAGTGTAAAAGCATTCCTATTTCTCCACATCCTCTCCAGCATCTGTTGTTTCCTGACTTTTTAATGATCACCATTCTAACTAGCTAGAGATGGTACCTCGTTGTGGTTTTGATTTGCATTTCTCTAATGACTGGTGATGACGAGCTTTTTTTTCATATGTTTGTTTGCCACATAAATGTCTTTTTTTGAATAGTGTCTGTTCATATCCTTTGCCCATTTTTGATGGGGTTGTTTGTTTTTTCTTGTAAATTTGTTTAAGTTTCTTGTAGATTCTGGATATTACCCCTTTGTCAGATGGGTAGATTGCAAAAATTTTCTCCCATTCTCTAGGTTGCCTGTTCACTCTCATGATAGTTTCTTTTGCTGTGCAGAAGCTCTTTAGTGTAATTAGATCGCATTTTATCAATTTTGGCTTTTGCTGCCATTGCTTTTGGTGTTTTAGTATTGAAGTCTTTGCCCATGCCTATGTCCTGAATGGTAATGCCTAGGTTTTCTTCTAGGGTTTTTATGGTTTTAGGTCTTATGTTTAAGCCATTAAAACATCTTGAGTTAATTTTTGTGTAAGGTGCGAAGAAGGGGTCCAGTTTCAGTTTTCTGCATGTGGCTAGCCAGTTTTCCCAACACCATTTATTAAATAGGGAATCCTTTCCCCATTGCTTGTTTTTGTCACGTTTGTCAAAGATCTGATGGCTGTAGATGTTTGGCATTATTTCTGAGGCCTCTGTTTTGTTCCATTGGTCTATATATCTGTTTTGGTACCAGTATCACGCTGTTTTGATTGCCGTAGCCTTGTAGTATAGTTTGAAGTCAGGTAGCTTGATACCTCCAGCTTTGCTCTTTTTGCTTAGGATTGTCTTAGCTATACAGGCTCTTTTTTGGTTCCATATGAAATTTAAAGTAGTTTTTTCTAATTCTGTGAAGAAAGTCAATGGTAGCTTGATGAGGATAGTGTTGAATCTATCAATTACTTTGGGCAATATGGCCATTTTCATGATATTGATTCTTCCTATCCATGAGCACGGAATGTTTTTCCATTTGTTTGTGTCCTCTCTTATTTCCTTGAGCAGTGGTTTGTAGTTCCCCTTGAAGAGGTCCTTCACATCCCATTTAAGTTGTATCCCTAGGTATTTTATTCTCATTGTAGGAATTGTGAATAGGATTTCACTCATGATTTGGCTCCCTGTTTGTCTATTATTGGTGTATAGGAATGCTTGTGATTTTTGCACATGGATTTTGTATCCTGAGACTTTGCTGAATTTGCTTATCAGCTTAAGGAGATTTTGGGCTGAGACGATGGTGTTTTCTAAATATACAATCATGTCATCTGCAGAAACAATTTGACTTCCTCTCTTCCTATTTGAATACCCTTTATTTCTTTCTTTTGCCTGATTGCCCTGGCCAGAATTTCCAATACTAAGTTTAATAGGAGTGGTGAGAGAGGGCATTCTTGTCTTGTGCTGGTTTTCAAAGGGAATGCTTCCATTTTCGCCCATTCAGTATGATATTGGCTGTGGGTTTGTCATAAATAGCTCTTATTATTTTGAGATACATTCCATCAATACCTAGTTTATTAAGAGTTTTTAGCATAAAGGGGTGTTGAATTTTATCGAAGGCCTTTTCTGCATCTATTGAAATAATCATGTGGTTTTTGTCATTGGTTCTGTTTATGTGATGGATTACATTTATTGATTTGCATATGTTGAATCAGCCTTGCATCCTAGGGATGAAGCTGACTTGATCATGGTGGATAAGCTTTTTGATGTGCTGCTGGATTCCGTTTGCCAGTATTTAATTGAGGATTTTCGCATCAATGTTCATCAGGGATATTGGCCTGAAATTTTCTTTTTTTGTTGTGTCTCTACCAGGTTTTGTTATCAGGATGATGCTGGCCTCATAAAATGAATTAGGGAGGGGTCCCTCTTTTTCTATTGTTTGAAATAGTTTCAGAAGGAATGGTACCAGCTCCTCTTTATACCTCTGGTAGAATTCGGCTGTGAATCCATCTGGTCCTGGGCTTTTTTTGGTTGGTAGGCTATTAATTACTGCCTCAATTTCAGAACTTGTTATTGGCTTATTCAGGGATTCAAATTCTTCCTGGCTGAGACTTGGCAGGGTGTATGTGTCCAGGAATTTATCCGTTTCTTCTAGATTTTCTAGTTTATTTGCATAGAGGAGTTTATAGTATTCTCTTATGGTAGTTTGTATTTCTGTGGGATCAGTGGTGATAGCCCCTTTATCATTTTTTATTGTGTCTGTTTTATTCTTCTCTCTTTTCTCCTTTATTATTCTGGCTAGCAGTCTATCTATTTTGTTTATCTTTTCAAAAAACCAGCTCCCAGATTCATTTATTTTTTGAAGGGTTTCTCGTGTCTCTATACCCTTCAGTTCTACTCTGATCTTAGTTATTTCTTGTCTTCTGCTAGGTTTTGAATTTGTTTGTTCTTGCTTCTCCAGTTCTTAATTGTGATGTTAGGGTGTCAATTTTAGATCTTTTCCGCTTTCTCCTGTGGGCATTTAGTGCTATAAATTTCCCTCTCAACACTGCATTAGCTGTGTCCCAGAGATTCTGGTACATTGTGTCTTTGTTCTCATTGGTTTCAAAGAACTTATTTAATTTTGCCTTAATTTCATTATTTACCCAGTAGTCGTTCAGGAGCATATTGTTCAGTTTCCATGTAGCCGTGTGGTTTTGAGTGAGTTTCTTAATCCTGAGTTCTAATTTGATCGTCCTGTGGTTTGAGAAACTGTTATGATTTCGGTTCTTTTGCATTTGCTGAGGTGTTTTACTTCCAATTATGTGGTCAGTTTTAGAATAAGTGCGATGTGGTGCTGAGAAGAATGCATATTCTGTTGATTTGGGGTGGAGAGTTCTGTAGATGTCTGTTAGGTTTGCTTGGTCCAGAGCTGAGTTCAAGTCCTTAATATCCTCATTCATTTTCTGTCCATTGATCTGTCTAATATTGACAGTGGGGTGTTAAAGTCTCCCACTATTGTGTGGGAATCTAAGTCTCTTTGTAGGTCTCTAAGAACTTGCTTTATGAATCTGGCTGCTCCTGTATTGAGTGCATGTATATTTAGGATAGTTAGCTCTTCTTGTTGCATTGATCCCTTTACCATTACATAATGCACTTCTTTGTCCTTTTTGATCTTTGTTGGTTTAAAGTCTGTTTTTATCAGAGACTCAGATTGCAAACCCTGCTGTTTTTTGCTTTCCATTTGCTTGATAAATATTCCTCCATCCCTTTATTTCGAGCCTATGTGTTTCTTTGCACGTGAGATGGGTCTCCTGAATACAGCACACCAATGGGTCTTGACTTTTTATTTTTTTTTCTCTAATCTTGTCTTCTCACTTTATTTCATTAAGTTGATCTTCAATCTCTGATATCCTTTCTTCCACTTGATCAATTCGACTATTAATACTTGTGAATGCTTCACAAAGTTCTTATGTTGTGCTTTTCAGCTCCATCAAGTCATTTATGTTCCTCTCTAAACTGGTTATTCTAGTTTGTAATTCATCTAACCTTTTTCCAAGGTTCTTAGCTTCCTTGCATAGGGTTGGAACATGCTCCTTTAGCTTGGAGGAGTTTGTTATTACCCACCTCCTGAAGCCTACTTCTGTCAATTCATCAAACTCATTCTCTGTCCAATTTTGTTCCCTTGCTGGTGAGTTGTGATCCTTTGGAGGAGAGGAGGTGTTCTGGTTTTTGGAATTTTCAGTCTTTTTTTTTTTTTTTTTTTGCGCTGGATTCTCCCCATCTTTGTGGATTTATCTACCTTTGGTCTTTGATGTTGGTGACCTTCGGATGGGGTCTCTGAGTGGATGTGCTCTTCCTTTCTGTTTGTTAGTTTTCCTTCTAACAGTCAGGCCCCTCTTCTGCAGGTCTGCTGGAGTTTGCTAGAGGTCCACTCCAGATCCTGTTTGCCAGATCCTGCAGCGGAGGCTGCAGAACAGCAAAGATTGCTGCCTGTTCCTTCCTCTGCAAACTTCATCCCAGAGGGGCACCTGCCAGATGCCAGCTGGAGCTCTCCTGTATGAGGTGTCTTTTGACACCTGCTGGGAGGTGTCTCCCCATCAGGAGGCATGGGGGTCAGGGATCCACTTGAGGAGGCAGTCTGTCCCTTAGCAGAGCTTAAGCACTGTGCTGGGAGATCTGCTACTCTCTTCAGAGCTGGCAGGCAGGAACGTTTCAGTCTGCTGAAGCTGCGTCCACTGCCACCCCTTCTACCAGGTGCTCTGTCCCAGGGAGATGGGAGTTTTATCTATAAGCCCCGGAAAGGGGCTGCTGCCTTTCTTTCAGAGATGCCCTGCCCAGAGAGGAGGACTCTAGAGAGGCAGTCTGGCTACAGCAGCTTTGCCAAGCTGTGGTGGGCTCCGTCCAGTTTGAACTTCCCAGTGGCTTTGTTTACACTGTGAGGGGAAAACCACCTACTCAAGCCTCAGTAATGACAGATGCCCCTCCTCCCACCAAGCTGGAGCATCCCAGGTCTACTTCAGACTGCTATACTGGTAGTGAGAATTTCAAACCAGTGGATCATTGCTTGCTGGCCTCCATGGGGGTGGGATCTACTGAGCTAGACCACTTGGCTCCCTGGCTTCAGCCCCCTTTCCAGGGGAGTGAACAGTTCTGTCTCACTGGCGTTCCAGGCACCACTGAGGTATGAAAAAAACTCCTGCAGCTAGCTCGGTGTCTGCCCAAATGGCTGCCCAGTTTTGTGCTTGAAACCCAGGGCCCTGGTGGTGTAGGCCTCCAAGAGAATCTCCTGGTCTACAGGTTGCGAAGACCATGGGAAAAGCATACTATCTGGGTCAGAATGCACTGTTTCTCACAGCACAGTCCCTCATGGCTTGTCTTGGCTAGGGGAGGGAGTTCCCCAACTCTTTGTTGCTTCCTGGGTGAGGTGATGCCCCACCCTGCTTCAGCTCACCCTCCATGGGCTGCGCCCACTGTCTAACCAGTCCCAATGAGATGAGCCGGGTACCTCAGTTGGAAATGCAGAAATCACTCACTTTCTGTGTTGATCTTGCTGGTAGCTGCAGACCGGAGCTGTTCCTATTTGGCCATCTTGCCAGCCACCAATTCTGAATTCATTTTTTCACTGACCTGTAACAGGCATTGAATCACAAAGCATTGATTGCATCCCTATTATTGGCTTGCCCAGCAAAAGCAGGAACACCTCCAAGGAATAGGATCTTTTTTTTATGTTCAATGGCAGGATTTGAGGTTCCCTACACAGAAATTGATGCCCCTCTTGCTGCACCAGAAGCTGGAAATTTTATGGATACAAATAATTTTCTTTTTCCATTGAGCATTGGCCTCTCCAAATGATGATTGTTTTGAGAAAGGTAAGGCACTGTGGTTTGCACATTTTGCTTATAAGAATTTTTTATGGGCCAGAAAGAGTTGTGGAATAGCAAGAAAGGATTGGCTACTTACTGAAGAAAGAGCAAAAAGGAATAGGTCAGAAGTGAAAATGGAAGGATCTAAAACTAAGTTAAGTAACTGATGTCATACTTTTCCTTGGCCTAGCTCTGCAGGTGACAATGGCTGTCTTAGAAAGTTACTTCTCTACTAGGCTGGTCATCTTTGCAAAAAATCTGATATTGTTGTGCCTTTTATTTGAATGTGAAGCCCCCAGTAACACATTTGATTTCAACTACTAGATTTTGTCATGGGTAGTGACTATCTGTGGCTGGTGGCATAGGTGGTAAAGGAATTTACCAAGATGGGTAAAGAAAGTCAGATTTATTAGAAAAAGTATGAAAATATGTTGCAAGGCAGCAAAGCAGAGAAGGCGCTGTCTGCAAAGAGACAGAGGCTGGAGGGAAGTTTCATAAGGTTGTGCTGGAGGGGGCTGTCTGCTGAACGAGGTCATTGTGCCCACAGAACAAGGTCATTGTGCCTGTGCAACCCTGTTCTTACTGTTCTTATGCCTGGGGAACAAGGTTGTTGTGCCTGCCGGTTATTTTTCAGAACAATTGTTCATTGCTCTTCCCCATCTGGGGCCTCATTGTTGCTTACTTATTTTATTAGGACTCCACAGATTTGTTCTTTCCATCCAAATTGGATTTCCAGATCCAAAATAAGTAGGCTGAGTATCCATCCATTACTAATTCTCCACATGATCATAATAATAATTAGAAAATGATGTAACTGCATGTTTTAGGTATGGGAAACAAATATGACAACCCAAACTGTACCTTAGGCCAAATTTTCAAAGAGCCCAGTGGACATACTTACAACAGGAAAATATAAAAGATACACACATACTGATGTGCCAAGGAAAAGACAAGAGCAGGCATAACTCAGGTAAGGGTGTGTGCAAATGTCTAGTGAAACACACCATTATCCAATGGGTTTGCACAGACAAGGAGCACGTTATGCTACTGTGGGTTTTTCCTGGCTGAGCAGATGCAAGCAGCATATCTTAAAATTTTCCACTATGTGTTTTTCCATTTGAGACAGGCGTCAATTTAATAGCTGTAACAAGAGATAGAAGCTTCTCAAAGTTCAGTGACTCACTCACTTTTGGACAATTAGGGCAAAAGAGAAATAATTCTATAAAACAATCTTTGGTGCATGCACAGCAGAAGCTAACCCATGTGTAACAGCACATAATTGGCTCCTTTTAAATTAATTAAATGTTACAGGGAAGCAAAACATAAGACCAGATTAAAAACCTTTTGATACCTCTAACTCCGATCATATTGAAGAAGCACAAGCGTCCCAGAAAGGGTGAGTCATCAATATGGGACAGGTGACAAATGTCTGGCAGCAGTCTTTCCTGCAAAGCTGGAGAATGAGTGCACCTGGCTTTGAGGATTACAGTTCCACTGGTAATTACTCTCTGACCACAGTGTCACTATCCTGTCCCTTTCTTTTCTCGCTTATCACATGGAAATAATAATTTGTGGAGAATTGTGAGGGAATTTGTGGAGTTTTAACAAATAAATAGACATAAATAAAAAGATCTTTGAAAACTAACACTAAAAATAAAACATCCTCATTGTTATTTATCCAAAATTCATTTTTGCACATTTTCATACTTCATTCCTGTTGCTGTAGCAAAATACCTTAGATGGGGTAATTTATATAAACAGAGGTCTATTGCTCACAGCTCTGGAAGCTGTGAAGTCCAAGATCAAGGCGCTGGCAGATTGAGTGTCTGGTGAGGGCTGCCCTCTGTTCCAAGATGGCACCTTCTTGCTGTGTCTTCAGTGGTGGAAAAGGCCCTTATAAGGGCATAATCCCTTCATGAGGGCAGTGCCTCCATGACCTAATCACATACTGAAGAGCCCACCTCTTAATACTGTCAGCTTGGGGTTTAGTTTCCAACTTATGAATTTTGGTGAGATGCACACATTCAAACTACAGCACATGTAACAGCTGCTCAACTAAAAGTTGATGCTTCTGTTGGGGATGCCATTGACTTCCTACTTGCTAAATGCAATGAATTCTTTGCAGCCCTCATCCATCTTTGCCTCTCTAGCTTTTTCATGGCTTTTTTAAGTCTTTCTCTACAAAACCTCTGTTCATTCAACTATTACTCTATCACTTTCTTCTAATTCAAATCCAAATTACAACTCCATGCTAACTTGCAATGAGTTGTCCTCCACTTGCTCTGAAAGACCACAGCTCTCCAGGAGTCCTAGTCCTGTCATCTTCATCTGCTCTCATGAGTTCCAATCATACCTATCTTTGTTCCTCCCTCCCACATCTCGATCTCCAGCCCCATCTTCTCCTCTAGACTCCAAACTATATTTCGGCACCTTCCTAGGTATCTCCATGTGGAGCTTCTTCCCTCATCATCTCCCTAAAACTACATGAGTCATTTCCCCAGCCCCTCACCAATAGGCACCCCTTGCCACCATCTTCATCCCTTGCTCTCCTCCAGTGGATCACAAGCCACACAAATTTTCCTTGGACGTATTTCTGGAATCGTTCACCTCGGCACATACAAGGAAGATCCTTTTTATACCCTCATGGAATCATTGCAAATAACCACTCTGCTGACTCCCATGACCTCTAGATTTTCTCTTTCCAGTCTACCCTCAATGTAGCTACAGATTGATCTTTGTAAAGCAGTCATCTGGTTGTGTCACTGCTTAACGTCTCACAGTGGCTCTGCTTTGCTCTCGGGAGAAGCCAAGCACTTGAACGTTATATGCCAGCTTGAGGGTGCTTCTCGGCCATGTCTCAAGGCAGAGAGTGTGAGGGGCCAAGAACCCCTGCTTTAGAATCCCTGTGTTTGCAGTGAAGTAATGCCTCCTGTGAGCAGCTCTCGCTGATGATTAGATTTAGTGGCAGCACTGACACAGACCCATTCTAGGAGACTTGGGATGTCTTCGTCTGCACACTTTGGTTCAAGGACTCCCAATAGCTTGACTGAAACTTCCTGAGAGTTCAAGGCAGTCTGGAATGTTTCCACTCGACTTTCTCTTTCTCCTCCATTCCAGGTCAGATTCTAGTGGGATCAGAACCCTCTGATGGCCTTCTCTGGCTCTTTCCCTTTTTCCTGTCACAAGAGTATTTATTTCCCCTAGTGAAATTCTTGAGAGTTTAATGTACAAATCACTCATCTTCTCTGAGCCCTTATCTCTTCTCTAAAATGCATCTACCACACATGTACAATTGTATTACTGAGCTTATACATGTAAGGAACCTACTGCCAAGTCTTGTATGGGATCGGTGCTCAATTTGTGTTATTTCCCTAGTCTCTAAGCCTGTGGTTATAAAGGTGTAAGATCTTCAATGCTAAAAGTCTATACCTTATGTGTTCAATGTGTTTTAAATCTGAGTCGATGTGTTTTGTCTTTTATTTTTAAACAAAGAGGGGAGGAACTGACATGAGAAAGACCACAGGAAAAACATTGTTCTAATCCAGTGTCAGAAGTGAAAAATGCTTCCACGTAGACTCTGCGTGTTGGCTTGAAAGTGACTCGCAATTGGCCCCTCGAGGTAGCAGGGCCACAATTTATCAGGACTCTAAGGCCATCAGGAAAAAAATCAAGGATAATCTTTGTTTCTTTTTCTATACTACATTGACTGATAAAGGTTATAGAGAAAGAATTATTTGTTAGCATGTTAGGAAATCATAAACACTTATAATAACTGCACACCATGGAGACAACTAAAAAATCAAAATCAAAATATAAAACAAGTAAATAATGCTGCTCCTGCTGGCCTTTCAGAAGAATAACAAAAAAGATATTTTGAATGCAAGAACAAAAACATAAATATTGTGCAAATGTCAATAAACTCTAGTCTCATATACTAAACAATGCTGATCTGTTTACCAATCACTGCTGTCACTAGTTTATTCCATTTTTCTTCTTCCTACTAAGAAGCATTTGACTCATCCCCCCAAAAATGAAACATTGTGCCAGATATGAGCCTGATGAGAAGAGAATTATGAAATTAAAGTAGTTCATTTTTGTATGTAAGATTTTCTTCCCAATTTGCGAATAGCTTGAAAAGAGCTGAGATATGTTTCAAGATCATGTTTAGATTACATGAATTTATGTGTTCTCTCACCTCCTTACAGTGGTCGTTACAAATTATGTAGTTGCAAAAAATTGTATGATATCAAAGAGTACAGCCATTTTAAAAGAAAATTAACATCTGTGAAACAAAGGAGAGAGAGGACACTGATTATTTGGGGATGTAAAGTATACAAGGTATAGAATTTGGTGTAAAATCATACTATTATTTTTAAATCTTCTTTTACTAAACAAGTCAAGTGTATTGTTTTGACCATATTGAAATGATATAGGCCAGGCGCACTGACTCATACCTGTAATCCCAGCATTTTGGGAGGCCAAGGCAGGAGGATTGCTTGAGCCCTGGAGTTGAAGACCAACCTGGTAAGCACAGGAAGACCCTATCTCTGCAAAAAAATTAAAAATTAACCAGGCATGGTGGTATGAACCTGTAGTCCTAGGTGCTTGGGAGGCTGAGGTGGGAGGGTTGGTTGAGCCCAGGAGGTCAAGGTTGCAGTGTACTATAGACCAAGGGTGAGAAAACTTTTTGTGTAAAAGGCTGGATAGTAAATATTTTGCGCTGCTCTTGTAGCACACAAGCAGCCATAGACTACACATACATGAATGAATGTGGCTACGTCCCAATAAAATTGTATTTACAAAAACATGTAGCAGGCCAAATTTGGTCCATTGGTGGTTGTTTGCCGACCCCTGCTACAGAATAGCATACATCTATGCTTCTCAAAACAGATACAACTATAGAAATGAGAAAAATAAACTAAAATGCATGTGCACAGCCTGAGGGAGCTAAGAAAAAGTCACTTTAAATAAAATTTAAGTTTAGCTGCATTTTTCATTAGCTACCAAAGACAGAAGCAATTTCCATTTGTCATAAAAGCTAACTTAAAATTCTAGACACCTGCTTGCCAGCAAGGTCCACCCACACGATGAGGAAATTCACAATATCTATATGCCAGCACTTTCTCTTCATCAGGGTTCACTGCTGCATTCTGCTATCCCATGCCTTTAAAAAGCCTGGCTTTTAAAACAGAAGTCCAAGACATAACTCTCAAGGGTATTAGCAGAATGGCTCTAACACAGAATTCTGAATTACCAGCAGCAAAAATGGCTGTTCAACTCCTTCAAACCATGGGATTGCTGTCCTAGTGGGTAGGAAAGCAAAAAGAAGGTTGTCTCCTCATTAAGGCAGAAAATCTTGAAGGAGAAGAGGGAAGAAAGGACATTAAGAGACTAATTGAAAACACTTGAAGATGGAAGCCAACAATGAGGTGGAAGAAAAAGTAAACATGATTCAACTTTCATTGAAGGAATCTCAACAAAGAAAGATGGAAACTTGCTTTGATCACTGAAGTTTTAAAATTGTACTAGTTACGTAATTTTCAATATCCTATTTGTAATGAACCAGTAATCTCCACTACTCACTTTTTGACGCCTGAGATTTGGCCTCTTACAAAGTTGGGCAGGGAGCAGACAATGCTTGGCTTTTGGTCAAGGTGCAAACTCTTTCAGGGCCAGAAACAAGATGGTACCAGGAGCGGAAGCAAGATGTCTCCCCAGCAAGCATTTGAGACTGAAGATCAGTCTCTTCTATCTTCCAAAATTCCACTGGGCAATCTCCTCTATGGATTTTTTAGATCTTCAAATTTTTTCATATATAAAATCGACTATTCTTTTGGTGTACAGTTCCATACATTTTAACACATATAGTATTTTTTTTTTTCAAGAGACAGGGTCTCGCTCTGTCACCCAGACTGACGTGCAGTGCTGCGATCCCAGTTCACTGCAGCCTTGACCTCCCAGGTTCAACCAATCCTCCTGCCTCAGCCTCTCAAGTAGCTAGGACTACGGGCACATGCCACCATGCCTGGCTAATGTATTATTTTTTGTAGAGATAGGGTCTCACTGTGTTGCCCAGGCTGGTCTTGAATTCCTGGCCACAAGCAATCCTCCTGCCTCAGCCTCCCAAAGTCCTAAGCTTACAGGAGTGAGCAACTACACCTGGCCTAAAGAGTCTTATAACCACCATCATAACCAGGATACAGAACAGTTCTATCACCCCTCAAAACTCTCTCATGCCATCATAGTCATCCCCCAACCCTAACCTATGGCAACCACCAATCTGTTCTTCATTGCAATGGTTTGTTTTTGAGAATGTCAAATAAACAGAACCATACAGTATGTAATTCTTTGAATCTAGCGTCTTGCTCATGTAGGTATATGTCTTTAAGACTCATCCAAGTTGTGTGTGTGTGTATATATATATGTATATATATATACACACACACATATGTATGTATATATATATATACACACACACACACATATGCATATACGTGTGTGGGTGTGTATATATCTATCTATATATAGATAGATAGATAGATAGATAGATAGATAGATAGATAGATTTTTTAAGAGATAGGGTCTCACTTGCCATCCAGACTGAAGTGCAGTAGCGCAATCCTAGCACACTGCAGCCCCAACCTCCTGGGCCCAAGTGATTCTCTCACCCCAGCCTCCTGAGTAGCTGGGACTACAGGTGCGCACCACCATGCCTGACTAATTTTTTTTATTTTTTGTAGAGACAGGGTCTCCCTATGTTGCCCATACTGGTCTCGAACTCCAGGGCTCAAGCCATCTTTCCTCCTCAGTCTCCCTAAGTGCTGGGATTATAGGCGTGAGCCACAGTGCCTGGCCCTGTTGTATATATTAATAGTTTGTTTCCTTTTATTGCTGAATAATAGATGATTATATAAAGTAGCAATTTTTAAGTCCATCTACTCATTAGAGGATTTTGGATTGTTTCTAGCTTTTGACTATCACAAATAAAGTTCTGAACATTCATGTATAGGTTTTCGTCGGAACATAAGTTTTCATTTCTCTAGAATAAATATAGAGAAATGGTAGTGCTCTGTCTTATGGTAAGTGTATGTTTTATTTTATACAATATGGCCAATCTGTTCTCTGTGGTTTAAATTTTCTAATCATTATACTTACTATTTTCTCATATTAAGAGATAGCACACACCCAGTGAAGCTCCCCTACATACTGGCTGAGCTCAAGCTCTTTAAGCGCTTTAAGACTATTTCCTACTTTTAAGTGTGGAGGCAATGATATTTCTTATTTTATATGTCTCATGAAGGCTAAATGAGGTGACGCTATCAAAGCTCTCAGGCCAGCATAGATGCACAAGCGGTCCTCAACCAGGGCAATTCTATTCCCAGGGGAGCTTGGCAGTATCTGCAGACATTTTCTATTGTCACAACCTGAGGAGAGCAGTGCACCCACATCAAGGGGAGAGGCCAGCTATGATGCTAAACATCCTACAATGCACCCAACAACTCCCTACAACAGAGAAGTATCCAGCCACAAATGTCACAGGGGCCAACCCCAATCTACACATAGAAAGCACTCCACAAATACCTAGTCTCATCAGCAACGTCGTCATTAAAAGGAATACTCATTGAAACTCAGCCTTGAGTTAGTCAAGAATTCAAAACAAGTAAACCTCTCAAACAAAATTCTGTCTTTAAAAGAAAAGAGTAATTACAATATCAAAGTCGAGAAAGCGAGTATATAATTAAAATAAATCATTAATAATTGTTTTACTTCAAATTTCCCAAGAAAATGTTAATATCTAAAGATTTTCTGAAGTGCCCTTGACAATCCCACATATATCTAGGGTCCTAAGACAGTTATCATCAATACTCAAAATTACAAAGAGCAAACGTTTCCACGTTTTTCACCACAACATTTTTCTTTTCAAATTTTAAAAGGCACTGAAAATGAGACATTTAAATGCATGTTAGTCATCCATTCAAATCAATTCAGCTGAAAAAGACTTTATTTAGCAGTGTTAGAGAATTGCTATAGATGTAACCTAAGATGAAGACGAGTTAACAAAAGGAATAGACTTGTCTTGTCTATTGACTTGAATCAGACTAGAATAGTCTTGTCTAAGTGAAATGCAGCACCATGTAAGCTTGGCCATCATATTTTCACAACCAGCTGTGTGACTCTGAGCCTCTCAGACATGTGTTTTCTTCATCTGCAAATAGGCACTGTGCACCACCGAGGCCCCTTCCAGGTTGAATGTTCCCTAGGGAAGTTCCATTGCCTGTCACTTTTAGTAACAGCCCTAGGGAAGAGGCTGGAGAGGAGCTTTGAGCTTCTCTGCCCCTTCTCCTGAAAGTCCCAGATCTAGGGTAAAAATCTATCTCAAGCTCTAGCCGACCCAGGCTTTCCAGGTAAATCAGGTATGTGGAGGGCTGGCAGAGGGGTAAGTGTGCAGGGAAGAATAAATATTGAGTATATTTGCCATTTAATTTTTAATGCATTTAGAATGTATTCAGAGTACATGGAGCAATCCTTGAAAGAATGCTGACGTGACGTGATTTGCATTTATTCTTTGTTTTGTTTTGGGTTTGTAACATCTTTATTAAGACATAATTCACATACCAAAGATTTCACCCATTTAAAATGTACAATTCAGTGGGTCTTAGTGCATTCAAAGAATTGTGCAGCCATCACCACAATCCATTTCCAGGCATTTCATAATCCCCCAAAGCACCCCACCATACTCCTCCTAATCCTATCACCCCACCCTCCATCAAGTTTCCCCCTGTGGATAACTGGTCAAAGCAAATTCCACAAATCCTTTAAAAGCTGCTCTATGTCCATTTTTCCTTTTTAAAGTCATTCACTGCCTTTTTTTTTTTTTTTAGTTCTGACTCGTGACATTGATTGCAAGGTTAGGACTAGGTGAGAAGAATGCTTGGTCTCTGGCACAAAGTCTAAAGGGTGCCGAATACTCCATCAACAAGAAAATTAATATTACAGTGCAATGCAATATCATAGAAAATAAAATGAGAGCGCCAGAATTTAAAATAAAGACAGGATCCACTTCCACTAGCCAGACCCAGCCCCCGACCTTTCCCTAATTCTGCCGTGAGGTCAAGGTTATTTACAAAAACAGGCAGCTGGGCTGGGCGCGGTGGCTTATGCCTGTAATCTCAGCACTTTGGGAGGCCGAGGCAGGTGGATCACTTGAAGTCAGGAGTTCGAGACCAGCCTGGCCAACCTGGTGAAACGCTGTCTCTACTAAAAATACAAAAATTAGCTGGGCATGGTGGCGGGTGCCTGTAATCCCAGCTACTCAGGAGGCTAAGGGAGGAGAATCACTTGAACCTGGGGAGCAGAGGTTGCAGTGAGCCGAGATCGTGCCATTGGACTCCAGCCTGGGCAAGAGAGCGAGACTCTGTCTCAAACAAACAAACAAGCAAACAAACAAGACCAGCCAGCTGGCACGTGGACTGTCATTTTCCAACTTCATCTTTTAAAATATTGCATGCCAATGTCACATATCTTGATTACTGAGGTTTTTTGGTGCCTCCTTAAATTTTGTGCTTCAGGCAATTGATCACTCACCTTACCCTTGTCCTAGTCCTGATGCTATTTTCATTTTCTTTTTTCTTTTTTCCTTTCCCTGATGAACTTACTTAAAAAAGAAAATGATTTTGGAAGCCTAGGGAGAGTGGTAGAAGGGAAGTGAGAATATTATGTGATCCACAGACTGGGTCCTAAGCCCATGTGTAATCGAGGTGTTTGATGTAAACATTTGGACGGAGTCACCTCCTCTACCAGAACTCAGAATTTCCAGCAGCACGATGCCCACCAGGTGTACAGAATCAAAATGCTGGAAGGTGTATTTTTTCATGATCTTAGGGCTAAGATAAGGAGAGTGCTAGTAAAATTTACTGATGCAAATTTATTTCAGTAATAAAGATTATGGAGGAACACGAAAAACAGCATTATCTAATGTGGTTCTGTGATGGAGCCAGTGGTGTAATTTAACTCAGGAATAATTTAAGGATTAAAACTCAGAGGTATTTAGGAAAAAATGTGAATGATAAATAACCCTAGAAGCCGTTGGTTGTGGCATCTAAAGAAGTTGAATTCCTGGAAGTAGAGTAGTAGAATGTTGACCAAGAGTGTTGGTGGCAGGGAGGGTTGGGGAGATGTTGATCCCAGGATACAAAATGTCAGTTAGACAGGAGGCATAAGTTCAAGGGATGTATTGTACAACATGGTGACTATAGTTCATAACAATATATTGCATACTTGAAAATTGCTAAGAGAGCAGATTTTGTGTTCTCGTCACAAAAGAATGGTAAGTATGCAAAGTGATGCATATAATAATTAACTCGATTTAGCCATTCCACAATGCATACATATTTCCAAACATCACCTTTTTACACCATAAATACATGTAATTTTTATATATTGATTTAAAAAGGAATTAACTTTAAGAAAAGAAGCCGTTGGTCTGGACAGATGCAAAATGTATACAAGATGTTGGAATATATAAATAAAAGGATATGGGAAAATTCAAAGAGATATGATAGCTGTATACCCAGTGCTTGACTGAACCCCCTCCTCACATACTAACTCTCCTGGCAGAGCAGGAGAAACTATCCCCGTGGAGAGTTTCTGTCATCAAGCTCTCAGGTACATTTGATGAAGGAGCCCCAGATCAGGGTAAGAAGTGTCCAGAACCCAGTCATAGCTCCAATAAGAGGTTCGCTTAGGTGGATAAAGCTCAAAAGTACAGAGCTTCGTGAGACAAGTGCAGATGAAACATGTCAGCACTTGAATCTTTCTTCTCAGAGAGAAGCAGGAACACTGCAGATTATTTTGCTGAATCTGGGACGCAGGAAAAGAGTAAGGAACAATGGGAAGCTGGGGTCTCCTATCTTCATTCGTCATGAGAGACAAGGGCTAGATGAGGAAAAGCAAGCAGATGGCTCTGGACAAGAGAGAACAGGAAATGCTTCCAACTTCAGGCACAATGGATAGGAGTTGTTGGCATCTGGCGGTGAGCGAGTGCTTGAGATTTTGAAGCAAGGGGCCATCCAGAGTCCACGGTGAAGCACAGGCAGAGAGCAGCACATGGGCAGGGTGCTCTGAGCTCTGCAGCTGCAGGGATGTTGTGAAGCCATGCTGAGGGTGGCTCACGTCTCTGCTCATGTGGCTACTGGGAAGGGGCAAGAACTGGAAAGCGACCCTATGTGTCTGTGTTGGACGTTTTCTGTTTGCATCTGGCAAACAGAGACTCTATGTCTCTGTCTCTTAAAAAATAAAAAATAAATTACTTTTGTTAATTAAATTAATTACTAATTGCATCTGGCTCCCTTTTCTACCTTTCTTACCCTACCTATGCTCCAGGAGTCTGACCTCAATGGTTGTATCCACAGCTTCCTGTGCCTTTGGCTTGTACTTCTTCAGATGGCGGAGGGAAGGAGCACCAGGAGACCTCAGCTTGGCTTGAGCAGGGATGTTTGGGGACAGGGCAGTCCCAGCAGCAGTCATGACAAAGCCTCACTCCTCACCTTCATAATCTGCAGCCCCAGGCCAGAGACGGGGAGTACCTCTGAGTCCTCAGGATGTTGACAGTATCATCCACATGGCCCTGGGATTTCCCAAAATGGCCAGGCCATGCATGATGTCCCACCAATATCCCCAGCCCAGTGCTGAAGATTCTGTCTTCTGTGCCTGTATAATTAATCCCAGGTTTCAGACAAGGGCCCTGTGCTGAAGAATAGCGCTGTATCATGAGCCATGGGCCATCTTCCTCCACATGAGGTTTTGGTTTAATTTTTAATTTCAATTTATTTTTTATTTTTTTAAAGACAGAGACACTGAGAGAGGGATAAACAGACTGTTTTTCTTATTATGATAAGATACATATAAAATATGCCATTTTAGCCATTTTAATTGTACAATTCAGTGGCTTCATATTTTCACAATTGTGCAGTCATCAGCACTATATATTTCCATAACATTTTCATCACCCCAATCTTCAATCTCTTTTTATTAAGACGTTTTTTGGTGAAATATCAGGAACAGTAAAAACTTGCCACCGTAACCATTTTTAAGTGTACAGTTCGGTGTCATTAAGTACATTCACACTGTTGCACAGCCATCACCACCACTCATCCCCACAACTTGTTCATTATCCTAAGCTAAAACTGCACACACTGTATAATCACTCCCGGTCCCCTCCCCTCAGCCCCTGGCAATCAGGATTCCACTTTCTGCTTTTATGGACTCAACTACTCTAAGAACTTCATAAAAGTGGAATCATAACGTATTGTCCTTTTATGTCTGGCATATTTCACTTAGCACAATGTCCTCAGGGTTCATCCATGTACCATATATCAGAACATTCCCGTTTAAGGCTGAATAAGAGGTCATTGCATGTACATGTACATTTGTTTATCCATTCATCTGTTGACCCACATTTGAGTTATTTCCACCTTTTGGCTATTGTGAATAATGCTGCTATGAACATTGACATACAAGTACCTGAGTCCCAGTTTTCAATTCTTTGAGGTATATACCTGCAAGTAGGATCACGGGATTGTATGGCAATTTTATGTTTAGCTTTTTTAGCATCTCCACGTAAGCTTCATCCCTTTTTTCAATAATACAAAAGGTTGAAATCCTTGACCTATATTTCCATTATTATGTAATTTTAACAGATACCAAACCTGTAAGAATTTCCAGTGGAACATTTTAAAGAGCTTTTAAAAATATATACAGCCCCTGGGGTAGAACGGAATTAGAGTCAAATTCTCAGTTCCTGACTGACCAATACTCATTCCTTATGCCATTGTTGATAATTCAGTAAAACAATAGATGTGTCTTTATTCTTGTGAAATTGAAGTTTCTGAGACATCTTGTTCAACCTTCCTTCTTCTGGCGAAGTAGTCAGTTTTATACTACTATTTTGGGGGATATAATTGTGTGAAAAACTTCTTCTCTTGAGCATGAAAGCCCTGCCACACCCACACAGGAAGATGAGATGGGAGACAGACAAAACCTGTAGCATTTCTCCATTCTTTTAGCCCACACCTGCACTAAAATAACCTCCGTCAGATCCTCACCCGGAGCAGCTCTCTTTCTTTTTCCCCATGAAGCCTAACAAAGCATCCTGGATAACTGTGTACTTCCTGCCTCACAAATAAGAAGGGAATTATTTATCATCTGGCTAGACAGGTGCAGAATCTTAGAAGCCCTGATTCCTATTGAAATCCGGGGCCAGAGCACGACGTCAACCATGCCTCCCTGTCTGGGACCCACACCAATGGTGAGGTGAGCGGTGCTGGGAGTACACAGCCTGTCTAGTTCTTTCTCAAGATTGACATGTCAACTCCATGAAACTCGGCATTGCTCTCATAAACATCATCTCCTAAGCTCATCTTGGCATCAGATCTGTACGATGGCAGGAGTGCTGGGGAGGCTGGCACACCCATGCGAATTTGTTTGGAGCCGGGAGAGACCTGTCGGGGGCACTGGGTTATGCCTTAGATAGTAGGGCTTTGCTAACACCTGGGATATTGAGTCTGGAACTCCCATGGGACACAGCTGCCCTGGTCCCAACTTGGAATCAGATGCTTCCAAAGAGAATAAAGAAATGTCAGCTCCTTTCATTAAAATAGTCAAATCCACTGCATACAAACTGAATGCGGTTATAATGCTGGACAAAAACTTTTTCTTCCTTTTTTCCCCCTAATTTCAGGGGGAAAAATGCTTAGAGTTTTAGAAAGATTTTTTTTCAGAAATCTTTTGCCTTCAGAGGTGGAGGATTACTTTGTAACAGTCACACAGGAAAACTGTCCTTAGACACACAACACAATGGTTCTCAGATTTTAGATGGCCACCAATCCCGTTCTGTGTGCTGGTTTAAAATGCAGATTCTTAGGCTCCACCTCCAGAAGATTCTGATCCTTTAGGTTGGAGCACAGCCTAAGAATCTGTGTTTGTAGCCCACTCCAGGGCATTCTGATGGAGGTGGTATAATTGGTCTACTATTGCTGCTATAACAAATTACCACAAACCCAATGGCCTCCAACATCATGAATTTATTATCTCACAGTTTGGCAGGCCAGAAGTCTGATAAGAGCCTTGCTGCACTAAGATCAAGGTGTCAATAGGGCTGTTTTCCTTCTAGAGTGGAGAATCTGCTTTCAAGCCACCTGCATTCCTTGTCTGACGGCCCCTTCATCTGTCTTCAAAGCAGGCAGCCTTATCTCTCGGACCCTGCTTTCTTCCTCATATCTGTTTCTTTCTCTCTAACCTCAGTTGGGCAGGTTCTCTGATGTTAAGAATACTTTAAGATAACATCAGGCCCTCTAGATGATTCAAAATACTCTCATCCCAGGGTCTCTAATCTTACTTACATCTGCAAAAATCCCTTTTGTGGTCTAAAGCAACATATTCACAGGTTCTGGGCCGTAAGCGTCTTTCCAGGGCAAAGGATTGGGCATTATTCTGTCTACCACGGGGAATCTGCAGGCCAGATTTAGAAAAACCTGCAAGCGACAGCGTGTATTCCATTTTTCTGGTCGCCCACAGTACCCATAAACCAGTGGTTCTCCACTGGGGAAGAGGGGTAATTTTTTAGCCCCAGGAATATTTTGCAATGGCTAGAGGTATTTTAGGGTTGTTACAGCTGGGAAATGGGGGTTCTCCTGGCATAGAGTGAGTAGAGGCCAGGGCTGCTGCTGAACAGCCCACACAGCAGGGTGGCCCCCACCGTAAAAAAGAATTATCTGACCCAAATATCAATAGTACCCAATTTGGAAAACTCTGCCATTAGCAGAGATGAGGAATTAAGGACATATTAATAAGCAAATTTATTCCTTTATATTCATCAATAGCTTTGCTCTGTCTAACCTGCCATTACATTGACAGAGTTCTCTTTAAGTCAATCAGATCTATATTTACCATCTTAAAACTACAGGTTTACTTGGAGCTTTCTCATCTACACTACTCCCTTCAAATTCCATTCCTTTCGTAAGTTTTGAAACATTTTAAATACCATGTCAGATCAGTGCATTCGTTTGCTAGGGTTGCCTTTGGGGGACTTAACAGAAATTGTTCTCTTGCCATCCTGGATGCTGGAAGTCCGAGATCCAGGTGTGGGCAGGGCTGGTTCCTCCTGAGACCTCTCTCCTTGGCTTGGAGATGCCCTCTTTCGCTGTGTTCTCAAATGGTCATCCTTCTGTGTTTGTCTTTGTCCTAATCTCCTCTTCTTATAAGGACACCAGTCCTGTTGGATCAGGGCTCGCCCAAATGACTTTATTTTACCTTAATCATTTCTTTAAAAGCTCTATCTCCAAATACAGTCACATACTGAGGTCCTGGGGGTTAGGACTCCAACATCTGAATTTAGAGGAGCACAATTCAGCCCATAACAATACATGAAAATACCTTCTCTTTAAAACACAGAATTGGGAATGATTAAGATAATGATTATAAAAGACATTCAAAAATCTTAAGATACTAAATCAATATATAGAACTAAGCTGAGCATTTTTTTTTCTTAATAGTTTTGAAGAAAACAGTATACCTCTTACCTGTGAAGCTATGATACACATTCACAAACAAGCCAGGCTTCTTGATCACAAGGCACAAAAATTGAATCAATTTGCTAATTTTAAAGCCAGGCTAATAATTTCTACTCTTAACTTTTGATTTATTTGTTTCTTTGTTTGTTTTTGCTATAAAAGCACATAAGGAGACTCAATTTTAGATACAGTGACCCATTTGTCACCGTATCCAAAATTATCTGAAATCAAATTAAGAACATCACCCAGAGTTCAAAAGCACTCAGTGGAGATGAGTTTGCAATGTCGCAGAGAAGGTAGTCTTGCACTCCATTTTACAATTTCCTTTAACTCCCCAGCATTATCTTTGGCATCTCGATGAAATTTCACTGGGTGTTGTAGGGCAATCCCAGATAGAAAAGCGCCCAATATGGACTTTTCTGTTTTATTTTATTGATTGATTTTTTTTTTTTTAGAGACAGGGTTTCTCTCTGTCTCCCAGGCTAGAGTGCAGTGGCATGATCAAAGCTTACTGCAGCCTCGAACTCCTGGGCTCAAGTGATCCTCTCAACTCAGCCTCCTGAGTAGCTGGGATCACAGGCTTGCCCCACCACATTTGGCTAATTTTTAAATTTTTTATTTTTGGAGACGGAGTGTCATTATGTTTCCCAGGCTCTTGAACTCCTGGGCTCAAGCGATCCTCCTGCCTCAGCCTCCTGAGTAGCTGGGACTACAGATATGCACCAACATGCCCAGCTAATTTTTTGTAGAGACAGAGTCTCACTATGTGGCCAGGGCTGGTCTCAAATTCCTGGCCTCAAGCAATCCTTCTGCCTCTCAAAGTGCTGGGAATACAGGTGTGAGTCATCTCGCCCAGACAATGTGGATCTTTCAAGCCCTTTCCTAAAGACAAGGAAGGAGAGAGGAAAAATACACCCAGTGTTGCTTTTGACCAGGGAAAGGTAAAATGCCTGCTTCTTACCTTAATGAACAGGCCACAGACAGGACCCCCCTTGTGGGTACCATGATCTGAGATGTCAGTGACTATGAGTTTCCATGGGAACACATCCCACATGAATGCAGGCAAATCCTTTCTGCCTGCACGTGGGGACAGCGGATGGCAGCACCATGGTCATGCCAGGCTCAAACTGTTGCACCGGCCTCTGCAGCAGGGTGTCCCACAGCCAGGCTGCATTTCAGCTAGGGGATGCTCTCCTGCTCCTGTTTATTTCCACAAACAGGACCTGGTAGGAGATACATGGAGGCTCAGTTGGATTTATTTTGCTTTAACAAGACTCAGTGACAGACGCCAATGCAGGTGAAGTGTACTACGTACGGCTCCACTCTGTGACACCCATGTCACCTTGGCTTGGAGAGGCTGTCTCTGTGGAAGACAATCCCATCTGCAAGCTCCATGGCATTCGTGCTGAGGTCTCCTTTCCATCTAGAAAGGACTCAGACTCATTTCCCCTTAGTTTATCTTTTATGTATTTTTCACAGCCAGATTCCTTTTTAAAGGTCTTTGGTTGGACATCTGCCATTTATGTTTGCGACCGTCACTTGGTGTGCACTGCTTGGGGAATCGGATGGGTAATATGTCCAACAGCTCCATAAGCTTGGGTAACTTTCCAGACATCCCTTTCCTAATTGCAGTTTGCTTATGTCTAATGTGTGAGCAACACTTGGCCTTATAGTCCAGGCAAAGCTGCTTCTTCGCTTATTTTTTATTTTTATTTTTATTTTTGCTTTGATCTGACCACGATGGGTTAGATGTAAGCATGCAGCTCTAGTAGGTCTGGGTGTTTCTAATGCAATGTTAAATAATCCAAAGTCCCTGCCTTCTTGGAGCAGCATCTGAGCAGGATGCAAATAGGCACACATTACGCAGTGGTTAGGGAACTAACCAGTGACGGGTATGTTGGCTGCGTCACATACAGGGCTCATCTCACCCTCTGAAGGGCCTACCACTTGTCACTTTACAATTGAGGAGATGGAGGCTCATGAGAATTCATGAAACGTGCTCCAGATCACATCCAGACAAAGTAACAGCAGAGCTGGAGGACAGCCCAGTTCAGCTGACCACATACGGCACGTGAAGGCTATGAGAGCTGCTCCACGGAGGAGAGAATACACAGAAATTAGCACAGTTGCTCTTCTGTTGTTTAGATCTATCAGTTGCCATCCTGCTTCTCTGCCCATAAGCTCCTCCTTCCCTCTTTCCTCCATCTCATGAGAACTAGATCACAGACTTTGGCTGATTGGCATTTTGTGGCCTCCCACTGCGTGGTGAGCACAGGCACAAATGATGCAAACCTCTCATCTAGAAGACACGTTTCATGGCACAGCTGACCTGCTGGGAGACCCAGCTCTGTTTCAGACCAAGCAGCTCCCTTCAACAGCCATTGAGCTCCATACTGTTTACATTTACTGTATGGTGCTCAGGTTGGTGTATAATCCTCCTAATAGCCAAACTGCAGGGTTTCTTCTCAACCCTGCAATTATATCTTACGGCTTCAAAAGGCAGCCCTTTTAGTTCAGCCTTTGGTGTTTCAGGGAACTGAGTACCTTTCTCTATCAGCCAGTCTCTTTTGTAAGGCACAGTCTCTTTCATAAACTTGTTTGTTGTTGTTGTTGTTATTGTTGTTGTTTTCCTTTTTGTGGAGAACCGGATCTTGCTATGTTGCCCAGGCTAGTCTCGAATTCCTGAGCTGAAGCAATCCTTCCACCTTTGTCTGCCTAAGTGCTGGGATTACAGGCATGAGCCACCATACCAGGCCAGTCTCTTTTTTATAGCTAATGCTGGCAATGACATTTAATAGTTATTAATGCCCCAAATTGCATCTTACTTTATTGTTGTCCAATAAGGTTCATTACAGCTGATTATCTCAAATTACCCAGGTTCGCTTAGCACTCATATAAAAACACCTCCACCTCCTCCTTAACAAAAACAAACAAAAAAACTTTAAGATGGAATTTTTTTCTGATTTTGTCCAAAAGTACAGCCTATGCTTTTATGCATTGTTTCCTAGTTTTCTAGTGTACAATTAGAAAGATGTTTAATCTGAAGGAATGCGAGCTTGCCCTAGCTTTGAATTTGGTCTCTCGTTTGGCAACTTTGAACTGTCTCACTGAGCCTGCAATTGCCTGCAGTTGAAATTCTTCCACATGCCCACAGAGAGGGAAGCACATAGATGTTTTCTACAGCAATGATTGGTGCAGAAAACAACAAGTCAAATGAACAAATACCTAAGATACAGCAATAGGGAAATGGATCGATGCTCATACATTCACAAAATGAAATCCCCATGGCAATTAAAACAAATACGCTGGAGTTGTTCATGTAGACATGGGTCAACTTGAAAACACCATGTGGAATGGAAAAAAAAAGAAGCTGAAAAGTCTTTGGTAAAATAAATCATTTATGTGAATTTTTAAAAATTTAGAAAAACCTTTATAGAGTAAGGGCCTGGAAAGATCATGTAAACAGCATTGACCGGCTCTGGGAGAAAGGGAAGGAATGGCGGCTGGAGAACCACGTCTGGGCTACTGTGTTTCTTTTAAAATGTTCTAGCGCAACTACGACAAAATGTAAAATTGTGTTAAAGCTTTTTGCGGAGTACCTGTATAAATTAGATTGTGTACTATTCGAGGAGTTATTAGTAATAATAACTTGGAGGGGAGAAGAATTTAGGGAACATAAGGAACATCGCTGTTCCTTACTATTTGGAAATCTTGCTAAAAAATCATCGTAATGTCAACTGGATTGCCAAAGGAGCAGTACAACTCTTCAAAATTAATAATGTTCTCATATTATTAAGGATTTCTTGGTTCTTCTGAAGAATTATGACCTCAAGTTCTACTAAAGTAATCTTATGTTCATCTTCAAAAAATAATGAGTACTCTATTGACCAGAGAAAGCATTTCTTAGTGTTTTACCTGAGACCCTGTTACTAACAACAGTAGTTCTGTATTATCCATTATTTAAAGGAACATAGAAATTTCTTTACAGCATATATATTGCAGTCTCTGAAAATAAAGGAAAACACTAGAAAAAAGTTGCAAAAACAGACTGGATTAGTCTAGGAATTTGCTTATTGGTGTTTAATTAATTATGCACTACACTGGTGAGCACAAGTGAGCTACTATTATCACAGATGGTAAGAAAATTTTTCTTTTCCTCTTCCTCAAATGACCTTGTAACTGTAAATACAGAAATATTGAGTTTCAAAGTTGGTAAATAAAAATTGGAGTCTGTAGCAACAATGGGAAATAAGGACCACCGATAGTTACTATTTATTTTTCCCAAACATATCATTAGCAGAAGCAACATTTCTAATAACAAGAGATTTCTATTTACAGCCACCGGGATAATATATGAAAATATTCACTACTAGTTCTATAATTGTCTATTTAAAATTTTGCGGAGTACCTCTACTGATCTCATTTTGGGGATGGTTGTTGATCATTACGCTCACTTACAATAAATGATGGGGAAAGTCTGTCATAAAGCATTTTATATTTGTAGCTTCTACCCTTCTCTTGCTCTGTCTTCAGACTATTTCTTTGGCCCCATAAATACTGGATGATATAGTACTTGCTGGGTGCAGAATCATTCTCCTCCAAATATTTGTTCACAAATAGAAAGAAAGAAGGGAAAACAGACTGGTTCCTTGGCAAATATTAAGAGCAAATGCCTTCACATTGACAATATTCATCCAGATGAGAATGGCCATTAACCTCACTGTCCAGAGATTCAGACGATCGGAGGAAAAAAACCCATGGGAACTTAGGAAGATGAATACGTGAAATTCTATTAAATAAAATTGACCTTAGTAGTTTTCTTTCATCTAAACAGCTGCTCCCCAGTGAGAATTCCCATTGTTCTATTGGGTAATAGATACTGAAAGAGACTCATTCTTGCTTAATCCTATAATAAGCAAGCTACTTCTTGAGATATAGAGGGTTTACCCAAGTGAACCAAGTTAACTCTTTCAAAATGACAACTGCCACTTCTGAGTGTGCCCCCCAAAGTTCTTTCACCTCATAACAGGTGATCCTCTGAGGTGTTTATGCACATAAATATTTGATTAAACTGTTGCCTTATTTCTTTTCTTAGGAAATCCTCACATTTTTCACTTATTGGTTTAATATCATGATATTTAAATTCAGGTCAATGTCACAGAGCTCATAATAACCCTAAACTTTGGCACATAGCATAGAAAATTTTGGTAGATGAAAGCTCCACTGTGGTTTCCTAGTTTGCAATTGAAGCATTTCTTCTTCATACACCACTGGAGCAGAAAATACCTCATTTTCCCAACCTGCATGTAAAACCAAATGCAGAGATTGCTACTGATCACCTTCCCTTTGTTCACTCATTCATTTGCCATGCATGTGTTTGAGCTCCTACAGGGCTGTACCCGTAGTAGATGCTGGGGATTGTGCAGTGAACAGAATTAAAGCTGCTGTCATCAAAAGCACAGGTATCCATGGGTAAAACAAGCACATGGCACTAGGAAAGAGAGGCAGAGCGCTGAGCAACAGTGACATTTTACACAGGTTGAGCAGGAAACGCAGAGACTGAAAGGAGCACAATGCCGTGGGGAGAATGTTTCTACAGAGCGCAAGGCACTGGCACTGGCCCTGGGACCAGAGAGGGCTTCAGATGCTTCAGGATGAGCAAGAGGCCAATATGGGTGAGACGGGGATGGGGTAGCAAGGGGGACTTGCTGGAAGGAAGAGCCCAGCAGCAGGAGCCAGCCACAGACACCCTAGCAGGCATCGTAAGAACATTCCTGAGTGCATCGAATGAGGTGGGAAGCTGTTAGAATGTTTTGAGGACACGGTAGCCATGAACTAACTTATATTCTGAAAGAATCACCCTGCATCGAAAAGAGAAAAGAAAAAGTTTACAGGGAAGAAACCTGGCAGGCACCACCTGAACCAAGCGATCAAAGTCAACATCACCAGGGCGAAGCCACATGGCTATCGCGTACCCTCGAATATGGTGAGGAGAAGGGCACCTCTCCTCGGTCATGTCCTTCCCCAAATCCCAAAACCCCAGTCTAATTGTGACAAAACATCAGTCAGAATCAAATTGAGAGACTTTCTATAAAACACCAGACAAGGACTCCTTAACACTGTCAAGGTCATGAAAGACAAGGAAAGTACAATAAATTGTGACAGATCAGAGGGGACTAGAGGATATGATCATGACCAAATGCAGTGTGGGATCTGGATTTGATGCTGGAACAGAGAGAGGTGATTAGTGGAAAAACTTGGAAAATCCCAATACAGTCTCTAATATCGTTAACAGTATTGTAGCAATGTTAAATTCTTCGTTTTGACAGATGTACCATATTTTTGTTTGTGCTGCAGTAACAGAATACCACAGCCTGGGTAATTTATAAATTTGTTTCTCATAGTTCTGGAGGCTGGGAAGTCAGTGTCTGGTGAGGTCTGATCTCTGTTTCCAAGATGATGCCTTGAAAGCTGTGTCACCCAAAGTCCTATTTTTTGCTTCATAAATGACAAGTTGAACTGCTTCCCTATTGACCAATGGAACAAAATGCTTGTGAATCAAACTTTGTGTAAGCTTCTCCTTTTCCCATGGGTACCTGAACTTCGACCCCACCCTCAGCTTGCGCCAGCAGACCGCCCCTCCTAAGACCAGGCTGGGCTAAGGGTAAGGCATTCTCTGACTGTCCTATAACATCATCCTGCATCTGACTCCCCAACACCTGGCTCTTACTCTTGTTTACTTCTTATAAAAGCAAAACCCTTTTTGCCTAACTCTTGAGACATGCCCATAAGCAATCTCCCTACTGCAAATACTTCCCCTCCCCTAATTGCAATCCTCCCTCCCTCGCAATTACCTGTAAAGTCTCTCCTTGCTAAGCCCTTTGTTTCCTACTTGACAGTATCCTTTAAGAACATTAAGACTTGAACCACTTTCTGCAACTTCCCCTTGAATTCATGCCTCACTTTGGAGAGTGGAATGGTACCCTACAGAAAGGACAGATGATGGATCTTTATAAGGCATTGTGATGTGCTCTCCCCAGCAGTAAGTTTCCATTCAAATTAGAGTCCTGAAAGCCTCAGGAAATAGCCAGGAGAAGGACTATATAAAAAAAATAAAGTTTACGAACCAAAGAAAAGTCTAAGTGAAATAATGCAGCCCTTTTCTTTCTGTCTTATTTAACAGTTCAAAAAAGACCCCCTTAAAACATTAATGTAAATTATGTACCCTCAGATTTAATTTGAGTTATAGTCTGCCAGTAAGAGAATCGCAGGGACACTGTGGCTTGGAGCTTTCCAGCCTCGTAAACTATTTATGTAAATCTCTCTCTACAGGACTCAAGAATGCTATGCTAAGGCTAGAATGAAAAGGAAAAAAAATCTCATTGACTGTACTAAATCCCTGTGAACTTTGCCTTTGGGGGTAGATTTGGTTTATTCAGTTGATTATTTTCTTGAGCCAAAAGAGCTTTTTCCAGAGTCTCCAACCCCTGTTTTTATTTTAGCGGTAATAATGTCCAGATTGAGCCCTTTGGCATGGAACACTTCCCCTTTGTGGCCTGTGGTTTACTATGCAAATGGGTTGCAAGTGAACAGATGTAGCTGATGGGTCAAAATCTCAGAATCATCAAGGATCTTGGAAAGGAACCCTGTTTTAAGGAAATACAATGGGCAGCGTGAAATATGTACATATGTGTATGGGTGTGTACACACTTTATACATTTATATATACACACACACACATATTATATGCAGATGCATATACATATACATATTCCATGACAGATTCCCAGCTCAGCAATCCTGGTTATTCAACATTCTGTCTACTAAGACCAAGCCTGGTCTTGTCCTCAGTAAACAAGGGGGCATCTATCTGTTTTATCTAAGTCATATAGGGAAAGGTAGCTGTTTGCAGTAAGCTATTTCCAGAACTCCAAGAGTTGGGGGGTCTCTTTACTATCACTGTTTCCAAGGATACTAGGGCTCGGGTAAAGTTTGACAAAGTCAGTTGCAATGAAATAAAAGTCAAAAGTATGTAATCAAATGATAAGATGGGACCTTTAGAGGTGACAGATGAGTATCTAAGCAACCAGGAAAGCCTGCTCTTAATTGACTCCCAGAAAAACACACAAAGGAGAGAAAAAACATTTTGCAATTTCTCAAAGTCAAATAATTGCTGTCATCTCATGCCCCAAGAATGAGAAATCCTGTCTGTGGCTGGAAATTTTACTAACTGAAAAGTGACGATCAAAATGCGAATGCCACCCTGGCATTTGGAGCCTCCAAGACATTAAAATGTGTAAGAATATCAAATACTCGATCCCATAAGTCTTTTGACCTTTCTTGGAGGTGAAATTTGAGGGAGCTGACCACAGAGATGAAAGCTGCCCTTATTTCCCATCATAGTAGACTCATTTTATTTTACTCTCGATTAAAAAATATATTTTACAGTTCTTCTTTAAAAGGTCAGTGCTTCTGGGAGAGACTTCAAGATGGGAGCTGATCAGAAATTAGCAGGACCCAGCAACCCCACTTCTGGGTTCCATTCAAAGGAAAAGAAATTTTGTGTCAAGAAAACCCAGGCAGACTCACATGTTCATCACAGCACTATTCACAATACCAAAGTCATAGAATCAACCTTAGTGTCCATCAATGATGGCTGGATAAAGAATGTGTGATACATACGCACCATGGAATGCTATGCAGCCACAAAAAAAGAATGAAATCATGTCCTTTGCAGTAACATAGATAGAGTTGGAAGCTATTATCCTACATGAAATAACTCAGAAAGTCAAATACCACATGTTCTCACTTATAAGTAGGAGTTAAACAATGGGTGCACATTGACATAAAGATGGAAACAATAGATACTGGGAACTCCAAAAGGGAGAAGGGTGGGAAGGGGGTCAGGGTCTTTAAAATTATCTATTGGGTGTCCTTGATGAACATAGAGGCAAAAATCCTCAACAAAACACTAGCACACCAAATCCAGCAGCACATGAAAAAGCTAATCCACTACGATCAAGTAGTTTTTATTCCTGGGATGCAAGGTTGGCTCAACATATGCAAATCAATAAATGTGATTCATCATATAAACCAAACTACAAATGAAAACCACATGATCATCTCAATAGATGCAGAAAGGCTTTCAATAAAATTCAATATCCCTTCATGTTAAAAATCTTCAAGCATTGAAGGAACATACCTCAAAATAATAAAAGCCATCTATGACAAACCCACAGCCAACATCATACTGAACAGACAAAAGGTAGAAGCATTCCCTTTGAGAACCAGAAAAAACAAGGATGCCATCTCTCACCACTCCTATTCAACATAGTACTGAAAGTTCTGGCCAGAGCAATTAGGCAAGAGAAAGAAATAAAAGGCATGTAGATAGGAAGATAGGAAGTCAAAATACCTGTTTATAGATGATATGATACTATACCTAGAAAACTCCATAGTCTCTGCCCAAAAGCTCCTAGATCTGATAAAGAGCTTCAGCAAAGCTTCAAGATACAAAATCAATGTACAAAAATAAGTAGCATTTCTATACATCAACAATATCCAAGCTGACAGCCAAATCAAGAATGCAATCCCATTCACAATAGCCACAAAAGGAATAAAATACCTAGGAATATAGCTAACTAGGGAGGTGAAAGATCTCTACAACGAGAATTACAAAACACTGCTCAAAGAAATCAGAGATGACATAAACAAATGGAAAAGCATTCCATGTGCGTGGATAGGAGAAATCAATATTGTTAAAATGGCCATACTGTCCAAAGCAATTTACAGATTCAATACTATTCCTATGAAACTACCAGTAACATTCTTCACAGGAATAGAAAAAAATATTTTAAAATTCATATGGAACCAAAAGAGAGCCTGAATAGCCAAGGCAATTCTAATCAAAAAGAACAAAACTGGAGGCAACATGCTACCTGACTTCAAACTACCCTATAAGGCTGCAGTAACCAAAACAGCATGGTACTAGTTCAAAAATAGACATATAGACCAGTGAAACAGAATAGAGAGCCCAGAAATAATGCCACACACCTACAAACATTGGTCTTTGACAAAGCTTGACATAAACAAGCAATGGAGAAAAGATTCCCTATTCAATAAATGGTGCTGGAATAACTGGCTAGTCATATGAAGAAGATTTAAACTGGACCCCTTCCTTACACCATATACAAAAATCAACTCAAGATGGATTAAAGACTTAATTGTAAAACCTAAAACTCTAAAAAACCTGGAAGATAACCTAGGAAATACCATTTGAGACACAGACCCTGGCAAAGATTTCAATGCAAAGATGCCAAAAGCAACTGCAACGAAAACAAAAAATGATGAATAGGATCTAATTAAATGAAAGAGCTTGTGCACAGCAAAAGAAACTATCAACAGAGTAAAGGGACAACCTACAGAATGGGAGAAAATTTTTGCAAACTATGTATGCAACAAAGGTCTGTTACCAAGAATCTATAAGGAATTTGAACAAATTAACAAGCAAAAAAAAAAAAAAAAAACCATTAAAAAGTGGGCAAAGGACATGAACAGACACTTTTCAAAAGAAGACATATATGTGGCCAACAAGCATATTTAAAAAATGCCCAACATCACTAATTGTATTAATTCATTTTCACACTGCTGTAAAGAAATATCTGAGACTGGGTCATTTATAAAGAAAAGAGTTTTAATTGACTCACAGTTCCACATGGCTGGGGAGGCCTCAGGAAACTTACAATCATGGCAGAAGGCACCTCTTCACAGGGTGGCAGGAGAGAGAAGAGAGAGCAAAAGGTAAATAACTCCTTATAAAACCATCAGATATCATGAGAACTCACTCACCATCATGAGAATAGCATGCGGGAAACTGCCCCATGATCCAGTCACCTCCATCCCTTGACACACGGGGATTACAATTCAAGATAAGATTTCAGTAGGGACACAGGGCCAAACTATATCATTCTGTCCCTGGCTCCTCCCAAATCTCATGTCTTTTCACATTTCAAAACCAAACATGCCTTCCCAACAACAGTCCCCGAAAGTCTTAACTAATTTCAGCATTAACTCAAAAGTCCACAGTCCAAAGTCTCATCTGAGACAAGGCAAGTCCCTTTTTCCTAGGAGCCTGTAAAATCAAAAGCAAGCTAGTTACTTCCAAGATACAATGTGAGTACAGGCATTGGACAAATGCTCCCATTCCAAATAGGAGAAATTGGCTAAAACAAAGGGGCTACAGGCCCCGATCAAGTGCAAAATCCAGCGGGGCAGTCATTAAATCTTAAAGCTCCAAAATGATCTCCCTTGACTCCATTTCTCACATCTGGGCATGCTGGGAGCAAGAGTTGGGCTCCCATGGCCTTGTGCAGCTCCTTCGTGGGCTGGTGTTGAGTGCCTGTGGCTTTTCCAGGTGCATAGTGTAAGCTGTCAGTGGATCTACCATTCTAGGGTTTGGAGGACGATGGCCCTCTTCTCACAGCTCCACTAGGCAGTCCTCCAGTGGGTCTCCGTGTGGGGACTCCAACCCCACATTTCCCTTCCACACTGCCCTAGCAGAGGTTCTTCATAAGGGCTCTGCCCCTCCAGCAGACTTCTGCCTGGGCATCCAGGCATTTCAATACATCCTCTGAAATCTAGGCTCCCAAATTAGGTTCCCAAGTCTCAATTATTGACTTCTGTACACCCTCAGTCCCAACATCATGTGGAAGCCACCAAGGCTTGGGGCTTGCACCCTCTGAAGCAATGACTCATGTTGTACCTTGGCCCTTTTTAGCCACAGCTGGAGATGGAGCAGCTGGGATACAGGGTACCAAGTCCTAAGGCTGCACAGAGCAGTGGGGGCCCTGGGCTTGGCCCAGGAACCATTATTCTCTGCTAGGCCTCCAAGCCTGTGATGGGAGAGGTTGCTGTGAAGACCTCTGGCATGCCCTGGAGATATTTTCCCCATTGTCTTGGCTATTAACATTCGCTCCTTGTTACTTATGCAAATTTCTTCAGCCAGCTTGAATTTCTCCCCAGAAAATGGGCTTTTCTTTTCTACCTCATGGCCGGCTGGAAATTTTCCAAACCTTTATGCTCTGCTTCCTTTTTAAACATAAGTTCCAATTTCAGATCATCTCTCTCAAGTTCAAAGTTCCACAGATCTCCAGGGCAGTGGCAAAATGCTGCCAGTCTCCTTGCTAAAGCATAGTAAGAGTGACCTTTGCTCCAGTTCCCAACAAGCTCCTTATCTCTGTCCAAGACTACCTCAACTTGGACTTCATTGTCCATATCACTATCAGTATTTTGGCCAAAACCATTCAACAAGTCTCTAGGAAGCTCCAAACTTTCCCACATCTTCCTGTCTTCTTCTGAACCCTGAAAACTTTTCCAACCTCTGCCCATTAAAGTTCCAAAGTCACTTCCACATTTTCAAGTATCTTTATAGTAGTACCCTACTCTCTGCAGTACCAATTTGTTACCAGTGGAAGAGATCCAAGTTACCCAGGTTACCAGCAGTAATCCGTACACACCCACAGCAACTTCAGTCCTTGCCTCTTCAGAAGAAAGAATTTGACCAAAAGGCATAAAGCAGAAAGGGAGACCAAGGTAAGTTTCAGAGCAGGAGTGGACGTTTATTTAAAAGCCTTTAGAACAGGAAAGAAAGGAAAATTCACTTGAAAGAGACCCAGAGACCCAAACGGGCACCTGAAGGTCCAAGAGAGAATAGAGAGCAAAAGAAAACAGCAAAAACGAGGCGTTTAACCTGGATCCTAGGCTCACCTCTTTCCCACGATTCTTCCCTTGGGGCAGCCCACATGCGCAGTGTCTTCCTTACCTTTTATAACTGTGCACACACGCAGTGTGTTTAGGGAGTTGGTATGCATGCCCATCTGAGGCTTTCTTCCCTTTTCCAGTGGAATATACCTGGAAGATCATACTTTGCCATTTTTGTTTGTTTGTTTGTTTTTGACACAGAGTCTTGCTCTGTCGCCTAGGCAGGAGTGCAGTGGCACCATTTCGGCTCACTGCAACTTCCGCCTCCCAGGTTCAAGTGATTCTCCTGCCTCAGCCTCCCAAGTATCTGGGACTATAGGCGCATGCCACCATGTCCGGCTAATTTTTCATATTTTTAGTAGAGACGGGGTTTCACCGTGTTAGCCAGGATGGTCTTGATCTCCTGGCCTCGTGATCCGCCCACCTCGGCCTCCCAAAGTGCTGGGATTACAGGCCATTTTTTTTGTCTCTTAACACGCATGCCCAGGAAGTTGCTTCTCTGTGGGGCCTGCATTCAATTAACAGTTTGATGTTAACAGGTGTGGACCATCAGGAAATGATCTCTCCCTAGCACTGCCAAACTATCATTTTTAGAGAGGCAATGTGATAATTGCCAAACCATCACCTGACATGTATAATGGGTGGGGAGAGAGCCCTCGCCTGCCCCACTCATACCTAACTACCTATAACGAATTTACTGTAGTAGTCCATTTTCACACTGCTGTAAAGATACTACTGAGACTAGGTAATTTATAAACAAAGGAGGTTGCCAGAAAGATGTCAGAGCCCTGGCAGTGGGAAGTGGTCAACTCACAGGTTGGTAAAAAGAATTTACCAACAACAGTATAGGTTTGAAAAAGGAAAGTTTATTAGGAAGGAAGAACACTACATTGGGTGCCTCAGCAAGAGGACTGAGCATGCCTCGGTGGATTTTTCCTTAGCGGTATCAATAGACCTTAAGGCAGGAGCTCAGGGTTGTAAAATGAGTTTCAGCACATTCCAGAGATGCAGAGAAATTTTAGTTACTTATAAAAGTTGAAAGAGGCCTGGAACCAGATGCCAACTTAGATACCAGGGAAATTGAGTTACTTCTAAATTCCCAGATAAGAAGTTTTGCCTCCAGGCCCATTTGATGGTCACCAGGAGGTGTTTGTTGCCTTCTAAATTTTTCAGATAAGGAGTTTTGCCTCTGGATGATCTGTTTGATGGTCACCAAGCGGTCTTTGCTCTCTTCTAAATTCCTCAGATAAGGATTTTTTTTTTTTTTTGTCTCCAGGGCCTGTTCAATGGTCACCAGGTGATTTTTCACAGTTCCACGTGGCCGGGGAGGCCTCAGGAAACTTACCATCATGGCAGAAGACAAAGGAGAAGCAAGTAGCTTTTCACAAGGTGGCAGGAGAGAGAAGAGGGAGTGAAAGGGGAAGAGCCCCTTATAAAACCATCAGATCTCATGAGAACTCACTCACTATCAAGAGAACAGCATGGGGGAAACCCACCACATGATCCAATCACCTCCCTCCCTCCAGGGATTACAAGTCCCTCCCTTGATCCACGGGGATTACAATTTGAGATGAGATTTGGGTGGGAACATAGATCCAAACCATATCACTAATCATTAGAGAAATGCAAATCAAAACCACAATGAGACACCATCTCACACCAGTCAGAATGGCTACTACTAAAAAGTCAAAAAACAAATGCTGATGAGGTTGTAGAGAAAAGGGAATGCTTATGCTTACGCACTGCTGGTGGGAATGTAAATTAGTTCAGTCATTGTAGAAAATAGTGTGGTCATTTCTGAAAGAACTTATAACAGAATTACCATTTGACCCAGCAATTCCATCACTGGGTATATACCTGAAGGAATATAAATCATTCTACCATAAAGACACTTGCACGTGTATGTTCGTTGCAGCACTATTCACAACAGCAAACACATGGAATCAACCTAAATACCCACCAATGGTAGACTAGATAAAGAAAATGTGGTACATATACACCATGGACTGCTATGCAGCCATAAAAAGAAGGTGATCATGTCCTTTGCAGCGACATGGAAGGAGCTGGAGGCCATTATCCTAAGCAAACTAACAGGAACAAAAAATCAAATACCTCGTGTTTTCACTTATAAGTGGAAGCTAAACATTGAGAACACATGGACACAAAGAAAAGAATAGACACCAGGACCTACCTGAGGGTGGAGGGTGGGAAGAGGCTGAGAATCAAAAAACAACCTATTGAGTACTATGTTTAATGCCTGGGTGACGAGATAATACGTACACCAAATCCCCATGGCATGTAGCTTACCTATATAACAGCCCTGCACATGTACCCATGAATTTAAAATAAAAGTTGGGGTATAAAAAGAAGTAAATAAAGAGTGATGAAATTACCCAAGACCACAGCTAGGAAGGGGTATAGCGTGAATCAGAACCTGATAGATTTGCTGAAATCTCCAGCTGAAAAATAGCACATCCACTCTAATAGATGCAATATAATTTTTGATTGGTTGATACCAGTGCCATACTGATTGTAAAATGTCTTTAGTATCACTTCTATTCATCCATTACTTCATGATATACGAAGTATCCTAAGTAATCAGAATTTTTTTGGTGGCAGTTGGGATAAGCCACATACTAGGTAATTTTCAGGATAAAAGGGCCAGGTTGACTTATTCTAATAGGTGCCTGGGCTTTGCACGGCTTTTTAGAGCTTCAGTCTAGATCATCTCTGAAACAAATTTATGATCAACCGTCCTGGGTTCCACGAACAAAGATGTGAAGCTGAGGTGTGTGTATTGTATGTTAAAATTAAAAAGTAAAATAAAAAATAATTGTCTTAAAAAGAAATAAATTCTATTAATTTTTTAAAATGTCTAACATGAAAATTATTTTGAAACTTAAATATTTGACTCATGCATAGACCCAGGCCTAGTATATTTTCAGAAATTAAATTCTCATTTGAATAGTCAAAAAATAATTCAATAAGCTCCAAACTTCTTTTCAGTGCTTTTATTACCCACAAAAATGTGGCTCATAGTTGTTGTTTTTTTTTTCTGTAATGGAATGTGCAAGGATTCATTTTATATTTGCTCATCAATTTGTAATATTCACACTGCTTTCATATGCATTTTTTCAGTTACCAGAGAGGCCACATAATATAGTGATTAAAACCATGGACTCTGTAGTCAGACTGCCAGAGGGTTAAATCCCAGTTTCCCCACTTAGTAGCAGTGTGATCTTGAGCAAGTTACTTAACTTTTTGTGCTTTAATCTTATTCCTTACAACAGGGACAATTATTGTGCCTAATTGGTAGACCTGTTGTTGAATTAATACCATAAAATACTTAGAAGAGTAAACAGTGTTAGCTATTGTTATTATAGTTATGTACTGAAATTTTCAGAACTAATGGCAAGGTATCTGAGAGTCTGAAGGGATTCATGGTAAGTGAAAGAATCAGGGCAGGATCCTTGACATTAAAGTAATTTGTTTTTTTGTTTTTGAGACGGAGTTTCCCTCTTGTTGCCCAGGCTGCCTTGCAATGGCACGATCTCTGCTCACTGCAACCTCCGCCTCCCGGGTTCAAGTGATTCTTCTGCCTCAGCCTGCTGAGTAGCTGGGATTACAAGCATGCGCCACCACGCCTGGCTAATTTTGTATTTTTAGTAGAGACGGGGTTTCTCCACGTTGGTCAGGCTGGTCTCGAACTCCCGACCTCGGATGGTCCGCCTCCCTCGGCCTCCCAAAGTGCTGGAATTACAGGCGTGAACCACGGCCCTGAGCCTAAAGTAATTTGTCAACAAAATTACTGTTTGTTAGAGTGAGCTGAACCTAGATTTTCCTGAGCCCTTCAGTGCAAGACCTTTTTCATTTTACAGGAGGCTATTTCCAGAAGATTCCAAAGCCAGATCTGGTCTTGTTTCAATAGGTGAATAAAGCAGATTATAAAAAAGGGCTTAACGATGCAATATTACATACTCCATATGATCTTGACCATTAACACGAAGTATCAAATATACTAGAGAAAAGATAACAAGCAAATATGCTAAAATATCAGAGGATTTTTCACTGAAGGTGGAATTGTAGGTGACTCTTTGTGCTTTTTTATAATTATCTGTCAAATGTTCTTTTTTGAGCAATGTTCTGTTTTGATAGAGAGGAGAAGTAGAAAACCAAAATAAGTTCAGTAACAATTGAGATTTGCTCCATTAGACTGAAGTCGAATAATGGAACCAAAAGAGGAGTAGGTGAGAAATATTTAAAATTTAAATGCTCATTTTAGAAGGATTTTTCTACCTGAATTAAAACAAGAACTGCCAGATCCATTGGTATGGTTTGGATCTGTGTCCCCATCCAAATATCATGTTCAATTTTAATCTCCAATGTTGGAGGTGGGGTCTGGTGGGAAGTGATTGGATCTTGGGAGCGGATTTCCCTCTCAGTGCTGCTGTTGTGATAGTGAGTGAGTGCTCACAAGATCTTGTTGTTTAAAAGTGTGCAGCACCTCCCCCCACCCCGTTCTTCCTGCTCTAGCCGTGTAAGATGTGCCAGCTTCCCCCTTCACCTTCCACTATTATTGTAAGTTTCCTGAGGCCTCCCCAGAAGCCACGCAGATGCTGCCATGCTTTTGGTACAGTCTGCAAAACTGTGAGCCAATTAAACTTTTATTCTTTATAAATTACCCAGTCTTGTGAATTTCTTTATAGCAATGCAAGAACAGACTAATACACTCATACTTTATGAATCTGGCATTTCAGATAAAAATTAAACAAAGACAGCCTCAGTGAGGAAATAAAGTGCAGTACTAAACACAACAAGGCAGCCTTGTCTTCTCTAGATAGAGTGAAACACCAATAAATGTTTTCCACAAGGGGGAGATAGTTGGTCAGAGTTTCATCAAACAGGACTATCAACACACTGTAAGTGAAGAAGCAATGCAAGTAAAATGCCTGGTGTTTATTCTCACCAAAGAATAAGGAGCTGCAAATATGAGGCACTCGGAAGGACCAACACAGACACACACATGCACACTCAAGTCAGAAGCAACAAGTCTTAGCAGAATACAAAGAAGATCTAGTTTACAGAGTCTTTTAAATACTATGTTCAATAAATGTTACTTATACAGAAAAAATATATAGAAAGGTATATAGACGAAAGATAAATAGATGAATTATTGAGTCTGAGGAGCTGTGTTAGTGAGAGTTCTTAGGTTCTCAGGAGAATTCTGAGTAATAATAATTTATCTACTAATTTTAAATGCAATGTATACACATTCGCTGATTCTTCTGCTTGTTGAAGTCTGCTGTTAATCCTCTCTAGTAAATTTTTCAATTCAGTTATTATATTTTCTGCTTCAGAATTTCTACTTGGTTTCTTTTTGTAGTTTCTGTCTCTTTGTTGATATTCTCATCTTGTTCAGATATCATTTTAAAATTTCCTTTAATTTGTCTGTTTTTATTTAAGTTATTTGAACATACTTAAGGAAGTTATATTAAAGATTTTGTTTAATATATCTAAAAACTGTTGTTTGCTCAGAGGTGATTTTGCCACTTTTCTTTCATCCTTTGAATGGGCCTTTTCTCTTTCTTTGAAAATACTGTGGGTTTTTTTTTTTTTTACATTAAAAAATTGGGTATTTGATGCAACAAACAAACAAAAAATGTGCATTTGAAAAAGCAATCACTATAGCCAGTCTTTGCTGACTGGTTCTTTGCCAAGAAAGGCCTTCACTATTCAGCATGCATGTCCCGAGCAGGGGTAAAGTCTTGAAGTTTTCTCAGGTCTTCCTTGAGCATGCATCTCACCTAGGACTTCGTGTGTGTGTGTGTGTGTGTGTGTGTACACGTATGTTTGCTTAAATGCTTTAATTTCCAAAAGAGTCCTAGCCCAGCTTCTTAGTGTGTCTTAGTTGTCCTGTTGCAATCCTTAATTACTAATCTCTAGCTCCCAGTATCAGTGGGTCTGTAGTCCCCTTGAAGCTTTTACAAACCATTTTCACTGACAATTTCTATGGCTTTTTGTTTTTTAGTCTGAGGCCTGGCATATGCTGTTTTTCTTCTCTGAATTCCAGGAAAGGAAAATTAGAGGGCAGAATACTAGGTAGTTCCCAGACAGTTCAGAATGTTGCAAGTAAGGTTTTTTCTTCTTCCTCTCGCCCAAGGGAGAAATTCCTTGATCAGAAACTGGGCTGCTTTATATCTACCACATCTCACTGCATCATGGAAAGAACGGGGCCAAGGTCAGTAGAAGCAAAATAAAAATTGTGTACCAATTTGAAGGTAGCTTTTTCTCCATTGGGTGATTACAGAGCAGACCTATGTACACCAGACCATTAACTGTTTTTCAGAAATCCCATAACGTTATTTTAACTAGTCTAATTTCTTTTAGTGTTTCTGTAGAAGAATAAAGGCCTGGAGCTTCCTAGTTTACTGTCTTGTTATCAAAAGCATTATTTTTGAAATATATCGAATCACTTGTCTAAATAATTTTTAATTTAAAAATAAGCAGATTACTGTGCTTTTATTTTCACAAGCTCTTTTGATATTCTGCTCTACTCATTCTCTGATCCTACCATATGAAGTATTTCAGGTAAATTTTGATGCAAGTTTAAATTAAATAGAGCTGTGAAAATGTCTTAGAAGATTTCTACTTACATGGAGGTAAGGTGGAACATAAGCCAAAGAAACATATCTGGATTCCAATTTTATTTTAAAATATTTCTACAAGAGTCATTAAAATTGTGTATGAAAAACAAAGATAAGGTTCAATAAGAGCTTAATTTAAATATGACACAAATATACAGCAAGATTTAACAGAAGTTTAATAACACAATAGACTGAAGATAAATGGTTTGCTTCTAAAGAGTCAAACATGATGCTGACTTCAGCTTTTTCTTATCCATCCTTTTCTTGTTCCTTCCTGATCACATTTGCTGCCTTGAAAAATGTTCTCTTTGCCAGCAACTTTATTCCCTCTCTCTTCCCTTCTTCAGTTTATGTTCATACTTGTCAAGAGTATATTTGAGAGTTGCCCTGTTCTGAAAATTATTCCCAATCCCTTAAACTAGATTTGGTGTATTTTTTTCTTTGTGACCGTAGCATATTATATATAGCTAGACTCCCTTTTTTTTTTCTTGTATTTTTAGTAGAGGCGAGGTTTCACTGTGTTAGCCAGGATGGTCTCGATCTCCTGACCTCATGATCTGCCCGCCTTGGCCTCCCAAAGTGCTGGGATTGAATTATTATACTACACTCATCTGTGATCTCCTTCCTTATAAAATTGTGTTTTCATCTCTATAGTCAACAGTGTCATTAAAGTTTCTTGAATAAATAAGTCTTCTATCTGAAAATCTTTCTTTTCTACTTGATAATATTTGTAACTCATTTGATTCATTTGAAGAACTGACATAAATCCATTTATAGTCTTTATCTTATCCAGTGTGAACATTCATTTAGCTGTAGACATACTAATTTGCTTGATTATAAGGTGCTATTCTGGACTCTCACTGGTGGGCTACATAATATATAGTCTATGCAATACTCACCTTTCTAAAATCAGAAGAAAAATGGTAATTTCGCATGCATATGACCCTAAGAGTTTCAGATAGAGGATGGTGGACTTTTCCATATGCAGCCAGATCCCTTGAATAGTACCTGAAATTTAGAGAGTAAACATTTTCGTGGCTGTGTGCTACATGCTGTAACAAAAATTGAGAGACAACCACCTTCACCATATGGTTTCTAACGTTTATTTAAGGTGTATCACAAAATTGAACTAAGGACATACTGGAAGTATAGGAGTTTCTCAGGAAGCATAAACCAATACTATTTATGAGAAGCTTGAATTTGAAATTTTAAAAAAGAGTATAATACTGAGAAAAAAAGGAAAAAATAATCCTAGAAACGTGTTTACTTTTTCTAATAATTTTACATGTTCATCAAATAGAAGCTTAATTAAAAATATATACTAGGACACTACAAAAGAAAATTACAGACAAATATCTTTGATGAACAGAAATGCAAAAATCCTCAACAAAGCATTAGCAAACCAAATTCAACAGCATAGTGAAACAAATTATTCACAATTATCAAGGGAGATTTATCTTTGGAATGCAAGAATAATTCAACGTATGTTGAATGTTGCAAATATAACAACATGATAGATCACATTAACAGAATGAAGGACAAAAACCATATGATTATCTCAACAGATGTGGCAAAGGCATTTGACAAAATTCAACATCCTTTTACAAGGAAAACTCTCAATAAATTATATAGAGAGGGAATGATAAAGGCCATACTAATAAGCCCATAGCTAACATTACTCTACTCTCACCCCTTTTGTTCAACATAGTTTTGGGAATCATAGCCAGAGCACTTAGGCAAGAGAAAGAAAGAAAAAGTATACAAACATAAAAGGAAGAAGCGAATTTGTCTTTATGTGCTGGTGACATGATCTTACATATAGAAAACCCTAAAAACTCTGCCAAAAACTTTTAGAATGGTAAACGAATTCAGTAAACTTGCAGATCACAAAGCCAACATACATAAATCAATAATATTTTTAGTACTAATAATAAACTATCTAAAAAGAAAATTAAGATATAATTTTATTTACAAGAGCAAAAAACTTAGGTATACATGTATTAAAGGAGATAGAAAACCTTTATACTGAAAAATAAAAGGCATCAATAAAAAAATTGAAGAAAACACAAATAAATAGAAAGATAGCCCATGTAGAAAGATATCCCACATTCATGGATTTGAAGAAATAATACTGTGAAAATTGCCATGCTACTCAAAGCAATCTACAGATTCACCATAATCCCTATCATAATTCAGATGTCATTTTTTTCACAGAGGTAGATTAAATCATCTTTAAATTTGTATGGAACTATGGAAGACCTTGAATAGCCAACGATCTTGGACAGAAACAAGAAAGCTGGAGGCACCAAACTCCCTGATTTAAAAAAAAATTATAAAATAATTGTAACTAAAACACCATGATACATGATACTGCCATAAAAATAGACCCATTGACCAATGGATTAGAATAGAAAGCCCAGATATAAACCCATGCATCAGTGGCCAATTGATTTTTTTACAAAGGTGCTGAGAACACATGATGTGGGAAAAACCCCTTTTTTGTGACAGGTGTTTGAACAACTGGATATCTACATGCAGAAGAATGAAATTTAAATACACAAATATTTATCATTGTGTTACATTTATCTACAGTGTTTAGTACAGTGACATATTGTATAAGTTTGTAGCCTAGGGACAATAGGCTATACCATATAGCTGAGGTTTGTAGTAGACTATCCCATCTAGGTTTGTGTAAGTACACTATATGATGTTCTCAAAATCACCTGACACATTTCTCAGAACATATTTTCATCATTAAGCAATACATGACTGTATATTTAAAATGCTCAGCATCATTAATCCACAGAAAAATTTAAATTGAAACCACAATGAGGTATCACTTCACACCTATTAGAATAGCTTTTGTCATTGGTGAGAAAACAATATGCAGATTCCTCAAAAAAATAAAAATAAATCTATCTTATGATCCAGTAATTCCACTTCTGAGTATAGATTCAAAGAAACTGAAATCAGTGTGTCAAAAGGATAGCTGCAATCCCATGTTAATTGTAGCATTATTCATTATAGACAATAAATGGAATCAACCTATGTGTTCACCTACAGATGAATGGGTAAAGAAAATATGATATCTACACAACAGAATACTATTCAACCTCAACAGAAGGGAAACTTCTGTCATTTGCTACAAAACGGATGAATCTAGAAGGGATTGTGCTAATTGAATTAAGCCAAGCACAAAAAAATAAATACCACGTGATCTCACTTACATTTGGAATCTAAAAGAGCTGAACTGCGAAGTAGAGAGTAGAATGATGGTTGTGAGAGACTGGGAATAGGGTGGGAAAGAGGACATGGTGAGTCGCTGGTTAAAGGGTACAAAGTTTCAGATAGACAATAGGAATAAGTTTTGAGGTCTATTACACAACGAGATAACTATAGTCAATAATAATGTATATTTCAAAATTACCAAGAATTTCAAATGTCTTACCACAGAAAAAATGATAAATAAGTGAGGTGGTAAATAAGTTAATTAGCTTGATTTAATCATTCCACATGGTGTACATATATCAGAGCATCACATTATGCCTTATAAGTTTATACAATTATGACTTCTGAATAAAAAATAAAATTCATAATGAAAAGTAAATAAATAAAATATAGAAATGAGATAGCTTAAACTAAGTAGAATAAAGACAATCTAGAGAAAGAGGGACTATTCAAATGTGTACTTACTACTCAGATATGTTGAGTATGATGAAGTATTGACTTAGGAAAACAATGATATCACACCATTCTCTTCTGCCAAGAGTCCCTGAAACATAAAGAAACAAACTTTGTTTTAAAAATTAAGCTTTTATTTATTTATTTATTTATTTATTTATCACCTTGTATTTTAGTTTGTGGATGTACATGTGCAGGTTTGTTACATGGGTAAATTTTGTATCATTGAATTTCAGTGTATGAATAATCTTGTCACTCAGGTAGTGAGCATAGTATCCAATAGGTAGTTTTTCAACACTTCCCCTCTCCCACTCTCCCCCTTCTTGTATTTCCCAGTGTCTATTGTTCTCATTTTTATCTCCATATGTACTCAATGTTCATTTAGCTCCTACTTATAAGTGAGAACATGCAGTGTTGGAGTTTCTATTCCTGCATAAATTTGCTTAGGATAATGGCCTCTAGCTGCATCCATGTTGCTGCAAATAACATGATTTTGTTCATTTTTATAGCTGCATAGTATTCCATGGTGTGTCTGTACCATACTTGCTTTATCCAGTCCATAGTCTATGAGCATCTAGGTTGATTCATTGTCTTTGCTATTGTGAATAGTGCTGTGACGAACATATGAGCTCATGTGTATTTTGATAGGATAATTTTTTTTCTGTTGGGTATGTACCTAGTAATGGGACTGTTGGGTTGAATGGTAGCTCTGTTTTAAGTTCTTGGATAAATATCCAGTCTGCTTAACACAGTGGATGGATGAATTTGCATTTTCACCAACAGCGTATAATTAATCCCTTTTCTCTGCAGCCTCACCAGCATCTGTTATTTTTGACTTTTTAATCATCACAATTCTGACTGGTGTGAGATGGTTTCTCATTGAGATTTTGATTTGCATTTCTCTGGGGATTAGTGATGTTGAACACTTTTTCATATATTTGTTGGCTGCATGTATGTCTTCTTTTGAAAAACGTCTTTTTGTGTCCTTTGGCCCATGTTTTAATGGAGATACTTGTTTTTATCTTGTTGAATTGTTTAAATTCCTTATAGATTCTAGATATTATACCTTTATCAGATGCATAGTTTGTGAATATTTTCTCCCATTCTGTAGATTGTCTGTTTATTCCGTTGATAGTTCTTTTGTTATGCAGAGGCTCTTTAATTAGGTTCCACTTGTCAATTTTTGTCTCTGTTGCAATTGCTTTTGGAGATTTAGTCATAAATTTTTCACCAAGGCTGTGTCCAGAATGATATTTTCTAGGTTTTCTTCTAGGTTTCTTATAGTGTGTGGTCTTACCTTTAAATCTTTAATGCATTTTGAAATAATTTTTGTATATTGTGTAAAGCAGGGGTGCAGTTTCATTATTCTACATATGGCTAGCCAGCTATCTCAGTAGCATTTATTAAATAGGGAATGCTTTCTGCATTGCTTGTTATTGTCAACTTTGTCTAAGATCAGATAGTTGTAGGTGTGTGCCTTTATTTCTTGGTTCTCTATTTTGTTCTATTGGTCTATATGTCTATTTTTGTACCAATACCATGCTGTTACTGTTACTGTAGTCTTGTAATATAGTTTGAAGTGGGGTATTGTGATGTTTCTGGCTTTGGTCTTTTTCCTTGCAATTATCTATTCAGGCTTTTTTTTTTTCGTTCCATATACATTTAAGAATCGGTTTTTTTCCAATCCATGAACATAAAAGGATTTTCCATTTGCTTGTGTCATCCTTGAGTATCTTCAGCAGTGTTTTGTAGCTGTACCTGTAGAGATCTTTCACCTTCTTGGTCATATGTATTTCTAGGTATTCTATATTTTTTGGCTGTTATAAATAGAATTGCATTATAGATTTGACTTTCAGCATGAATGTTATTTGTGAATAGAAATGTTACTGAACTTTGTACATTGATTTTATATCCTGAAACTACTGAAGTTATTTATCAACTCTAGGCACCTTTTGGTGGTGTCTTTAGGGTCTCTAGAAATAGAATTATATTATCAGTGAAGAGAGATAATTTGACTTCCTCTCTTCCTATTTGAATGCTTTTTATAAGGTTGGTGCAAAAGTAATCGCAGTTTTGCCATTAAAAGTAATGGCGAACTCCACTATTACTTTTGCACCAACCTAAAATTTCTTTCTCTTGCCTGATTGCTCTGGCTAGGGCTTCCACAACTATGCTGAATAGGAATGGTGAGAGCTTGTATCCTTGCCTTGTTCTAGTCCTCAAGTGAAATGCCTCCAGCTTTTGCCCATTCAGTATGATGTGGGTTTTGGGTTTGTCATGTATGGCTGTTATTATTTTGAGGTACGTTACTTCTGTGCCTAGTTTGTTGAACATTTTTATCATGAAACTTTACTGGATTTAATTGAAAGCTTTTGCTGTATCTAATAGGATAATAATTTTTTGTTTTTAATTCTGTTTATGGAGTGAATCACATTTATTGATTTGCATGTGTAGAACAAGCCCTGCATCCCAGGAATAAAGCCTTCTTGATTTTTGTGTTATTTTGCTCTGTATAATGTGAAAATAAGAAGATGCAGTCCTCAACTTAGTATTCAGTACTAGTAAGGGTCAAGTCACCAAACTCTGTGTTTCAACAGTAGAAAAGCTTGCTTTCACATTAAAAAGCAAAGCACGTATTGCAAACATTATTTAATAGTGATAAAATTACAGAAGAAAATATATTCAGACTGACCCATGGCATTCACACCACACCAGAATTTTGCCTGGAACAAAACAGTAGGTTAGGTCCGAGCTCGCTAAAAACTTCAGTCTCAGACCCAGTGAAGGAGGATAAAATACATAGTGCATGTATAACATACATTACATATACATTAACCTTCTTTAATGCCCCCCACTAGGGTTTTGAGGGAAGGAGAGATGAAATGTGGACTTGTGCACTCACAAAGGCAGAACTTTCTTCCAATTATAAAAGGTCATACATGTGACCCTTTATATCTGTGGGAATCCACCTTTGAAAATCACAACAAAAATCAAAAGGAAATGATTTAATATAAAATATTCAAATTTCTCAGTATGAAGACTTCCACAGAACAGGAAGGAGACAATGAAAATAAATTTTCTTTAAAAATAACATTCCCCTCGTTTTATCCCTGATACTCAACACTCAAAAACAAGTCTATATAAAACTAGGAACTATCGCAAGAACAAAAAACCAAACACCGCATATTCTCACTCATAGGTGGGAATTGAACAATGAGATCACATGGACACAGGAAGGGGAATATCACACTCTGGGGACTGTGGTGGGGAGGGGGGAGGGGGGAGGGATAGCACTGGGAGATATACCTAATGCTAGATGACGAGTTAGTGGGTGCAGCGCACCAGCATGGCACATGTATACATATGTAACTAACCTGCACAATGTGCACATGTACCCTAAAACTTAAAGTATAATAAAAAAAAAAAAAAGAAAAGCATACATATAAAAAAGTTTTTTCTAAGCAAAAAAAAAAAAAAAACTAGGAATACAGAAAAGGACCACAGAGGACGTTACATTTCAAAGTCTTAGGACCTACTCTCAAATTCTGTCCTCATCAAGACCCTTGCCTATAGAGATGAGGGCTCCCTGGTCCACTGGAGAAAGTGAGTGGTCTCAGATCTTCACCCCTGCTTCAGCAAAGATATCCCAAGTCACTCACTGTCAAAATTAATAGAATTGACCTGGACAGAGATTGAGCCTCCCCAGGAGATGCCCTGCTTCTTGGTTTTCTCATACCAGAAGGATTTGCCTTTGGTGAACCTCAAAACCTCATTGGCTCGTTCCCCCAGTCTCCGGCTGCACCTCAGTTGGCATCAATGGAGTTGTCTGCGACCTGAATTTCCTCCTCCCTGACCCTTAAGAATGTGGATCATGCCCTTTTTCTTCTTTCTTCCTTTTTGGAAATGTGTTAGGGGTCTGAAGCTTTATTTTCTTGGCTGGAGGAGTCTCTGCCTCTTTGGCAGTCTCAGCTGCTTCCACTTCTTTCCTGAACCCAGCTTGGGAACTACCACTGCTGCCTTTTTCTTTTTGTCTTCCTCCTCTTCCTCCTCCTTGCTGTTCTTAGCTGCTTTTCCATTCTGGGCAGTCAGTGCAGAGGTGCCACTGGCCTTGGGGACTTGTGGTCTTGGAGAGTCCTTGCCCTTGGGCTTCGCTTCCTCTTCCTCACTGGAGTCATCAGAGGAAGAATTGCTGCTGCTCTTGACCTTTCCTTTCTTTGTGGAGGCTGGCTTGGAAGGGGCTGTCCCTCCTGCTGCCTTCTGCAACTTCTTCTTAACTAGGGATTTAGATGTCTTCTCTTCCTCCTCCTCCTCCTCACTGTTGGAGCTGTCTGAATGAGAGCTGCTGTCCTTACCCCTCTCAGGAGCCTGCTTGGCAGGCAGATATGGAGCTGCTTTGTCAGTTACCTTGGGCTTAGGGGGGGCCACAGTCATCTTTGTCTTCTCCTCCTCACTGGAACTGCTCTCTTTCTCACTGGAGTTGCTGTCAGCCTTTCTCATTAGAGGCTCCTGGCCACTGCTTGCAGGTTGCTTGAGAGTTGCAGCTGGCTCCGCTGCAGGTGACTTGGTAGTGGCAGCTGGCTTATCTGAGGAATTCTTGCTGGTACTGGCTAGCTTGGAAAGAGCTTCATCATCCTCAGAACTGTTGGAATATGAGCTGTCTGAAGAGCTCTCTGCTGCTTTCTTTGCTGGAGGTTGTTTAGTATTTGCTTTAGAGATGACTGACTTAGCAAGAGTTCATCCTCTTCCACCAAACTTGAATCAGACTCGTCGCTGCTGTCTTCACTGCTTTCGGAAGGCTGTTTCTTCTCCACAGCTTTCTTGGGAGACTGGGTTCCCAAGGACTTCTTTGATGGGGGAGCAGGACGGGGGCACTGAACTTTAGGGATCTGGGGGTTTTTTTCTTTTTTTTTTTTTCCTACTACTCTTCCTCCTCACCGGAGGAGTCTCACTGCTGGAATTTTTGGGTAGGGGTGGCAGCTGCTTTCACTGGGACCTTGACCACAACTTGCTTTTAAGATACAGTCTTCTTGGGGATGGCTGCTGCCATCTCTTCCTTTGAGTCAGCACTGCTGCTGCTGCTGCTGCTGCTGCTACTGTTGCAGCTAGCTGCTTTGCCATTGGCTACTTTAGGTGCTGCTTGAGCTGGAGTACCTGGTGTGGCTGGGACTTTAGCCCGAGCTTTAGCTGCTACAGATGTCTTTGGTTTCTGTTTCTTTGGTGCCTCATCCTCAGAGCTTGAGTCAGAATCAGAATCAGAATCAGAGCTCTTAGCCTTCTTAAGAGGAGCTTTGGCTGTCTTGGCTTGGGGCTTAACTCCCTTCTGGACAGACTTTTTCTTTTTGTCGTCCTCCTCATCATCACTGGATGCTTCACTGCTGCTGCTCTCTGATGCTTTGGCGATAGCCTTTCCAGGAGGCTGAGACAAACTTGCTCACAGCCTTCTTACCTGGAGGCCCTTGAGCTTCTTCCTCCTCCTTGCTGCTGTCCTCACTACTGTCACTGGATGAAGCCTTCTTCTTAGCTTTCATAGTCACTGATCCATTTATTTGCCTGGAACTTTTGCTTTGGGGACTTAGCAGACTTGAGACAGAAGCTATAGACATCCAAGAGGGAAGAGGCATTGGCATCCTGCTGTGTAGCTCCTGTGGGTTTGGCGAATATATTGGCTATCACACAGGAAGTCGAGCACAAGGGGATACAGGTCTGTGGGAACCACACAGGCCAGTGTCTGCCATCCTCTGGGCAATACATACATGTGACTACCATTGTCTATTGGTGCTATTTTTAAGTTGCCTACTTAACAATTATTTAGGGTAACGCAGCGGGTAATCAAAAGATTGACAGTCTAAAGTGTGGGAGACAAACTATTTGAAGACTAGCAAATAAAAATCTTACAATCTATAAGATATGCTTCTGTCTATGTTTCTACTTGCTTAACTTGTCTATAAACTTATGTCCTTAGATTTCAGCCTTTGGGGGCCATGACAAGACTTAGCTTCAAGTATTGTTTGCCTTGGTCTCCGCATCTAATACATAACTAAAATTGTTTACCTCTTAAGTTTTTCACTAAAAATAAAGGCCACTAAGAGTTAACATTGTCATTAATACATGTCATTAAAACTACTAGATACAGGGAAAATTCTATATGCATTGTACACACAAAACATACAATGTGTTTTGGGATTTTTATAAAAGTGTTATAAAAAGGCATACGAATGTGGTTTCTCTTAGAGAGAAAGCAATTTTGCCTAGTTTAGAGAGTTTAAGAATTGTAAATTAAACTAATAAGACATAATGGCTAAAATTAAACAGATGCAGAAAGTTGGAAAAGAAAGTAAATTTTGTCCTAAAGTGATAGAACAAAACTGAAGGTTTAAGCAATTTGTAGAAGGTTTATGAAAAATTGATCTTGTGACAGGAGTTCTGTGTGTCATCAAGTTGGCTACAATTTAAAGGGGATTATTTAGTTTTCCTATAAACTGAACATTAATGTCAAAATCACACTTACACAGCGCCAGAGTCTGTGTGCCCCTGTGTCAGAATAACAAGGTTTTCCTGTAAAATTGATCTGTTCTTCAATAAAAAAAAATAAAAATTTATAAAAGTCTTATGGAAATCTTACCTTATGATCACACTGATTGAGATTAGATATATTTGTTTATAAAATTTTATTAAAATTAACTTCAGTGTTAATAATACACTAATGCAAAGGTAAAATTTAGTTTTCTCTTTTGAAAAAGATTTTCATGTAGTATTAAAAGACAGTGAAATATTTCTTTTTACCTTTTGAGTAAATGGCAGAGAAAGAGGGGAGAGAGAGAGACAGATTAAACTGGCATCAAGCTGTTTTTATTATGTCTTATCGTTTGGAAATTGGAGTCTCCTCTCTATTAAAGAGTAAAGGATTTTGCTTTTGAAAATCTTTAATTATCACTTTGGCTAAATGGCTAAATGGCTAAATGAGTTACTTTACAGTGACCTATGATCCTATTTTGTGACATCAGATGTTTTAAATCTTTGATATTTGACAAACTTTGCAAAATCATATTCTAAATTCAGCCTTCAGCTTTGGATGTTAGGATCCCTAACATTCAAGAGAGACATATTTGGCTTATGTGGTGTATTAAAATTATACAGGACGCTTTATCAAATATGAAATGATGTTTAACTTTCTTTGAGTTATAGTTTATATAAATGTGCTATTAATGTGTTCCAAATTGTATGAGATTTCTATAATTCTGATGTCTTAATGTTATCAGTAATAATTATGACTATTATTGTAATTGCTGTATTCCAGAGCAATAACCAAATTTCCTTGTTAATTGTGTCTTCAACAACAGCTGTTCTAATATTTTTGTCATGCACACACAATTGTTGTTTTACTTTGATTTTTCTAAAAAAAATCAGTTTGTGGTCTGCTACAGTCCAAAAGCTTCTTTAGGAAAGTTCATGAAAAGCACTGTGATGCTCTTCAATGCAGGTTTCTGATAATGTTAAAGGGTTTGTGTGTCTCGACTAGAGAGAAAACTTCCAGGACTCTCAATGGAGAGCTGATGTGTTCATGAGGCCTGCTGGCCCAATATCATGTAATATAGGAGTTAATTGCATGGGACTAAACTAGTAAATACCAGAAAGTTTTTAAATAACTTTTTGGTTTGAAACATTGCCGATTCTTTTTGTGTTTCTTTCCAGAGTTAAGAAAACTTTTCCTGTTAAGCTATTTATAGCTGACCACAAATTGAAAAAGTATATATATTCTTGTGAGCAAAAGTTAAAGCATATTTCTTTGTACCTGATTTCTCCAGAATTGGGAAACTATTTGCAAGTTTTCTTATTTTACAACAATATAGTTATTTGCATATGTTCAATAAGAATTTGTTTTCCTGGCTGGGCGCGGTGACTCACGCCTGGAAATCCCAGCACTTTGGGAGGCCGAGGCGGGCGGATCATGAGGTCAGGAGTTCGAGACCAGCCTGACCAACATGGTGAAACCCTATCTCTACTAAAAGTACAAAAATTAGCCAGGTGTGGTGGCATGCACCTGTAATCCCAGCTACTCAGGAGACTGAGGCAGGAGAATTGCTTGAACCTGAGAGGCAGAGGTTGCAGTGAGCCAAGATCATGCCACTGCACTCCAGCCTGGGCAACAGAGTGAGACTCTGTCTCAAAAAAAAAAAAAAATCTGTTTTCTTTTGTTAACAGACACAGTTGGAGACACTGGTTACTTTACCAAGGTTTTGTCTGGAATGGCATGTTTTCAGATATGACCAGACTGCTTTGAGGGGTGGAGGTTGACTTTAGAGAGAGACAGTAAAATACCCTTAGAAAGACTGGCCTGGTATCTTTTTCTATGTGATTCCTTTACAAGTTTCTGACCTGTTATAAGTAAAAATGTCACTTTTTGACAGAGTCAAGAAACCCAGGTAATTTTGGTAACTTGAGATGGGAGAAATGTCCCCAGTTCGTGGACATCTGCAGGTACAGAAAAATCACTGGCTTGGCTAAGCTGAAGAGGCATTTAACAAGTCTAAACTGAAATTCATTATTTAAGAAATTTCCAGCAAAGCCAAGTTAAAAGAGCCTATATAGCCAATAATTATTCCTGTAGCACTTTATGCAAATCATTGGTCAAGTATAAATCTTCTTAAACTTGTTTTGCAAATAAATTTGTCCCACTATGATTTGTCTTTTGTAGAAATCGGGGACCTAGAGAGAAAAAAATATTGTAAAATTATAGCTAGCTACCCCGCTGGCTACATAGATATAGATAGATAGATAGATAGATAGATGATAGATAGATAGATAGATAGACAGACAGAGATATCCAACACTTGTGTGCCTGCCTACTGATGCATGGATTCCTCAAAAAATTCTTTTAAACACCTGATTAAAACTACAGTCCACAAAAATCTATAAGGTTGCTGCTGAAATTAGAAAATGCTTCTAAGACTAAAAGAAACTAATATATAGACTGCTCCAGACATACAACAGAGTCAATGTGCAACTAAAAGAGTTAAAATAATGATTGCCTAAATAACTGCTTGGATTGAGAAGGTGGTGGTATAGAATCAGTTTCCAGGATTACTTTCTGTTTGTTGCTATAATATAATTTGGCCTTGTTTTTTCCCTTCTTTTTCTTTCTTTTTTTGTCACCATTTTTCTCTACTGGACGCAAGACTTTACAACTTCTTGGTAATGAGCCTTCCTAAATATGTGGGAACTAACTTTCAAGTAATAAATCATCAACAACAAGGGAATTAATGAAAAATAACCAGAGACTCACTTTTTAAGTGATGTTTTCTTCCAAGGATTTTGAAGCATAGGGGGAAATATGAAAGATAATAGAATCTCAGGACCCCAAACTCACTTAGCCAAAGGGAAAGTTAAAAGCTTAGAAACTGAGTCACCTATGGTGATTTCCTTTTGTTCCCAAACAGATATCTGCAATTTTACAACCCTGTATCATAATCTCATTTTCTCTATTTCCTCTTTTCACTTGTTTACTTTATCTTATGTAAAATGCAGATTTACTGAGCAAGAGATAATGCATAATTGACCTTTTCCTCTACTCCCCTTTTTACATACAAAGTGTAGACTTACTGAGGCTAACCAGAGTCTCATAAGAATGCAACTATCTGTCTCCCTGCCCACCCTTCATCTCCTTTTTTCTGCTCCTGCATGCCTTTTCCTCTTTAAAAACAGAAGTGGCCAATATCCCTTTTAGCAAAAGTATGGGTCAAAAACGCTCCTGCGACTTGAATTATTTCCCATGCGCGCTCTCAATCTTGGTTAAATAAACCCCTATTGATTGAGACCCGCCTCGGTCACTTTTTATTCACACCTCTGACAATAGGAAACACTAAATACAGCTTAACCTCTAGTCAGATATAACATAAGGCTTCACTTTTAAGGTCTATTTACTTCAGCTCCCTTTACACAGTACACCACATCTGGTTTGCAACACAAAGTTACGAGGCACACTAAGGGAGAAAAAAAACGCAGCTTGAAAGACAGGCCTCAGAACTAGACTCATATAATGATAGCAATGTTGGAATTAGTATACTAAAAGTTTTAAATGACTATAATTAATACAATAAAGGCTGTAATGAAAAATGTTTGAAAATGTGCAGAAACAAATTGTAACTTAGCAGAAAAGTGAAACCTCTATAATTGAAAAGAAAATAGAAATTTTTAAAAAGTAAATAACAGAAATAAAAATGCATTTGATAGACTCAGCAACAGACTGGAGACAACAACAACAAAAAGAATTACTAAGCTTGAAGAACCCAATAGAAATTTCTCACACTAAACAACGAAGAGAAAAAAATAAGAAAAAAATAGAATGGAGTATCTAAAAACTGTAGGAAAATTAAAAAATTGTAACATATGAAGAGTGGAAAGATTGAGAGAGAAGAAAGAGATGAAGAAATGGAAAAATATATATATTTGAAGCCAGAATGACTTTCCCAAAATTAATAACAAGTATATCAAATCTAAATAACAAACAGATCAAGTAAGCTCAGAAAACACCAATCAAATTAAAGACCAAAACATTTAAGCCTACCTGTATTATGTTCAAATTAAATCATATAAACAGAAAATTTCAAAAAAGCTACAGGCGGAAAACAACTTATTATTAAAGGAGCAAAAATAATAATTTCATACATAATTTTCAGAAATCATGCAAGGTCTCTACAGTGGGCTGTCCGGTCCTCTTCTGCAGGGTTGGTGGGACACCACTGAGCAGATCTGGGGGCCCTGGCTTGCCCACGAATATCCCAATGATGAGTGCAGGCACCAGTAGTAATAGGGGTGGCTGGGAGGAGCCCCTGGTGAAGTGTGTTGAGGTCTCTGCAGGGAGGTGAGGGGGCTGTACTGGCTCTTTCTCCTAAATAAGCAGAAATGTGATTTGTTTCCTTATCACACCCCTGTTTCAGGGCTCATGACTCCTAGTTCAGATGCACACTCTAGTCTATCTCCAGACTGCAATGTGGTTGACAGCCACGGGGGAACACTTGTTTTGCAACTCTCCATGGGAGCAGTTTCAGGTCATAACCTTGTCACTCAACCTGATACAGACAGCTTTAAGGCTCACCTGTTCTCTGATGTGGCAGTACTGCTGCTTCCTGTAAACAGGAGACACCACCTGTGGGCTTGTGCATGTACGTATTTGTTGTGGTGGTGCCACTTTGGGGCCCATGTCAGTGGGTGTTGGTCATGGTGTTGTCAGCTGGTTGGATCGGCCTGAGCTTAGGCCCTGGGGGAAGTGGTCAGGTGCCGGAAAAGTTGGAACAGGGTAGGTAGTTCCCCAGCTCCCAAGCCCCTAGATGGCCTACTGGACAGCATGTGTGACTCCTAAGGGGCAGGACCGGAGTCAGGGTAGCCCAGAATTCAGGTGCTGGCTGTGATGGAGTGGGCTGGTCCCTAGGTCACCAGGCAAACTCTTAGGCAGGGTAGGTAGAATGCTTCAGTGGCGAGAGCCTGAGGGAACATTACAGGCGTGTCAGAGTTGGGTTTTCATAAGGGCTCTGGGCCATAGGTGAACTGTTCAATGGGGACAAGAGAGCTGTGCTGTGAGCCTTTCACTGGAGAGGGCAGGACCCCTCAGCTGGGGCAACGGAGACTGGCAGCTGTTGGGCACACGGCACACTTGCACTTCCCTCCCACCCAAATAATGCTGAACTTCACAGCTGCAGGCATGCAAAGATGCCAAGCATATTCTGTTACCACTAGGAGTTTTCCCCTGATGAAAGCAGAGCCACGATCCACCACGGTGTTCAGGTGGGGACAAGGTCCCTGCACTGGAAGCCCAAGCTGAGGCTTGCCTGGCTTAGAGCAGTGAGGGTGGGTGGGGTGAGTCACATGGTTTACAAACTGAGTAGTTCCAAGAGAAGGGCAGAGCTGTGCCTGTCTGAAGAGTTCAGGCTGGGGCGGAGTTGCTGTGCTGGAAGCCCTGATGGGAACTTTGCCTGTGGAGGAGGAGCACAGCCTTCTGACGACACTGTGGCTGCAGCCTCTAGCAGGATTATTGCACTGAACTGGGCTGCTCAGGGATCCAGGACCTGTGGGGCTCCATGTGGGCTTGAGCAGCACCTCTGCAAAGACTCCCAGCAGCTCTCTGTGTCGGTCTAGAGGCCCGGGGCTGGAGTTAGGGGGATTCTGCCATGCCCAGGGTTGCAAAGGTCCCTGTTGGAAGTGTGAATCTCCCGGGCACTCTCCCTCACTCACCTTTTCCCCATGGTAGGGAGTTTCTCACTGGTGCGCACTAGTCCTGGGCGGGTGGCTGCCCAGCTTCAGTCCTTTCTGTTCTCTGTGGGTGCCTTGCTTCCTTGGTAAATCCTGACACGGTCTCAGATGATTCCCTTGAAGAGCTAGTATTTACTCACCATTATGTTTCCTCTTCATGAGATCGCTACACACTAGCTGCTTCTAGTAAGCCATTTTGGACCAACCTCCAAATATCAAGCTTTTAAAAAGAATAAAAAGCCATCTTATCTGGTACACTTGAAATACAAATTTTGAATTTTGAAATTATGTTTCGTCTGAGCAGGAGGCTTGCTGGCATGACTTGGCCTGCAAAATTGACCTACTTTGATCTTTGTAATTAAACGAGACTTTTGAACTTCTTCTCTGTAAATGAATTCTTCAAAATGGTCATTAAAGATACTCCTCGTACGTCTTTGTTCATATTTTTTGTTTTAAATAAAGATTGACTTGCCATCAGTAACAAATGTAAAACTAATACAAAGACACTATCTGGAGTAGGCCGTAAATGTACTGGTCTGTGTATACCCGGCATCTAGGAAGTAAATAATAATAATTATGGCACTTATTATTACATGGGATAGCAAAGCATTTATTGACACCCAAAGCTTCAGGTGAAACACAGAATTAAATGGCTTCTCTAATTAGATGGCTCCGCTAGAAAGGAAGGTGCAAAATATTACGGAAGAGCATTGATCACAGTGCATTGGCCCATTATTACCCAAATTCTGAACGATAAAGGATGTTTTTTAATTAATTCTCTATCTCCCCATTGAATTATTGGACTCCTCACCACGTTTTCCATTGCTTGAATGACATATGGGAGTGATCACCTGTCTGCTGCTATAGGTGTGGAATATGGGAATCAGTTCTTTTCCTAGGTCTGTTCTTAGGCAGGCAGATTTGATTTTGTGTCCGGACAGCAATTCCAAGACAGTCAGCACCATTACTCCCAGAATTGTATTTCTAATCACAGGACAATAAATTTCTAATTAGACACCAACTTATGTAAAATAAACATGTAGCAGAAAAGCCAGGAAAAATTAAGTTAGGTTAGAAGTTAAAAGTAGCCGGGTGTGATGGTGTACACCTGTAGTCCCAGCTACTTTGGAAGCTGAGATAGGAGGATCATTTGACCACAGGAGTTCAAAGTCAGCCTCGGCAATAAAATGAGACCCCCATTCCCTTCCAAAAAAGTAGCCAAACATAATTATTAATTTTTCCCTATCTAAACCTCAAATTTTTTTGTTTGTTTTTTTGTTTTGTTGGAGGCAGAATCTCACTCTGTCACCCGGGCTGGAGTACAGTGGTGCGATCTCGGCTCACTGCAACCTCCACCTCCTGGGTTCAAGCGATTCTCCTGCCTCAGCCTCCCGAATAGCTGGGACTACAGGCGTGTGCTACCACGCCTGGCTAATTTTTTGTATTTTTAGTACAGACAGGGTTTCACCGTGTTAGCCAGGATGGTCTCGATCTCCTGACCATGTGATCCACTCGCCTCGGCCTCCTGAAGTGCTGGGATTACAGGTGTGAGCCACCATGCCCAGCCCTAAATCTCAATTTTTAAATCAGCAATGTGAGTGCAACAATATTTGATAATTTAGATTTGCTGCTTGTGTTTTCCTTGTATATTATGTCTGGGAAGTTGACATAATATATGGCCATACTTAAGGGGCCATGAAATGCTCAGTTAATATGGTATATATTAGGTGCTCAATAAGTAATTGTTAAACAAAATTTTAAAAATTGGAAACTGAAGAAGGAATTTCCTCAGAAATTTCATCAGACAACTATCAAGCAGTTACTCTGTATCTCAGGTATGAGGCCTTGGGGATGCAAGGCTGAATCTTGCATGCTCACGTTTTTCAAAACTAGAGAGATAGAGTTTGGAACATGTGGAGTTGTTAATATATTTATTAACTTTCCACAGTAGAAATACATTATAGTTGTTCCACAGAGTAGGGGATTGTATTAATCATGTTTTAATTTTTTTTCTGTATTTTATGATGCTTTGACATCTTGGGGCCTTTTTGGACTAGGGAAAGAAATGCCTCCTCAAGAGTTACCTAATTCCCAAAGACAGCAAACAATTTGCTTGCAAGAATTTTTTTATAAGTAAACTAATCAGTCACAAGACCATATCCTATCCACCTCTTTTTATCAGTTTCCTGCAGTCTGTGACACTATTCCCCTGCCCAGGTCTAGGTTCTGGACAACTAGGGATCAACGCTGTAGCCCAGACTTTGCCAAAATTATTCAAACTATCCGATTCTAAGCCTGCTTAGCTTTCTTATACTGCCTCTCCTGCTCTTTGCCACAGAAACAACAATAAAGACTATAAATCCGTGCTTTCTCTCTCTTTTCTCCATACCCTGACTTACTCTGGTGTTTCCTTCATGTGGCCCTACATGAAGTTGCATGTCCCTCCTGTTGGCAATTGTGAGTACCTATCCTCCGAATGGCAACTGTCTCCTAATCTATTGACCACACCAAACCTGAATAATAAAACCTACATTTCAAAATAGGAATGGTATATTCTCCTAGCATACGATTGGGTGGACACGCTGGCATTTAGCAGCTCTTAATGAACCCCTATCCATTTCAGAAACTAGAACCTAAAAATATAAACTGATTCACTTGTTCAGCAGCATTTTCTAAAACCTAGACTATGCTATCAGTAACTCGGGGACAAATATTTTAGTAACTGATCTGTTAATCTGTCAAGTTTCATTGATTACCGTTTATTCAACTCCTATCAAACTCTGGGCTATTATCTAAACACCTAAATGACACATGAAATATGCTTCATTTTAGTATGTAGTTTTTAGAGTTAAGCTTTAGTAAACCAAATGTCTTTCTATGTTATTATTTTTCTTTTATCCACAGTCTGAAGTGGGGCTTCTCAAAGTATGGAGTGCTTGAGAATCATCTGGAGAGCTGGTAAAACACAGACTGCTGGACCCCACTCCCACAGGTTCCGATTCAGTAGGTCTGGGATGGGACCCAAGAATCTGGATCTCTAATATGCTTCCACATGATGATGATGATGCTGGTCTACAGGCCATGCTTTGAATATAGCCCTGGCCTAAATCACAGACACCCGATGTTGGCTTCACAGTTTATATCTGAAATTCAGCTTGAGCATTATTGAGAATTCCCAGCATGAAGGACCTATGACAGAAAAAGATAATCATTTACTGCTTCTCTTTGACTATTATTTTTTTCCAGCCTAGACTGACTCCATTTTATTTCCAATGTTTCCTTTAATCCCTAAGTACCTGGAGATGCAGAACCATTCTGTAGAATTTTATTGTCCTAGTTTTTACCCCGATGAATCATCTTTCGACAGACATGTGAGCCCTCAGCAAATGCATTATGTCATCTTTCTGAGCGCCACAGAGAGAACTGATATGCCTTTGGTCTGATGTGAAATGATGGCTTCAGTGTGCCCACCATGCTGCGACTCTGACTTGGGAGGGTTCCCAGAATTGTGACAGAAAACCCTTTGGCTGGTGCCAAGTGGGGAAGGGGTGGGCTTGTGATTCTGTTTCTCAAACCACCCAACTCCATGCATGTGTGAGCAGATCTGTCTCCTCCCAGGCTGCCACATTCAAAAGTGGGATATATTTTTAGAGACGAAATCATTAGTTCTTAGTCCCTCCCAAGATTCTTTTTTTCCCCATTAAGTAAATTTTAAGAACCTGGTTTTTATAAGAAAATTTTCAGGATTTTAGAAAAAAATGGTAATGATTATAGCCTTGGTACAATGAACCCATTTGCCTCCCTTCTAGACAAAGGCAGACTTCCCACAGCAGTCACTGCCTGAAGCTCCTGGGCCCTACATCCAATATCCAAATCAACTTGATCTTTCACATCTTATTACAGAAGCTCCTGCCTCTTTTGATTTTCTGGGTCTTGTAAACCTAGGATTTCAAAAATCAACTTTATTGTACATTGAACAATTGCTTTTTAAGCTTATTGTAATATCTCATAATGGACTTTTAGTAAATAAACCTCTGTCTTACATATGTAAAATTTTTTTCTTAAGAACAAAAAATGTTAATAGACATTCTCTATATTAAAGCAGAAACTACTGAACATTTTTCTAATCTCCTGAAATTCATGGTTATAATACAAGAATTTTAACATGCTTTCTTTGCCTCCAGTCAATAGATGAGATTTTAATAGTTTTTATACTTGAAAATGCACTAAAATTGTCCATTTTTGCTTTTGATTAAATTGTATTTGTAAATTGAATGGTGATTAATTAGAAAATATTGTTAAAATGTTCATAATGCTCAAAGCAATCTACAAATTCAATGCAATTTCTTTCAAAGTTGCAATGGCATTTTTCATAGAAATAGGGAAAAAATCTTAAAATTCATAAAGAACCACAAAAGATCCCAATAGCCCATTTATTCTTGGACAAAAAAAAAAAGCTGGAGGCATCATACTGCTTGAATTTTAAATTATACTGCAAAGCAATACTAATAAAAACAGTATTCTCCAATGATAAAAACAGATACATAGACCAATGGAAGAGAGTAGAGGGCCAGACATAAGCCACACATATAAGTGTATTGATAAATATACGATGGAAAAAGGACAGTCCCCTTAACAAATTGTGTTGGGAAAACTTGATAACCACATACAGAATGATAAAATTGGACATATGTTACACCATATACGAACATTTACTTGAAATGGATTAAAGACTTAAATGTAAAACCTGAAGTCATAAAATTCCTAGAAGAAAACACAGGGAAAAAGTTCCATGACATTTTTCTGGGCAATGATTTTTGGATATAACCTCAAAAGCACAGGCAGCAAAAGCAAAAAATACATAAATGGGATTACAACAAGCTAAAAAGCTTCTAAACAGCGTAAAAGAATTAATAGAGTGAAGAGACAATCTATGCCATGGTAGAAAATATTTGCAAATCATATATCTGATAATTAGTTAATATCCAAAATACGTAAAGAACACATGCGACTCAATAGCAAGAAAACAAATAACCCAATTTTTTAAAATGGGCCAAGGATCTGAATAACCATTTTTGCATAGAAGACATACATGTATGTGAAAAATTGCTAAACCTTATTAATCATCAGAAAATGCAAATCAAAACCCCAGTGAGATATCACCTAACTCCAGTTAGAACGGCTACTATCAGTAAGACAAAAGATAAATGTTGGCAAGGATGTGAGGGAAATGAAACTCTGTATACTAGGAAAGTACATTAGTGGAAAACTCTAAGAAGGTTCCTCGAAAAATTAAAAATAGAATCACCATTTAATCCAGTAATGCCTCTTCTGGGTATATATTCAAAAAAACTAAAATCAGTATTCCCAAGAGAATCTTCACTGCCATGTTTATTGAAGCATTATTATTCATAATAACTAAGATATGGAAATAAATGAAATGTCCACAAATGAATAAAGAATACACACACACACACACACACACAAATATTATTTAACCATTAAAAATAAAATCCTGCCATTTGTAATAATGTAGATAATCCTGAAAAAAAATTATGTTAAGTAAGACAAATAAGACACAGAAAGACAACTAGTCTATGATATTAATCATATGTAGAATCTTTAACAGATGAGCTCACAGAAGCAGAATGCAAAATAGTGGTTGCCCGGAGGTGGGGATTAGAGGAAATGGGAAGATGTTAGTGAAAGGGTTCAAACTTTTAGTTTTAAGAGAGTAAGTGTAGGGATCTAATATGCACAATGGCAACTACAGTTAGTAATACTAAGAGTAGTCCTTAAGTATTCCTTAACCACCCTCCCATACACTATAGTAATTATGTGTAGCAATGAAAATGTTAATTAAATTAATTATGGTAATCAGTGTATAATATATGTGTGAATCAAATAATTATGCTCTACATCTTGGATAGACAAAATATGCAATCTGTGATTTATACCTCAATAAAACTGGAAAAAAAAACATAAAAGAACATGTACCTGTAAATGTGTAATGGGGAATGTCCTCATTTAGAAGCCTATTTAAAATTCATAATCAGCTTGTGGCTGATAAGGCCCAGCAACTCCCTAGGAGAAACACGGCGTATTGCATTTCATACCACCCTCTCTCCCTACAGCTATAACATCTTAATTTTACAATTTAATCTTATTGAGACTGAGACCGTCAATTTTAGGTGAGCAGGAGATGGATTTTGTAAAGAAATACAAGGAACTCAAAGGGAAGGAATTTTAAAATGTGACAACATAAAGTCCAAAGGGTTTCTGTGGTCCAAGGCTGGAGGAAGGGCCCATCATTGTAAAGCAGCCAACTGTAGCCCCTCTGTTTTGCTGAGATGATGGAGGAGGAGAGTGAGGGTATATCAATCCAGGTCAGTCTTCCCTTCTACTTAAAAGTTTAGTGTGGCAAATGAAGATGGCCCAAACAATAGAATTCGATGGGATGCTGCTGCGTCAGTTTCTGGACCCAGACCTTAAGAGATGGGAAGCTTCCACTATTTGTCTTTTGGAACACCTATTCTTGGAACCAAGCCTCCACAGAAGCACAGCTATATTATATGTGCCTTTACAAGATGTTTGGATGCATTCTCAGCAGAAGGTAGAATATAAATAAACAAATACACAAAAGAATGTTACAAATGCAAATGTAAAAGGCAACAGAGTAATTCAGTATAATAGGAATGAACAGTTTGAGGTCCAGCACTTGTTAAGTCAGTCTACAAGTGCTGAAATTATGCAAAAGGAAAGGTGTTTTTTAGGAAGACCTAAAACAACTTTTTAATTTTATACTCTCCCAACTCAACTCAGGCCTATTCCCAATAGAAGCACTGAGCCTCAAATGGCAGTCAGAAATTTTGTCCTGAATAAACAGTTTCAAGTGATAAATCAGGAATCTAGGTCACATATGTATTAGACATGTGTTCTTGTGTATATGGACATTCTAATAACCCATATCAATGTGGCTTTTAACAATTCTTTCCTTTTTAAAAAATTGGATGAATATTTACTCTAGAAACATTTATTGAGAGCCCAATGAGAGTTGAAGTTGTACTTTATAGTATATATTTTCTAATAAGATATACTTTTGCTAAAAGAGACAGCTGCCTATGGTGATACTTTCCTTTTGCATAATTTAAGCTATCTGTAACACTGCAAACAAGATTAAAAAATGAGTCTATCGTCTGGGCGTGGTGGCTCTTGCCTGTAATCCCAGCACTTTGGGAGGCCGAGGCAGGCGGATTGCTTGACCTCAGGAGTTGGAGACCAGCCCGGCCAACATGGTTGAAACACCATCTCTACCAAAAAATACAAAAATAAGCCAGGTATGGTGGGACATGCTTGTAGTCCCAGCTACTTGGGAGGCTGAGGTGGGAGAATCGCTTGAACCCAGGAGGCAGAGGTTGCAGTGAGCCGAGATGGCGCCACTGCGCTCCAGCCTGGGCGACAGAATGAGACCTTGTCTCAAAAAATAAATAAGTAAATAAATAAATAAATAATGATCCTATCCCTTTTCACTATGCAGAAATAGGTAGATTCTCGGTAATTGCGATGAGTCTGACTCATTTCTGAGGAAGAGGAATTTTTTTAATCCTGTTTTTGTATAAAAATAATTGTTATTTAATGTAATTAAAAACATTAAAATGGTGAATAATTTGTGAGTTTGGTGTTTTATATATTCAAATAAAGCTAGAAGGTATTTTTAAGGAAGACCTAAAACAACTTTTTAATTTTATATTCTCTCAACTCAACTCTGCTTTTTTTCATTGTTTCATATCAGCTGTGCAAACATTCAATACTAAATAATAAAGAGATAGAGCTAAACAGGTAATAAACTTGAATTAGGTAAACTTAATCCAGGTACATAGAACACACCATTAGGGCATATTAATCTTACTAATAGCTTAATCTGATAGATACCAACTTCAAATTAATAACTTGAAGGTAATTAATAAAAAAGAGGGAACCACTGCCTTTGTAAGAAGAACAAATAAAGTAGAGAGAATCATTGTGAGTAACATAGAAACCTACATTTTCTATATATTTTGAAGTTTAGAAAAAAATAATTTCTCCCATTTTGGGTTAAAAAGTTTTTCTTTAATAAAGCATGTAAAACCTTAAGTTTAAAATTAAAATTATTTTTAAAAGACATAAAATATTTTATGTGAGTGGTTCTCATAAAACAGATTCATTTCTATTAAAAGTAAACATGGCGGTGATATAATTGAAGATGATATTGTAGAGGCATCCAAGATCCTGTCCCCACTTACACACTGACACACAAATTAAAAATAAGTAAATAAATAAAGTCGTTAAAATCAACTTTCCCAAGCAAATGCTGAGTCAAGAAAAACGGAGACTTAAATATCAGAGTTTTGTGATGTTTTATTTCAACCTTGCTATTCTTTCAAAGAGAGGAGCAATTCTGAGAATGACAACCTGTGCTTCCATGTTAATACAGGTTTCTGAGGGAGCAAGGTAAACCTTCCCCTAAAAATGGAGTTTGTCTGTTCTAACTAATTTATGGGTTCCCTGAAGGAATGATCCAAATTACTTGGTTTTGTTTGCTTTTTTCACAACTTTCTCAGAAAAGCAAAGCAGCTAAGAAGAGGTATTTCTTAAAAAGACAATGTAGACCTTGCAGAATAAGGCAAAAATTAAAGTTGTTGAAAGCAATAAACATGCTGAAAGCTTGGGAGGAAAACCTGGGGGTGAAAGGGTTATGAAGAGCTCTGTATATAAAAAATCCAGGCATGCATCCAGGGCAGTATGCATGGTCAGAAAATACCAAGTAAACAGCTATCAATAAGACAATGTACTAAGAAGCTCTAGATGCTATTTCCCCATAGAAACACTAAGTAAACTACAGAATGGTGAAAATGGTCTTGTGGGAGCTCTAGGAACAAGTAAAGGATCTGCAGCAACCAAACAGCAAACACCCAACCAAGGTGGGGTGGGGTGGGGGGACCACTCAAAATGGTAGGAAATTTCATAGTGTTTTTCTTCCCTTGTCCTATTTCCTTTCCAGTTTGTTACAGCATAATTTGGAGGAAGCTGCCCAATACCCAGTTCATCTCTCAGAATAAGAGTAAAAGTAGAACTTGTTTAAAACATTCTGACCTCAGATGGGAATGAAGACATATTTGAATATCAGGTTGGAGATTACAGAATGCAGTATAGAGCATAAGAAACAGGGAAATGCAGATAGGAGGGCACATAGGAACAAAAGGATTATAGGCAGAAGAATACAATAAAACATTTGAAGCCTCTAAAAAGAAGCAGGGGTGAGACTGTTTGGAAAATTAAGACATTTCAAACAGACATATATATGAAAAATTGAGGAAACATACAGGTCCAGAGAAAACACATGCACAGAAAAAGCCTTAAGAAAACATAAGCATTCACACTGAGTAATTATGGAAGGTATTTTTCTGCAGACAGTCAGTTTGCAAACCCTAGGAGAGGGAGCTGCTTTTAAAATGCCCAATTTTCAACAAAAGATTACAAGAAATACAAAGAAACAGATAAACATGGCCTATTCAAAAAAAATTAATAAATTCCCAGGAACTGACTGTCCTCTTAAAAAGAGCTTAGACTTACTAAACAAGATCTCTAAAATGCAATATTAAATATGCTCACATAGCTAAGGAAGCATACAGACAGAAAACTAAGAAAATTTTTAAAAGAATAACATATGAACAAAAGGAGAATATCAACAAAGACATAGAAATAATAATAATGCACAAGTAAAAATTCCAGAGAAGAAAAATATAACTCTCTATACATTCACTAGAGAAGATTAACAGCAGACTTGACCAGGCAGCAGAAAGCATCAGCAAACCTGAAGACATTATTTGAGATTATCTGTTCAGAGGAACAAAGACAAAAAAAGAAGAAGAGAAGAGTAGACAAAGCCCAGTGTACTTATAGAACCCCATTAAGTTGTGCAAAATACAAATTACAAGAGTCCTTCATAGAAACAATTTAATTTTTTACAGATTTTCTATTAAAAATGAGAAAAAAGAGAGTAGAGGGAAGAAAGAAGACAGAAAGCAGCAAACACTTTATTTGAAAAAATTATGGGTGAAAACCTCTCAAATTTAAGAAAAGAACTGGAGATACAAATCTAATAAGCTCAGCAAATAAAGTAGGATAAACTCGAAAAAGAGCCACACTGAGATATATTAAAATCAAACAGTTGAAAGTCAAAGACAAAGAGAGCATTTATATTTGTCGATGTATTAAGTTTTAGCAGGAAACTATATTTTACATAAGTTTAATTTTCTGACTAGCATCTCAGTCTCAACTTGAAAAAATTCTTCAGCATTTCTTGTATGGTGGGTCCGGTGTATGAACTCTGTTAACTTTTAGTTATAGGAAATGTATTAATTTCTCACTCATTTTAACAATAGTTTTGATAGACACAGAATTCTCAGTTGACAGGTATTTTTGCTTTGTTTTGTTTTCAGCACAATAAATATATCATCCTCAGGCTTCTGGCCTGCAAGGTTTTTGCCACTAATCTGCTGATAATTGTATTGAGGATCATTGTATGTGATGACTTGCTTTTCTCTTCTTATTTCAAGATGCTCTCTTTGTCTTTGACTTTCAACTATTTGATTTTAATATATCTCAGTGTGGCTCTTTTTCAAGTTTATCCTACCTTATTTGCTGAACTTATTGGATTTGTATCTTCAGTTCTTTTCCTAAATTTGGGAGGTTTTCACCCATGAATTTTTCAAATAAACTGCTTGCTGTTTTCTCTCTTCTTTCTTCCGTCTACTCTCTTTTCTCTCATTTTTAATAGAAAATCTATAAAAAAATTAGATTGTTTCTATAAAGGACTCTTGTAATTTGTATTTTGCTCAACTTGGTGGGGTTCTGTAAGTACACTGGGCTCTGTTTACTCTTCTCTTCTTTTTTTTTTTTTTTTTTTTTGTCTTTGTTCCTCTGAACAGATAATTGCAAATAATGTCTTCAGGTTTGCTGATTCTTTCTGCTGCCTGGTCAAGTCTGCTGTTAATCTCCTCTAGTGAATGTACAGAGAGTTATATTTTTCTTCTCTGGAATTTTTACTTGTGCATTATTATTATTTCCATGTCTTTGTTGATATTCTCATTTTGTTCATATGTTATTCTTGTAAAATTTTCCTTAGCTTTCTGTCTGTATGCTTCTTTAGCTATGTGAGCATATTTAAGATTGCGTTTTAGAGGTCTTGTCTAGTAAGGCTAAGCTTTTTTTAGGAGGACAGTCAGTTCCTGGGAATTTATTAATTTTTTTGAACATACCACGTTTATCTGTTTCTTTGTATTTCTTGTAATCTTTTGTTGAAAATTGGGCATTTTAAAAGCAGCTCCCTCTCCTAGGGTTTGCAAACTGATTGTTTGCAGAAAAATCAGCATTATTGTAATTGTGGTAACTCCACTTTTTACTCTATTAGAAAATTTGAAAGACAAAAGCATAAAAATACCTAGAAGTTATATTAATGGGTACACAATAAGTAAAGATATAATTCATGACATTAATAATACAAAGGAGAAAGAGTAAAAGTAGTAATGAAGTAGTTTTTCTATGCAAGTGAAGCTAATTTGGTTTCATTTTCAAATAAATTGGATTATTTTTGTATGTAATTTGTAATACTAATGCTAACAAAAAAAGAAAAGATATATAGAATATACATAAAAGGAAATGAGAAAGGAATCAAAGTATGTTTCTACAAATAATCAGCTTAACACAATAAGAGGCAGCAGGGAGAAAATGAGAAACAAAAAGTTACATAAGACATAAGAAAAAAAATGTCAACAGAAAGCCTTTCTTTTGAAGTAATTATTTTAAATATAAATGGACTAAACTCCTCAATGAAAAGGCATAAATTAGCAAAATAGATTAAAAACAGGATCAGCTATACGCTGTTTACAAAAGACACACTTTTGAGCTAAGGACATGCATGTACTGACAGTGAAAGGATAACAGAGTTGGAGGTCTCAAGCTGCCTGATTCAAAACATACTATACAGCTACAGTAATCAAAAAATGTAGTACTGGCAAAAAGGCAGATGTGTAGACCAATTAAAGACTAGAGAGCTGAGAAATAAGCCTTCTTGCAGCTGGTCAAACAATCTTTAAGAAGGATACCAAGACAACACAATGGAAATAAACATTCTCTTCAACAAATGGTGGTGTAAAAATTGGATATTCACATGCAAAAGAATAAAGTTAGACCCTTATTCTACTCCATATGCAAAATTAACTCACTCAAAACAAACAAATTAAAGGCATAAATGTAATATCTAAAACCATAAATCTGCTAGAAGGAAAAATAGGACTTATGCTAAGTCAAATAAATTCATCACAAAATGATAAATACTGTATGATTTCACTTTTATGAGACATAAATAGAAATAGAAAGTATAATTGTAGTTGCCAGGGGCTAGGAGGGAGGAGGAAATGGTGAATTGTCCAGTGGATGTGAAGTTACATATATGAAGAAAAAGTTCTAGAGATCTATAGCACAACAATTAAATATAATTAACAATAGTGAACTCTTCATGTAAAATGGCAAAGATAATAAATTAAGATGTATTTTTATCAAAAACATATAAAAGAGGATAAATTTAGATGCCTTAGTCAATCCATGTAAAAAAAAATTCATCCCAAATGGATTGTAGTCCTAAATATAAAAGCACATGATCATCTGAAGATGCAGAGCTTATTACATTTAGGTTTAATGGCACACTTCTTCGTAGTCTGGGCATTTTTTTGCCTGTATTATTCTTTCTGCCCGGAATTATAAATCCTTATCCCACAATACCCCTTTACCTAATTAATTCTTATTTGTTTTTCTGGTCTCACGTTTATTAAGCTTTTTTCCTCAGTCCTCAGACTACATCACATGGCCTCCTGATATGCTCTCATATCAACCTGAACTACTTAATTTTACCACTTATTAAGGCTTCTCATTGATTGTACACTTTTAATGCTTTATTTTATGTCTATGGCCAGATAGCCATTTCCCTACCCAATATTTATTGCCACTTTTACTCTATCAAAAATGATTCTATTTTATAATGAGTGAAAAAATTCTGGCTAAAACCTAAAGATAATAAGCTCCTTTGCACCTTCAGATGACCATGTGTTATAATTCTGACCATTAAGATATACATAAAAAGTATACAGTGAAGCTTCTGGGAATAATCTTTAAAATGGCAGCAGACTAAGCTGAGTTGGGTAGCTCTAGCTTATCATCAACTTTTCTCCATTCTTGCCTGGGGTAGTCACAATACTAGAAAAGAAGCAGCCACTTTGCAATCATGAGATGACATCCACACACTCTGCTGAGGCTGAGTAGAAAAATAGATGCAAAATGAACTCCCCAATGGCATCGCAGAGCCACCATACTCCTTGGGACTTCATTTTAACACAAGAAAAATGGCCACTTTCTTATTGTCATTACTATTTTTTTTTTAGAGTTTCTCTTACAGCTTCACAAAAAGATAAGCAAAGAAGGAATGATATTAAAACTCTTTTACCTGGAGAAGAGGGTTGCATTCCATTAGACTGTATAATGTGGCTTCAGACAGTGATGCAGGGGGAAGTTATATGCCTTCCTGGGAACTCATGATTAGAGAAGTCAGTAGAAGAAAACAAAGTTGAGAGTGAGGCCAAGACACGACCAGAGAAAAATGAGAGAGTTGTTCATTGAATGAGTTAAGTCAAAGAAAATGGAAGGAAAATTATGAGGTCTGTGGGCTATCTAATGCTCCTATTATGAAGTGTGGTTGAGTTGGAGGAGAGAGGCTCAGTGCGGTTAGCATACTCATTATGTGCATTAAGCAGACTTGAATGCATTAAATGTGGAGTGAATTGATTTTATACAACTATCCTCAGCTGTCTTTTTAGAAAAATAATGACTAATGCATCTCTACAAATGTGTTTCTCTAAGATCTACGGGTTGAAGTACAGCACAGGTTAGGGAGTCTCTCTCTCTCTCTTCTCTCCCACCCCATTCCTTCCTCTGGAGAGATTTTCCCAAATGACTCCAGCTATGAGCCTCAGCATGTCCACACTGGGGAAAAGCCCACCTTTCCCATGAAGCAAGCCAAAGCCTCTATTGGAAGCAAACCCTGGCCTTCCTTCTCCAGAGCTTGCATCTGACCTGAGCTTTACACTGTTCTTCTCTTTCCCCATTGACTAGGCTGTTGTGTGCCTTAGAATAGACTTGCCCCATATACCGCTACTATTTATATCCTCCTGCTTCGTGCTGATTGACCTAGCTTTGGGCTCTTTGCTTGCCCTGATCTTGGATAGTTTGTGTACGCTTCCTTACTGGCTTGTCTTGTGGATTCTGACCCACTTCCTGCTTTCACTTCTAGTACCTACTCAAGCAATAATTACTAACACTCTGCCTCTGCTTCCTTGGTATTTTGGCTGGGCCCTCGCAACTCATTGAATTATTTTGCAGGGCTGAATGCAGAGAAGCAGAAGGAGACAGGACTGTTAAGCAGGAAATTTATGTGAGCACATAACATGTCCATATCCCAGCCACAAAAAAGAAGCTAAACTTTCTGCCCATGGCTGTGTTTATAGCATCCTCTCTCAGCAAGTCAGGAACTGGTTATTCCCTGGAATCTGATTTTATGAGCAAGCTCACTTTCAGTTGTCCACATTTCAAATCCTTAACTATCAATTCCTTTTTCTTACCTTTTTTTCTCTTCTTTTTTCAAAATTTAACATTTTAATCACTTGGGCACATCAAGTTCAGATTTTCATAGAAGAGTTTGTTCAACCCAAATAAATGGTAAAATAAAAAATAAGGGAGAGGTTTATGGTGTGAAACTAACACTTTTTTGTATGTATTTGTTTGCAATTTGCTCGTAGTGAAAGACAACTAAGCATTGTGTGATTATCTGTTGCTAGTTCAAATTCAAATCTTAGGGTCTTAGTTCATTCAGGCTGCTATAACAAAAATGCCATAAACTGTGTAGCTTATAAACAACAGATATTTCTTACAGTTCTGGAGGTCCAAGATCCAGGAGTCAGCAGATTTTATGTCTGTTGAAGGATCACTTGCTGCTTCACAGATGGTGGCTTTTTGCTATAGCCTCTTGTGATGGAAGGGAAGAACTCCAGTCTTTTTAGTTCCTTATACAGGCACTAATCTCATTCAAAAGGGCACTGCTTTTATGATCCAATGATCGTAGAAAGTTTTTTCTTGTAATACTACCATATTGAGGATTAGGTTAAAGCATATGCATTTTGGGGGGATAAAAATATTCAAAGTGTGGCAGGGTCCCAATCGTCTCTCTAAATGTTGGCCAACTGAGACTTCACATGTAGAAGTGTTTGCAGGGGGTGATGGGAGACAGCAACAGATCATCAGGCATTAGATTGTCAAACTGAGTGTGCAATCTAGATCCCACGCATGCTTAGTTCACAATAAGACACATGCTCCTATGAGAATCTAATGTTACCTCTGATCTGAGGAGGCAGAGCTCAGGCAGTAATGCAAGCTATGGGGAGAGGTTGTAAATACAGATGAAGCTTTGCGTGCTCACCCACGGATCACCTCCTGTTGCACAGCCCAATTTCTAGCAAGCTATGGACCAGTAATGGGGATTGGGGACCCCAGCTCTACACCATTTATTACATAACTTTTCCAGGAGGGTGAGAAGCAGCACCACGTATTCAAGCACCAATGTTTTTTGTGAAAAATTATGTTCACATTCACATCAAGTGAGACAAAGAACAATAATATGATTTCATTGGCACTGGTTGTGTTTATTGCCAAATGAGATATTACTTAATTTTCAGCTTACAGATTTTTTTGAATGCAGTAATTGCAGATAATGAGTATGGATCTGCATCATACTGACTTAGGTACCAATATAGTTTGAATTTTATCCCCTTCCCCTCTCCTCCAAAGAAAAAAAAAAAGAAAAAAATATATATATAAATCCTAACCTCCAGTATCTCATAATGTGGCCTTATTTTATTTTTTAAATTATTTTTATTTATTTTTGTACTTTTAGTAGAAATGGGGTTTCACTATGTTGGCCAGGCTGGTCTCAAACTCCTGACCTCAGGTGATTCGCCTGCCTTGGCCTCCCAAAGTGCCGGGATCACAGCCATGAGCCACCGAGGGAGGTGGGAGGTGGATCACCTGAAGTCAGGAGTTCAAGACCAGCCTGGCCAAGATGGTGAAACCCTGTCTCTACTAAAAATACAAAAATCAGGCAGGCGTGGTGGTGCATGCCTGTAATCCCAGCTACTCGGGAGGCTGAGGCAGGAGAATTGCTTGAACCCAGGAGGCGGAGGTTGCAGTGAGCTGAGATCCCACCTCTGCATTCCAGCCTAGGTGACAGAGGGAGAATCCATCTCAAAAAAAAAAAAAAAAAAAAAAAAAAGGTCTTTACAGAAGTAATCAAATTAAATGACACATTAGGATGAGCCCTAATCCAAAATGACTGGTGTCATCTGACATAAAGATAGATCTGCATAGAGGGAGAAGATCTGAAGACTTTACCAAATGAAGAGAGAGTTTTGGAATGATTCAGCTACAATTCAAAGGATGTCAAAGTTTGTCAGCAAACCACCAGAAGCTAAGAAACAGAGAGAAGCAAGGAAGATTCTCCTCTACAGGTTTCAGAGGGAGGATGACCCCGCCAAAACTTCATTTTGGATTTCTAGCTTCCGAAACTAGAAAACTAATAAAAGATAATCTTTCTTTCAAATCTTCATCTCATTTTTTTCTTTCTTCCTCATTCACATTGTTATTACCTTAGTTCTGGCCCCCATTAATTCATGACTGGACTACCATACTAGCTTTGCAATAGTCTCCTGATTTTATATATTCATAACATCCTGTGCAGTCTCTTTGATGTCTCTCTCTTTCTCTCTCTCTCTCTCTCCTCTTCAATCCAGCTTGCACTCTGCAACAGGATTAATCTTCCTGTTACAAAGCACTGACTAAGCTATTCTCCTGATCAAATACCTTCTATCACTCACCATTGTCTAATGAACACATTCCAAACTCCATAAAGCATTTACTGCCTCTATAATTTAATCTCCCTTCTTTATTGCGGGATCCTTGGGTGAGAGCCCAACTGGATGGCTTACTTTTTCTATCACTTTCCCCAAATGTATGTGTGCTTTTTCTTTGTTTAAAAGACAAAGGCCCTAGGTCATGACTCTAAATATTCAAAGTATACCCATCCTTCAGGACCAAGTTCCAGCAGTATTTCTAGAATTTTTGTTTGTTTGTTTTTTCAGTAGAATGAAGCCTCATTTCTTCCCTTGTCTCATAAATAAAAGATTTTTAGCACTGATTATGAGCCAGACACTATTCAGAATTCTTTGCATTTATCAGGTAAATTAACTTCACAATAATCTGTGAGATAAATTCTATTTGCACCCCAGTTTTACATATTTAGTAACTATGGCTCAGAAAAACTGAGTATCAAAGCCACATGGTTTCTTTAAATTTTATTTTATATTTATTCATTTTAACGTTTGTGGGTACATAGTAGGTGTATATATTTATGAAGTACATGAGATAGTTTGATAGAGGCATGCAAAGGGTAATAATAGTCACATCAGAGTAAATGGGGCATCCATCATCTCACACGCTTATTCTTTGTGTCACAACCAATTCAATTACACTTTTAAATACTTTAAAATGCACAATTATTTTTCACTATAGCACCCATGTTGTGCTATCAAACACTAGGTCTTACACATTCTTTCTAGCTGTTGTTTTGTGCCCATTAACCATCCCCACTTCCCTCCATCCCACCTCTACCCTTCCAAGCCTCTGGTAACCATCCTTCTACTCTTTGTCTCTGTGAGTTTAATTATTTTAATTTTTAGCTCCCCAAAATAAGTGAGAACATGTGAAGCTTGTCTTTCTGTGTCTGGCTTATTTCGCTTAACATAATGACCTCCAGTTCCATCCATGTTATTGCAAATGACAGGATCTCATTCATTTTTATAGCTGAATAGTACTCCATTGTGGGTGGGTACCACATTTTCCTTATTCATTCATCTGCTGATGGACACTTAGGTTGCTTCTAAATCTTGGCTATTGTGAATGCTGCTGCAACAAACATAGGAGTGCAGATATCTCTTCAATACATTGATCTCCGTTCTTTGGAGTATATGCTCAGCAGTGGGATTGCTGGATCATATGGTAGCTCAATTTTAATTTTTTGAGGAAGCTCCAAACTATTCTCCATAGTGGTTATACTACTTTACATTCCCACTAGCAGTGTCTGAGGGTTCCCTTTTCTCCACATCCTCACCAGCATTTGTTATTGCCTGTCTTTTGGATATAAGGTATATTAACTGGGGTGAGATGATGTCTCATTGTAGTTTTAATTGGCATTTCTCTGATGATCATTGATGCTGAGCACATTTTCATATGTGTGTTTGCACTTGTGTGTGTTCTTTTGAGAAATGTCTAGTCAAATCTTTTGCCCATTTTTCATCACATTATTAGATTTTGTCCTATACAGTTGTTTGAGCTCCTTACATATTCTGGTTATTAATCCTTTGTCTAATGGGTAGTTTTCAAATATTTTCTCCCATTGTGTAGGTTAGCTCTTCACTTTGTTGATTGTATCCTTTGCCATGCAGAAGCTTTTTAACTTGATGTGATCTCATTTGCCCATTTTTGTTCTGGTTGCCTGTGCTTGTGGGATACTGCCTAAGAAAATTTTGCCCAGACCAATGTCCTGGAGATTTGCCTCAGAGTTTTATTGTAGTAGTTTCATAGTTTGAGATCTTAGATTTAAGTCTTTAATCCATTTTGATTTGATTTTTGTATATAGCAAGAGATGGGAGTCTAGTTTCATTATTCTGCATAGGGATATCCAGTTTTTAAGATTATGCAATCTTGCTAGCACATACACCAAGTACCAAGAACTGGATTCTACCTACTTAGGTTTCATTGTTAAAATATCTTTTCATTTATAGAAACCGATGAAAGAATCGTTTCCATGGTCTTTCCTTTCATCGTCCGCTCCCTACAACCTAATATAATTAAAAAGAAAAATTCAAAGTAGAGCAAAATCTATCTACTTGAAAAAAGCCTTTTTATTTTTGCAACTGAGGAGACAAAAAGTACATTTCATATTTCCATACATTAGAAATACACAGGTCTTTTCTATATATACTAGAACCTACTATATATTTATATATTAACAAGTCTATTTTTATATTTTATATAGTAATATTTATATTCTATATATATATTATATATAATACATATATAAACATGTATTTATCTTTATATATTACATATAATCATTTATTTTAGACGGTAAGGTTTTATGCTTGTTGAAGCATGGTTCCCAGACAAAGAGAAAGGAAATTATCACTTTCAGAAGAATAAAGTACAAAATCATCACAATTCAATACCCAGCTGTCAATAATTGCAATGAGAGAATAATATAGCAGAACTTGCTATGTATAGAAAATACCTGTGTATTTCTTTTGTGTATATATGTAATCTACATTTATATATAATTATATAAATGCACAGGTCTTTTCTATATATAGTAGAATTTACTACTGTATTCCTAATGTGTGTATATATATAAAATCTATATTTATAAATATTTATATAAATACACAGATTTTTATATGAACACACAGGTCTTTATACAGAAAAGATCGGTGTATTTCTAATGTGTATATATATATAATTTATATTTATCCCTAGATATTTATATACATATAATCTCTATATATTTGTATATTTATGTATTTATATATCTATTTAATATATTTATATAAATAGATCTCAGATATAGATTTTGTATATATTTATATTCTATATAAATATTTAAAGACATCTATAAAATATATAAACATATTTATATTTATATATAAATGCATAAATATATAATGTATAAATATAAATATATATTATATATAAAATATCTATTCTATATGTGATCATTTATTTTAGAAGGTAAGCTGTTAGTATTGTTGAAGCATGCTTCTCAGGCAAAAGGAGAAAGGAAATTATCATTTTAAGAAGAATAAAGTACAAAATTATCACGATTTAATTTCCAGTTGTTAATAATTACGCAGACAGAATAACTCATGCCATTTAATCTTACAATGAATAGCACGTTAAACTTTTATGTGATTCTGAAAATACGAATTTCCATATAATAAGGGTTTGAGATGTAAAGCACTAATTTTATAGGCAGTTTTCACTTGTTACATAGATTGTTCTTAGAGCTTTAAAGATGGTAAAATTAATGGTGGCTTTGAAGAGATGGTAGCATCATTTGAGAAACAATAAATGGGTTCTGTTTCATCCTTTCCTTGGTGCAGTCAGGGCTTCACTTCATTAGCTTAGGAAGGGATTTCAGAGCTTTTCATGTTGATCTTGTAGTTGCCTACTATGGAATCCTACGAAACCTAGGACGCTATACCACAGAAACAGGGCGTTGCCCCATGTCCTGAACACCATCATTTTGTGGTATATTTCTTTTGTATTTCTTATATTGAAATACCATAAAAGGATGAGCATGCTTGGTATAACTCAAAGCCTGTTTATTTGCAAGGCTGTGTTGACCCTTAACAATAAATATGTGTATGTTATGGATGGGAAACAAGTCAGAATGAAAAGCTCCTGCTGTCTTTTAGGAAAGCCTATTGGCTGTGGTTGTATATCTCTTTCCAAAGGGAAATTGGTGAACTCTCTGCTATAGTTTTTTCCATAATGACAGCATAAAACTGAAATAAGCTGAATCTTGTCAGTGGCCACTTTTGGGTTTGGTGTATATTAGGGAGCAATTCTGCAGTGTGTTTCAAAATTACATTCAAAAATTAATTTCGTGCACCTTATTTTAATGCCTTATTTCCCTCAAGCTCTGCATGTCACAACAGTCTGTGATGATTCTTTTGGCATTGAAAAAATTATCCATGGCTCTTACATCGTGTTCCTTTCATGATTTCATGGCAGTTGGAGCTTCAATTGTTATTTGTTGGGAACCCATCCTGACTAGCTATTTCACTGGGGCTTCATGTTTTATTGTGATGATTGGCAGAACTGTGTTTCAGGAATTTTTGGCTTTGGAAAGTTACTATGATTTTGAAATTATAGATGCAAAAATGTCACTGAATTTATTTTCACAAACTTTTAATTCATTATAGACAATAAGTGGTTTAATCAGAAATCAATAATTTAAATAATCTTTTAATTTGTTGGAGCATTCACAAATACTACATCTTCCTTTAAGTCTTTCTTTATTCTACATGTTATATACACAGTTAAATTAATAAATAAGAGTTTTAAATATTTTCCCTCCTTCTCCAACTACCCACAAGCTCAGGCTTAAAATAAACAGTGGAATGAGTAAAGACCCAAAGTAATATAGCAGCAAAGCTGTAGTTGATTTTTATAATAAAATAATAGATATCAAAGCTTCCTGACGTTTTTAGGCAAATCTTCCTGTGTCCCTAAAAGGAGGATCCCCTTGACAACAGTCATGAACAACAGCTGATCTTGAGATTCTCAGCTGTCAAAGACGGTGGGAGAATTTGAAAACACCTTGTACATATTAAAGAGCTAAGCATGAGCTGATGCATACATACATATGTCTCTGTCTCATTAGACCGCAGGAAACAGGACACATGGCAGGAAGGCTCACGTCGATTCCCCTTGACCATGCAGCTTCCTCCGCTCCTGACTCCTAAGAACTTTCTGACCTATTGGTCATTCCCAGCTTCAGATCCCCACGCATACCGATTGTTTTTGGCCCCACGTCAGTGATACACAGGACACAGAATTGCTCTCAAAAAACACTCTGGAATTGAAAAATGACAGGAGAAGCTCAACGCGATGGCTGGGTACCAGAGGGAAGGCCTTCCGCTGTTTTGAACACTGATGCTAAGCTCTAGAATAACTGTAGCTGCAGCCTATTGGACCTGGCATGTGTCAGGCAGGGTGTGAAATGCTCCCCAAGCACGACCTCATTTCTCCCTCACGTTACCCCTGTGGATTAATCGGGGCTCTAGAGAGACACCACCAACAGGTTATCAGCAAAGATAGATGAGAGGGGATTTATTAGGGGAATTAGAGGGTGAAAAGTCTCAGGGCAGGCTTTCTGCAAGCTGGAGCCCCTGGGATGCCAGGAGTGTGACTCAGTCCATACCCAAAAACTTCAGAACCAGGTAAGTGGATAGTGTAACTCTCAGTATAAAAAGAGCCTGAAGTTCTGATGTCCAAGGGCAGGAAAAGAAGAGTCTCAGCTCCAGGAGAGAAAGGGAGGAAAGTGCCTTTCCTCTGCCCTGTTTCTTCTATCTGGGCCCTCAGAGAATTGGATGGGGCCTGTTTCTATTGAAGACATCTTCCCCACTCCGTCCAGCAGCTCACACCAATCTTCATGGGAGTATCTGCACAGGCTCACCTAGAAACAATGCTTTACCAATTCCTGATGTATTCCTTAAGGCAGTCACCTTGACAGTGAAATTATCCATCACACCCTGTAAAATGAGGAGTGTCCCCACTGGACAAATGAGACAGACAGTTTGAGTAACTTTCTTATACTGCTTGTAGGTTATAGAGTCAGGATTAAAACTCAGGTCTGCAAAGATCAAATTCTAAACTCCACCCTCTTAAGGACTGCTGCTCAACACTGTGGAAGCAGTACTGCATTAGACACTGCACAAGGATTGAAGAGGCATTCGAGACACATCCCCTGCTTTAGGGACCACATCCTAGCTTGCATTCATGACAGGAGTCATGTTTCTGTGACTCTACTATAGACCCCGGAACCAAGTGTGAATTGGTACGCTTTAGGTGTGCATACGCTCTGCAGAAATCCTAAGAAAGAGCCAGATAATTATAGGCTCAATTCATATAGGGAAATTTTTACGAAAATAGCTTTTAGCCAATTCCTGAAAGAAAATATTTTTACTGGCAGAAAAATGTTCTGCTGGAGAATAACTAGTTGAAGGGCTTTGGGGGAAGGGGCCCTGGACATATGTACACAGAAGTAGGGGAAAAAGACACACAGAATAGAAACAGAATTGAGGACCCTTCAGGGAGAGAAGTAAGGAAAAGTGCTAGCCCAGCAAGCTGATAAAAATATATCTGCCCTGTATTTAAAGTTAATTCCATCTCTTGATTTTTTTTCATATTATTCATTTTATTATATTTGTTAGTATAGTATTATCCATCTTATTGTCCCATATATTATGGCATTTCCCCCTATATGTGAATATATTACCACATAGAAGGAAATGACCTCATTTTCCTAATACATAATTAGACACATGAGTTTATTCCTTTACAAGCAAAAATGTGTCTCCTCCATTACGTATTAAAATGAATAAAACCATATAATATTCCAGAGTTGAATCTTGTAGCTCAATACTTGGACAGAAATGTTGCTAATTTGCACATTTTATGTGGTACTGATGACTCCCACATTAAGGAGTGTTTTTA